>NC_000014.9:45236713-45861713 GCF_000001405.40 Homo sapiens
AATAACACTCAAAAAGCACTGTTCTCTAGCCTTTCATTTAATCCTCAGCACAACTAACTAGGTAAGTAATACCATTATCCATATTGCACAAATGAAGAAACTGAGACTGACAGGGGATAAATAACTTGTCCAGGTAATACAGATAGTAGGCAGCAGCAATGGAATTCCAACAAAGGCAATCTACACTGCATCTTTAATAGTAAGGAAATGGGCATAAAGCAGACAGATAAAGAATGGACAATACAGATTTTACACATTCACTTATAAACTTACATATGAGTACCTTAAACAGTTATAACTTTTTTTTTTTTTTTTTTTGAGACAGAGTCTCGCTCTGTCACCCAGGCTGGAGAACAGTTATAACCTTTTATTACAAATATTTGTAGCACTAAGAAACTGGTCTTGAAGAATAGGAAATGGTGCTAATAGAGTAGCAGAATTAGGTAAAGCCCACTTACCTGGTGATGCTCTCACTTTAGGGAGAACCAGAAAGTGCCAATGATTACTTAATATGTAGCCGTATGGCAAAGTTTTAAGTAATTTTGATTCCTTTTCTGGATCAGTAATTTATATCTGGTTGTCCCAATTTAGATGTGAGAATCTGGACTGAAATGCATGTAGTAAATATTAACTGATCATATATAATTAAGCAGATAATACCAGTCCACTTATTAGCACCTCAGAAAAAAATAAACCACTATACAAATTTGAACTGTCATTATTTTAAGAAAAACTTGAGTAAACATGCAAAAACAAGAAAGCTGGTAGCAATCAACATGGCTAGGACCTGCACAGTAATTTTACTTTTTTGCCTTCAGTTCATAACCTTGTTAGGTCTTTGCTTTGTGGAGGATGCTATTTCTCATGCATTAACTCTTAAGTGCTTACACATAACTAAAGTTTTATTAAAAGAATAATGAAATAGTATACTTACATCAATTTTCCTTCTACACATATAGCAGTATTATTATTGATGCTTTTAATCATCCATTCCTGTAGCTGAACTACCTAATCAAGTATAAAACAAAGAACATATTTCCTGTATTACTTGCAGCACAAGCATTACAAAATTAACTTACATTAAAAGAAAAAACTTGTCTAAGTAATCCAAATATTCCTTAGTGTCATCGATGTAAGATTCACATTCTATTCTAAATAGCAATAGGTAAAATTCTTGTATACAATGAAACAGAAAAGAAAAGACTGAATTCAGGTTGTATTGCATTTGTTCTACAATCAAGAAGCAATTATACTTCAAATACTCTATCACCAAATCTCAACTGGTGGGGACAAAAATCATGTAAAATCCCAAGGTACAGATTAAAACACCAAGTCCTGCAAAAAGCCCAGTAACTTGGAGTGAAAAGGAGTTAGCTATGTTTTGTCCTTAAAAAATTAAGAGTTTTTTTTTTTTTTTGTAAAGTTTAGACCTGTATTCCAATTTTCTACAAACTAAAAAGGTAACTGCTGGTAATCTAGATTTAACAGTATTTTATTCCAAAGTAAACATCTGAATAGCTCAGAGAACTCTTTATTATCTTACTACAAGTAAAATATCATTCTAATGGAAAACATTTTATGACAATCTATGCAAAGAAATTCTTGAATATAAATTTCATAAAATTTAAGATTGAACTACTTCTGATGAGAAAAAAAGTCAAAATTTATGGAATAATTTGAGTGGCAATTTACTTTATATGTAAAGTTACACATTTACAAATAAAAACAAATTCTCCAGTGGTAGTTTTATACTGAGTCAGGAAAAGACATTAAAATGGGACAGTCTTTGTTATGGCACATGTTGATTATGTTCATTTAAAAAATTATAGGTGATGGCTGAGGACAGTTGCTTAAACCTGTAATCCCAGAACTTTGGGAGGCCAAGTCGGGAGAACTGTTTGAGCCTAGGAGTTCAAGACCAGCCTGGGCAACATAGTAAGATTCCAAAAAAAAGTTTAAAAATTAGCTGGGTGTGGTGGTACACACCTGTAGTCCCAGCTACTGGAGAGGCAGAGGTGGGAGGATCACTTGAGCTTGGGAGGTCGAGGCTTCAGTGAGCCTCAACAGGTGATGGAACAAGACTCTGTCTCAAAAAGTAAATACATAAAAATAAAAAATTATAAGTAGGATAGTTTATAAGCCATGGGTCTCAGTAGTAATGGCGAGGGGATCCACCATCTTGTCTTACCCTCACCCAAGACACAAATATGGCTTCTGTTTTTAAGCCCCTTTTAAATGTTTCTTTCTGAAAAAAGTAAAAAATTATAGGTAGGACTTGGGGAAGTAACAGTAAATAATACTCTCTTTTTGCCTTCTCCCACATTTGGAACTACCTGAGATATATCAACGCACCAGTCAGATGGAGATAATAATCCTGTACCATACTATTATACTGCTTATATAAGATATCAAAATGTTCATTCATTATTCATTCAACAAATATTTGTTGAGTTCTACACACTGTTTTAGATAGTGGAGATTGAGTGAGAAAGTAAACAGCTGCCCCTCTTAGGGCCAACATTCTTGTGTGTGTGTTAGGGTTGGGGGTGGAGGCAAGCAGGATAATGGCATCTAAACCAATATGAAAATGTCAGGTGGTGGTAATTACTATGAAAAATAAATAAAAGGCATTAGATAAATGAGGTGCTTTTTAAGACAAAACAGTCAGGGAACGTCTTGGAAGAGAGAACTGAATAAAGTGAGCAATGAGTCACATGGATATCAGCAAAAAGATTCTTCTAAGCACAGAGAGTCAGCGCAGAGATCCAGGTAGGCAGCATGGAAGGCATAATTTGAAAGGAGTAAGTGAGAGGGAATAAGTGGTGAGGTTGGAGATCTCCAGGATTAACTAAGTACAGCTCGGTAAACCATGGTAAAGGCTTAGTGTTTTCTATTGAGATGACAAGTTACTGGGGATTCTGAACAGAACGACAAAATTTGATATTTTAAGGGACTGTTGGGTAGAGATGAGACTATATGAAGATTTTAGCTTGTCTGGAAAACAGACTGAAAAAGGAGAAAAGCAATACTGGAAGCAGGGAGACCACTAGGCTATGACAGTCATCCCTGGACTAGGAGGTAGTGGTTGAACAGTGAGAAGAGGCCGCATTCAGGAGAGTAGAGCCAATGGGATTTCTTCATGGTTTGGATGTGGAGCATGAGAGAGAAACAAGAGTCCAAGATGAATCTAAAATTTTGCCTAAATACTGGGGCCAATGGTATTACAATGTACTAATACAGGACAATGGAGAAGGTATGGTAAAGAAATCAAGAATAAGAATCTCACATTTTCTCACATTTTCAATTTGAGATGCCTATCTGATATCAATAGAAAAGTCATATAGACAACTGCACATGAGTGTGGAGTTGAGAAGAATTTTCTGTGCTGGAAACATATTGGAGAGCTATCAGCATAGAGATGGAATTTAAAACTATGACACTGGAAATACAGCCTAGAGAGTGCGTGTAGGTAGAAAAACAATTTCTAGGGCTGATCTGCAGTAATTCCAACATTTTTAGGACTGATTCTGGGGAAAGAAAGAGGAAATAGCAAAGAGGACTGAGAAGGGATGGGCAGCAATGTAGCAGAAAATCAGGAACGATCCTGGAATACAAAATATAAAGCGTAACACTTCTTTAGAAAGACATTTTGGGGCCAGGCGTGGTGGCTCACACCTGTAATCATTTCCTTTTACTTTAGGTGGTAAGGACATTGCCCTTTCAATTGCCCCCTCAATTTTCTCCCTACCTACACGCACTCTCTAGGCTGTATTTCCAGTGTCATAGTTTTAAATTCCATCTCTATGCTGATAGCTCTCCAATATGTTTCCAGCACAGAATATTCTTCTCAACTCCAACCATGAATACACAGACCTCTTTCAAATGTCTTGCTATATAAGGGAAACAAAAAGTAGTGTAGCAGCTGGAGTTGGACAGGGGATAAAGGAAAGATGGGCCTTTGTTTGCATGTTTTTAAAAAATGCAGGCCATGTTTCAACATGTTTATATGTTAATGAGAATAATCCAAAAAAAAAAAAATTTAGCCGGGCATGGCAGCATGTGCCTGTAGTCCCAGCCACTCAGGAGGCTGAGGCAGGAGATTTGCATGAACCTGGAAGGCGGAGGTTGCAATGAGCTGAGATTGTGCCACTGCACTCCAGCCTGGGTGACAGAGTGAGACTCTGTCTCCAAAATAAATAAATAAATAGATAGATAAATAAATAAAGTTTAAATATTTTCCAATAATGGGATTTCTAGCGAATATATTGAGATATAAAACCATAACTGGTATGTCACTCTTTAAAATTTAGATGGCTACAAGGGAGGCTTAAGTGGGAGGATTGCTTGAGCCCAAAAGGCTGGCCTGGGCAACAGAGTAAGGCCTCATTTAAAAAATTAATTATTAATTAAAATTTAGATGGAATTTATACATGATCTCAACTTGATAACCACCATCATACATTTAAGAATTAATGGCTGGATGCAGTGGCTCACGCCTCTAATCCCGGCACTTTGGGAGGCCGAGGCGGGAGGATCACTTGAGGTCAGGAGTCAGAGACCAGCTTGGCCAGCACGGTAAAACCCCGTCTCTACTAAAAACACAAAAATTAGCTGGGCATGGTGGCAGGCGCCTGTAATCCCAGCTACTCAGGAGGGTGAAGTAGGAGAATCGCTTGAACCCAGGAAGTGGAGGTTGCAGTGAGCCAAGACCACGCCATTGTGCTCCAGCCTGGGTGACAGAGGAAGACTCCAGCTCAAAAATAATTAATTAATTAATGGGCAAACCTCTAACAATTGGAAATTTTACACTGCATCTTCCTCCTTAAGCTTGTATTTCCATTCCACTTCCTTCAGAGAATTTGTCCTAATGTAACAGTTTAATGCTCTAAAGTCTTTCATTGATTACTCTGTATTTAATTTGGGAAAAATTCTCAAATCTTCAGATGCTACAGTTCCTTTCTATCTTAATTAATCTAACTATTTTAATAGTACTGTAAGTATCAGAAAAAAAAGAGTAGGAATGAATTCAATGTTCATCACCAAAAGGAACAAGTAAATTATTGAAGACTACACAACTAGTAATAGAGCAAAATAAGACTTAACATGTGGGTCTTCTTACATTCAACTCACTGTTCTTTTCACTATGTCACACTGTCACTGCAGTAAATAATAAAACATGATAATGAAGACACTGTTAATAATGAAGCATACAGGTTCAAATCCTAGCTAGAAAAAAAATAATGAGAGAACATTAAAAGCTCAAGCTCTTGAAGAACGGGGTAAAAATAGAAATAAATATCTGTCTTAAAAGTTTTCCCACCTGATTTTTTTTAAGTCCATTTGTAACAGTTTGAAATATTCTTGGAGGAGAAAGCTTTGAAATATTTCTTTTTGACCTCCGAGGTATTGTTATATGAAGTCTTGGTGTTGCAAGTACAATTTTACATGTATCTTTCATGGAACCTGGAAGACCTGTCTCTCCAGGCACTGTTTTTCCATTTCCTTCCTTAACTTTCTGTTGCGAAGTCCCTTCTGTTGTCCTCTCACTATCAGAAACCATTAACAGGCTGCCATTTTTAATAGGAATACAATTAGTACTGAGAGTCTCAGCATTAGTATTTTGAAATTGTTCATCAGCAGAATCAACGCTTTCTAAAACAAACGTGTCCTTTTTGGATTTAGTGGTTGCAACTATACTCTCCTTTGAGTGAAAAATTTGTTTAGCCAACTGAGCTCTAGTTAATGTCTTGTTTCGGGCTTCTACAGCCAAAAAATTTTCCTGTTCTTGGTTCAGAGTTGGAAGTTCTGCAAAAAATACAAAACAAAACAAAACAAAACAATTATAGAAGGATCACAGGAAATTAAAAGAGATAAATTTAGGTTAGGAACGTTCCACCCTCCTGCCCAGTCTTTCTCTGAGTGTCTCTTTTACGATTCAAGCTTTTGTCCACAGCTAAAGTTTAATGCCCACACAAGGAAAGTAATTACCTAGAACATTTAACAATATACTTAAGTAACAAACTGAAAACAAACCAAAAATAGTTTACCGTAAGTTAAATTGTGCAGTGGTGCTTTCTTTTCCTGCTGGCACTGAATCTTTTGTTTGACCGGGAGGAAAATATCATTATTTGATGATTCTAGAGGAACTCCTTGGACTGAGGCTAAGGTTTTATTTTTTAAAGAAAGAAGAAGTTGAATTGTATTAGTCACTAAGAAAAAAACAGCTTTTAAAATTCTTGAAATAAAGACACTTAGATTTAGTAATGATCAGACCAGTATAGTACTTTTGCAATATATGACAGTTACATATATTTTTATATTTTTGGCTGTATTATCTTCTCATACCTTTACCCCATTCTCTATACCAACATTACGGTGAGGAAGAATTTTTTAAAACCTTCTCTGAACACAACCCGCCAGCTCTAGACAAAAGTATTGGACTTAGAAACCTAGAGATCTGAAATTCTGGTGCTGCCACAAATTGGATATGTATATGTTAAGATTACAATATAAAGTTTCACCCAGTCTTGAAAATTCCGATTCTGTTTCTGGTTGCTGTGAATTTCTAAAGCATGAAAGATAGTCGAAGAATTGTAACTTATTCTTTAAAAATTAAAATGTTGAGATGCAACAGCAGACTCAGCCATAATTTATATCCTTTAGACAATTTTTAGTAGGCCTTCAAATGCTCAGAAGTTGTAGGTTTCTCAACTAGATAAATAAGGACTAATAGCACTGCTTGCATCTTATTCTGCTTTACCTCCTAGATTTTTAAAGTTTAATGTTTCTCGAATGTAGTTTCTTTCACACAAAAAGGGGATGATAATAGACTTAAAATTTGAGCCTGAGAAGAATTATCTTATATGTTTAATTTTAAATTTTATACTTGAAAAAACTGGTAGTGACTATGCTTTAATAAGTATGCCACTTTGGTCTCAGAAATCTTAAGATAAAGATTTCATTATAACAACGTGTCACAAAAAGAAACAATAAGTTTCTATATCTTTAACTCATTCTACAAGAAATGGCAAGGCAATTCAGTAGTAATTCAATCAAATGCAATAAGTTATATTTATTCACTTATGTGGGAGTCCCAGGTTCATGTAGACTCTCTAAAAGGTTTCTAAAAGTATATACAAAATTTGTGTTTCTATTTGTGTTTATATTTTCTGGGGGAAAGGGTCACCAGATTCTCAAAATGGTCAGGTATTTCTTACTCTCAAATGCTACCTTATTATATTTAAAAACTTTAATATGTATTATTTCATTTGCTTCTTCCTTTTCTCCCAGGCTATATGAGAAATAGATGACTTTGTGAGTCTCCCCACTTCTACCCCCAAACTCCCTTAGAAAACTCTGTGTTAGAATATGTCACTGTCTTGGAAATGCAACAATATACCCACAACCTACTGTGTAGTGGTTAAGAACATGGGCTTTCTAACAGATACCTATATTCAGTTATCAGCTTATTACTTGCTACCTATGAGACATAGAGCAAGCGGACTTACACTCTTTACAATCCCCATTTATAGACCACTAATGGGCATCTACCCATGTGTTCGTTGAAAGGATTAAAAGAGATAATACATGTAAAATATCTTTCATTATCAGTGACTGAAACTCATTAAAATCTCAATTTTAATTGTTGTAGTGTCATCTTTCCAGATCATTCTCTCAAATCCAGTGACTATCCAAATAAAATATACACTTCACAATCCCTCATCTCCTTCAGATCCTTTGCCCTCATTAATCAGCTTAAATTTCATTATGACTCCTTCACACACACCCTCCTTTGTCCTTCTGTCACTTCATTCTATTTGGCAAAATTACAACCCAGTTAAATCCAACTCCCCCCAATTCTACACCAGCATCTTAGCAGCAAAACAGGGCTAAAGGAAAACTCACAGCCATATTTACTGGTTCCATTTTAAATTCATGTTCACAAATCTTAAACAGCTCTTCTGTGTTACCCAGGAAATCAAATTTAGGCCTCTCCCAAACTATTCAAATCTCTACCTCCTCAAACTTCAATACCTGTTTTCCATATTGCTCAGCTGATGACTTTACTTATTTCAAATTATTTGTGAAGTCATAAAATAATAATCCACCAACATCTGTGTAAACGGCTTTCTTTTCAGTTAACAATTGGTCTGTCTGTGTTCTGGTCAAACCGCTAATGATGCATTAGATTATATTTCCTCTCAACTACTGAAGGGCATCATACTAGCAACTTCAATTTTTTTTCTTCCTACTCCATTATTCCCAACAGCATATAAAAATGCTGTATTTCACCAAGTATTAAAAATGATAAAACTTTAAACTACAATTGCCATTATTTCTTTGCCAGCCTCAAAAAGAGCTGTCTATGTTCACTATTGCCAATTCCTCTTGTCACATTATCTCTTGAACCCTTTCACGCAATGTTTTCGTTGCTACCATTCCACCAAAGCTGCCCTCCATCAAAGTCACCAATGACCTTCACATTGCTAAAACGAGCAGTAGAATCTCAGCCTACTTGACCAATTAGGAGCATTAGACAGCTGTCAACTCCCACCTTAAAGTACTTCATTCTCTTGGCTTTCACAGTATCACTCTCCTGGTTTTTCTTCTTCCTCACAATCTTCTCAGTGGCCTTTCTACTCTTTTCTTTTTTATTTCTTTTTTTTTTGAGATGGAGTTTTGCTCTTGTTGCCCAGGCTGGAGTGCAATGGCGTGATCTCAGCTCACCACAACCTCTGCCTCCCGGGTTCAAGCAATTCTCCTGCCTTAGCCTCCCGAGTAGCTGGGATTACAAGCATGCGCCATCAAGCCCAGCTAATTTTGTATTTTTAGTACAGATGGGGTTTCTCCACATTGGTCAGGCTGGTCTTGAACCCCCGACCTCAGGTGATCCACTTGCCTCGGCCTCTCAAAGTGACGGGATTATGGGCATGAGCCACCGTGCCCGGCCGGCCTTTCTACTCTTTATTCTACCTTCCAAATGCTGGAGTACCCCAGGACCCAGCTCTTGAATGTTTTCTCTTTCTACACTTACTCCTTGATGACCTCATCTAATCTCATTGCTTTTAAAATACCATTTAGGTGCTAATGATTCCCCAATGTACTTTTCTCACCTTGATCACTTCTCTAAATTCCAACTAGTTTTTTCCAACACCCTAATACCTAAACTTAGATTTTTAATAGAGGTTATCAAAATTAACATAACAAAATCTTAGTTAATGAGCCCGCACTCCATTCCTCCTTCCGTCTGTCCTAGAGTCCAGCCATTTACCATCTGCACATTTACTATCTGCACTACTAACACCTGAACCAAGCCAACACCGGCTGTCATCTGGCTTACTGCAGTAACTCTATTTCAGAACAGCCAGAGTGACATTTTAAAAACATTGTCATTGTACACAGTGGTTAACTAAAAAACAACAAAAAAACCCTCATAAGTCAGATCTTGTCATTCACATGCTCAAAACCCTCCGATGGCTTATTCTGCTCACAGTAAAGGCCAAAACTCTTACATTTACCTACAAGGCCCTTATATTATCTGACCCACTCTTATTTATCCCTTCCTTCTGAGCTCTATCTACTCACTCCATGACACACTAACTTCATAGCTAGTCCTTCAACATGTCAGGCATGCTATTTCAAGGCGTTTATAACAGCTGCCTAGATCATCCTTCCCCATTCCTCAAGATACATGTATCTGTCATCTCATTCAATTTTGTGGGCTCAAATTCCCAAATTCAAATTACTGAAGATTACTCTGACCATCGCACTGAAAATTACATCCCCCTCCAACTCTTCCCATCATCCTAATTCTGCTTTTTCCTCTTTCCACTTTTCCTCTTCTACTAAGCCATAAAAATTACTTATTTAATATGTTAATTATGTCTTCCCACCATGTGAATATGAGCTACACAAGGGCAAGGATTTTTGTCCATTTTGTTCACTGCTATATTCTGAGCACCTAAAACAGTGTCTGAAACATTAAACACTTAAGACATTACAGCTTTTTAGCTAACACATAAAACTAACCTCTTAGTGAACTGTCATCTGACTGGAATGATTTGTTGTTTTCCTTTTCTTCACATAGGTAGGTATGCTGCAATTTTTTTTTTTCAACTCTGTTAGGAGTGAAGGTTTCATTATTTCCACTTTTCTGTGGTTCCAACAAACTACTGTTTCTTGATGGCTGTTCTTGCTTGTCACGCAGTACTTTTTCTTTCATTCTTAGAAATATTTTTCCTGGTGATTCATAGTTTGCTTTATTTTTTAATCCATCCTTGTTGGGCTTTATAGCACTGATATCAAGAGAACTGTTAGAGGTAGTAGCCTCTGTTAGCATAGTTGATTGAAATATATTTTTATTGTTAAAAGTTGTCATTTTTAGGAACTGATTCTTTTTATGGTCATTCAATTTTAAGGAGGAGTTCTGATATTTCACCAAATCTTTTACAGGAGTAAGTGTGCCTGAAGGAATGCTGTCAAAAAAGATTGCATCCATGGGTAGATTTCTCCTTTGAGAAGATGCCTCTGGAGGTAAGTAAATTCTTGAATGTTTCAAAGGTGTTGCAATCATCTTGACAAGAAAGTAGCAACCAAGTTCTTCTAACAGAAAATTCACTTAAGCGCAATTTTCAGATAGAACTTCAGAAGGGATCCACAGAAACCTGTAGTTCAACGTAAAATCAGCCTTTATCATGCTTTGGTGCAGAAAATGTTTAAAGTTTATTTGCTTTCCACAACATTATACTAATTAAAATGTTTAACTGGTTCATAACAATACTAGATAATCACAAATCAGACTAAGATTTTATTTTTGTTAAAGTCTCCTTAACAAAAGAGCTGGGTGTGATGGTGTACACGCCTGTAGTCCTAGCTACTTGGGAGGCTGAGCAGGGAGGATCACTTGAGCCTGGGAGGTCAAGGCCACAGTGAGTCATGATTGTGCCACTGCATTCCAGCCTGGGTGACAGAGCAAGACCTTGTCTCAAAATAAAATAAAATAAAATAAAACAAAATAAAAGATATATGCATATGGCACTACATTAGGTTACAAAAGATAAAGTTCCACAAATATAATTTTTCCCTTTAGGCAGTTAAATTTTAAGGCAGCAACTACAAGATCTATTCTAATAAAAGCTAAAAAAATACTATTCAATTAGTTAATAATACCCAATCCTGATTTTTTATGCTCCAGAGCATTTACATTTTAAGGTCTTAGTTGAAAAATCCTCAAATAAATGGTAAATTGTTTTCATTCTGATTTTTTTTAATGTAGTGCTATTTAGAATTTTTAGCAGAAATACTGTACTTGAGTTTACGTAGTTTTAGTCTTGTTTCTTTCGTTTTTTTTTTTTTTTTTTCTTTTTTTGGAGACAGAGTTTCCCTCTTGTTGCCCAGGCTGGAGTGCAGTGGTGATCTCAGCTCACCACAACCTCCGCCTCCCAGGTTCAAGCAATTCTCCTGCCTCAGCCTCCCGAGTAGCTGGAATTGGAATTATGTATGCACCACCACACCCGGCTAATTTTGTATTTTTGCTAGAGACAGGGTTTCTCCATGTTGGTCAGGCTGGTCTCAAACTCCTGACCTCAGGTGATCTGCCTGTCTTGGCCTCCCAAAGTGCTGGGGTTACAGGTGTGAGCCACCGCGCCCGGCCACAACTTGTTTCTTATGTATAAATTTTATTATTCACACCTAGAAATTAAGGTTCTAGGTAAGGAACCATATAGTTGCATTAACTAATATTTGGTAAATAAATAAAACATTTCAATCCAAGGAGCCTGGAACTTACTAGTCTAGATTTACAGCATCTCTTATAGCTGAATTTATAACTATTCCAATTAGTTAACATCATATAAACATAAAAAAAAACTATCACAGAAAATTCTAACATAGCCAGACCAAAAAATATCAAGTATCTTTATCTACAGCAACTTCTGTGAGAAATAAGCAATTAATATACAAAGTATTATTTAATCCAATAATTTATGATAATAGAGAAAAAAAGAAGGAAAATATTCCTAAATTACAACAGCCAACAAAGAAGGCTATCTTGGGAGTCTGGAGTTCCTAAAAACCACTATAATTCTTTCATAACATACGAATCCTGCAAATACATATTAACGCATGCATGTATATGTTTATGATGTGCTAGTTCCAGGGGTTCTGTATTAGAAGTTATAATATTAGCCGTTCACTTCATTTCTGTTTTATTTTTGAGACAGTGTCTCTGTCACCCAGGCTGGAGTGCAGTGGTGTGATCAGGGCTCCCTGCAACCTCGAAATCCTGGGCTCAAGCAATCCTCCTACCTCAGCCTCCAGAGTAGCTGGGACCACAAGTGTGTGCCACTGCACCTCAGCTATGTTTTTTTTTTTTTACTTATTTGTTTGTTTGTTTCTGAGAGGGAGTCTTGCTCTGTTGCCCAGGCTGGAGTGCAGTGATGCGATCTTGACTCACTGCAATCTCCACCTCATGGGTTCAAGCAATTCTCCTGTCTTAGCTTCCCAAGTAGCTGGGATCACAGGCACATGCCACCCCACCCGGCTAATTTTTGTATTTTTAGTAGAGACGGGGTTTCACCATATTGGTCAGGCTGGTCTCCTGACCTCAGGTGATCCACTTGCCTCAGCCTCCCAAAGTGCTGGGATTACAGGCATGAGCCACCTGAGTTATGTTTTTTTACATTTTTTTGTAGAGACAGAGTTTCCCTATGTTGCCCAGGTTAGTCTCAAACTCCTGGGCTCAAGTGATCCTTCTGATTTGGCCTCCCACAAGTGTTGGGAATACAGGAGTGAGCCACCATGTCTGGCTTAGCTGTTCATTTCAAAGAAAGGCAATAAAGCTATACAATCTCTCAAAATCAAAAATGAATAAACTCGGCTGAGCACAGTGGCTCACGCCTATAATCCCAGCACTTTGGGAGGCCAAGGCAGGAGAATCACTTGAGGTCAGGGGTTCAAGACCAGCCTGGCCAACACGGTGAATCCCCGTCTTTACTAAAAATGTAAAAATTAGCCGGATGTGGTGGCACATGCCTGTAGTCCCAGCTACTCAGGAGGCTGAGGCAGGAGAATCACTTGAACCTGGGAGGCGGAGGTTGCAGTGAGCTGAGATCGCACCACCACTGCACTCCAGCCTAGGCGACGGAGTGAGACTCCAACTGAAAATAATAATAATAATAAAAATAAACTGGAAGACTGCAAAACAAAATGGCAAAGAATGTTCAGGTTTACACAATCTCAATTCCTCAGAGCCTAATGAAATGCTAAACAGAAAGTAAAAAATGCAAATAAGCGAGCAGCACTGAAAACAGAACCAACCTGTAATGGACATGCAGAACTGTCTTCATTTAAAGTCAGATAATTGTGGTCACGTTGAAAGGCTCCAAGAACCAAAACAGAGCTTTCTGTTTCCTAATGTCCCTGCCCCTAATTCAGGCAAGTAGTAGGATAAAGGTGATTAGCCAAGATTCTGAAAAAATCCTCAAATTCCACTTCCCCTCCCAAAGAAACAGAAAGTTGCTCTAGGAGACCTTTTTCCCACCATGTGATAAACAGCAACTCAATATAAGCCAAGAAAAAAATCGTCTACAATTTCCTCTGACCACAGAGGCTCTGCAGAATAGATAAACAAGAAAAACCACTGGGTCTAGATAATCCAGGACACATCTGAAGCTCCATTTCCTTCCTAGTCAAAACAGCTAAACAAAGAAATCAGCCTCTGATGAAACACAGACATTAGTGGAGATTTAGTAACTAGCAACCCGCAAGTGGAGGAAAGAACGCCTGTCCTGAAGCCAAGCACATTTGTTGACCTAACAGATGGAGGTCACTAACAAGAAATTGTTAGTTCCTCTCAGACTGGAGAAAGTATGTTTCCGTTTTCATTAACTGCTTAAAGTTGTTTGGAAAAATCTAATCCTTAAAACTTATTCTAAAAACTGACAAATGTTGATGTACTAGGGAAAAAAAATTGTTTTCAACATAAAGACATGGGAATGGGAAAACCATTGGATGAAAGGGCTGGCCAGGCCGCGTGCGGTGGCTCACGCCTGTAATCCCAGCACTTTGGGAGGCCAAGTGATCACGAGGCGAATGACGGCGAATCACGAGGTCAGGAGATGGAGACCATCCTGTCTAACACGGTGAAAACCGGTCTCTACTAAAAATACAAAAAATTAGCCGGGCGTGGTGACACGCGCCTGTATTCCCAGCTACTTGGGAGGCTGAGGCAGGAGAATGGAGTGAACCCGGGAGGCGGAGCTTGCAGTGAGCCGACATCGCGCCACTGCACTCCAGCATGGGCGAGACATCAAGACTCTGCCTCAAAAAAAAAAAAAAAAAAAAAGGGCTGGCCATAAGCATTTATAGTACAGTCATGCACTGCATAATGACATCAAACCACATACACAGTGGTCCCATAAGATTATTTTGGTGTACCTTTTTTTTAAACTTATTTTTACTGTACCTTTTCTATATTTTGGTATGTTTAGATACACAAATACTTATCATTGTGTTACAACTGCCAACAGTATTCAGTAAAGTAACATGCTGTACAGGTTTGAAGCCCAGAATAGGTTATAATATATAGCCTGGGTTTTTATAAGTACACTCTATGATATTGGCACAATGACAAAAATTACCTGAGAATGTATTTCTCAGAACGTATCCCAGTCAGTTACAAGTGACATATATAAATACAGAACTGAAGCTAAACAATTATGTATATGATCCTGAATGTAACTACTCCTCCTCCTCCTCCCAAAAAACATGGAAAGTTCTTGTAAGAATTTACTGTAGTGGTAGTAGTAATAACTATTACTATGGAATGGGTCAAAAATCCCAGAGCACACTAACCAAAACTGGGACATAGAATTAGGGGGAAAATAGAATTTTAAGTTAACAGGCAAATGATACACTTGAAAAAAATACTCAGCACATATGACAAAGGGCTAATTTAAATAACATTCAAAGAGACCTAATAAATCAACTTTAAAAAATATACAAAACAGAAAATGGTCATGGGACATGAAAGGTGATTAATAGAATACAAAAGGCCAATAAACGAGTTGTGACACCTGATTTTACTAATAAATGGAGATGCAAACTAAAACAGTGAGATTTCTTTTTCATATCACATTGGTAAATATTAATTTCAAAATGCAAGTATGCATACTATTGACACGGAAATTCCACTTCTAACTTGTTTTTTCCTATAGAAACATCTGCGTAAGAATGCAAATATATATGTACCATAATTGCCGATATTTACTGAATATTTACATGCCAGCCACTATATAATCTAACAGCAACTCTAAAGAGTTAAGTACTGTTATTACTCCCAATTTGAAAAAAGAGAAATTAAGGTATAAGGTGGTTAAGTAAGCTGCCCAAGGTCACTTGACAATAAGTGAGAAAGAGGAACCGATTCTACCCGACTCCATAGCTTCAGTTATTTACCAACAGGCAACAGTCTACACACCCACTACACAGGGAAGTTCACTGCAGCATAAAATGAAATGAAACAACCCAGATGTCTACCAATAAAGGACAAAATAAATCCCGCCACATCCATACAATTTACTCTATGTATTCAATAAAAAGATATATATGTACTTATATGGAAAAGTATCCAAGAAACATTAAATTGAAAAAGAAAGTAACAACATAGAATTGCATTTGTTTAAAAAAATTTTTAAGTAAATAAATAAAACACATACAGGCATAGAGAAAAACTCTGGAAGCGGTGAACCAAATTGTAAACAGTGTTTATCTTTGAAGGCCAGGATGAAGTGGCCTACCATTTTCTTGAACTCCTGAGCTCAAAAGATCCACCCGCCTCGGCCTCCCAAAGTGTGGGATCACAGGCGTGTGCCACCGCGCCCGACCATTTTCTAAATAATTTTATTAACATCTAAAGATGTTTGCAACAAGCATGCAATTTAACCAGAAGAAAACATAAGCTGAATGATCAACTGCTTCTATAGCCCTGTGGGTCCTGGGGTCCCAAGGGGAAGAGTTGGGTACTGAGGAATACAATTTTCCCACTTGGTATTCTAAAAAAAAAAAAAAAAAATTTATTTTAGAACAAAGACCTAGAACGCTCACCATCGAAATAAATTTGAGCAATCGTGTTCTACTCTCTTAAGTACAGTAGACACGCAACAAGTAAACATCGAGTGCGAAGTATAAAATCCGTACCAAAGCCAGAAATCTACAAAAAAAATAAATAAAACCGCGTGAGCCGAGATGCTTAAAGGGCAGACGCCCACCATCTGCGGGGACCCGCGGTAGGAGGTTAGCGGAGGGCGCGGGGAGGACGTACCTTGGATGAAGAGCCTGGCAGGGAGAGACTGCCGCAGTTCCGGCTCGGCTCCGCGCGGAGAGAGGGCCGCACGCCGCCGGGCTCGCGCCTCAGGCCCACGGTGTATCCTGCCCGCGGCGGCCAGGCGCCAAGCGACGCTTACCTCCTCCGCGACGTTCTCTAACACACAAAACACTTCCGCAATTCAAATTTGAAGAGCCCGCCCTCCAGCCAGCCCGGGATTGGCACGCTCGGGAATTGCGCCACCGTGCGTCTCACAGGGACGCAAGAAAACTGCAGGCGGCCTCTGCACTCCGTGGACGGCAGTGTGTCCACAAAAAGTAGGCGACCCTAAGCTGTCACAGGCAGGGGGCGAGCTCCTCTAGTTGTCTTCAAAGTTCGTTTCGTCTTCGTAGGGCACGCGCCCACCCTGAATCCCGCCTTTCCTCTCGTGAAGCTCTGCCGGGACAAGGCTGACGTGGGACGACGTGGGACGCCGTGGGCCGCGAGCACGCCCCGGCACTACTGCGGCTAAGTTTGGCCTTTCCTGGTTGCCGTCCTCCCCTACAGGCTGTGCGCCGTAGCGGCTGTTATCCTTCTTTTCCGTCTCAGGAAAACAGCGTGCTTGGTGGGTTTGAGAGAACTTCTGTTTTTCTGTCCTCCATGTTTGAGGCGGAGAAAGAACATTTTGTTCTTGAGGTGATGATGGATTGAATGTAAAGTTACGCACAAAGTGGGATGTTTAGTTGGAACTGTTCCCTCAGGAAATACGATTTTTTGGGCGTGGGGGACAGGGTTTCGCTCTGTCGCCTAGGCCTGAGTGCAGTGGCGCAATAACGGCTCACTGCAGTCTGGAACTCCAAGGGATCTTCCCACCTCAGCCTCCGAGTAGCTGGAACTACAGGCGCGCGCGACCATGCTTGGCTTATTTTTATTTTGTAGAGAGGAGGTCTCACCATGTTGCCCAGCCTAGTCTGGAACTCCTGGGTTCAAGCGATCCTCCATCTCGGCCTCCCAAAGTGCCAGGATTACAGGCAACCGCACCGAGCCAGGAAGTGATTAATTTTTTTTTAAGTCACTTCACATTCCAGAAACATTAATCTCGACAACTCTAGGTTGCTGTAAGCAGCTTGTGACGGTGGCCCCCAGACTGCGTCCCGCTTTAGACTGCACCCAGTGAATCTCCACTCTAACCACCGCGGAGTGACCGGGTGTATTCTTCGCCTTGTATAGGGCACATTGGTTCAGTCTTGAAAGTAGAGAAGGGGAAGCCAGGGTAGTAAGGTGTGTTCTCAGCCCTGAACCCTGTCCAACTCCAGTCCTGCATGAAGTCTGTCCTCTTCCCCCCATCCGCATTTGTGACAACAGAGCTTCTTTTTATTTTATACTTCCATCTAAGAAAATTAGTCAACTTCTAGTCACATACCACATTTCCCCATTAAGAGGCTTTACTGAAAAGGTGGTAATTTTTTTTTAAAGTGACTTTTGCAGTCCCTTCTAAATCCTGCATGTACTAAATTTTGTACACACTGAATAATCAAAATCCAAAATATAAATTTAAAACATCCACGTGAATGCAAATAAGGAAAAACAGTTGGAGGTAGGGGGAAAGGAAGCAAACTTACCTGGATAAAATGAAGTTTCTTTCTTGTACACCATAATGAGAAAATGGTTGGACATGGATTTGCACTACTTTTTTGGGAAAAACCCACCTTAAAACAGGTTAAATGGCATGTATGAAATATACTTTGATAGAGGAAGTTTGAAGGGATGGTCATTCAGATTTTAAAGCACCTGAAATTGAGGTATAGGACGTTTCTGTGCCTGATGAAGATGGCCGTGGCTCACACATTTAGACAAAATAGGAACCCTGAAGTATTAACAGCAGGCACTCAGAAATGCACACTTTTTTTAAATTAGCCACTTCTCATGTAAGAAGGAAGTAGTATGTAGTATGTCCCAATGTGAATGGCCACAGGAATTTACATAAGATGACTAGTAATTTTCCAAGCAAAATTGGATTAAACAGTTTGTGGATAAGAAAGTGTGATGAGAAAGCCTAGAGGCCAAGGGACAGTACCTCTGTCCCTTAAATGGCAACATGCTGTAACCGCCCAAGGGGTTCACCTTGCGTGCTGCCTAGACAGAGCTGATTGATCAATACAAGTAAATTGCAATGGAGAAAGAGTAATTGACGCAGAGCCGGCTGTGCGGGAGACTAGTGTTTTATTATAACTCAAATCAGTCTTCCCTGAGCTTTTGGGGATCAGAGTTTTTGAGAATAATTTGGTGCGGGGAACCCAGTGAACTAGAGTGCTGATTGGTCAGGGATGAAATCATAGGGAGTAGAAGCTGTCTTCTTGCGCTGAGTGTTTCTGGTTTGGGGAGTCACAAAATCAGATGAGCCAGTTTATTGATCTGGGTGGTGCCAGCTGATCCCCTAAGTGCTGGGTCTGAAAAATAAGCACTGATCTTGGGAGCAGTTTAAGGAGGGGCAGAATCTTGTAGCCTCCAGCTGCATGACTCCTAAACCATAATTTCTAATATTGTGGCTAATGTTCTACAAAGGCAATCCAGTCTCTAGGCAAGAAGGAGGTCTGCTTTAGGTAAGGGCTATTACCGTCGTTGTTCGAACTATAAACTACAAACTAAGTTTCTCCGAAAGTTAGTTCAACCTACACTCAGGAATGAACAAGGACAGCTTGGAGGTTAGAAGCAAGATGGAGTCAGTTAATTTATATTTCTTTCACTGTCCCAGTCATAATTTTGCAAAGGCAGTTTCAGTGCTGACCAGGGTTGGCCCTCCTTTAAGTTTTTGTCCGCTCGGAGGGGAGACCATAATGAGAAAATGGTTGGACATGGATTTGCAGTTCACAGCCACCTGGGATAATCTGTCCCATCCTAGGCCTATACCTCATGGGAACACATGCGGACCCATGTAGGGTCCAAAAAAACGGACATGAAAGGAAGAGACAGAAAGCTTCACACTGTGTGCGAGTTGCTACCAAGGCATCTGGGCATGCTTAGCCTGGAGGAATATTCCCAGGACCGTGAAAAGTTGTAGCAGTACTTTTGGAGAAAGTAGAAAAACGATGTTTCCTCAAGGCCAAGGGTTCTCAAGCAGGAAAAGTTTTGCCCCCCTTGGGACAATTGGCAATGTCTGGAGACATTTATAAATGTCACAATTAGGGAGGGTACCAGTGGCATCTTGTGGGTAGAGGACAGATATACTACTAAACGTCATAGTGTAATGGTGGGGTGGCCAGCCCCCCCAACATTACAAAGGATTAACTATTTTAAAATATCAGCAGTGCCATGGTTGAGAAATTCTACTCTTGGCAGATATAGCCCTGAAACAGGATTTCAGCCCCCTCTCAGTCTCTTAGCTGGGTGCCCTTATGTAAGGCACAAAGTAAAAGCACTACTCCCCTGTATAGGCTACAGGAGGGAGTCAGTGAGGAAGTTACCCAGGTTTTGTGACAGGAGGACCCTTCAGTGAAAAAGGCTGCCAAGGAAATTGCTATGTGATGGAGACAATATACAAACCCATAATCATATTACAAATTGTGATAAGTGTTATGAGGATATATCAGTTCAGATCACCCAGGAAGCTGATGCCAAATTGGAATTAGGATTATTGGGAAATAGGTCCTGTGAAAGACTAAGGGGGAGGAAGAAGAACTGGACCTGGTAAATCTTCAGATCTTGATACAGATCTGACAGGAAAGACTGATGAAAGTGGAATTGGGTAGGTGCAGTCTAAGAATGCAGTAGAGATTTGACAAAGTCCTGGCTGACTCAATAGGAAGATTTGGGGTTGCCCATCAGAGAAGTCCTGTAGTGGGCAGGCATGGCCAGGCCCTGGTATCTGCCAGACTGGAGGCTGCCTGGGAAGAACATGGCCTTGGCACAAAGGCTTTAACAGATCTCACAGGCTTTGCAGCCAGAAGCTGTCAGCTAACTGCACTCCTCACAGCTCAATGACTTTTTTTTTTTTTTTAAGAAAAGATCAGAATTGCATGTTTCCATACCTCCCACAGAAGAATAATTAAAAGAGTGTAGCAGCAGGATTTTATTTTCAGGGGCTTTCCATTTTTTTTTTTTTTTGCAACCCACAGAAATATTGTACATTGTAACTTAATAAATACACAAAACTCAATTAAACAAAAAGCTTTAAAAGCATTACTTAACATTACTCTGCAGTGTGTGCTGTTATTTTCTGTTTCCTCTTTAAGAAAACTTCCTATGGTGTATGATTGTAATACAAAATGAACATTTTCATGTTTCAGCATGGTCAGGGCTTTTAATTAAAAAATTAAGGTAAAATTCACTTAAAATAACCATTTTAAAGTGTACAATTCAATGACATTTAATGCATTCACAATGTTCTGCAACCACCACCTGTAAAACATTTTTTATCATCCTAAAAGGAAATCTCATACCCCTTAAGCAGTCACTCTCTCTTCTCCCCTCCCCACAGTCCTAGGCAACCACCAATCTTCTTCCTGTCTCTATGAATTTACCTATTTGGATATTTCATATAAATGGAATCATACAATATTACAATATGGACCTTTTATGTATAGCTTCCTTCACAGTTTTTTTCTGAGGTTTATATATCAAACATTGTATGTTGTAGATTAGTACTATATTCCTTTTTGTGGCTAAACAGTATTCCATATTTTGTGTGTGTGTGTGTGTGTGTGTGTGTGTGTGTGTATACCACATTTTATTTATCTGTTCCTCCATTGACATTTGGGTTGTTTCCACCTAAATCTATACTACCTTAGTTTGGATTGATACCAACTTAGTTTCAACAGCATACAAAAACTCTGCCCCTAAACAGCTGAGTCCTCTCCTGTATGTTTCTATTATTACCGATTGCATCTATATACATTGTGTGTTCATTAACATAGATTTGTAATTATTTTATGCATTTGTCTTTTAAATCATATAAAAAAAGGGAACTACACACCAAAAACATAGCGATCCTGGCTTTTGTATTTACTGATGTAGTTATATTTATCTAACTTCCTGATTTCTTCTTAGAGCTTTTAGTTACCATCTAGTTTTCTTTCATTTAAGCCTGAAGAACTCCCTTTAGTATTTCTTATAGTATAGGTCTACTTGTGACAAACTCCTTCAGCTTTTATTTACGTGCTAATGTCTTAATTTCTCCATTGTTTTTGAAGGACACTTTGCTGAATATAGAATTCTTGGTAGATAGTCTTTTTCTTTCAGCACTTTGACTATGTTATCCCACTGCCTTCTTGCCTACATAGTTTCTGATGAGAAATCAGATGTTCTTATTATTGAGAATCACTTGTATGTGACAAATCTTTCCTCTCCCTACTTTTAAGATTTTTTTTTGTCTTTGTCTTTTGACAATTTGATTATAATGTGTCTCAGTGTGGAACTGTTTATATTTATCCTTCTTGGAGTTTGTTGAGATTCTTGGGTGCATAGGTTCCTGTCTTTTACCAAATCTGGGCAGCTTTTGGTTATTTCTTCAACATCTTTTTCCACTGTTTTATTTTTCTTCTCCTCTGGGACTCCTGTAATGTGTATGGTGGTACTCTTGATTATTCCCATAGATTTTTAAAGACTCCAATAATTATTCTTCATTTTTTTTCTTTTTTCTTTTTTGTTTTTTGAGACAGAGTCTGGTTCTGTCACCCAGGCTGACAGGCAGAATTATGACTCACTGCCTTATGAACTCCTGGGCTCAAGAGGCCTTTCCACCTCAGCCTCCCGAGTAGCTCAAACTACAGACACATACCACTATACCCAGCTAACTTTTTTTTTTTTAATTTTTGTAAAGACAGAGTCTTACTATGTTGCCCCAGCTGGTCTTGAACTCCTGGGCTCAAGTGATTCTACTGTCTCAGCCTCCCACAATGCTGAGATTACACGTGTGAGCCACCGCGCCTGGTCTTTCTTTTTTCTTTATACTCCTCAGTCTGGATAATTTTGATTGTAGTCAACAGTTGTAAGTTCACTCATTCTTTATTCTGCCTGCTCAAATCTGCTATTGCAACCCTCTAGTAAATTTTCATTTCAGTTATTGTATTTTTCAGCTTCACAGTTTCTACTTGGTTTCTTTTCATAATTTCTATCTTTGTTGATATTTTCTATTGTTAACACATCATTCTTCTGGTTTCCTTTAACTCTTTGTGGTTTCCTTTACCTCTCTGAGCATATTTAAGACAGTTGATTTTAAATTTTTGTCTAATATGTTCAGTGTTTGTGCTTCTTTAGGGAGAGCTTATATTAATTTCTTCTGTAAATAAACCATACTTTCTAGTTTCTTTGCATGCTTCATAATGTTTTTGCTGGAGACTGGACATTTGAATATTAAAATATGCTAACTCTGGACATCAGATTCTTCTCTCTTCTTAGGATTTGTTGTTGTTGTTATTGCTTCCTGTGAAATATAGTTGTTTGCTTGTTTAGTGACTTTTCTATATGATCTTTGTAAAGTCTGTATTCTTTGTCCTGTGTGGTCTCTGATGTCTCTATTCCTTTAGCTTGTGTTCAGGGGTGCTTTGATAGATATTTTCCTGATCACCAGGAGCTATCCTAGAATAGAATAAAGTAATAAAAGAAAAGAAAGAAACAACAACAACAACAACAACAACAAAAAACCCTCTTCCAACCTTTGAAGATTGGCTGTGTGTTAGAGCATGCTTTCAGTACTTAGCGAGGCCATTTATAACTCTGCCTAAGCCTTCACTCCCTGCTTGTGCTGAGCCCAAAGATAAGCCAGAAGTAAAAGCTTAGGGTCTTTTTAGATTGTTTTTGAACATGCATCCTGTCCTAGGCACGTGCATAGCTTCTAAATTCCTCAGTATATGGAGACACTTTTGAATAATTTCCCAGAGAAACTCTACCCAGCTTTTCCTTGCAGGCTTTCACTGCATCTATTATTTGCCTCAATTGTAATTCTTTGTCCTAGGTGGCAGCATGTTGTCCATTTGTCTTACAATGTTTTTGAGGAATGTCTTTTGTGTAGCTGTTTTTTTTTCATGCTGAATAGGTTTCAAGTTATGTAAAACAAAGTCAGGTGCCTTCTGTCATTCTTTCAAGTAGTACTCTCTGATGGTAAATTTTATGTGTCGATTTGACTGCATCATGGATTGCCAGATGTTTGGCTAAACATTTTTTTCTTAGTTTGTCTGTGAGGGTGTTTTTGGATGAGATTCATTTTTGGATTGGACTGAGTAAAGCAGATTGCTCTTCTCAGCATGGATGAGCCTCATCCAGTCTGTTGAAGGCCTTAATAAAATAAAAGGCTGAGTAAGAAAGAATTCTTTCTTTTGGCCAGAATATGTTTGAGCTAGGACTTTAGTCTTCTGCCTTTGGACTCATTCTTGGACTTGAACTTACAGCATTTGTTCTCCTGTTTCTCAGGCCTTCGTACTTGGTGATATGGTTTGGCTGTGTCCCCATCAAAATCTCATCTTGTATTGTCATTCTCATAATCCCCACATGTCATGGGAGGGACCTGATGGGAGGTAATTGAATCATGGGGGCGGTTACCCCCATGCTTGTTCTTGTGATAGTGAGTTCTCATGAGAGCCAATGGTTTTATAAGGGCTCTTCTCACTTTTGCTCAGCACTTCTCCTTGCCACTGCCATGTGAAGAAGGATGTGTTTGCTTCCCATTCCACCATGATTGTAAGTTTCCTGAGGCCTCTCCAGCCATGCTGACCTGTGAGTCAATTAAACCCCTTTCCTTTATAAATTACCCAGTTTTGGGTATATCTTTATTAGCATTGTGAGAACAGACTAATACACTTGGACTGGAACTATACCATTGACTCTCCTGGGTCACTAGTTTACTGATGCAGATCTTGGGTTTCTCAACCTTCAATACTTCAATGAGCCAATTCCTTGTAGTAAATCAATCTCTTTCTCTTTTTTTTATTCTCTCTCTCTTTCTCTCTCTCTCTCTCTCATTCCCTCTTTCCTGTTGGTTGTGTTTCTCTGGAGAATCCAGACTAATACACTGCCAAATAAGTTAGAACAGACAAACACAATTCTCTAAGCATAAGGTCTGTGCTCCCTCCACAACCAGGGACCAAGGTCCCACACTGGAAATGGGTGCTGTCTTCAAGACTGCTGCCAAAGGTGCTGAGATGCTGAAGAAAGCAAGCTGAAAAATCCCGTTCTTCAGAAAGAAACATTTAATAGGACTTATGAACAGAAGCAATGTCTTGGGTGGGCATGAGATGGTGGATCCCTCTACCTGCCCTCCAGAAAATATCCTTTGTAAAGCAAGCTTTTAGGGTAAAGATTTGTGTAGCTTGTCATGCTTCAGACTTTCTTGTGAAACGTGACTACTGGGGAGATTAGATAAGCATCTTTATTTATGCTACAGGGATTGTTTATTTATGAGACGTTTTCCATGTTACAGGCATTCTTAAAGACCTTGCTGCAGGAGTCATCATGGTCATCATGGTAGTTTCACTTCAAGGTGGCATCACTCTTGTCATGCAACAGGCTCTTTTCCTATGGGGGGGGTCAATAAGGGCAATCAAAAATGCTGCAAAGCTTTTGTACAAGAACATTTCCTCTTTTAAATTTTTTAATTGACAAATAGTTATTGTACATGTTCATGGGGTACATGGTGATGTTTTTATACATGTAATGCTTGGTGATCAGATCTGGTTAATTAGCATATCCATGATCTCAAACATTTATCTTCTTCTGGTGTTGGAAACATTCAGTGTCTTTTTTTTGCTGTTTGAAATTATATTTATTTTTTTTTCTTTTTTCTTTTTTCTTTTTGAGACAGGGTCTCTGTCGCCCAAGCTAGAGTGTGGTAGCACAATCTTGGCTCACTACAGTCTCTGCCTCCCAGGCTCAAAGGATCCTTCCATCTCAGCCTCAGGATTAGCTGGGACAACAGGCACATACCATCATGCCCAGGTAAATTTTGTATTTTTTGGTAGAGATGGGATTTCATCATGTTGCCTAGGCTGGTCTCTAATTTCCAGGCTCCAGCGATCCACCCTCCTCAGCCTCCCAGAGTGCTGGGATTACAAGTGTGAGCCACCATGTGTGGCCTGAAATTATATTCTTAGTAACTATTGTCATCCTACAGTGATATAGAAAACTAGAACTTCTTATTCTTATCTAGCTGTAATTTTATAACCTTTAACAAATCTCTCCTTATCCCTCCCTTCTCCCTATCATTCCCAGCCTCTAGTATCCTGTATTCTACTTTTTACTTCTATGAGATGAAATTTTTTAGCTTCCACATATAAGTGAGAACGTGTGATGTTTAATGTTTTGTTCCTGGCTTATTTTTCTTAACATAATGTCCTCCAGCTCCATCTATGTTGTTGCAAATGACAAGATTTCATTCTTTTTTTATAGTTTAATAGTATTCCATTTGTATATACCACATTTTCTTTATCCATTCATTTGTTGTTGAACCCCAGGTGGATTCTAAATCTTGGCTATTGTGAATAATGCTGTAACAAACATGCAAGTACAGTTGTCTCTTAGATATACTAATTTCCTTTCATTTGGATAAATGCCCAATAGTGGGACTGCTGGATTATATGGTACTTCTGTTTGTAGTTGTTTTAGGAACCTCCATCGTATTTTCAATAGTGGCTCTACTGGTTTACATTTCCACAAACAGTGTTTTAAGAGTTCCCTTTCCTCCACATCCATGCCAGAATCTGCTTTTTTTTGTCTTTTTGATGATAGCCGTTCTAACTGGGGTGAAATAAAACCTCATTGTGCTTTTTATTTGCATTTCCCTGATGATTAGTGATGTTGGGCATTTTGTCATGTGTTTCTTGGCGCGCTCTCTCTCTCTCTCTCTCTCTCTCTCTCTTTCTCTCTCACTCTTGCTCTTGCTCTGTTGCCCAGGCTGGAGTGCAGTTGCACAATCTCAGCACACTGCAGCCTCCACCTCCCAGGTTCAAACAATTATCCTGCCTCAGCCTCCCAAGTGGCTGGGACTACAGGTGAGTGTCACTATGCTCGGCTAATTTTTGTATTTTTTCCTAGAAGAGACTGGGTTTCACCATGTTGGCCAGGCTGGTTTTGAACTCCTGGCTTCAAGTGATCCACCTGCCTTGGCCTCCCAAAGTGCTGGATTACAGGTGTGAGCCACCGTGCCCAGCCTGCCATTTTTATATATCTTTTAAGAAATGTCTGTTCAGATCATTTACTCATTTGAAAATCAGATTGTATTTTTGTGCTATTGAGGTGTTTGAGTTCCTTGTATATTCTGGATATTAATCACTTGTCACATGAGTTATTTGCAAATATTTTCTCTCATTTTCTGGTTTGTCTTTTCATTCTGTTGATTGCTTTTTAGTTATATATAATCTCATGTATTTATTTTTGCTTTTATTGCCTGTACTTTTGAGGGCTTATAAAATTTTCCCAGACCAATATTCTGAAGCAGTTCACCTATGTTTTCTTCTAGTAGTTTTATATTTTCAGGTCTTCCATTTATGTATTTGATCCATTTTGAGTAGATTTTTGTATAGGGTGAGAGATGAAGTCTAGTTTTATTCTTCTGCATATGGAGATGCAGTTTTCCCAAGACCATATATTGAAGAGACCATCCTTTCTCCCAATGAGTGTTCTTGGCATCTGTGTCAAAGATTAGTTGATTGTAGATTGTAGATATGTGAATTAATTTCTGGGTTCTCTATTCTGTTCCATTGGTCTATGTGTCTGTTTTTATGCCAGTACCATGCTGTTTTGGTTATTACAGCTTTGTAGTATATTTTACAGTCTGGTAGTGTGAAACCTCCAACTTTGTGCTCAGGATTGCTTTGTTTTTTGTGGTTCTATACAAATTTTAGGATTTTTTTTCTATTTCTGTGAAGAATGTCATTGATATTTTGATGGAATCTGCAGATTGCTTTAGATAGTAAGTTGCTCCTTTTTTTTTTTTTTTTTTTTTGAGACACAGTCTCACTCTGTCACCCAGGCTGGAGTGCGTTGGCACAATCATGGATCACTGCAGCCTTGACCTCGCAGTATAAGTTAACCCCCCGACCTCAGCTTCCTAAGTAACTGGGATGATAGACATGTGCCACAGTGCCTGGCTAGTTTTTGTATTTTATTTTGGTAGAGACAGAGTTTTGCCATGTTGTCCGGGCTGGTCTGGAACTCCCAGCCTCAAGTGGTCTGCCCACTTTCTTGGTTCAGCATTTTCTTGGTTGCTGTAGACCTTTGGCTATTCTCCAGAGCTATCTTGACTCACTACAACCTCCGCCTCCTGGGTTCAAGTGATTCTCGTGCTTCAGCCACTCAAGTAGCTGGTACTACAGGTGTGCACCACCATGCCCAGCTAATTTTTGTATTTTTAGTAGAGACAGGGTTTTGCCATGTTGCCCAGGCTGGTCTCAGACTTCTGGCCTCAAGTCTCCCCCACCTTGGCCTTACAAAGTGCTGGAATTGCAGGCATGAACCACCATGCCCAGCCCTAATCATTTTTTTTTTTATCTCTAATATTGCCATTTAAAGAAAGTTGTATAAGCAAAATCATTATACCTGTAACCTTTTGAGATTGGCGCTTTTTCCCCCCACTTAGTATAATGCCCTTGTATCCAAGTTGTGTGTATCAATAGTTTTGATAGTTTCCTTTTATTGACAGATATACCCACAATTTGTTTAACCATTCATCTATTGATGGGCATTTTGATTATTTCCAGTTTTTTTTTTGCTATTACAAATATAACTGTTATGAAAAATCATAAGATTTTATGTGGACTTAAGTTTCACTTCTCTGGGATAAATGCCCAGGATGGCAATTTCTGGGTAACGTGAGAAGTATTTAGTGTTTTAAAAAAACTGTTAAATTATTTTCCAGAGTGGCTGTACCATTTTGCATTCCTACCAGCAGCAGTATGTGAGTGATCCAGGTTGTTCACATTCTCACCAACATTTGAGTTTTAGAATGATCACTTTGACAGTGTGTGGAGAATTGATTAGAAGTGGATGGCATTCTAGATGAGAATTCTGTCTCAGAAATTTTTGTAGTTGTTATGGTGAGACATGATGAGGGCCTAACCCAAACTCTGAAAGTGGGGATGGGCAGATTGGAGAGAAGTTAAGGGAATGAGTTGACGGAATTAAATGATCAATTTGATGTAGGACTTGGAAGAGAGAAATTTTTAAAGAAAGCCTTCTTGTTTCTGATTTGGGCATTTTGGTGGATAATGGTACCATTTAGAGAAGTAGATAATACTGGAAGAAGGGTTTGTCGGGGGTTGAGAAGATATGTTTAGTTTTAGGCTTGATCATTTTGAATTTACTTTGTAATCCAAGAGGGACCGACCAGTAGGCAGCATGCTACATAGGTCTGAAAATAGCGTAGTCATTAAGGGAATGGATTTTAGAGTCATTTGAGACGGAGTCATTAAGGGATTCCAAATCTGAGTTCTTTCTCTTACTCTCTGTATATCTATTGGCTAGTTACTTTACCTCCATTTTCTCATTAAATGAGATGGAATCATTGTGAGGCTTAAATAAGGCAACATGTATAAAACACTTAGCACATGTTAGGTACTTAGTATATGGTAGTTGTTGTTATTATTATTACAGATATGCAATTTAGAAACATTATTTTTTCTCTAATGTCAAATGCTACCCAAAAGGCAAATGTAATAAAGGTTAAAGTATACTCTTTGGATTTAGCAATCATGGGGCCTTGGGGACAACAGGTTTGTAGGGCAGAAGCTTGGTTATGGTATCAGAGTATAATCAAGAGGTGAGTGCCTGGAGACAAACACAAAGATATTTGTTCCCCAAGAAATACGTAAAAGGAAGGAGAGAGAAAGAGGTTAGACCAGCTGGGACTAAGGAAATATTTGTGCTGAGATTATTTTTTTTCTTTGAGCAAAGATTAATGAATTGTTAGCCTTTTTTTTTTTTTTTTTTTTTTTTTTTTGAGACAGAGTCTCGCTCTGTTGCCTAGGCTAGAGTGCAGTGGCATGGTCTCAGCTCACTGCAACCTCCGCCTCCTGGGTTCAAGTGATTCTTCTGCCTTAGCCTCCTGCGTAGCTGGGATTACAGGTGCCTGCCACCACACCAGGCTAATTTTTCGTATTTTTAGTAGAGACGGGGTTTCACCACGTTGGTCAGGCTGGTCTCGAACGCCTGACCTAGTGATCCGTCTGCCTCAGCCTCCCAAAGTGCTGGGATTACAGGAGTGAGCCACTGTGCTCGGCCAGCCTTTACAAATGGAGGGAGATTTCTTTTAGAATGACTAGCTGGGAGGAACTATTGGTAGAGATGCACATGAGTTTTGTTTGTTTGTTTATTTGTTTGAGATGGAGTCTCACTCTGTCACCAGGGCTAGAGTGCAGTGGCACGATCTCAGCTCACTGCAACCTCCACCTCCCAGGTTCCAGTGATTATCCTGCCTCAGTCTCCTGATTAGCTGGGATTATAGGCACCTGCCACTGTGCCTGGCTAATTTCTTATATTTTTAGTAGAAACGGGTTTCATCATTTTGGCCAGGCTGGTCTCAAACTCCTGACCTCGTGATTCGCCCTCCTTGGCCTCCCAAAGTGCTGGGATTACAGGCTTGAGCCACTGCGCCCGGCCTACACATGAGTTTTTTAGGTAAGGATCGTCTTCATGTTAAACTCTTCTCCATGGCCTATATTTTTGTCACTGATGTAAGGAAGAGAGATCATTGGCTAAAATTAAGTTAGCAGATATTGAAATGTTTAATCCTCACAATGATTGCTTGGTGAAAAGAGTATTTAAATTTTGGAACAGCTGTTGTTAGAAAATGGGAGAGAACTGTCTTGAGAGAAACAGAAAGATTGCTATAGTATATTGAGAATCGAGCTAAAGTTGGAGTTGGGATTTGTAGTTGCACCAGTTTACAGGATTGATTGTTTTTATTTCTAATAAATTTTGTAAGGGAAAATATTAATCCAGGCCTAGAGTTATTTTGGAATGGATATAGCAGAATGAAAAGAATACAGAGGAGTTATAAAAATATAGTTAGGTGAGTGGTTCAAATGATAGACTTTTTAAAAAAATTTTTGGATGAATGGTAATAAAAATAAAGGCAAGAGAAGGCTATTAGGAATATTATTACAGAAGGATCAAGAGACAAGAGGTCTTGAGGGGCTTGAAGACAGTAATAATTAATCAAATAGAACTGGAAGGTTTAGAGATAGCCATGTGACATATTAGAGTATAAATGATTCAGAGATATGGCCCATTCCTAGACAGCTTGAAAGTTGATGAAATAGTTATTTATAGTTCAATTACATGTGAGCTGAGGTTGGGGTGATATGGGAGGCCTGGTGGTATTAATAGTAACTATGTCTGTAATGCCTATTATAACTAGTATTTTGGTTACAACTAAAAGTGAAGTGGGCTGGGGAGGTGGGGGCATCTATGATTTATATCATGTGACTTTATAAAGTGTATTGTGTTTTCCCATTTAAGTTCATACTAATAGGTACAAAAGGCATACTGAAGCTAGCTTGAATTCAAAGAAATGGAATTCTTTTATTAAAGAGTCTCAAATTATTAGGAGATACATAGGAGATGGCTTGATTTTCCCAGTTCCTACTTTTGAGTGTGGTATGTCAAATCTCTCTCTCTCTCTCTAAGTAGTGGCTACTTTGAAAATATATTGGCCTACTCTGCCCCTGCAGATTCCTGCCTCTCAAAGAAATCTCAATATTATATCCCCTTCCCAATCTTGGGGGAAATACTGTAAGTCTCTCTCTACTCCTGCTGCTTCCATCTCCTCTCCATGCTGAGATGACTCCTAGGACATATAATTTTGGGGAAGAAGGAATGAGATGCTAACACTGACATGGTTTTTTTCTTGCTAACTCATCTAGCTTCACAGTGAGTGACTCAACTGCAGTGTTTGTGGGGGTATTTATTATAGGCCAAGAGGGCAGAATGCCCATGTCTAATCTAATATTTGACCTGGGGATAATATCTGGGCCTCTTCAACAACCACCTGGGGTGAGGCCTGAGGTCATGCCTGGTGATACATAAACCTGCTAGTGTTTTTGTTCTTGTTTCTGATTGTTATGCCAATTGACCTAACTTCTGGATCACCTTTCATACTTTGTAGTTTTATTTTTTTTATTTTTGAGACAGAGTCTCACTCTTACCCAGGCTGGAGTGCAGTGGCATGATCTCAGGTCATTGGAACTTCTGCCTCCCGGGTTCAAGTGATTCTCCTGCCTGAGCCTCCCGAGTAGCTGGGATTACAGGTGCCCTCCACCACACCTGGCTAATTTTTTTTTTTTTGTATTTTTAGTAGAGACAGGGTTTCACCATGTTGGCCAGGCTGGTCTCGAACTCCTCACCTCAAGTGATCTGCCTGCCTCAGCCTCCCAAAGTGCTGGGGTTACAGGTGTGAGCCACCGCACTGGCCAACCTTGTGGTTTATGTTGAAGTTGTCTGCTTATGTGACACCTGCTATCCCACAGCCCTTGATGTCCAATTTAAACAGGCACCTGCTTGACTCTCTAGTCAGCTCATCACGTGCCATATTACCAGCTCCTAGAGCATACTGTATAGTCTGTATAATTTGTTTTAGAATATTCTAAATGTCTCTTTTCAGTAATTTTTTTTTTTTTTTTTTGCCAGTGAACAGCCCTTCCTTGCTAACAAAAACAAACAGTTAAGCGATGGCTTTGATGCACTGAGGTAGGTTCTGACTAGGGCTCTCCTGCAGCTTAGCTCTGATGCCATCTTGTGGTCAAATGGGTATCTACACAGGGAGCCTTTTATTCTGGTTTTGGCTGTTGCCCACTACCATGCTAAGATCAAAGGCAGATTTGCTCTGTTTTTGTTTGTTTGTTTGTTTACGTTTTTCTTTTGCTGTGGATTTGTATTTTGTTTCCCTCATTGGGGGAGGGGAAAACTCAGAGTTCAATGCCCTCTACACTGACCAGTGGGTTGAAGGGAAGCTCTTTCCTTGCACCTCAGGGACAATTTCACCCACATTTCCCACAGCTATTTCCAGCTCAGCATTTTCAGAATAGAACTCTTTATCATTGTTCCCGCCTCACCCCCTTCCTTCCGCCAGTGAATCTCATTCTTAAATTCTGTCATCTTCTACACTTTATCTCAGTGAAAGGCTGTTTATCCATTGCTAAGTAAGAGGCCCAAGAGCCAATCGGGACTGTTTCCCCCCTATTCCCTCATTCACCTATTCTGCCTCCCAATAGCTGCTAATTTTTTGTCCATTTCCTCCATTCCTTCACCACAGTCTGAATCATGGCCTTCAATATTTCTCACTGAAACCATTGCAGTTGTTTGTCTCTGTCATGTCTTTATGTCTTCCATCTTCTAGCCTTGCCTACATTTTCCTTCATTTTTATTCCAGCATTGATTGAAACTGAAACTTGAAATCCTTCAGTGCCTCTGCAGAGCCTACGGTGTAAACTCCAAGATCCTTGATATGAGTTACAAGATGCTCTTTTGAGTTGGCATTTGTCTCTTCTGGGCCTACTCTCCATTCACTCCCCACCTCACATGTAACACCTAGTAGCACTTAGTTCCTGGAACACAATTAACTGCTTCATGCCTATGGGCATTTGTTCATGCTTTTCCCTTTTGATTAGAAATAAACCTCTGTAGGCCTTTCTCTTGGGCTTGTTCAGGTGGTCCAGTAGAAGCATCCTGCAAAATTGCCAGAGGGTATGTGACTTTGTGGGCCTATAAGAAACAGATGGATCTGGCCGGGCACAGTGGCTCACGCCTGTAATCCCAGCACTTTGGGAGACTGAGGTGGGCAGATCACCTGAGGTCAGGAGTTCAAGATCAGCCTGGGCAAAACGGTGAAACCCCATCTCTACTAAAAATACAAAATTAGCTGGGCGTGGTGGCATATGCCTGTAATCCCAGCTACTCGGGAGGCTGAGGCAGGAGAATTGCTTGAACCTGGGAGGCACAGGATGTGGTGAGCCGAGATCATGCCATTGCACTCCAGCCTGGACAACGAGCAAATCTCCATCTCAAAAAAAAAAAAAAAAGAAAAAAGAAAAAAAGAAACAGATGGATCACTCAAAGGGGAAATTGCAAAGAGCAATGAAAGGATTCCTTGAAAAGAGTTTAATGAGGGAAACATTACTAAACCTTCACAAACAGGAACAATCAAGAGGTGGTAAACACTCCAGGACTAAAAACAGCTGAAAGCCATTACCTCTCCTAGGCCTAACAGTATACTGGAACTTGGAATGATCTGTAGTTGTGTGTGAGAGGGCGTCCAACAGTTGCTGTATCTGAAAGTAGAGAAGTGCAGTCACTGCCAAAAATTGCAAGGGAAGGGGAGAAAGAGAATAAAAGCTCAACCCATCTCTCCTTTTACCCTGCAATCTTATGCTGGTGGCTCTCATTGGCTGAGTCCAAATGCAAGCCAGAGGCTAAGGGAGCCTAGCTGATACAGTCCACAGAAGTCAATTTCTCAGAGCCAGGGAGAGAATGGCAGAGAAAGGACCAGGAGAGGCAAACAGAGTATAAATCTGTTAACTGGTGTTCTGTGAGACAAACTGGGGAAGAGGGTTAGGGGTGTCACCTTTTAGTATAAAGACTTTCAATTAATCACCTCTTAATTAATCAGCTGCAAAAGGTGTCCCCAAATTTTGGGCTAAGGAAAGAGGACTGAGAAATGATTTTTTTTTTTTTAAATACAGACTTTCAACCATTTCTTCTGTTTTAAGCTCAACTCTACACTTTGCCTTCAGATGTATCTGGAGCCTCCAATTCCTGAAACTTTCTGGGATTTGCAAAACAAATCAGCTTATTTATTAGCTTACTTGCTCCTAAAAGTGAGATCTATGATATCTCTTTTCGATTAGGTCAGTTTTCACAAAAATATTTCATTAGAGACACATTTACTATCATGGTCAGGAAACAAATATACGCTCTGCTTTAGAGGGAGACTCAACTTTTTATCTTCTAAGATTGTTTTCCATACAAACATCCTTGAAAAGATAGTCTGGAACAAAAGCTGTCAGTGCCTCTTCATGAGACATACAGAAACACAAAAGATCACTGGAGAATTGTCTCTCAACATTATGGAGGAGAGACACAGTCAACTCATGGACTGGCCCTTTTTAAAAAGAAGAATAGCATTCTAAATTTCTAGTTGATGGAGATACCATATCCCTGACTTCAGAAACAGATAGTGAAGTATGCATTATTTTCTAACTCCTTTTCAGGCAATCTGTGTTTCATGAAGCAGAGTGTAAGTGCTTTTCACAGAAAAATTCCATCTGTCTTATACTAAGTATTGTTTATCCCAGATCCAGCATTGAAATATCTATTAGTCTTAGTTTTTGGTCTTGATGTGAGTTTTCACCTTTTTTAGTGGCTTCAAGGGTGTTTAATGCAATGTTGGGAAAAGGTACATAGAAAGAATGTGTAAAGGTTAGCAAAACCCTTTCTCTTTCTGTGTGGACAAAATTTACCTTGGATTAACTTTCTAATTATATTTCCCTAGAAACCTGTAAATGGCAGAATGTGAACTGTGTAACTAGCAATGTTGTTTATAGTAAAAATAATCCTGATTGATAAATTTACCTTGACTAGTTGTGAAGAACTACAAATTCCTGGTGTGAAGCCAAAACTTTGGGCTTTCCTAAATAACTCAATGTCTTTTGTGGGGACCAGGAAGTTATGCCCATGAATGTTGGTTCTTATCTGGAATATGGAGCATCTTATCCAAGATGATGATTGCACATGCCCATAAAGATCTCATTCTCTTCCACTTGAGCTATTATATGGGAGTGGTCAATGAAGACAAGCCTCTGGACTTGTGGATTGCTTTGAGAACCTATATAGTGAGACCTATTCACCTATTCTAGTCTTGTGATTCCAAATGTCTAGATAGACTCAGGGATGAGCAACAGGAGCAACGCTGAACATTAAAAAAAAATTTTTTTTTAAAGCAGTTTTAGGTTCACAGCAAAATTGAGAGGAAAGTACAGAGATTACCCATATGCCCCCTGTCCCCACACATGCATAGTGTCTCCCATTATCAGCATCCCCCACTGGGGGTGCTGATATGCTAAAGTCTGATATGCTGAAGTCTGCAGGTGGTGACATGCTGAAGTCGGCTGTTAGAGTACATGGTCCAAGCTATTTGGAGGTGTCGAAGTATCCCCACATCATGGCTTCTTCTTTTTTTTTTTTTTTTAAATCCCAAGTCTCTTACACTTCTGTATCCATTCCATGGGACATAGGTGGATCCTGTGCATTTTGAAAAGGACTGGCCATAGGGAAGAGGTGTGTTCCAGGGGTGTTGTTCCAAGCTTATTTATCCACAGCCGCCTGCAGTTGCTATTGCATCATTTTTTTGGTGCCATTTTGGAAGTAGTCATATGCAGGACTTTTTTGGGGGCATATGAATAGAAATGTATCTCAACATATTTTTTTTTGGACTTCCGTGTATTTTCTTTTATGAATATAAAAACATTCTAAGAATGGATCTATATGTTTTTATCAGACTTCCAAAGGTGGTCCATGGCGCAAAAAAAAAAAAAATGTGAGAATTCTTGTTTTCAGCCTTCTTCTAATATATGTTAGTCTCAATATTCTTGAGTTTCCCATACCTATCTGGATGTTTCTAAACTCACTCAAGGTTTGAACAGAAGTACGGGGGCATAGGGAGAGAGAGAGATGAGAATCCAAGTAACTGACTTCTTGGCTTTAGCTTTTTCTTCTTTTTTTTTCTTTTATAACACTTTAACCTGGAAGGGATTGACTTTCTGCTTCTGTGTTAGCAATTCTTAACCCACTTGGTTTCATGACTCCTTTATACTCATAAAAATTTTCGAGGACCCTAAATAAATTTGATTTGTTTGGGTTATAGTTATCAATATTTACCATATAAGAAATTAAAGCAGAAATTTTAATAATATTATAATACATACCATATTTTATGAAATATAACTATATTTTTCAAAATATAACACCATTGATGAAAAAAATGGCATTATTTTATATTTTTGCAATTCCCTTTAATGTCTGGCTAAGTAGAAGATAGCTTAAATAGTAACTCATATTTGCTTCTGTATTCAGTTAGTTGGAATTTCATATATAATGTAGCCCCTGGAAAACTCCACTGTCTACTCATGACAGCGTGAGCGTGAAAAAAGCACAAAATGTTTTAGTACATTATGAAAATAGTTTTGACCTCACAGATCTCCTGAAAAGGTCTTGAGGATCCTCAGGAGGTCTCTAGGCCACACTTTGAGAACTGCTATTTTGTGCCTTATATAGCAAGCCTCAGGGCCTAGCCATTTTAGTCAAAAGGAGTGCATCCTGCATGCTCTCTCTGCCCTATGGTCTAAGTCCTCTAGACTTTTTCCTGACATGTTCTTGGAAGTAAATCAATTTAGAAAATACTAAGCCTAGCTTTCAAGACTTGCTTTAAGATCCTATTTTGACTCCCTGAAGGTGGATATGAACTTTTCCTTTCATTTGCATAACTGCTATAATACACTTAAATGTTCTCAAGGCACATGGATATCCCTGGCAGAATATGGAGTGATTTACCACAAAGAAATGCAAAAAGTGGAAAGTAGAAAAATGAAAGTTCCTGTTATTTTGTTATAGTAAAGCAATCTAGCTTGTTTTGCTTGTTTTGTTTCAAATTTGTTTTTCTGGGCTCACCTGGACCTCCCACTCCTTTTTAATTTTTAAAATTAAGTTACTAATTAATATTTATTTATTTATTTTGAGATGGAGTCTTGCTCTGTTGCCCAGGCTGGAGTGCAGTGGTAGGATCTCAGCTCACTGCAAACTCTGTCTCCCGGGTTTAAGTGATTCTCCTGCCTCAGCCTCCCAAGTAGCTGGGATTAGAGGTGCATGCCACCACGCCCAGCTAATTTTTGTATTTTCACTAGAGACAGGGTTTCACCATGTTGGCCAGGCTGGTCTCAAACTCCTGACCTCAGATGATCCACCTGCCTTGGCTTCCCAGAGTGCTGGGATTATAGGTGTGAGCCACCGTGCCAGACCCCTTTTTAAATTTTAAAATAATTTCAAGCTTATAGAAAAGTTGCAAGTATAGTAGAAGACCCTTAAAAAAAACAACAACTATTTGAATGGGTCATTCCTTAAATACTTTACTGTATATTTCCTACAAATGAGGACATTCTCCTTTTACTGCAAAATAACCATGAAAATCAGGAAATTTACATTGATGCATTAACTGCCTCCAGTCTCCAGATCCGAATCAAATTTTGCCAATTGTCTCAATAATACCATTTATAGCAAAAAATCTGGTTCAAAATCATGTGGTATATGTAGCTGTCATATCTCTTTTTTAGATTTTTCTTGACTTTCATGGCCTGGACACTTTTTAAAAAAAGTATGAAACACTTCACAAATTCGTATGTCATCCTTGTTCAGGGGCCATGCTAATCTTCTCTGTATTGTTCCAGTTTTAGTATATATGCTGCCATTTGTGCTGCCAAGGTGAGCACCCTTGTCATCCTTGAAGATTTACAGGCCAGTTATTAAGTACTTATCCCTCAGTCTGGATTTGTTTCCTCATGATTAGATTCAAGCTATGCAACCTTGGCATGAATATCACAGAAGTAATTCTGTGTTTTCTCATTGTATCCTATCAGTTGTCACATGATATTTCTATATTCTCTTACTGATGCTTACTTTGGTCACTTGATTAAGGTGGTAGCCACTAGGATTCAACAATGTAATGTTATTCTTTTCCTCTTTGTAATAAATAAGTATTTTGTGGGGAGATAGTTTGAAACTGTGTAATATCCCATTGTTCATCAAACTGGGGTCACTGCCCCCAGGCTCTTTCGTGCACATACACACACTTATACACAATATATATGCATTCATATCTATATTTATCTTTGTATCTACTTGAAATCCATAAGTTTACCTCAAAGCCTTCATTCTTATTTAGTACCACAGGGTTCATTCTAGTTTTCTTCCTCTTCATATTTGTAACCCTTCTTCCCATCAGTGACAAAAATGGATTCCATCATCTTTAATATATTTGTTTATATGATCCACATCCCTGCTATTGCCTAACCATCCTGCTGTTGCCGCCCCCACCCCCACCCCCTTTCTTGCACAGATGTCCTAGTTGCCACACTTAGGCTCTGTCACTTACTATTCTCTCTGTCTGTGTACCACAGAGGAAAGGCCATCGGGGATATGGCAAGAATGTGGACCTCAGCAAGCCAGGCAGAGAGCCTTTACTGGGAACTGAATTGGCCAGCACCTCTATCTGGGACATTTAGCCTCTAGAATTGTGAGAAAATAGATTTCTATTGTTTAAGCCACCCAGTCTATGGTGTTTTGTTATGGCAGCCAAGCTGACTAACACAGAAGGGGAGAGAAGAAAAGAGAAGAGGAGGAAGAAAAAAAGAAAGATTAAAAAGAGGCATGAGAAAACTTTTGGGGGTGATGGATGTATTCATTATCTTGATCTCATTCAATCTATAGACCAATGTGAGGAGAACTGACATGTTAACAGTATTGTGTGTAATCGGTAGACATCATATATGCCCACATTTATTTAGGTCTCTTTAATTCTATTTTTTTTGGGTGGTGGGGGGGTGGATGGAGTCTCGGTCTGTTGCCCAGGCTGGAGTGCAGTGGCACAATCTTGGCTCACTGCAACCTCAGCCCCATGGGTTCAAGCAATTCTCCTGCCTCAGCCTTTTAAATAGCTGGGACTACAGGCATGCACCAGCGTGCCTGGCTAACTTTTTTGTATTTTTAGTAGAGATGGGGTTTCACCATGTTGGTCAGGCTGGTCTCAAATTCCTGACCTCAAATGATCCACCCGACTTAGCCTCCCAAAGTGCTGGGATTACAGGTGTGAGCCACTGCGCCTGGCCCAATTCTTAACTTTTTTTTTTTTTTAAGACAGGTTCCCACTCTGTCACCCTGACTGCAGTGCAGTGGCATTATCATGACTCACCACAGCCTTGGCCTTCTGGGCTCAAGTGATCCTCCCATCTCAGCCTCCCAAGTAGCTGGGACTACAGGTGCATGCCACCATGCTTGGCTAATTTTTGTATTTTTTGTGGAGACAGGGTTTCTCCATATTATTCAGGCTGGTCTTAAGCAATCCGCATGCCTCAGCCTCCCAAAGTGTTCGGATTACAGGTGTGAGCCAACACACCTAGCCTCTTAAATTCTTAATTAGGGCTCTGGATCAATGTATCTGTGTTCTTCACCTCCACTAATGGTAACCTGAAAACAAGGTAGACAATTTAGGCTTCTTTTGATAAAGATAATTGGAGGTCATGGCCTTATTTCCTTTGTGAAAAAGACATCAGGGTTTTGACTGGTAGTTCATTTGGTCAATAATAAATGTGAGTATATAATAGTAATTTGATGATTGCCTCCCTAGCATTCTTTCACCCTCTTTTTAGCTACACTATTCAATTTTGTGTTTCTGGAATCTAGTCTTTTACTACCCTCAAAATTTGATAATAACTATCAAAATTTAAACGTGTATCTTATTTGATTAAACAATTCTACTTTTACAGATTTATTCTAAATAATTGCACAAATACATAATATATGTACAAGTATAAATGTGGTATTGTTTATGCTAATGAAATGAAACATTAAATGTTTATTAGTAAGTCATTGGTTAAATAAAAAATAGTACCTTATTCAAATGAGTGCTTTGGTAGGCATTAAAGCTGATCAGAGAGATGCAGAAGCGTTGCCACAGAAAGAGGCCTATGATTATTTTAAAGAAGCAAAATACATTAAAGAACAGTAGTTATACTGTAATTCCACTTATCCAAATTTATTTCTGATACATTTTAAAAGTCTGAAAGTTTACAGCCAAGAACTGCCCTTGGTGGTGAATCTAACTCAGATTAGTTTATGTAGAAAAGGAGATTTGTTGAAAGGACTGAGGTAGGTCACAGCATAAAATAAATTGCTTAAAGAACCAGAGACACGCCGGGCGTGGTGGCTCATGCCTGTAATCCTAGCACTTTGGGAGGCCGAGGCAGGCGGATCATGAGGTCAGGAGATCGAGACCATCCTGGCTAACATGGTGAAACCCCGTCTCTACTAAAAATACAAAAAAATTAGCCAGGCGTGGTGGTGGGCGCCTGTAGTCCCAGCTACTCAGGAGGCTGAGGCAGGAGAATGGCGTGAACCCCGGGAGGCAGAGCTTGCAGTAAGCCGAGATCATGCCACTGCACTCCAGCCTGGGCGACAGAGTGAGACTCTGTCTCAAAAAAAAAAAAAAAAAAAGAACCAGAGACATTTTAGGGAATTCAGAGACTATTGTATCAGACCTGAACACTGTCATCTTCTTCTTTTACTCTGTCTTCCATGTCTTTCTCTCTTTCTCCATATCTTGTTTCAGTTTCATTCTCCCTTATCACATACAAGATTTCTCCATATTGTGAGGAACATGGCTGCTAGCCACTTCTACACATACACTCTATGACTGTCCATAGCCAAAAAAAAAGATTTTTCTCTTTTAGTTTCCCAGTGTGAAAAATCTCAGGGCAGGATTTCGATTAGCCTTGTATCATATGCCCACACTTTTGACCAATCACTGTTATCAGGAGGTCAGAATTTTCTAAGGTTAGAGTACATTACCATAAGAAATATTACATTCTCACATAGGTTTAAATACAGACCAGGTGATCATTTAGAGAAAGTGGTATCATGGGTGTAAAATACCAAAAAGGTTGTGTGAATCAAGTAACCCGGAGTGCCTTTTCAACTGTAATTCTATGATTTTCTAAAGGGTGAATCTGTTTTTTTTAGGTTCATTTTGTTCATGGACTGTCAAAAAGACAGTTTTGACTTTTTCAGGACAGAAAATCTTCTTTGCCTAAAATATGCATGAAATTAAGATAAAAATGTTCTTGTTTTTAACTCTGTATTTTACTCTACCTTTTCACCTTTGTTATATGTCCAAACACCAAATAAGCAAATTGAATGCTAGGTAGCATTATTGTAGTCAACTCTTAATTATCTAGATAGAGTTATCATATATACATATATATATTTATTTTCTTTTTTTTTTTAAGACAGAGTCTCATTTTGTCACCCAGGCTGGAGTGCAGTGGTGTGAGCTCAGCTCACCGCAACCTCTGCCTCCAGGGTTCAAGCGATTCTTCTACCTCAGCCTCCAGAGTAGCCAGACTTACGGGCTTGCGCTACCACACCCAGCTAAGTTTTGTATTTTTAGTAGAGATGGGGTTTGCCATGTTGGCCGGGCTGGTGTTAAACTCCTGACCTCAGGTGATCTGCCCTCATCGGCCTCCCAAAGTGCTGGGATTACAAGCTTGAGCCACCATGCCTGGCCCATTAATATATTTTTGAGAACTATTTTTTGCTGTCCACTTGTCTTTCTGATTATAGAGACTAGATTTCACACTCTTAATTATTGCAGCAAGGAAATAGAACTCCAGTACTTTTCAGAGCAGCAACACACCCAGCTAAAAAAATTACATTTTTCAATTTTATTTGCAGGGAGATGTGACCAACTAAGTTCAGTGAAAGTATTGTGTGGGACTTCTAGGAAGGTTCTTAATGGGAGCAGGTTTGATTGAGAGAGGACTTATTTGCCTTTTCTGCTATCTGGAATGTGATAGCTAGAGCTCAGCAGTCTTCCTGGTTCATGAGATGGCTTTGAGAATGAAAGCCACTTACTATGGATGATGGAGAAGATAGAATGAGCCAGGGTCACTGATGCTTTTGTGGAGCCACCATTCTGTCTCTGTATCCTTGCAGGAAAGAATAAAGCCTTGTGAGTTTAAAGTTTTTTCTTTAAAAAATGTCTGTTTATGCAGTTCCCGATACAATAAGTTTTTCTGTGTGCCGTTATTTATGATCTCCTTTGAAATCAATGATTGTATTGAGAGTAAGGGTAATTTATAGGGTGAAAGAATGAAAGTATGGCACAAGAGATCCTGTCCCCTCAAAATCACTTAATTTGCTTCCAGGGAGTAATCTTAGGCATGAGGGATAGGTTAACTATAACAATGGGTACTATGTGTTCTGTGTTTATTCAAGACACTTCTGAAAGCATTTTATTTGAATTGACTTATTTAATCCAGACAACTTTTTATGAAACAACTATTTATCCATTTTACAGATGAAGAAACTGAGTCATGGGGAAGTTAAGTATGCTTGAAAAAAATCACACAGCTGATACAGCTGGGCATGTAGCTCTAGGGCTCATGCTCTTAACCATTATGCTACACTTTCTACAATAGAGCTCTCATATGGAGCATTCCAAAAGTAAATAATTCCATCATGTCCCTTTCCTAGGACCCTAAGTCCATGAGATACTTTGTACCTGAAAAATTAAAGATAACTTGAGTTGTTAATGTGTCAATAAAAGTATGATACAGGATGTACAATTTCAGTGATTGTTATATGCAGAGTAAAATAATCCAAATGTGTCATGTAGCTTAAATGGCAATGACTTTAATTTTTTGGCCATCTTTTATATATAGAAAGAAAAACTTATTTTTGCATAATGTGTATACCTTAAAGTATATTTGGATTATTTTCCTATCAAATAGCTCTTTTCATTTTCCTTTGCTCTTTTAAGTGATATGAGATATTTATATTTGGTCAAAGTGATTTTTAGAAACTGCTTTATTTTTATTTTTTATTTTTATTTTTTTGAGATGGATTCTTGCTCTGTCACCCAGGCTGGAATGCAGGGGCACTCTCTCAGCTCACTGCAATCTCTGGCTCCTGGGTTCAAGTCCCAAGTAGCTGGGATTACAGGTGTGTGCCACCATGCCTGGCTAATTTTTGTATCTTTAGTAGAGATGGGGTTTCACCATGATGGCCAGGCTGGTCTCGAACTCCTGACTTCAGGTGAAACACCTGCCTCGGCCTCCCAGAGTGCTGGGATTACAGGCGTGAGCCACTGCGCCCTGCCAAAACTGTTTATATTTTTAATTTATACTATAGTTTTTGTAGCACCCATATACATTTATCTCTGGTTAACATGATGTCACATATGTGAGTTGGATTTAGTTATCATCCTAAAATATTTAAGTGGTTTTCCAAAAACTGATATAACTACTTTGCCATAGAATACTATGACTTGCAACAAAGTATCTAGTTAAAACTTAATATTCAGCTGGGCACAGTGGCTCATGCCTGTAATCCCAGCACTTTGGGAGGCTGAGGTGGGTGGATCACCTGAGGTCAGGGGTTCGAGATCAGCCTGGCCAACATGGTGAAACCCCATCTCTACTAAAAATACAAAAATTAGCTGGGTGTGGTGGTGCATGCCTGTAATCCCAGCTACTTGGGAGGCTGAGGCAGGAGAATCGCTGGAACTTGAGCGGCAGAGGCTGCAGTGAGTCGAGATTGCACCACTGCACTCCAGCCTGGGTGACAGAGTGAGACTCCATCTCAAAACAAAAACAACAGAAAACAAAAAAACCCCCACAAAACTTAATATTCAAAGTAATGTAGACATTCAGAGAAAAGTTGTAACTTGTTGCTTGAATGAAGCAGAGTAGGTAGGACAATTCTGATAATTGACTAAAATAATATAAGGATATCATAGTGTTCTGTTAGAGATTTAACTTGTTTCTGCTCTGGTGAGAGGTAGCAATTCAATGTGGAGACGTGCGCATCATGTCTGGCCAACACCATTGAACTTGGGAATGACACTCTCCAGGGACATCTCTTAGAAGGTTCTTAGAGAAATGGGACATGGGTTGTTTTACTGGTTATTAATGGATAAGATACTTGAATGCTGGGCTGATAATTCTGCTTCCCCACCTCCTCTACTCCAGATTTATTTCCCACCATTCCCTGCTCTCCTTTTTCTCCTAGTGATGGACCCCAATAAACTGTGTTATGTAGACTTTCTTGTACTGCATTGTACTTTCTTATACTCTTCTAGTCGAGTTCCTGTTGGTTCAGGCAGTAAGAAACACCAGCGAGGGGATGGAGGAAGTGGGGAGGTAGAGAGGAGAGATCAGGGCATTTCTTTCTTTTTTCCATCCCTGCCTTGGAGCTGTGTTCTGGCTGGGGCTGCAGCTGTGCAACTACTGGCTTCCACTCCCCTAACTTCCCCATCACTCCATGATATGGTTTGGCTCTGTGTCCCCACTGAAATCTCATCTCCAATTGTAATCCCCATGTGTGGAGGGAGGGACCTGTAATCCCCATATGTTGAGGGAAGGAAGTGATTGGATTATGGGGGCGGTTTCCCCCATGCTGTTCTTGTGATAGTGAGTGAATTCTCACGAGATGTGATGGTTTTGTAAATGGTGGTTTATTCCTGTGCTCTCACTTCTGTCTCACCTGCTGCCCTGTAAGATGTGCCCCCTTCCCCTTCTGCCATGATTATAAGTTTCCTGAGGCCTCCTCAGCCATGCAGAACTTTGAGTCAATTAAACCCCTCGCTCCCTCCCTCCCTCCGTTCCTTCCTTCCTTCCTTCCTTCTTTCCTTCCTTCCTTGTTGCGGGAAGTCAGGGACCCCGGACGGAGGGACAGGCTGAAGCTATGGCAGAAGAACATAAATTGTGAAGATTTCATGGACATTTATTAGTTCCCCAAATTGATACTTTTATAATTTCCTATGCCTGTCTTTAATCTCTTAATCCTGTCATCTTCGTAAGCTGAGGATGTATGTCGCCTCAGGATCCTGTGATGATTGTGTTATCTGTACAAATTGTTTGTAAAATATGTGTGTTTGAACAACATGAAATCTGGGCATCCTAAAAGAAGAGGATAACAGTGATTTTCAGGGAACAAGGAGATAACCATAAGGCCTGACTGCCTGCAGGGCCGGGCAGAACAGAGTCATATTTCTCTTCTTGCAAAAGCGAATAGGAGAAATATTGCTGAATTCTTTTTCTCAGCAAGGAACAGCCCTGGGAAAAGAATGCATTCCCAGGGGGAGGTCTCTAAAAGGCCGCTCTGGGAGTGTCTGTCTTATGCAGTTGTACATAAGGGATGAAATATGCCCTGGTCTCCTGTGGCGCCCCCAGGCTTGCTAGGATTGGGAAATTCCAGCCTGGCGAAGTTCTAGTCAGACCGGTTGTCTGCTCTTGAACCCTGTTTCCTGTTAAGATGTTTATCAGTGACAATGTGTGCCCAGCAGGACATGGACCTTCATCAGTAATTCTAGTTTTGCCCTGGCCTTGTGATCTCACTCTGACTCTGCCCTTGTGATATTTTATTGCCTTTGAAGCATGTGATCTCTGTGACCCACACCCTATTCGTACACTCCCTCCCCTTTGAAAATTGCTAATAAAAACGTGCTGGTTTTGCAGCTCAGGTGGGCATCACGGAAGCTGCCAATATGTTATGTCTCTCCTGGTGGCCCAGCTGTAAAATTTCTCTCTTGTACTCTTTCTCTTTATTTCTCAGACCGGCCGACACTTAGCGAAAATAGAAAAGAACCTATGTTGAAATATTGGGGGCTGGTTCCTCCGATACTTTCTTCCTTTCTCTCTCTTTCTTTCTTTCTTTCTTTCTTTCTTTCTTTCTTTCTTTCTCTCTTTCTTTCTCTCTCTTTCCCTCCCCCCTTCCTCCCTCCCTCCCTCCCTTCCTTCCTTCTCTCCTTCTTTTTTTTTTTTTTTTTTTTTTTTTTTTTTGAGACAGAATCTCCCTCTGTCACCCAGGCTGGAGTGCAGTGGCAGGATCTTGGCTCACAGCAACCTCTGCTTCCTAGGTTCAAATAGTTCTCCTGCCTCAGCCTCCCAAGTAGCTGGATTACAGGCGTGTGCCACCACGCCCAACTAATTTTTTTTTTTTTTTTGTATTTTTAGTAGAGATGGTGTTTCACCATGTTGGCTAGGCTGGTCTCGAACTCCTGGCCACAAGTGATCCACCTGCCTTGGCCTCCTAAAGTTCTGGGATTACAAATGTGAGCTGCTGTGCCCTAAACCTCCTTTCTTTATATATTACCCAGTCTCAGGCATTTCTTTGTAGAGTGTGAGAATGGACTAATGCACTCCAGCTCCAGCTTATCACTTCAGGCCGAGGGGTGGTAACAGTTCCAAAGTGCTCAGCATCCCTGTAGCATCTCTTAACCGTATTCACACATCTGTAGATAGTTTATTTATTAAGTTATCTCCAAACCTCAGCTCAGTCTCCTGTTTCCTGCTGAGACCCATACTCTGGGAATGAACTAAGGCAGGTTAGTATACTCTTTCCTAGTGGTATAAAAAGTGGATACTCTTATTAAAAAAGAGGGCTCTTAACAGATGGAAAAAAATATAGATTTTTTTTTCCTTTGGAAGTCTTTAAAAATAAGAGAAATGTCTTTTTTTTGGGAATGGTTTCTGTCTGTTTAATAGATACGGTTAGAATATTAATGACAGTCATATCTATGTGTGACCAATCAGTTGTTGAGCACAGTTCTACTCAGCCATTTCAGTGCTTTTGTGCAGGTTTTTCTTTAAAATTTAAATACAATGTATCTTTTGCTGTTTATTTTTTTAATAAAAAAATCTCTTTTTTAAATAAAAAATATTCGGCCGGGCACGATGGCTCATGCCTGTAATCCCAGCACTTTGGGAGGCTGAGGAGGGCGGATCATGAGGTCAGGAGATCGAGACCATCCTGGCTAACGTGGTGAAACCCTGTCTCTGCTAAAAATACAAAAAATTAGCCGGGCATGGTGGCAGGCACGTGTAGTCCCAGCTACTCAGGAGGCTGAGGCAGGAGAATGGCGTGAACCCAGGAGGCGGAGCTTGTAGTGAGCTGAGATTGTGCCACTGTACTCCAGCCTGGGTGACAGAGCGAGACTCTGTCTCAAAAAAAAAAAAATAATTATTATTAAAAAAATAAAAAATATTCTGTCATAATATAGTGTTTTATTTTTTAAATAAAAACTAAAACATTCCTCTGCCTCCCCCATTTATTATTATTTTTTTACCTGAGTCATCTTAAAGAGGAGTTTTTATAGAAGTACTTTCTTGGGTTTTGTTTATGATTATCTAAACCTGAGAGTTGATAACAGAATTAGAAAAATGTAAAATTTATTCCAGCTGTACTTTGGAAATTTTTTTTTCCTGCAGATGTTTTTCTTCCTTTGGAAAATAGAAGCCAAGGCCATACTAATGTCCAAGATTCAATAGTGGTTATGTTTTGGTTGAAAGCATAAATATAAAGATTAATTTTATTCTTATCAACATAATCTAGAGATGAATGTGTAATTTTTTAAACTGGTAGTTGAACCAATAGTAATTTCTCATATTTTTGCATCTGTTTTAGGAGAGAGGCAGTGAGAGAGAAACTCTGCCTGTGATGAAACAATTTTGAATTTTTTTTCCCTCTGCAGGAATGAGTTTATCGATAAGCAACAAAAAGCTCAAAACTCTTCTAGGAGTTTGGGGTTCCTATAGTTAGCCTTACATTCATTTTGTTAGGATGACTTCCTCAGAGCCAGAACTATTTTTCTGAGGCTCTTAAAGATGGGAAAGATGGGAAACAGTGGAAAAAGCTAAGGTCTTCCATATGTCACATCCATTCAAAAGGAACACATGGCAGGAACATGAGCTTTTGTTATCTTGGAAGCAGGATTTTTTGGGTTCTCTTCTCATTCTACATTTGCCAACTTTATGATGCTAGTTCATCTCAACCAACCAAGGTTTCATTAAACTTGGTTACTAACATCCAATATCTGTGATTCTTGGTTGAGTTTTACCTTTTGGACCAACATACCCTAAATATATAGGGCATAGTAGAATATGAACCTTGAGGAACTCCATTGATGAACCTGTACTATTGTAGTCTTGTAGAATACTCAATTCCCGTGATTATAGAAGTCTTTGACAGCAGTTTTTCCTGATTTGGTGTTCCATGAAGCATAAGGTAAAGGATCTTTAGATGATCTTATCAGTAGGTGATATTTCTGGATGTCAGCCAATAGTCTCTTAGAATCTAAGGTTTAAGCTGGTTTCATTTGGAGTTCTTTACATTTAAGTCTGGCTACCACTGCCCAAGACCAATATTGTCTCTATTTCCAGATGTTCACTAGTGCCCCCTACTGATGAATGAAAAACTGTTCGCTTATGACTTACACAGTATGTTAAATGTTTAATCTCACGAAATTCTAGTTCCTGCCAGCTTCCTTTTCTTTCTTCCAATAAAGTGGCTTCTTTATACAGGTGTTGTAGTGGAGTTTATGTATCTCCTATGAGACCCAAGACTGAGACTTCATGGCTTAACATCATGTGGTAGGCAGGGACATACATCAACTAGATTTCTAGCTGTAACAATTTCCTATGGCTCCTGTAACAAATTACCACAAGCATCATAGTTTAAAACCACACAAATCTGTTTTATTGCAGTGCTGGAGGATAAAAATCCAAAATCAGTCTCACTGGGCTAAGGATAAGGTCAGAAAATGTGTTCTTTTCCAATTAGATAAGAGAATAAGAAACAGTTTATATTCATATGGAATGGACAATAATATTTGTTTATAGGTTTGTCCCAGGGCTGTTTTTAGTCCTCTTGTCCTCTGTCATAATACAGTTTGAAGAGATCTGGACCCTCTTGACATTTGGCATTACACTGATCAATTACTTTGATGACATTATTTTGATTGAGTTGGATTTGCAGGAGAGGGCTAGCACAGTGGAGGCAATGGCAGGATATGCTGTAGTGTGTGAGAGACAAACCCTATGAAGATATAAGTGCTTGCTACATCTGTAAATACTTTAGGGGTTTATTGATCAGGGCTGTGCCTGTATATATCCTCTAACATAAAAGACAAATTATTGCATCTCGTATCTCCTACATTAAAAAAGAAGCACAATCCCTGATGGGCCTCTGAGTTCTGGAGGCAGCACATTTCTACACCTAGGGATACTTCTCCAGCCAACATACTGGATGACATAAAATGCTGCCAACTTTAAATCAGATCAGGAGTAGGAAATAGCAACAGATCCAGGCTGGGGTGCAAGCAGCCCTGTCACTTGGGTCATACAATTTAGCAGAATTTATGATCATAAAGGTGTAAGTGATAAGACAAGATTCTATGTGGAGTTTGTTGCAAGTCCCAGTGGGCAAATTATAATGTTAGTCCCTTGGTTTTTGGAGCAAGGCAATGCCATTTTTGGTAGAGAATGATATACCTTTTGATGTGCTCCTGAACCCTGGTGGAGACAGGATGCCTGACCATGGAGTATCAAGTAACCATGTATATATTATATAAATTCCCATCATGAGCTGGGTCCTATCAGACTTACCAAATAGAAAGGTCAGATAGCCCAAGCAACAGTACATTGCAAGATGGAGTTGGTACATTTAGGAGCAAGTATAATCATAACCAGATGGCTCAAACAAGCTTCACGAGTAGGTATTACAGACCCCCATGGCACCTATCACTGTTTTAACAGTGCCCTTTCATTCATCTCATGCCTGTGGTTCTATGGAGGATTCTACCCAAAGCACAAAGAAAAAAACTCAAGCTTGGTTTATGGATGGATCAGCTCAGTATGTAGATGAAAGTCAAAAATAGCCCTACTCAAAAGTTGCTTTGAAAAGACAGAAGGTTCTTAGAACCATCGTCTAATACATGCTTTGCCCAAATGTGTTTCTCTCCCTGGTCTCACCAATACATTTTTTTCCCTCCTAACCATAGCTCTTGCTTCATTATATTTTAAAACCATTAACCTCTCAAATAATTTTATGGAATCCACTTACTTACCTCTTTTAAGAATTATCATCCATAACTTTGTCAAGTTTGAACCTTTTTAGAGAGAGGACCTTACTCAACATGTAGATTGGTTACCTTTTTGACCCAAGAATTGTACATCATTGCCACAGCTCACGACCCTGCCAGTGTAATTTGTTTCTTGAGATATGGGGTAGTTTCATAAGACTTGGCTACTTCAGGGTTTTAGCTCTGTGGTGATTAAAGGAATAATATTTAACCCAGAAATACTTATTAAACCTGCCAATCTGTTAAGAAAAAAGAACATTGTTTAGGATATCTTTTGATAGTAAAAGGAAATGCTTTAGGAGGACGAAATAGGTTGGAAGTTTCTGATCAGGCTTTTATATTAAAAAAAAAGATAAATGTAGGGAGAAGAAAAGGAAGTTACTCATGGAAACAAAGAAATTGGGCCTTAAAATCAGAAACAGACCTGGGAGCATGAGGCCATTTATATTCGTGGCCTTTCTTTTTTTTCTTTCTTTTATTTTTTTTGAGACGGAGTCTCACTCTGTTGCCAGGCTGGAGTGCAGTGGCGCGATCTTGGCCCACTGCAACCTCCACCTCTTGGGTTCAAGTGATTCTCCTGCCTCAGCCTCCCGAGTAGCCGGGTCTACAGGCATGCGCCACCACGCCCAGCTAATTTTTGTATTTTTAGTGGAGACGGGGTTTCACCATATTGGCCAGGGTGGTCTTGATCTCATGACCTCGTGATCTGCCCACCTCGGCCTCCCAAAGTGCTGGGATTACAGGTATGAGCCACCGTGCCCGGCCATTCATGGCCTTTCTACATGAGCACTGTGAAAGAAATTCTGACATCTCTTAAACAAGTATGCCTTTTCTCTTGCTAATTAATTTCTGGAATTTTGTTTCAAGTCTGACTTGAGAATGCTATGAAATATATGTTATCTTGTAAAGCCAATCCCATTCGATCAGAGGACAGTTCAAGTTGATTATTATTACTGTTAGTAGTATTATTATTTTGTTCTACCACAGGGCATTTCCCTCCTATAAATGTGCACAAACAAGGTATATAAAGGAAGTTTCTCTAGAACATATTAAAATGAACAATTTACCTTAATCTATGAATTTGCCAGACTCAGAAGAAGCATTGGAATTTAACAGGTTTCCACTAGATGGCAAGCCGCCTCTTTGAATTTCTCAATGGCATCAAGCAAAAATATTGCTGCTGTTTAAAACGTACATCTTTGCATGAGACAGCTGCACTTGTATCAAAAACTAATAAAGGCACTGATTCATAAATTTAGCCAAATTTAGAATCAAGCTATTCAAACTGAAACTGAAAATATATTGTAATGTTTAAAAGTTTTATTTGGAGAATATGTATTCATTTATTAATTTAACAAATATGAAGTGCCTCCTACGTGTTTTTCATGCTTTGTTTCATTTGTTCCCCCTAACAATGAGATTGGGTGTTCTTATTAGTCCCAATTTAGAGACTGGGAAACTGAGGCTTAGATAGATTAAATGATTTAGTAGTCCAAGATATACAGGTTTAAACCTACACAGTTTGTCCCAGAGCCGGCTCTCCTAACCACTACATCTTAGTGCCCACCATAAATAAATTACAGTAAATCAGTGTAATATGTGTAGCACTGTGTCATGTTTAAAAGGATTATTTTTTATTTTCTTCTTACAGACATTAGCAGAGTTAAATCTTCTGGCATGACCTTTATGAAAGACTGTGTATAAACAAGTAAAAATGATTGCAAAACACACTATATTAGAGCAAATAATGTCTGTACAGTGTTGCCTATATAAGCATATGCAAGATGAAAGGAAATGGCATAAAACTCTGCAAAAATACTACAGAAAAAGACAAATGTAAAGAGACAGAGTCAGAGAGAGACTGAGAGAAACATACATGTGAAAGAGAAATGATGAAATCATCTATAAGAAATCATAATTTCTGGCCGGGCGCAGTGGCTTATGCCTGTGATCTCAGCACATTGGGAGGTCGAGGTGGGAGGATACCTTGAGCTCAGGGGTTTGAGATCAGTCTGGACAACATTGCAAAACCCCATCTGTACCAAAAAGTACAAAAATTAGCTGGAGGTGGTGGTGCATGCCTGTAGTTCCAGCTACTCGGGAGGCTGAGGTAGGAGGATCACTTGAGCCCAGGAGTTGGAGGCTACAGTGAGCTGCGATCATGCTACTAGACTTCAGCCTGGGTGACATAGTGGGACCCTGCCTAAACAAAAAAAAAAAAAAAAAAGGAAAAAAGAAAAAAGAAAGCTGGGTGTGGTGGCTCATGCCTGTAATCCCAGAATCCCAGCACTTTGGGAGGCTGAGGCGGGTGGATCACCTGAGGTCAGGAGTTTGAGACCAGCCTGGCCAACATGATGAAACCCTGTCTCTACTAAAAATACAAAAAATTAGACGGGCATTGTGGTGGGTGCCTGTAATCCCAGCTACTTGGGAGGCTGAGGCAGGAGAATCCCTTGAACCCAGGAGGCAGAGGTTGCAGTGAGCTGAGATCGCGCCACTGTACTCCAGCCTTGTCAACAAAAAAAAAAAAAAGGAAAAGAAAAATAATAATTTCTGTAACAGAAACTGTTTCCTTGTTAATGTCTCTTGCTGTAGAAGAATTTTTCACAAATAGAAATTCAGTGAAATGAAAGTTTAAAAGACAAGAATATAAAACAACAGAATGAAATTAAAAGGGAAGTGCAAGGTCAAGGAAACTCAGATGTAAAGCAGAATTTTAAATCTAATAAATATATTAAAAGAATAAAAAGCAGAAGAGACATAGTTAAAATTTAAATTAATGTGATGGAAAAAAGGCATAAGTTACAGTGAATGAGAAGCAAGATGGAGATGAAGGCAATTAGGAAGAGGCTGTAGACATGGATGACTGACAAAACAATAGGCATCTCTGAAGTAGACAACAGATGGTGAGAAAAAGTATTCAGAGATATAATAGTGGAAAATCTCTTTCATAATAAAGCACACACGTCTAATAGGAAAAATTGATACTGAATTACCAACATTGAGAAGTGCCCTGTATGTTACCAAGCATCAAGATTTTAACAACAAAAAAGAATTCTTCAGACATCAAGTAGAAAAAGCAAGTTACTTAACAAGGGGAAATTCAAGCTTGTGTCAGACTTTTTACAGAAACATTTAGCACTGGAAGAAATAGAGGTGTCCACCACATTCTTGGACAAAATATTATATTCATCTATGTTATAATTCAAATATAAAGTATTCAGGGGATAAACATTTAAGAATTTTTTTTTAGGGGTTGCGTTGCTCTCTGGTAGAGGCGTGCAGGTGTTAGCCACACCCTCTGAGCTGGGATGAGCTGTGCTCCTGGTGGAAGCAAGGGAGCCCAGCCGAAGCCATGGCCAGTACAGTGGTAGCAGTTGGACTGACCATTGCTGCTGCAGGATTTGCAGGCCGTTATGTTTTGCAAGCCATGAAGCATATGGAGCCTCAAGTAAAACAAGTTTTTCAAAGCCTACCAAAATCTGCCTTCAGTGGTGGCTATTATAGAGGTGGGTTTGAACCCAAAATGACAAAACGGGAAGCAGCATTAATACTAGGTGTAAGCCCTACTGCCAATAAAGGGAAAATAAGAGATGCTCACTGACGAATTATGCTTTCAAATCATCCTGACAAAGGAGGATCTCCTTATATAGCAGCCAAAATCAATGAAGCTAAAGATTTACTAGAAGGTCAAGCTAAAAAATGAAGTAAATGTATGATGAATTTTAAGTTCATATTAGTTTATATATATGAGTACTAAGTTTTTATAATAAAATGCCTCAGAGCTACAATTAAAAAAAAAAGAATTTTTTTTTTTAAAACTCTAGTCAGATGAAGTCCAGCTAATCCAGAAACTAATACAAAAATAGAGAACCCAGGAATAGAAACACACATCTAGTGAGAATAGCAGTAAATTGGCTGGGCACAGTGGCTCATGCCTGTAATCCCAGAACTTTGGGAGGCTGAGGCATGAGGATTGCTTGAGTTCAGGAGTTTGAGACCAGCCTAGAGAGACCCAACACTGAACATAGAGAGACCCAGTCACTAAAAAGTGAAAGCAAAGGCAAAAGCAAAACCAAAACCTAGCTGGGCAGGGTGGCACATGCCTGTTGTCTCAGCTACTTGGGAGGCTGAAGTAGGAGGATCACTTGGGCTTGGGAGATTGAGGCTGCAGTGAGCCATGATCATGACACTACACTTCAGCCTGGGTGACAGAATAAGACTCTGTCTCCAAGAGAAAAACAGAGTGATGATAAGTGCTTGGCAGCAGTGTACCAAGTAATGGGGTTAAAAAGATGACTAAGGGTGTAATCGAGCTGAAGATTCAGAGATGTTAATCAATTAGAGTACAATGTATTAAGCGCTACTACAGTGATAGAACAGAGAAAAGAGTAATTCTATGTAGAGTAACTGATGTCTACAGCCATACGAACCTGAACATGCCCAGTCTCATCTATGTAGGGTAACTGAAACCTGAGACTTGGAGGATGAGCATCCAGAAGCTAAAAGGGACAGAGTGGACCATTCTAGGAAGGGGGAAGGAAGTCCAAAGGTTTAGCAGTATGAGTTGGCAGTGTGGAATGGCTATATGGTAGGTCATGTGGACGTGGAGAGATGTAAGCCTGGAAAGTCATAAGCAGCTTATGAAGGGATCTGTGTACAAATGGTACCCGTTTTACAATAGTTTGGCTTAACAATTGTTTTTGGCTTTATGATGGTGCAAAAGTGATAGGTGTTCAGCAGAAATCAGACTGAAAGTACCCATACAACAATTCCGTTTTTCACTTTCAGTACAATATTCAATACATTACATGAGATATTCAACACTTTATTTTAAAATAGGGATTGTGTTAGATGACTTTGCCTAAATGTAGACTAATGTAAGTGTTCTGAGCATGCTTACAGCAGGCTAGGCTGAGCTATGATGTTCAGTAGGTTAGGTATATTAAATGCATTTTCATTTTCAACAATGATATTTTCAGCTTATGATGGGTTTATGGAGACCTATCTCTATTGTAAGTTGAAAAGCATCTGTACTTGCTAAGGGGTTTGGTCTTAATCCTGTGACACTGAAGGGTTTTAATGTGGGAAATGACTAATTTTTCCATTTAAAAGATGGTTGCTAAGGGCTGGGGTGCTGGAGGGGAAATGGGGAGTTGTTGCTCCATTGGCTTAAAGTTTCAGTTATGCTAGATGAATAAATTCTAGAGATCTGCTATACAGCATGCTTTCTTTTTTTCTTCCTTCATTTAAATTTTATTTTGTTATTTTATTTTACTTTTTTAGAGACAAGATCTCACTCTGTCTCCCAAGCTGGAGTACAGTGGAGCGATCATAGCTCACTGCAGTCTCTAACTCTGGGCACAAGTGATCTGCTTGCAACAGCCTCTCAAGTAGCTGTAAATAAAAGTGTGCACCATCATTCCCAGTTAATTAAGAACATTTTTTGTTGTTGTAGAGACAGGGTCTAGATATGTTGCCTAGACTAGTCTCAAACTCCTGGGCTCAAGCGATCCTCCCGTCTTGGCCTCCCAAAGTGTTGGGATTACAGGCGTGAGCCACTTTGGCTGGCCCAACATGGTTTCTTTAGTTAACAATGCAGCATTGTTCATTTAAAAATGGGTTAAGAGGGTGATCTCTTGCCAAGTGTTCTTACTATAAAATGAAACAAAATAAACCATGCAAACAGACACAAGGAAACTTTAGGAGGTGAGGGATATGTTTACTACTTTGATTGTGGTGATGGTATCATGGGTGTATGCATATGTCTAAACTCATCAAATTGTATACATATGTGATTTTTTTGTTGTTGTTGTTATATCAATGATACCTCAATAAAGCTGTTAAAAATCACTCTGGCAATAGCCTACCAACTGAAAAAAAACCAGGACCAGACAGATTTATAGCTAAATTCTACCAGATGTACAAAGAAAAGCTGGTACCATTCCTACTGAAACTATTCCAAAAAATTGAGGAGGAGGGACTCCTCCCTAACTCATTATATGAGGCCAGCATCATCCTGATACCAAAACCTGGCAAGGATACAGCAACAACAACAAAGAACTTCAGGCCAATATCCTTTTTTCTTTTTTTTTTTCTTTTTTGACATGGGGTCTCACTCTGTCACCCACACTGGAGTGTGATCTTGGCTTACTGCAACCTCTGACTCCTGAGCTCAAGTGATCCTCCCAACTCAGCCTCCCAAGTAGCTGGGACCACAGGCATGCGTCACCTTACTCAGCTAATTTTTTGTATTTTTGGTAGAGACAAGGTCTTGCCATGTTGCCCAGCCTGGTCTTGAACTCCTGAGCTTAAGTGATCCACCTCCCTCAGCCTCCCAAAGTGCTGGGATTATAGCCATTAGCCACTGGACCTGGCCCAATATCCTTGATGAAAATCAATGCAAAATCCTCTGCAAAATACTGGCAAATCAAATCCAGCAGCACATCAAAAAGCTTATAAACACAGTCAAGTAGGCTTTATTCCTGGGATGCAAGGTTGGTTCAACATACACAAATCAATAAATGTGTCATCACATAAACAGAACTAAAGATGAAAACCACAAGTTTATCTCAATAGATGCAGAAAAGGCTTTTGATAAAATTCAACATCCATTCACATTAAAAACTCTAGTTACTAGGTATTGAAGGAACATACCTCAAAATAATAAGAGCCATCTACGATAAACACATAGCAAACATCACACTGAATGGGAAAGAGCTGGAAGCATTCCCCTTGAAAACTGGCACAAGACAACAATGCCCTCTCTCACCACTCCTATTCAATATAGTATTAGAAATCCTGGCCAGGGCAATCAGGCAAGAGGAAGAAGTAAAAGGCATCCAAATAGGAAGAGAGGAAGTCAAACTATCCTTGTTTGCAAATGACATGATTCTATATCTAGAAAACCCCATAGTCTCAGCCCCAAAGCTCCTTCAGCTCATAAATTACTTCAGTAAAGTCTCAGGATACAAAATCAATGTGCAATAATAACTAGCATTCCTATATACCAACAACAGTCAAGCTGAGAGCCAAATCAGGAACGAACTCCCATTCACAATTGCCAAAAAAAGAATAAAATACCTAGGAATACAGCTAACTAGGGAGGCAAAAGGTCTCCAGAAGGAGAACTACAAAGCACTGCTCAAAGAAATCAGATATGACACAAAGAAATTAAAAAACATTCCATGCTTATGGGTAGGAAGAATCAATATCATTAAAATCACCATACTGCCCAAAGCAATTTACAGAGTCAATGCTATTCCTGTGAAACTACCATTGACATTCTTCACAGAACTAGAGAAAACTATTTTAAAATTCATATGGAACAAAAAAGAGCTTGAATAGCCAAGGCAATCCTAAGCAAAAAGAACAAAGCTAGAGGCATCACACTACCCAACTTCAAACTATACTGTAAGGCTACAGTAACCAAAACACCACTGGTACAAAAATAGACACATAGACCAACGGAATAGAATACAGAACCTAGAAATAAGGCCATACACCTACAACTATCTGATCTTCGACAAACCTGACAAAAACAAGCAATGTGGAAAAGATTCCCTATTCAATAAATGGTGCTAGGATAACTGGCTAGCCATATGTAGAAGATTGAAACTGGACCCCTTCCTTACATGATATACAAAAATTAACTCAAGATGGAATAAATACTTAAATATAAAACCCAAAACTACAAAAACTCTAGAAGAAAACCTAGGCAACACCATTCAGGACATAGGCACAGGCAAAGATTTCATGATGAAGACTACAAAAGCCAGTGCAACAGAAGTGAAAATTGAAAAATGGGATCTAATTAAACGAAAGCGTTTCTTCTGCACAGCAAACGAAACTATGAACAGAATAAACAACCTATGGAAGGGGAGAAAATGTTTGCAAATTATGCATCCGACAAAGGTCTAATATCCAGCATTCATAAAAAAACTTAAACAAATTTACAGGAAAAGATACAAACCCCGTTAAAAGTGGGCAATGGACTTTGAGCACTAAACTCTGATTTTTTTATCTTGCCCAAATTTCTATCTAAGGAATCTGGGGAGTCGTGCCCTACAAATCATAAATTCTCATCAGATGGGTTTTATTTAACCCCATATATTGTGACTTACTTTCCAACCTGACTTTGGCATAACCTTATGAGACGAAGAAGAAAATAAAATATTTTACCCCAAAACATGTTTCTTTGCTGTATCTTTAAATGGGCCTGCAAAGCTGTCCTTTGTTGGGGGAAATTTGCATCTGTAAAGAATCTCTATTAACACAGCTAGATCTTTTTCTCCCAGGCCCTCCCAATCCTAAAGAGATTAACTAAAACTCTAGCACCTTTTAAAGATCTGAATAGGAAACATTTGTCATCTATTGTCTCTAAAGGCAGCCACTATAAGACTTCAAAAGAACCTTGGTCTCCACAGTCTTTTATCTTAACCTGAACATTTCCTTTCTATGATCCCAGATCTTTAGATAAACTCAACCAATTGTCAACCAGAAAAATGTTTAAATTTACCTATAGCTTGAAAGCCCTCCCCACTTTGAGTTGTAAATGTATTTGACTGATGTCTCATGCCTCCCTAAAATGTATAAAACCAAGCTGTACCCTGACCACTTTGGGCACATGTTCTCAGGCCCTCCTGAAGGCTGTGTCATGGGCCAGGGTCACTCATATTTGGCTCAGAATAAATCTCTCCAAATATTTTAGAGTTTGACTTTTTGTCAACAACTTGAACAGGCATGTTTCAAAAGAAGACATATATGTGGCCAAAAAAACATATGAAAAAAAGCTCAACATCACTGATCATTGGAGAAATGCAAATCAAAACCACAGTGGGATACCATCTCACACCAGTCAGAATGGCTATGAGAACACATGGACACAGGAAGGGGAACATCACACACCGGGGCCTGTTGTGGGGAGCGGGGGGCGGGGAGGGATAGCATTAGGAGATATACCTAATATTAAATGACGAGTTAATGGGTGCAGCACACCAACACGGCACGTGTATACATACGTAACAAACCTGCACATTGTGCACATGTACCCTAAAACTTAAAAGTATAATAAAAAAAAAGAAAATAACAGCAGCTGGTGAGGTTGTGGAGAAAAAGGAATGCTTATATACTGTTGGTGTGAGTATAAATTAGTTCAACCATTATGGAAGACAGTGTGGCAATTCCTCAAAGACATAAAGACAGAAATACTGTTTGATCCAGCAATGCCATTACTAGGTATATACCCCCCAAAACATAAATCATCCTGTTAGAAAGACACATGCACGTGTATGTTCATTGCAGCACTATTCACAATAGCAAAGACACGGAATCAATCTAAATTCCCATCAATGTTAGACATTGTAATGTGGTACATTTACATGATGGAATACTATGCAGCCATAAAAAGGAACAAGATTGTGTCCTTTGCAGGGACATGGATGGAGCTGGAGGCCATTATCCTTGGCAAACTAATGTAGGAACAGAAAAATCAAATACTTCCTATTCTCACTTATAAGTGGGAGCTAAATGATGAGACCACATGGACACATAGAGGGGAACAACACACACTGGGGCCTATCAGAGGGTGGAGGTTAGGAGGAGGGAGAGGATCAGGGAAAATAACTAATGAGTACTAGGCTTAGTATCTGGGTGATGAAATAATCTGTACAACAAACCCCCATAACACAGGTTTACCTATGCAACAAACCTGCAGATGTACCCCTGAACTTAAAATAAAAGTTAAAAAAAATTAAAGCCAGAAGAAAAAAAAAAAAGCAACAAAATGTTGAAGTGGTTAATTGCTTGAGGTTGTTTGGGAGCAGTTTTGCCCAGGGATAGGACATAGGGCTTCTCCCCACAACATACAGGAAGGGTGACAGAAAAAAGAGAAGGACCTGCCTCATGATTCTCTATTACACTGTCATGTCCATACACTCTTCTGCACAACAAGTCTATATTGTGTTTCCTATTTCAAATGAAATTTTGCATTTGGCATTACAGTTTTCTTCTTGCCTTTGTCTTAGATGTGCTTCTTTGATTTCTGTATAGCTGTGTCATTTTGTCTTATTTAGTAGCATCATTTGCAATTTCATGAGCAGTTAGCATACTGAAAGAATGAATGATGTTACTTGTTTTCCCTGGCCAAAGACAATTTTTATGTAACCCTCATTCTTGCCACCATAGTCAGTTATTTGTTCATTATTTGACAAGTTCATACAATTTTTTATTCCAGTTAATTTAAAAGGAATGCAGGATTCAATAAAACATCTATTATTAATGTGTTTTAGTTATTTAAATGGGAGTACAGGATTCTGGCTGTGGAGGATCAGAGCTAGAAGATACTTTAAAAGTGTACTATAATAATGTTTTTCAAACTTTAATATGCATATGAATCAACCAGGGTTGTATTTAAAATGCAGAGTTGGCATGGGGCCTGGGTTCTGCATTTTCAACAAGCTTCTAAGTGAGGTCAATGAGACTGATCTACAAACCACACTTTGATAGCAAGGTACAATGACACAAGTAAAAATACCCCAAAATATCGTATTTCTACAATTATATAATAAATACAACTTAAAAATTCTCTGTTTGACTGTATCTTACACTTGGGCCATGAATCCATCAGGAAGCTCAGCAAATGCCACTGCTATAGTGTGACATTTAAATTAAAAATAGATCATTCAGTGGGCTGTGCATGGAGGCTCATGCCTGTAATCCCAACATTTTGGGAGGTTGAGACTGAAGGACGGCTTGAGGCCAGGAGTTTGAAACCAGCCTGGGCCATATAACAAGACCCTGTTTCTACAAAAAACAAACAAACAAACAAAAAAATTAGCTGAACATAGTGGCACACACCTATAATCCTAGCTACTTGGGAGACTGAGGCGGGAGGATCCCTTGAGCCCGGGAGTTTGAGGTTGCTGTGAGCTATGATTGTGCCACTGCATCCCAGCCTGGGTGACACCTAAACTCTGTCTCTGTTTGTTTTATATGAGTTATGCTGAAGTTACTTCTACGGAGTGATATTTTTTATCCCATGATGTCCTGAGGTGGTATCACTCTCTGGTGGCAGTTGCCCTTGCTGTGGTCAATCCCCATCACAGATTAGGCTATGTAGTCACTTACTTTCCAAAGGTAAAGAAAAAAACAGTGTTTTTTTACTGAACTATAGTTACCTTGGCATACTTACACAAAAACACTCAGTGTATTATAAAAATAAGGCCTGGCCAGGTGCAGTGGCTCATACCTGTAATCCCAGCACTTTGGGAGGCTAAGGCAGGAGGATCACTTGAGGTCAAGAGTTCAAGATCAGCTTGGACAACAGAGTGAGGCCCTGTCTCTACAAAAATTAAAAAAAAAAAATTAGTTGGGCATAGCATGTGCCTGTTGTCCTACTACAGGACTATCTACTCTGAAGGCTGAGATGGGAGGAGTGTTTGAACCCAGGAGCTCAAAGTTGCAGTGAGCTATGATCATGCCAACGTACTCCAGCCTGGATGACAGAGTGAGACCCTGTCTCTTAAATAAATAAATAAATAAATAATAAGGCCTGGTGTTATGTGATTTCATTAAATTAAAATTCATGTGGAGGAAAAGAAACACTTGAATGGTATAATATTCTAAGTTCAGATTTAGTTTATATTGAATTCTTATAGCATTCTGGGTTAAATATAAAACTTTTAAAAGAAAATAGCAGGAAAAGTAGAATTAATTATATTGGCAAACATTTTATTATTCAAATGAGTAGTTACCACTTTGCTTAAAAATAGCTTTAGAGTGGTGTTTGGAACCCATTTTTTCACATGCTTGTAATTCAGCATAATTTTAGCAGACTTTTTCATCTCTGATAAAAAAGGGCTTCTTTTGGCTGGAAAGGTACCACCCCTGTTTTCCATTTTACTCATGCATTCCATACACAGCCTGTGTGTAATAGTAATAAAGTTGTGTGGTAGACGCTTAACCTGGCTCGTGAATGTGGTATTCCTCCTTTGCCATTTGTGCTTTTTCTCTGAAACTGAAAAAGGCGCCAGAAAAGTACAGAGAGAGTGCACAGTTTCTCCTGAAAGTGTTATGGCTGCCCCGTCTCTGTTGACATCTATTAAGATTCAGGCAACAGGAGATCCTCACTTTAAGGTACAAGGGAGTGTTATTTTGGCTTTACATGAGGTGGTGGTGGTTGTTTTTGTCTCTGAACATCTTCAACTCTCTCAGGATTGTGCTGTGTACTAAAAATAAAACAACTATAGCTTGTGATTCACTTTGTTTTCACTGAGTCAGGGCTGTAGATTCCAGGAAAGATTCAATGACATAGGAGAGTTGTAAAAATGGAAATAAAATTGCTGAATCTGAAATGAAGATGATCATAGTAACTTGTGCATGCTAAAAATCAAGCCTAATATCTGGAAGCTCTGACTTCTTCTAGATTTTACATGAGGAAATCATTTTAATATTGTATTGTTACAGTGCTCATGATTACCTGGAACCCTTTGGGACTGTTTACATGGAGCTGTTCACCACGGATATTTGCATGAGAAATGATATATATTAGAATTTATTTTTAAAAGAAATCAGCAGGTCATATCTCTCCAAATCAATTTCACTCAAGGCAATACTTTTAATAAATTTTCAGCACAATTCAATCACCATTGTGGAAAGAAGGAATTAAAAACCTAGGTAAGGATGTGATTAGCCAGTATAGGCTTATACTGGCTATATAGACAGAACAGACAGACACCTACAATAGAAGAACTCTCCTGGCAGAACACTTTCTCTCACAACTCAAAAATTTCATCTTTAGAAATTAATTTCTATTGGCCTTGCAGGCTTTTGATCTTTTAAAGCTTTCACACTAAAATATAAACATGCTTTCAAGGCATAGTACATTAAAAATGCAGGAACTGGATTTGTACCTAGTTTGAAGGCAGTGTTCAAATAGTGCCTAAGGTATATCTCTAGTAATGTGTCTTTGAAAAGTTGGGTTCAACATTTTAAAATTATTTTGTTAAAATGACATACTCATTAAATTGGCAAATGATGAAGCTGGGAGACATAGCTAATATGTCAGATGATAGCATTAAAATCTAAGTGATCCTGATTAGCTGGAACAGGAATAGAAGGCTAAATTTAAGAGAATGAAATTTTTTGACCACTAGAGTTAAAATGCTGCTTTTTTCTTTTCTTTCTTTTTCTTTTTTTTTAGGTGACTAAACAACAACCATCAACAAACCCGTACATAATGTATAATGTAGCACATGTGGTAACATCTTAGGGGTACTGTTGACTGTAAACTTAAAATAGGTGACAGTGTGATGTGGTTGCAAAAACAAACAAAACACCCCCTGACAAAAATCCCTTAAACTCATAATGCAAACATTGATCATATCACAAAGGAAGTGATATCCTCTCTTCCCTGTAAAACATATGTGGTGGATTGTGTTTAATTCTGGGTGTCACATTTTGAAAATGACTGATCTACTGGAGTATATTCAGAGAAGAGTGAATTGAAGCCGTATCACATGAGTTGTAGTTGAGAATAGAAAATGCATAAAATGGAACAGAGGAACTTGGATGGACTTGATTCTATCTTTAAATAGCTAAAAGATTTCACGTAGAAGAATTATATTCCAGGACACCCCAGAGGCCGATTTAGAAGCATGAGCATGTTAGAGAGACAGAAAGGTATATTTTGGTTAAAAAGTTATCTGTAAATGGATGTTTTTCTTTAAAGGAATTCTGCCATAACTAGAAGTTCAAGTATTTGAGCGGAGACTTGTCAACTATTTGTCAGGGATCTTGTGGTAGATATTTTATGTTTAATACTTTCTGCTATTCTTAGTGAGCATCTTAAAGGACATCAAGGTGCAGTCAATAGTGGAATACAAATTAGGTGCTGGGAGTTAGGGAGAAATAGTACAAGAAGGAGAAGTAATCTTAAAAAGAGAGAATACCAAGTCAGACTTTTTTTTTTTAAACATTTAGTGGGTACACGTGGAGGTTTGTTACATGGATATATTGCATGATGCTGAGGTTTGAGCTTCAATTGAATCACCCAAACAGTGAGCATAGTATCCAATAGGTAGTTTTCAACCATTCCCCATGTCCCTCTCCCCCTTTTAAGAGTCCCCAGGGCCTATTGTTCTCATTTTTATGTCCATGCCTATGTAATGTTTAGGTCTCACTTATAAGGGAGAACATGTGATATTTGGTTTTCTGTTTCTGTGTTAATTCGCTTAAGATAATGGCCTGTAGCTGCCTCCATGTTGCTGCAAAGTGCATAACTTTGTTCTTTTTTATGGCTGTGTAGTATTCCATGGTATATATGTGTCACATTTTCTTTATCTAATCCGGTATTGATGGGCACCTGTATTGATTCCATGTCTTTGCAATTGTAAATTGTGCTGTGATAAACATGTTAATACAGGTGATGTTTTGGTAGAATGATTTATTTTTCTCAGTAATGGGATTGCTGGGTCGAATGGCAATTCTGTTTTTAGTTATTTGAGAACTCTCCAAACTGCTTCCCACATGTGCTGAGCTAATTTACAATCCCACCAACAGTGTATGAGTGTTTCCTTACTCGGCAATCTCACCAATATCTGCTATTTTTTTTTACTTTTTCATAGTAGCCATTCTGACTGGTGTGAGATGGTATCTCATTGTGGTTTTGATTTGCATTTCTCTGATTATTAGTGATGTTGAGCTTTTTTTTTTTCATATTTCTTGGCCACTTGCGTGTTTTCTCTTGAGAAACGTCTATTCATGTTCTTTACCCACTTTTTAATGGGGTTGGGGTTGTTTGTTTTTCTTGTTGATTTAAGTTTCTTATAGATTCTGGATATTAGTTCTTTGTCAGATGCATAGTTTGCACATATTTTCTTCCATTCTGTAGGTTGTCCGTTTACTCCATTGATTGTTTCTTTTGCTGTGCAGAAGTTATTTAGTTTAATTAGGTCTTAATTGTCGATTTTTGTTTTGTTGCATTAGCTTTTAAGGACTTAGTCATAAATTATTTCTGTAAACCAATGCCCAGAAGAGTATTTCCTAGGTTTTCTTTATTTTTGTAGTTTGAAGTTTTACATTTAAGTGTTTAATCCATCTTGAGTTAGTTTTTATAAATGGTGAGTGGTGGGGGTCAAGTTTCATTCTTCTGCATATAGTTAGCCAGTTTTCCCAGCACCATTTATTGAATAGGAGATCTTTTCACCATTGTCTATTTTTGTTGGCTTTCTCAAAGAACAATTGGTTGTAGGTATGTAGCTTTATTTCTACGTTCTTTATTCTGTTCTGTTGGTCCATGTGTTTATTTATTTATTTTTTTTTGAGTTGGACTTTTGCTCTTGTTGCCCAGGCTAGAAGGCAATGATGTGACTTTGGCTCACTGCAACCTCCGCCTCCTGGGTTCAAGTGATTCTCCTGCCTCAGCCTCCTGAGTAGCTGGGACTGCAGGCACCACCACCATGCCTAGCCAATTTTATGTGTTTTTAGTAGAGATGGGGTTTCACCATGTTGGCTAGGCTGGTCTTGAACTCCTGACCTCTGGTGATCCACCCACCTCAGCCTCCCAAAGTGCTGGTATTACAGGCGTGAGCCACTGTGCCTGGCCAATGCTTTCAACTTTTGAGCATTCAGTATAATATTGGTTAAAAGTTTGTCATAGATGGAAATTTTTATTTTGAGGTGTATTCCTTTGATGCCTAGATTGTTGATGCCTAGATTTTTTTTTTATCATTAAGGATGTTGGATTTTATTGAGTGCTTTTTCTGCATCTATTGAGATAATCTTGTGGTTTTTGTTTTTAATTCTGTTTATGTGATGACACTTTTGTTGATTTGTATAAGTTGAACCATCCTTGCGTCTCAGGAATAATGCCCATTTGATCATGGTGGATTATCTTTTTGATGTGCTGCTGGATTTGGTTTGCTAGGGTTTTGTTGATTTTGCATCTATATGTATCAAGGATACTGGCCCATAGTTTTCATTTTTCATTAGTGCATTCTTGTTTTTCTGGTTCCTTTAGGTGAGACATTAGGCTGTTAACTTGAGATCTGTCTATCTTCTTGATATAGGTGTTCAGCATTATAAACTTTCCTCTTAACATGGCTGTTGCCACATCCCAGAGGTTCTGCTATATTGTGTCTCTATTTTCATTTGTTTCAAAGAATTTTTTGATTTCTGCCTTAATTTTATTATTTACCCAAAAGTCATTCAGGAGCAAGTTGTTCAGTTTCTATGTATTTGTGTGGTTATGAGAGTTCCTCTTGGTATTGATTTATATTTGTATTCCACTGTGGTCCAAGAAAATGCTTATTATGCTTTTAGTATTTTTGAATTTATTAGACTTACTTTATGACTGAGTAGGTGGTCAATCTTAGAGTATGTTCTGTGTGCAGAAGAGAAGAATGCATATTTCTGGCTGTTGGGTGGAGTTCTGTAGGTACCTATTAGGTCCAATCAGTCAAGTGTTGAATTTAAGTATTAAATTTGTTAGTTTCTGCCTCAGTGATGTGCCTAATGTTCTCAGTGGGGTGTTGAAGTTCCCCCATTATTATTGTGTAGTTGTCTAAGTCTGTTTTGTAGCTCTATTAGTAATTGTTTTATAAATCTGGGTGCTCTATTGTTGGGTGCATATATATTTAAAATAGTTAAATCTTCTTGTTGAATTGAATAATTTATCATTATATAATGCCCTTTTTTGTCCTTTTTTACTGTTGTTGGTTTAAAGTCTGTTTTATCTGATACAATAATAGCAATCTCTGCCCTTTTTTGTTTTTCATTTTCATGACAGATCTTTCTCTATCCCTTTATCTGATCCCATAGGTGTCATTACATGTGATATGGGTCTTGAGGACAGCAGAAAGCTGGGTCTTGTTTTTTAATCCAATTTGCCACTCTATGTACTTTAAGTGGAGTACTTAGGCTATTAACATTCAAGGTTAATATTTACATGTGAGGTTTTATTCCTGTCGTGGTGTTTCTAGCTAGTTGTTTTGTATTCTTGACTGTGTAGTTGCTTATAGGCCCTGCAGGCTATGTAGTTACATGTGCTTTAGTGGTAGCAAGTATTGTTCTTTCATTTCCATGGTTAGAACTCCCTTAAGCATCTCTTGTAAGGCCGTTCTGGTGGTGACAAATTCCCTTAGTGATTACTTTTTTGGGAAAGACTTTGTTTTTCCTTTGTTAATAAAGCTTAGCTTGGAAGGATGTGAAATTTTTTGTCGGAATTTATTTTCTTTAAGAATGCTAAAAATAGGCCCTCAATGTCTTCTGGCTTGTAAGATTTCTGCTGAGAAGCCCACCATTAGTCTGACTGAATTCCCTTTATAGCTAATATGGCTCTTTTCTCTAGCTTCCTTTGAGATGTTTTCCTTTTTGTTGAGCTTGGAAAGTCTGATGACTGTGTGCCTTGGTGATGGTCATTTTCTGTAGTATGTTGCAGGCATTCCCTGGATTTCTCGTATCTGCATATTAATGTCTCTGGTGAGACTGGGGAAACTTTCCTGGATTATATCCTGAAATATGTTTTCTGAATTGCTTACCTTCTCCTCTTCTCTGTCAGGAATGCTAATGAGTCATAGGTTTGGTCACTTTACATAATCCCATATTTTTTGGAGGCTTTGTTCATTTAAAAAAAAACTCTTAATTTTTTTTTTTCTGACTGGATTGATTCAAAGGACCAGTCTTCATGCTTTGAAGCTCTTTCTTCTGCTTTTGTCTAGTCTGTTGTTAAGGCTTCCAATTGTATTTTGTAATTCTTGTAGTGAATTTTTCAATTCCAAAAGTTCTGTTTGATTCTTTCTTAATATAGCCATCTCATCTGTTAAATCTTGGATTGTTTTTCTGGCTTCATTGGATTAGATTTCAACTTTCTCTTGGATCTCATTGAGTTTCCTTGCCATCCAGATTCTGAATTCTATATCTGTCATTTCAAACATTTCAGTCTGATTAAGATCTGTTGCTAGGGAGCTAGTGTGATCCTTTGGAGGTAAATAAACACTCTTGCTTTTTGTATTGTTGTAGTTCTTGCACTTATTCCTCCTCATTTGAGGGACTGATGCTTCTTTTTCTTTTTGAATTTGCTGTGATTTGGATGAGGCTTTCTTGAGTTCTTATTATGTTTCCCTTGAGGGTATGACTGTGGTCTATGTTGAGTATAATTGATTGGCTTTGTTTCTGGGTGCTTCAGAAAGCCAAGGCTCTGTATGGGTTCCTTGGTTTCAGATAGACTCCTGTGGTAGATTTTACAGGCATTGCTTGTTGTAGCAGTATATTTTTGTTTGGTGGTATAATTCAGGCTGCGGTCTAGTAGATGATGCTTAAAAGATGGAGTTGGCATATAAGCTCTTATTCAGCTCCGTTTGTCTTCAGTGGGGGCAGAGGTGCCAGATAAATTTGAAAAGCGTGTCCCCTGCTTGCACTCATCCCTATTGTATTTCAGTATGTCTGCAACAGTGCACTGGGGAGAGGATGTGGGTCAGGAGGAAGAGAGGACTACCTCTCCAAGTCTGTTCCTGGGCCTTGGTGGTACCCTCTTCAGCTGTGTGTGCTGTGTCCATATTTCCTTTGTCTCAAAAGGGGCTTTGGTGGGCTGCAATCCCCACTCCCTCAGGGGTGGTTCCTGCTGAGGGTAAGATCACCAGGTGACCGCAATTATCTGGGAACCTGCTGGTCCTCTGTGCTTGCCAAAGTCAGAGTGGGTTGTGGGGTTCAGATGTCCTGGTGGTGCAGTAGATCAAGGGTGGAGGATTCCCAGGCAGGGCAGTGGCACTGCCGATATACAACTGGTATGGTGCCTGTGGCCTGGGGTTTTCAGACCATCAGGTGGTTGTGGGTCTTGCCCAGCTCATGCACCCCTGACCCAGCTGGTTGCTGGCATTCACCCTGGCAGGAGGCCCAAATGGCTAAGGCCTCCTGCCAGGGTGAATGCCAGAGACACCTCTTCAACCACAGTGTCTGTGTTACCTCTCTGTTGACTTTTAGTATTTTTCCTCAGAAAATCTGACTGAAGTGTGAAGCCATTTGTGCCAAGATTGCTGAGCTGTTCCAGGCATTCCAGGCTGTGAGGCTCCCTGGGGAAGAAGCCGTGGCTATCAGGCCATGCATGCCCTCCTGGTCCAGTTTTACTAAAGGAGGTTCACCCAACCTCTGTGCTGGCACATGAACCTATGCCACACTCTTCTCTGTGTTCTGACAGTGGGAGCTTCTCCCCCACTTGAGATCAGACCACGAATCTCTGCTCGATACCCCAGGGCAGTGTGCTCGAGTCCTGAAGAGTTGGGATCTGGTCCACAGATTTTTCTGTTAGTCCCTCAGGGTCAAGCACCAGCTGTGATGGGGTGCTGAACTGCCCCCAGGCTGCCAATACAACTCTCAGGTGGGGCAGTGAAGGCTGTGTTGTGGGTACCCTCCTGCAGAAATGGCCAGGTAGGTGGCCTTGATAGGGGCCAGCAGGCAAGAAGGCACATGGATCAGATGCACCTCAATCCTGCAGCAATGGCAATAGGGCCTGTCTTGAGCATGTGAATGTACCCCGGCCCTGCTTCCCCTCAGTTGAGCAGACAGCAGTTGCTGCAACCTCTCACTGCAAGAAGGAGAACCTTGGCAGATGGGCTCCTATGACTATATTTGGTGCAACTGTACAGCACAGTGAAGCCTTCTGGGCTCTGCATGGGTTCAAGCTGTGCCTCTATTTGTTCTCTGTGCAGCTTCCCCTGCCAGTCCAGAGGTCTATGAGGGTCATGGGAACTCCTGTAGCTAGGATCTCAGAGGACCATGGTGGGAATGCAGTGGTCCAGGGTTCCTTCACTCACTCCTTCCTTAGGTCTGGTCCAGGTCCTTGGGCTGGTCCTGGCACTCAGGGACTGCAAGCAGGCTGCCCTGTTTCCTCCCTCTTCAACCAAAGTGTCTGTGTCACCTCTCTGTTGACTTAATATTTTCCCTCAAAAAATCTGATTGAGGTGTGCAGGTTTACTCGATATTTTGGTTCCTCTCCATGGAAGAGGTGCTTCCAGCTGTGTCTAGTCAGCCATCTTGTCCCTTTCTCCCAAGTCATACTTTTTTTCTTTTTCTTTTTTTAAGAGATGGGGTCTCGCTGTGTTGACGAGGTTGGTCTTGAATGCCTAGGCTCAAGTGATCCTCCCATCTCAGCCTCCCAAAGGCCTGGGATTACAGGCGTGAGCCACTGCACCCAGCCTCTAAGTCATACTTTTACCTATCCAATTGTTGGTAGGAGACAACCTGAGTGGCTGCTGGAGGTGAAGTGAAAGGAGGAGGATGATGCAGGGTGCTGCAAAATGCTTCCATTTATTTGCTTATTCAAAAAAATGCCATGTATAAGAACCTATGCTAGGCACTGGAGATAAAAATTGAACAAAAAGTAATTCTTGCCCTCTGGAGTTCACAGTCTGGTAGAAGAGATAGACATGTAGACAAATAATTCACAATGAAACATGGTAAGTGGGTTGTCAGTAGGTGGTAGGACTACATTGGATGGATCCCAGTGTCAACTAGAGTCCTGAAAAGACAGTTTGTCTGGAAAAGCAGCATAAGAAGATTCTTTGAGACAGGAAACGTGCACTTTAGGTTTGTTTAAGCAATCATTTTGTTGGATTATCATTTGAAAATTAAAAGTAGTTCAACTGCATTGCAAATCTAGTAGGGGAAATAAAACTTTCCCCTACGTCTTTCTGGGAAGTGTGTGTGTGTGTGTGTATGTGTGTTACACTTGGAATGTGAAGGAGAGAATACAGCTTAATAATTTAATCCAAAACATACAATTTTTCCTTCTTTGGGATTTTTCACATGCTGAGAGTGTTACATACTTCTGAAAGTTCTTATTCTCATCCTTCACACAACAGAATGAGAAGAGCAAACCCAAACTGAAAGAGAGAGAACTTCCATCATAGTTCCTTGCTGTAGAGAGAACACTCAAAACCTGGAAATGAGTGATTTAATTTGGGATAAAGCAAAGTTTGAATACTTTCTTCCTATTTTCATTAACTTAGTGGTTGCATCTATTTTTCTTCAAAAGTGTTATTATTTTCATTATCAGTGATTTGATTCTTTGCCCCAGCATGTACTCTCATTTCTTCCATTATCGTGGCCAAAGGAAATAAGTGCTAAGAGCTGACAGTTTCAATTTCAGTGTCATTTAATTGGTTGTTCACCATGTTATCCTATAGCAACAAAAATAGTTGCTTGTGGTAATTTTTAACTCATTTCTATTGTGCAGTTTTATTCAATGGACAGTTAAGTCTCTCCGACATTAATCTACTACTCTTCTAATCTATCACTAGTTTCCCACCTAGCCAAAGTTTTGAAGTGTGTAAGGTTTATTTGAAACAAATTTGTTCCTCTTCAAGTATCCCAGTGGGTCCACACCACCCTATAAAAATCCATTGGAGGAAGAATCTGCTATGAATAATTTAAATCCTAATGTAAAGATAAATCAATATTTTTATTCTCATAGAGGTATTAGAATTTTCAAATGCTTCTAATTGCTAAATCAAAGATTTTTGCCCTATTAATTTTGGAAATCAGTGAATATGTGGATTAAAGGAGATAAAATTAGATAATCGATAAAAAGCACTTTGAAATTAAAAAGCCTTTAGAAATATAAGGAACTAGGTAAGGATACCCACCTGCAAACTTGTTCTAGTGTCCCTGTAACCAGGAAATGGATTACCACAAATGGAGCATTACACTAGCGTTCTTCGGACATTGACCTGATTCACCTGTTAGGACTACTCAACATTATCCATATTGGGTAGGAGGCTGGAAATGGGATGATCTCAAATTGCCCTTCCAACTCTTAAGTTTATAAGATTACATAAACCACCTCTGATGAAGCACAGTAAGTGCAAATCCATTCTTTAATGCAGGAAGTCCTAATAAAGCTGGTTTTACAGGACCAGAATGTATCATTAAGGCAATTGACTAGGGACTAGCATTTGGGATAGACTGATCAATTCATTTATAAAATAGCAACAAAAAACATGGCAAAGTCATACTGATTCATTATGAACTAAAGCATATATTCAGGAAAGTGTATTATTGGGTCATTCTATGAGAAATTATAGTCAGAGGCGTTTACTTCAATAATACTTCATGCAAAACACTTGGGCCTTTTATCTGCAAGCTCAGTGTGAGTTTACAATGTGATAGGGCAGCAAAAAAGCCTATACTATTTTTTTAATGCTATAATAGATGTACAGTACCCAGAATAATGTAGGTAACATCAGAACTCATCTGACATGTATAAAGTACCATGATTTAAGGGAAACATTGACAGTAAAAGCAACATCATTTCTCAAGTTATATGAAGTACAATAGAAGGGATTGATTTTTCTTTTAGCTTGCAGAAGATAGGATTTATGAGGAACCTAATTAAATATTTTAATGGCACTTAATGTCATAAAGAAGAATGATTAGACTTACACAGCCATGACTCCAGAGAATTAACTGGAAGGAACCACAGAAGTTTAAGAGAGGGATGGTTTGCCTTAGCCCCAAGCATATCTGTCTAATAATTGTAAAGGACTGCCTTTTGATTTAGTCCACTCTCTGTGTATGATGGCATGGATGACCTAACTCTTTTACCACTCCCTGCATCCATGTCCTTTTCCATGTAACTTTGTAGTGCTTCCTGCTGAGGGCAGGGTGGTCTGTCCTGCCCCTTATCTCTGAGCTGAACTATGTGAATTGCTTGGCCAATGGGATATTAGCAGATGTGACACAAGGAGAGGATTGAAGTAAGCTTGCACATTGGTGCTTGCTTTCTCTTGCACCTTTGCCAGCACCACGTGAATATTCTTGGGCAATATGATTGAACGATGAGATGTACTGTACATAGGGCAGAATGTCACCCTCATCATCCCAGTTGAAGCCTTCTTAAATCATCTGAGGGCCTGCTGACCTCTGGACATTTGAGTTGAGTACAACTAAGCCCAGAACTGCCCAAGGCAAGCCCAGTTTACTTATTATAAGCTAAATAAATGCTTATGGTTTGAAGTCACTGTGTTTTGAGGTGTTTTTATGCAATATTACTGTGCCAGTAGATAACTGATACATTCCCTGTTGTTTGGTTATGTTCAAGAGAGAAATGGATAGCCATTAGTTAAGACTGTTTTAGAAATGGACACTTGAATTAGGTGGACATAGACTAGATGAGTTCCAAAGATGGTTGCTGCTTCAGGGCCTGCTGTGGTAATATTCATATAATAATTCCCAGTTAATGAGCAGTTACTATCTGCCAGGCATTGTTTTAAGAGCTTTAGACATAAATATTAGTATTTACTCCAAGGAAGTAGTTATTCTTATTATTCTCATGATATTTATTGTTAAGGAAACAAGCACAGATCACACAACTAGTAAGTGGTAGATCTAGGATTAAATCTAGGCACTTGGCTCCAGAAATCACACTCTATCAGTGCACCATGCTCGCACTGGCCCATGAGCTATGTTCAGTATTTCTTTTCTTTTTTCTTATTTTTTTTTCAGAAGAGAGGGGACAGGATTTCACTCTGTTGGACAAACTGGAGTGTAGTGGTGTGATCACAGCTCACTGCAGCCTCGACCTCCTGGGCTCAAGCAATCCTTCTGTCTAAGCCTCTCAAGTAGTTAGGACTACAAGTGGGCACCACCACACCCAGCTAATTTTTTATTTTTTGTAGACAAGTTCTTACTATATTGATCAGGCTGGACTCAAACTCTTGGCCTCAAGCAATCCTCCTACCTTGGCTTCCCAAAGTGCTGGCATTACAGGCATGAGCCACTGTGCCTGGACTATTCAGTATTCCTAAAGCCCACTGGAAAATGGGCGTTTATGTCTGCATATATCGAATGGAAAAATTAATCATTATCTTTCTAAATGCATTTTTGTATACAGGAAAGATTTTTTTATAATTTATTTATAATATATAAAAATAATATATATTTATATATGTTCCTAAAATATAGGAATATATATATATAGTTTATGCATAAAAATTCTATATATTTATAGGCTACAGAGTGATATTTTGATACATGTATGCAATATGCAAGGATCAAATCAGGGCAGTCAACATATCCATTACCCTAAACATTTATCATTTATTTGTGTTGTGAACATTCAAAATCCTCTCTTTTAGCTTTTTGAAAATATACACTAACTTGTTAACAATATTCTCTCTTCAGTGCTACAGAACACTGAAACTTATTCTACCTAACTGTAATTTTATTTTATTTTTTTGAGACGGAGTCTCACTCTGTTGCCCAGGCTGGAGTGCAGTGGCGCTATCTTGGCTCACCACAACCTCTGCTTCCCTGGGTTCAAGCAATCTTCCTGCTTCAGCCTGCCGAGTAGCTGGGACTACAGTCGTGCACCACCATGCCCGGCTAATTTTTGTATTTTTTTTTTTTTTTTAGTAGAGTCGTGGTTTTACCATGTTGGCCAGGCTGGTGTTGAACTCCTGACCTCAAGTGGTTCGCCTGCCTCGGCCTCCCAAAGTGCTGGGATTACAGGCCTGAGCCACCACACCTGGCCTATCTAGCTGTAATTTTGTATCATTAACCAGCCTCACCCTATCCTCCTCTTCCCACTCCCCTACTTAAACCCTAAAAGCCTCTATTCTACTCTCTACTTCTGTGAGCTCCTCTTTTTTCTTTTTAGCTCCCATATATGAGTGAGAACTTGTGGTATTTATCTTTCTGTGCCTGACTTATTTCATGTAACATAATGTTCTCTAGGCTCATCCATGTTGTTGCAAATGACAAGAGTTCTCTCTTTTTTGTTAATGACTGAATAGTATGCCATTGTGTATACATACCACATTTTCTTTATCCATTCATCTGTTGATGGACATTTGGGTTGATTCCATATCTTGGCTATTGTGATTAGAGCTGCAATAAACATAGGGGTGCAGGTATCTCTTCAATAAACTGATTTCCTTTTCTTTGGATAAATACTCAGTAGTGGAATTGCTGGGTTGTATGGTAGTTCTATTTTTAGATTTTTGAGAACTCTCCATAATGTTTTTCGCAATGGCTGTACTAATTTACATTCCCATTCCCACCAACAGTGTATTAGTTTTTTTTTTTCTCCACTCGATATAGGAAAGCATAAGTCATTTTAAATAAAAATTAAAAAAGAGGTCCTTACTGGTTAAACCTTGGTAGCTACTGCTTTAAGCAGTCTTCAGTCTTTAACATTCTATGATTTTTAGAGACACCTTGTTCTCTTTTTTTGAGACAGAGTCTCACTCTTGCTCAGGCTGGAGTGCAGTGGCATGACCTTGGCTCACTGCAACCTCCACCTCCTGGGTTCAATCGATTCTCATGCCTCAGCCTGCCGAGTAACTGGGATTACAGGCACCCACCACCATGCCTGGCTAATTTTTATATTTTTTAGTAGAGACGGGGGTTTCACCATTTGTCCAGGCTGGTCTCGAACTCCTGACCTCAGGTGATCTGCCGGCCTTGGCTTCCCAAAGTGCTGGGATTACAGGCGTGAGCCACCGTGCCCAGCCTAGAGACACCCTATTCTAATATTAAAATACAAAGGTTTCTTTTTTCTTCAAAATACTAATCTAGTGAAAAGCATTGCATACAAATTGCATTAGACCACTTGTTTTACACTAAATTCTTCATAGGGCCATTCCTGAAGGAAATATATATTTATAGGTAATAGTGTAATATTCTGCTTATCTACCAAGGAATATGTGTTACAGCATAAAGAGAATTAAGTAGAAAATGCATATTAGCCAAACTGTGGGCAGTAGCATTGTGTTGCAATAAAAGCCCTATAATTACACTACATGTGGCGACAGAATTAGCAATAACTTTAAGTTTGTAAATTAAACATGTTGGCTATGTTAATATTTTGGGAAACATGACTAAATTTTTCATATCTTAGTGGATGCTGTAATTAACTATGCTACTTTAGTGGTAGCAAATCCAAACTTTGATACATTCTCTGTAGCAGAGGATAAATATTGAATAACACTCAGTTTGAATTGTTGAAAAACATCTTTTATAAATCTACTAAATTTATGTAATACGAATTTAGCAGATGAGCTGTTTTAAAATTATTTTAAAAATTATATTCTCTTCTGCATTGCTTGCTAAAATCATACCTGTTTTTAAACTAGGGAAGTTGACAGCAATGTGGTAGGATGTAGAGCTTGTGACTGATCTCTTTTGAATGTTTATTTCATTTCTTAAAAAAAATCACTACTTTTCAAAAACTGTCTTAATGCATGTGATCTTCAGCATTCCTCATACACTGCAAAAAGGAATCTACACGTTTTTCGATATGCAAAAATATTAGACCTAATGTTTATATATAATTTATTTATTTTAAAATGTAAACATTTATTGTGATGATCCGTCAGTCACTTGAACCTTCTTGGCGGTATTGCATTGGCAGTTTAAATTAGGGTATCCTGGACCAAAACTGATTTATTAACTTCCTGTAGATTTGCTCACACAGTTGCCCTTTCATATCTGTGAGTGGATTTTCCTGTTCACACAAAGGCTAAACTAACTGTAAAACAAACGATTTCTTTACACAGAAAATATTACTTAACATGGCAACAAATACATACCTTTACCAGGGATGCAAAACATGTTATTACACTATTTCGTGCCCACAGTAAGGAATACTAATTAATAACTCTTTTCCCCTGAGCCCACATTCAGATTTGGAAAATCTAACTGATTTTAGAAATTTTGTAAGAAGTTGTTCTGATATATTAAAAATACGTCTCCACTTTTATTGAGCAAATATAATATTTTCTTGGTTTCAAATGATACTTCATTGGTTATTCTGAATTGATTGCTCTAGGCAGCTGCTGCCAATTGATTGGAGCTATAGATATGTTCAAACCTGTTTATTATCCTGGAATTACACTGAACATAGAAATGCCCAAATGATTGATCAGAATTTTAATGTAAGAAAAATTAAACATCTAATGATCACTCTCTAGGTACCAGGCCCCGAGTTCAATGTTATACCTGCATTAACTCATAATTCTCATAGCATCCCTATGAAATAGATATTATCATTATTTTTATTTTATAGACAAGGAAACTGAGGCTTAAAAGAGTTAAGTAAACTTGCCCCAAATTATAGAGTTTGTAAATTAATGGTGCTAATATTACCTCTTTTTGATTTAGATTTACCTTAGATTTGATTTGATATAGATTACCTCCTTTTGACTTCAAAGCCTGGGTTACTTCTTTTCATTGAGGTCCTTGGTGGTGGTCAACATTCTGTTTCAGGCTTCCTCCATTCTATGTCGATGGCACAATTGTGCAGAGCTACCTTGTTCCCTGGAAGTGGGGTGGAGGACCTGTTTTTTTGAGTGTGTGAAGGAAAGAAATGAGCCAAAAAGCACATCTTGAAAAAAAATGTATTATAGCATAGCATTGGTAATTTGGAACATTTTATTGATTTTGAAATCATGTAAGATGTTGTCCTGATATATTAAAAATAATCTTCCTTTTAAATTAAGGAAATATAATATTTTCTTTGTTTGAAATGATGCTTTATTGGTTATTATATGAAAAGTAGCTTAATTGGAATTAAACATTACCTTTTAACATGAGTTGAGAATGAAACCGAAACCTTAAATTGCACCCTAAAGTGCAGTTATAGAACTGACAGTGTGTACAGTCCTGGAAAATACTAATTCATAAAGAATAATAGACTTTAATGCTGTGCTTAGCATTTCAATGTCACAATTAAAAATTCTACAAGATAGTTAATTGAATATTTTATGCTTCTAGAAAGGGCCTTGATCCTCAGAATTGCATACTAGTTCTCAAATTCCTTTTATATAATGCTGAATTCCTTTAAGGAATTAAAAATTCATTTGTGTTTCACATGAGTGCATATTTAGTTTTGCCAACTTTTTAAATGAGAGAAATATCTAGAATTAATGTGTTAACTTTACTTTTTTTTGGCTAAGTTAGACTTCTGGAACATAAAATATCCATGCAGATTATCATGATTCCCCCATGTAATCCTGCACCCTTTATATGAGCAATTATAATTACTTTTCTAACTGTAATGTTACTGAGTTGTCAGATGAGGTTGGAAAACATTTCATGCCCGATTTTCCCAATTTTCATGTATTCATAATCTTATTTAGCCCTTTCCCTTTTCTGTTTTGTGAGTTTTGAGCTTTTCAGCCTAGCCTTTATTTTTCTCTTGATGCTAATTTATGAAATTCTGGTACTAGCAATAAAACTGTAGGGCCATCTAACTGCTGATGAAAATCGCAGCATGATAAGAAAGATAAAGTATTCCCTCTTCCTCTATATCTGTAGAAACATGGGCACGATTTTATTTTTGTCATAAAACCACTCTTGGAAATTTTATTTTTAACAAAGGAGTCTTGTAAGATGCCTGAATTTTATGCATTGTTGCCATGTTCTGGGAAGGTAACCTGTAACCTCTAAAAAAATTGCAATCTTTTGCTCATCTTACATAATAATTTGTTGTTCTGAAAATAATATTTAAATCAACATTCTTTTTTTCTGAAAGATAAAAATACTTGGAAGTTGAAAAGCTTAACAGACATTAAGTGAGAAGGGAATTATTGGTAGTTCCCTTACCTCTCACATGCAGAGAAGAAAAACACCTGTTGAATTTCTTATTTGAATTAAAAGTTTAGGCGCCAATCTATTTGATTAGAACTGTTTGTTACATTTATGATTATGTCTTACTGAAAAAAAAAAAGGTTGAAAGGCTTTCATGAAATTATTTTGGTGTATGCCACACCTGTAGGGCAGAGAGAAAAGGCGTCTGTCATTTATCTGGTGTCTGTGATTCAGGCATCAATGCCAGATTTTTCTCATTTGAATAACTGAGGCTGTTACTTAAAACGTGTCAGCCCAGGTCCAGGTGAATGGGAGGCACATAGTTGTGGCCTCTGAGTCAAGGGTGGGCACAAGTCAGGGCCCCAGTAGGACTGTTGCTCCATTGCTAGCCTAGTGGACTTTGCATTTGCCACAAGCTTAAGTGGAGTTGGACAATTGGGCAATTGGAGGAGTACGGGTATTCTCTTTTGGAGTTACTCTCCTCCTTTTCTTTTTTTTTCTCCAGCACTAGCTCTCCTCCCTTTCCAATGTAAAGTAACTTTGTGTGATCTGACGTTGACCAGAAGTAGGAAACATTTGAGGAATTAGGAATTTTCCATTCTTCTCTTGAGAGTCTTCCTCTCATTCTGATTTACTGCTTCCTTTTGCACTTTCCTGTAAGCCACTGGGTAAGCATAATTTAAAGCATAAAAACCAGACTCTTCTAGACCACTGAGGACCTTCCCCAAAGGAGAGATTGATAACTAATTCTTTTTTGCATTTGTTGTCTCTCATTTCCCTTCCTGGATTTTTCCTGGATTTTTCCAGGAAGGGAAATGAGAGACAACAAATGCAAAAAAGAATTAGTTATCAATCTCTGGATTTTTCCAGGAAGGGAAATGAGAGGTTGTTTTTGAGACTTTCAGTTAATAAGGTATGGATAGATAGATTTTACTTTACCTAAGCCTGGTGAGAATAACTGTAAATTGAGCTTTCAAAATAAGAAAAGTTTTAATGCACGTTATTATGGCATGTGCTGTTTAATGCACGTTATTATGGCATGTGCTGTTCTAGAACTGCTAAGCAATTTTCAATATGTGTAAATCCCAGTCTTGGTTCACTTATGGTAACATTATGTTGTTGGATGATAGATTGAGGTCAGAAAGAAAGAACACTATCTCAGACCATTAGGTTGTGCCTTTTTACACCAACTTAGGTTGTCATTTTTAACTTTTCTTATGAGGAATACTATCAATATGAACCAGACACTACAGTTGTTGAAGTCCTTCTTGCATCTGAAATGCATTACTGGGCCACCTGAGATGAGAAATATGAGATTGTAGATTAAGACAGTTATGTGGTGTTTCCAGCCTTTTAACATTGAATATTGATGGATACCCAGTCAACTTTATTTGCAAAACATCACTTGGTCATAATTATAGAATTTAAAAATGACCCATGTTAGTTTTGAGCAAAGCCAATGTGAAACCCAATATATACAATTTCAACTTTATGCATTAGAATAAATATTCACTTTACATTTTGAATGATTAAAATAGAAGATTTGTTTGGAATGCATAATTAAAACTGTTTTCAAATACAAGTACTTCTATCTCTTGAAGGTTAAATGGTATTATAAGATAAATGATCACTAATATGATAAAAAAATGGTAAAAAAAGATAAAGCGTATATTAATTGCAGTGACAAGTATACCCAACTCTGATGTTTCTTTGATATCTTTTCTTTTAGATCCCGATTCTTTTTTTTTCTTTTTCCTTCGAGAGGGAGTTTCACTCTTGTTGCCTAGGCTGGAGTGCAATGGCACTATCTTGGCTTACTGAAACCTCCGCTTCCCAGGTTCAAGCGATTCTCCTGCCTCAGCCTCCCAAGTAGCTGGGATTATAGGCATTTGCCACCACGCCTGGCTAATTTTGTGTTTAATAGAGACGAGGTTTCACCATGTTGGTCAGGCTGGTCTCACTCCTGGTGTTAAGTGATCTGCCCACCTCAGCTTTCCAAATGCTGGGATTTACAGGCATGAGCCACCGTCCCCGGCCAATCCTGATTCTTTTGAATTTGGATTTTGATTATATAATATGTGCAAATGCATGCATGTATGTATGTTGTATGTAATCTCATTATGTTATTCTTGCGAACTTGTTTTTGTTACTAAATCCTATCATATGAGTTATAATTACAAAAAATCCCAAACAATAGTATCAAAACGAACCAAACACAAATCAAAGCAAAAGAAGAAAAACACCCATTCTTCCAAAAGAACACACCCGTAGGGTTACTGAACATAATTTTAAAATCCTTTGGAAATGTTACCTATTTTTTTTTTTGTGGGCGTTTTATTATTACTCAAATCAGTCTCCCTGAGCATTCCAGGATCAGAATTTTTAGAGTGAGTGGGGGGCCAGTGAGTTGGGTGTGCTGAATGGTTGGGTCAGAGATGAAATCATAAGGAGTCTCAGCTTTCCTCTGGTGGTGAATCAGTTACTGGGTGGGGGCCATAAGATCTGATGAGCCAGTTTATTGATCTGGCTGGTGCCAGCTGATCCATCAAGTGCAGGCCTGCAAAATATCTCAGGCACTGATCTTAGATTTTATAATAGTGATGTTATCCCCAGGAGCAATTTGGGGAGGGCCAGAATCTTGTAGCCTCCAGCTTCATGACTCCTAAACCATAATTTCTAATCATTTATATAATTAATTAATCTTACAAAGGCAGCCTAGTCCCCAGGCAAGAAGGGGGCTTTTTTGGGGGGGGGAACGGGCTGTTGTCCTCTTTGTTTTAAACTATAAACTACAAACTAAGTTCCTCCCCAAGTTAGTTCAGTCGATGCCTAGGAATGAATAAGGACAGCTTGGAGGTCAGGAGCAAGATGGATTTGGTTAGGTCAGATCTCTTTCACTGTCTTGGTTATAATTTTGCAGCGGCAGTTTCAATCCCTCCTTTTGGGTTTTGTTACGCCTTAATCTTATGGTGTGGGCTAATTAAGATGGATAAAGGACGAAGGCCACTCTAACTTCTTCCTGCTTACCAGGGGCATAGTGCGGTAGGTGTTAACCCCAAGGTAAGAGGAGTGGAATCGCTTTGTAGTTGTCTTGCATATACTCCGGCAGGCTGGGCTGGGGTTCCAAGGTTTGCATGGCAATGGTGTTAGTATTCTCATTTATAGTTTAAGTACAGCATTTAAGCAAACAGCGTACTACAAGGTAAATAATGAGTTCTAAAATTAGGAGTGTAGTTTCCAGTTTTAAAAGTAAAGATTTTAAAGCATTAGTTTGGGGACTTGTAGCCCACAAATAATTTAAGATTTAGTCCAAATTGCAGAAAAAACCTCAGGAATAACTAACAGTTGTACTATAGTTTTTTCTGAAGCATAATTTTTCTCTCTCCAGTACCCATTTTTATTAAAAATAAATCATAGTAAGTCAGATTTACTTGCAAAATAAGTTTTAGTCTTATTGTGGTCTGGCTGATTATTTGCATAAAGTGCAGTGGGAATAACTATTTGCCATGTAGGCTCTTTTATATATTGGCTTTGCTGAAACTTTGTTCTATAAGGAATGTCAGATTGTACTTTTTAAAGCCCCTTGAAGCCCAGCCATGGATTTATCTCTTTCACTTTGCCTGAATTTTCCTCCTTTCAAGGTCCCAAGATAACTTGGGGCTCTTGGCTTGTCAGAAAGTGACATGCTTTACTTACCACAGATCAGGAATCCTGTACAGGGACTGCGTAGACAAGAGATGAGGCCAGCTTTCCTGAAGGTCTTTTATTGGCTTTATAAGTCAAATTTGATTCCTTAAAGCAGTCTGTTGAAATCTGAAAGCATGCCATTCCAGTCCAAGTCCTGGTAAAATAACCACTTTCTCTAATTGTGTTCTGTTATAAAAGAAAACAGATTCTCAATGCACTTATCCAAATAACTATACTGCCATAAGTTGAGAATACTCACACACAGTTCTGGAGAAATCAGGTAGCGAGAAAGCAATGTGCTTCAAATTTTTCTCACAGGAGTTACATTTTACTCAATTGCTAAAAGTTGTAGTAGCTCAAAAGGAAAAAAGTTTCTTGACTCTTAAAAACAAAAGAATTAGCAATGTTTAATACATTAGCTCCTTATGAGAGTCCTAGAAGTTTGTTTTTTTCTTCTATTCCATTAGCATAATTTCTAAAATTATCAGAGACCTGCATTTATGAGTACTGTCAGAGTCCTATATCTGATTATAAATTGCCTTTTGAAAAGGATCAAAGCAAGACAACAATTGTCTGTGGAAGACAAAAGTCTTAGGATAACTACTATTAAAGCCACAACTGACTAGAAATTTTGGTTACTTCTGTGGCATACAACAATTTTACATAACAATTATAATTATTAATAATGTATTCTAAGTCATGTCAGAATTATAGGAGTTTCCCATAATTTTGGAACATATACCGATAACATATATTTATACAAATACAGCCTAAAGAAAGCCAAACACCATTTCATATTTGACAATGCTTCCTGTATAATTTTTATACCAAATATGCCATTTTTGGACTTTAGGGGACCTAATATCTAAAAGGTCAATTTAGGTCAGAAAGAGACATAATTTATAATGTGATTTTGGAAAGTTTGTCAAATATCAAAGTGTAAAACACTGGCTATCACAAAATAAGATCACAGGTTACTCATTTAGCCAAAGTGGTGACTCAAAAAAATTTTTTTAAATGGCAAAACCCCATATTCACTAATAGAGGAGAGAATCAGCTTTCTAAACAAGACCCAATAAAGACAGCATGAGATCACCTGAATCTGTATCTTTTCTCTCCCTTCTTCCTTTCTTCCTGCCATTAACCCAAAGGGACAAAAAAACCCTTTCATTATCTTTTAAATTATTACACAAAAATCTTGTTCAAAAGAGAAAGCCAAATTTCACCTTTGCGTTGGTGCACTATTAATGTTAAACCCAATTCTTAATGAAACCTTGTAAACAAATTTATATAATTTTTTTTTATTATTATACTTTAAGTTCTAGGGTAAATGTGCACAACGTGCAGGTACGTTACCTATGTATACATGTGCCATGTTGGTGTGCTGCACCCATTAACTCGTCATTTAGCATTAGGTATATCTCCTAATGCTATCCCTTCCCCCTCCCCCCAGCCCACGACATGCCCCAGTGTGTGATGTTCCCCTTCCTGTGTCCAAGTGTTCTCATTGTTCAATTTCCACCTATGAGCAAGAACATGCGGTGTTTGATTTTTTGTCCTTGCAATAGTTTGCTGAGAATGGTGGTTTCCAGCTTCATCCACGTCCCTACAAAGGACATGAACTCATCATTTTTTATGGCTGCATAGTATTCCATGGTGTATATGTGCCACATTTTCTTAATCCAGTCTATCATTGATGGACATTTGGGTTGGCTCCAAGTCTTTGCTATTGTGAATAGTGCCGCAATAAACATACGTGTGCATGTGTCTTTATAGCAGCATGATTTGTAATCCTTTGGGTATATACCCAGTAATGGGATGGCTGGGTCAAATGGTATTTCTAGTTCTAGATCTTTGAGGAATCGGCACAGTGTCTTCCACAATGGTTGAACTAGTTTACAGTCCCACCAACAGTGTAAAAGTGTTCCTATTTCTCCACATCCTCTCCAGCACCTGCTGTTTCCTGACTTTTCAATGATCGCCATTGTAACTGGTGTGAGATGGTATCTCATTGTGGTTTTGATTTGCATTTCTCTGATGGCCAGTGATGATGAGCATTTTTTCATGTGTCCGTTGGCTGCATAAATGTCTTCTTTTGAGAAGTGTCCTGTTTATATCCTTTGACCACTTTTTCATGGGGTTGTTTTTTTCTTGTAAATTTGTTTGAGTTCATTGTAGATTCTGCATATTAGCCCTTTGTCAGATGAGTAGATTGCAAAAATTTTCTCCCATTCTGTAGGTTGCCTGTTCACCCTGATGGTAGTTTCTTTTGCTGTGCAGAAGCTCTTTAGTTTAATGAGATCCGATTTGTCAATTTTGGCTTTTGTTGCCATTGCTTTTGGTGTTTTAGACATGAAGTCCTTGCCCATGCCTATGTCCTGAATGGTATTGCCTAGGTTTTCTTCTAGGGTTTTTATGGTTTTAGGTCTAACATTTAAGTCTTTAATCCATCTTGAATTAATTTTTGTATAAGGTGTAAGGAAGGGATCCAGTTTCAGCTTTCTACATATGGCTAGCCAGTTTTCCCAGCAGCATTTATTAAATAAGGAATCCTTTCCCCATTTCTTGTTTTTGTCAGGTTTGTCAAAGATCAGATGGTTGTAGAAGTGTGGTATTATTTCCGAGGGCTCTGTTCTGTTCCCTTGATCTATATCTCTGTTTTGGTACCAGTACCATGCTGTTTTGGTTACTGTAGCCTTGTAGTATAGCTTGAAGTCAGGTAGTGTGATGCCTCTAACTTTGTTCTTTATGCTTAGCATTGTCTTGGCAATGCAGGCTCTTTTTTGGTTCCATATGAACTTTAAAGTAGTTTTTTCCAATTCTGTGAAGAAAGTCATTGGTAGCTTGATGGGGATGGCATTGAATCTATAAATTACCTTGGGCAATATGGCCATTTTCACGATATTGATTCTTCCTATCCATGAGCATGGAATGTTCTTCCATTTGTTTGTGTCCTCTTTTATTTCGTTGAGCAGTGGTTTGTAGTTCTCCTTGAAGAGGTCCTTCACATCCCTTGTAAGTTGGATTCCTAGGTATTTTATTCTTTTGAAATAATTGTAAATGGGAGTTCACTCATGATTTGGCTCTCTGTTTGTCTGTTATTGGTGTATAAGAATGCTTGTGATTTTTGCACATTGATTTTGTATCCTGAGACTTTGCTGAAGTTGCTTATCAGCTTAAGGAGATTTTGGGCTGAGATGATGCAGTTTTCTAAATATACAATCATGTCATCTGCAAACAGGGACAATTTGATCTCCTCTTTTCCTAATTGAATACCCTTTATTTCTTTCTCCTGCCTAATTGCCCTGGCCAGAACTTCCAACACTATGTTGAATAGGAGTGGTGAGAGAGGGCATCCCTATCTTGTGCCAGTTTTCAAAGGGAATGCTTCTGGTTTTTGCCCATTCAGTATGATATTGGCTGTGGGTTTGTCATAAATAATTCTTATTATTTTGAGATACATCCCATCAATACCTAATTTATTGAGAGTTTTTAGCATGAAGGGCTGTTGAATTTTGTCAAAGGCCTTTTCTGCATCTATTGAGATAATCATGTAGTTTTTGTCTTTGGTTCTGTTTATATGCTGGATTACAGTTATTGATTTGCATATGTTGAACCAGCCTTGCATCCCAGGGATGAAGCCCACTTGATCATGGTGGATAAGCTTTTTGATGTTCTGCTGGATTCTGTTTGCCAGTATTTTATTGAGGATTTTTGCATCAATGTTCATCAAGGATATTGGTGTAAAATTCTCTTTTTTTGTTGTGTCTCTGCCCGGCTTTGGTATAAGGATGATGCTGGCCTCATAAAATGAGTTAGGGAGGATTCCCTCTTTTTGTATTGATTGGAATAGTTTCAGAAGGAATGGTACCAGCTCCTCTTTGTACCTCTGGTAGAATTCGGCTGTGAATCCGTCTGGTTCTGGACTTTTTTTGGTTGTTAGGCTCTTAATTATTGCCTCAATTTCAGAGCCTGTTATTGATCTATTCAGGGATTCAACTTCTTCTTGGTTTAGTCTTGGGCTGGTGTATGTGTCCAGGAATTTATGCATTTCTTCTAGATTTTCTAGTTTATTTGCATAGAGGTGTTTGTAGTATTCTCTGTTCGTAGTTTGTATTTCTGTGGGATTGGTGGTGATATCCCCTTTATCATTTTTTATTGCATCTATTTGATTCTTCTCTCTTTTCTTCTTTATTGGTCTTGCTAGTGGCCTATCAGTTTTGTTGATCTTTTCAAAAACCAACTTCTGGATTCATTGATTTTTCGAAGGGTTTTTTATGTCTCTATCTCCTTCAGTTCTGCTCTGATCTTAGTTATTTCTTGCCTTCTGCTAGCTTTTGAATGTGTTTGCTCTTGCTTCTCTAGTTCTTTTAATTGTGATGTTAGGGTGTCAATTTTAGATCTTTCCTGCTTTCTCTGTGGGCATTTAGTGCTATAAATTTCCCTCTACACACTGCTTTAAATGTGTCCCAGAGATTCTGGTATGTTGTGTCTGTTCTCATTGGTTTCAAAGAACATCTTTATTTCTGCCTTCATTTCTTTATGTACCCAGTAGTCATTCAGGAGCAGGTTGTTCAGTTTCCATGTAGTTGAGCGGTTTTGAGTGAGTTTCTGAATCCTGAGTTCTAGTTTGATTGCACTGTGGTCTAAGAGACAGTTTGTTAACACTTCTGTTCTTTTACATTTGCTAAGGAGTGTTTTACTTCCAACTATGCGGTCAATTTTAGAATAAGTGTGATGTGATGCTGAGAAGAATGTATATTCTGTTGATTTGGGGTGGAGAGTTCTATAGATGTCTATTAGGTCTGCTTGGTGCAGAGCTGAGTTCAATTCCTGGATATCCTTGTTAACTTTCTGTCTTGTTGATCTGTCTAATGTTGCCAGTGGGATGTTAAAGTCTCCCATTATTATTGTGTGGGAGTCTCAGTCTCTTTTTAGGTCTCTAAGGACTTGCTTTATGAATCTGGGTGCTCCTGTATTGGGTGCATATATATTTAGGATAGTTAGCTCTTCTTGTTGAATTGATCCCTTTACTGTTATGTTATGGCCTTGTTTGTCTCTTTTGATCTTTGTTGGTTTAAAGTCAGTTTTATCAGAGACTAGATTTGCAACCCCTGCCTTTTTTTGTTTTCCATTTTCTTGGTAGATCTTCCTCCATCCCTTTATTTTGATCCTATGTGTATCTCTGCATGTGAGATGGGTCTCCTGAATACAGCACACTGATGGGTCTTGACTCTTTATCCAATTTGCCAGTCTGTGTCTTTTAATTGGAGCATTTAGCCCATTTACATTTAAGGTTAATATTATTATTTGTGAATTTGAGTCTGTCATTATGATGTTAGCTGGTTATTTTGCTCATTAATTGATGCAGTTTCTTTCTAGCATCAATGGTCTTTACAATTTGGCATGTTTTTGTAGTGGCTGGTACCGGTTGTTCCTTTCCATGTTCAGTGCTTCTTTCAGGAGCTCTTGTTGGGCAGGCCTGGTGATGACAAAATCTCTCAGCATTTGCTTGTCTGTAAAGGATTTTATTTCTCCTTCACTTATGAAGCTTAGTTTGGCTGGATATGAAATTCTGGGTTGAAAATTCTTTTCTTTAAGATTGTTGAATATTGGCCCCTACTCTCTTCTGGCTTGTAGAGTTTCTGGCGAGATATCTGCTGCTAGTCTGATGGGCTTCCCTTTGTGGGTAACCCAACCTTTCCCTCTGACTGCCCTTAATATTTTTTCCTTCATGTCAACTTTGGTGAATCTGACAATTATGTGTCTTGGAGTTGCTATTCTAGAGGGGTATCTTTGTGGTGTTCTCTGTATTTCCTGAATTTGAATGTTGGCCTGCCTTACTAGGTTGGGGAAGTTCTCCTGGATAACATCCTGAAGTGTGTTTTCCAACTTGGTTCCATTCTCCCCGTCACTTTCAGGTACACCAATCAGATGTAGATTTGGTCTTTTCACATAGTCCCATATTTCTTGGAGGCTTTGTTCGTTTCTTTTTACTCTTTTTTCTCTAAACTTCTCTTTTCGCTTCATTTCATTCATTTGATCTTCCATCGCTGATACCCTTTCTTCCAGTTGATTGATCGGCTACTGAAGCTTGTGCATCTGTTGCGTAGTTCTCGTGCCATGGTTTTCAGCTCCATCGTGTCATTTAACATCTTCTCTACACTGGTTTTTCTAGGTAGCCATTTGTCTAATCTTTTTTCAAGTTTTTAGCTTGTTTGCAATGGGTTCAAACTTCCTCCTTTAGCTCGGAGAAATTTGATCATGTGAAGCCCTCTTTTCTCAACTCATCAAAGTCATTCTCCATCCAGCTTCGTTCTGTTGCTGGCGAGGAGCTGCCTTCCTTTGGAGGGAGAGAGGCACTCTGATTTTTAGAATTTTCAGCTTTTCTGCTCTCTTTTTTCCCCATCTTTTTGGTTTTACCTACCTTTGGTCTTTGATGATGGTGACGTCCAGATGAGGTATTGGTGTGGATGTCCTTTCTGTTTGTTAATTTTCCTTCTAACAGTCAGGACGCTCAGCTGCAGGTCTGTTGGAGTTTGCTGGAGGTCCACTCCCGACCCTGTTTGCCTGGGTATCAGCAGCGGAGGCTGCAGAACAGCAAATATTAATGAACAGCAAAGGTTGCTTCCTGATTGCTCCTCTGGAAGCTTCATCTCAGAGGGCTACCCGGCTGTGTGGGGTGTCAGTCTGCCCCTACTTAGGGGTGCCTCCCAGTTATGCTACTTGTGGGTCAGGGACCCACTTGAGGAGGCTGTCTGTCCTTTCTCAGATCTCAAACTCCGTGCTGGGAGAACCACTACTCTCTTCAAAGCTGTCAGACAGGGACATTTAAGTCTGCAGAGGTTTCTGCTGCCTTTTGTTCAGCTATAACCTGCCTCTAGAGGTGGAGTCTACAGAGGCAGGGAGGCCTCCTTAAGCTGCAGTGGGCTCCACCCAGTTCGAGCTTCCCAGTGGCTTTGTTTGCCTACTCAAGCCTCAGCAATGGCAGGCGCCCATCCTCCAGCCTCACTGCCACCTTGCAGTTCAATCTCAGACTGCTGTGCTAGCAATGAGCGAGGCTATGTGGGCATAGGACCCTCCGAGCCAGGCATGGGATATAATCTCCTGGTGTGCCGTTTGCTAAGACCATTCAAAAAGCACAGTATTAGGGTGGGAGTGACCCGATTTTCCACTTGCTGTCTGTCACAGCTTCCCTTGGCTAGGAAAGGGAATTCCCTGACCCCTTGTGCTTCCCCGGTGAGGTGATGCCTCGTCTTGCTTCGGCTTACACTTGGTGGGCTGCACCCACTGTCCTGCCCCCACTGTCTGACAAGCCCCAGTGAGATGAACCTGGTACCTCATTTGGAAATGCAGAAATCACCCGTCTTCTGTGTTGCTAACACTGGGAGCTGTAGACTGGAGCTGTTCCTATTCAGCCATCTTGGAACTCAAATTTATATAATCTTTTTTTTTTTTTTTTTTTTTTTTTTGAGACAGAGTCTCACTCTGTCACCCAGGCTGGAGTGCAGTGGCGCTATCTCGGCTCACTGCAAGCTCTGCCTCCCGGGTTCACGCCATTCTCCTGCCTCAGCCTCCCAAGTAGCTGGGACTACAGGCACCTGCCATGACGCCTGGCTAATTTTTTGCATTTTTTAATAGAGACGGGGTTTCACCATGTTAACCAGGATGGTCTCGATCTCCTGACCTTGTGATCTGCCTACCTCCAAATTTATATAATCTTAATTAGCTTAACCATAAGGTAAAATTCTCATAGACTTTTTATAACCCCTTAAAATTTTTTATTAAAACAGTGGCAAGCTCATCCGAGGAGTCCTTGTGCCATTACTCCACTGAGCAGAACAATGCTCTAAGAAGACTCTGTCATACTTTTATTACAGTGTTCAATTTATGGGATGTTATCTATTATTAAATCAGGGCAAGGGGTGATTCAGAGTTGTTTTTTCTGTGATACTATGTGGATATGAGAGATCTCAATTAGAAACTTTTAGTTCTGAGACAGATTTATAGGCTGATGTTATGGGGAAGAAAGCATGACAGTGATAAAAAGTAGAGCATCAAGACAAGATATAAAGAGCAGTTATTGCCCATTTCCCAGTGGACTGGACCACAGGGTCTCTGAAGCTCTACCACTATCACTTTTTTTGTGGTGGTTGTGGCAGGCACTGCCTTGCACATTTGCTATATATATATATATTTTTATTTATATTATATATATTTGCTGTATATGTATATATAGCAAATGTGCAAGGCAGCCAGTGAGATATATATATAATACACACACACATTTAAATAAAATGCTAACTTCATCAAAGTGATCTTCCCTTTTTAATAGTTTAAAATCTTTTCTATCATTTTCTTAGATATAGGAGATCAGGAAAGATTGAGTTGCTGGGGGTTAAATAACGAGTTAATAGGTGCAGCACACCAACATGGCACATGTATACATATGTAACTAACCTGCACGTTGTGCACATGTACCCTAAAACTTAAAGTATAATAATAATAATAAAAAAAGATTGAGTTGCTGGGGAAGCTATTTTTGTTTTTTCGCATTGACACAGATTTTCCCACTAAACACACCCATGTAAATGAGCAAATGTCCTAGGACTACTCTTACTTGGGTTCATTGGTTACCTTGTAGTTATATTTTACACATAGAATAAACATGACAGTACTTCCTGATTTTGACCCTGCATTTAGAAATTTATGTCTAATTAATTGTTAGGTTCAAATAGAGAAATTAGTTTTGCCATGAGAGGATGGGTACAGTTGGAGTATTTGCTCAGTTCTGGACAGTTAGTGCTACTGCTTTTGATGGCTGTGAGCCATGATAATTATTGGTAGCAGAGAGCTGTGACAAGAGCAGATATTTATGATACCTATGCAGCATTGTATAGAATTACAATTATAGGTAAGGTCAAAAGGGGTTGGGATTATATGCCACCCTACATGTTTTTTTTATTTGTTTGTTTTCAGAGTTTCAACTCATCCCATTTGAAGAACCCCCAATCATCTTGGGTCAGTAGAGGGGCAGTGTGGTATATGGAAGAAAAAGATGGACTCTGTTTGAGTCTTGGCTTTATTTTTACCTTTCTGAGCCTCAATTCTTTACTTGAAAAATGAGGATAAGTAATATTGTTTACTGCATCACAATGTAATCTGGATTAAATGTTATAATGTATATTTAAGTGCTTTTGTAAAATTGCTAAGAGCTATAAAAATGGCACTAAATAAGTACTTCTACCCAGCCTCCCCTCCTTTATGCATTTATTTCTCCTGTTTATGTCAGTTCTAAGTAGTATAATGACCATGTTTGGGGATAAAGAGCTAGACTAAAGTGAAACAAATTTATTTTGCTCTGTGGGAATTTGTGTATGCTTTCCTTAGCCTTTCTGTTTCTTTTAGATTGAGAGTTTGTGCAGATGAGATAAAATGATTTTCTTAGGAAGATGTTATTTGAATAGCTTTATACACAAAGTGTAGCAAACAACCAATATTATAAATTTGTTAGTTTAGCATATATAACATATAACATGTAATGCACATCATCTAAAGGAGGGAAGAAAAAGAAATGATAAAATAATGAGCATTTATGGTGACAAAAGCAATTTGCTGGATTAATATTCAAGGCTGTTTGGCACCAGTTGGGCTGACCTTTCTATGGTGCATAAGGAAGAAACAGCAGGATAAGAATGAGCAAGGAAGCCATTTCACACATACACTGGTCTGTCTTCCTTGTCAGCTGTCCTAATGGCCACCCAGTTGTAGGCTTTTATCCAGTGCTTACAGACAGCTTATCATAACTTGTAGCTTGTTTCTTTAGGGCATTCTTTCCCATACCCTACAAGGTAATGGGCTATGCTACATGTGTTCTATCTGATAAAGTCTCCTTAACAAACTAAATTATTACGGACAGGTCCAGTAATGCCCATATTAACAAAAAAATGCCATTTTGCACTTATGTATTCTATACATAGACATATAACTTTTACACCCTTATATTATATATATAGACACATGAATTTTTCAGCACTCCTAGGCATATGCCTTTATTTACAGACCTGGGGAAATAACAGCCATTACATTGTAAGTGGTCAAGGAGAGTGAACCCAAAACGTATGTGTGAAGTTTTCTTCAGATCCTTCCATGAGAGGAAGCAAGTCGTGCTATCCTATTAATAATTAACACATTAATTATAAGGATGTCAGACAAATCAGATCACTTATCTTCTCTCTTTTGCTGAAAATAATGTTAATAGAGCTTTGTATGTCTGAGTGTCAATATGGTGAATTTCCTTTGTTGATCTCTTCCCTGTTAACAGATTAGACTAGTGTTTTTCAAACATTTTGACTTGTGATCCATAGTAAGAATGCATTTTGTGTCATGACTCAACATATGTATACTTATATACAAATATATCACATGATTAAAATAATTGATATCACAATCCACTAAACAGTTGTAAAGCATAGCTTGAAAACATTTTACTATTTGAAAACCAGTTAGCTGAGTTCTGGAGACTCTTTTTCTGAGGATCAATTACAACTACTTCAGAAAACAAGGCTAATGTGGGAATGGTGAAGACTGATTTCTTTTTTTTTTTTCTGGAGACGGAGTCTGACTTTGTTGTCCAGGCTGGAATGCAGTGGCGTGATCTTGGCTCACTGCAACGTCCGCCTCCCGAGTTCAAGCAATTCTCCTGCCTCAGCCTCCCGAGTAGCTGGGAATACAGGTGCATGCTGCCACACCTGGCTAATTTTTTGTATTTTAGTAGAGATGGGGTTTCACCGTGTTGCCCAGGCTGGTCTCGAACTCCTGATCTGAAGTGATGTTCCCACCTTGGCCTCCCAAAGTGCTAGGATTACAGGCGTGAGCCACAGCACCCGCCTTGATTTCTTTCACTGTATATATATTTAAGATTTTTGAGGCTTGTCTTCTGGGATCAAGGAGTGTCATTGTGGCCTATTTGATAGATCAAAGAATAAGATAAAACATTGATAGAGTTAGAAACATTTTAGGACAAAGATAGCAAGCTTTCCTGACAAAACGCCTTTTCCTCCTCCCTCTCCTCCTCTTTCCTTGTTAAATGGATATAGATGTATATTGAGACAGGGGAGGAATGGATGAAAACTTATAACGTTATTGTAATATGGAGACTTAGAAGATCTTCATAAAAGCTTCTCTCTATGTCAGGGTGAGATCCTCTTTGATCTCCATAATGTAAATGAATTATGATATGTTACCAATAAAATCTTAGAATCTGCCAGTCAAATTATCTCTGACTTAATTTATGTTACTCCAGGACCTTAGGAGCCATTGCTACTGGGGAGTGTTGTGTGGAGCAGGAGAGATGAATTCTTGTAGCCTCTATAAGGTCAATGATTTGTCTGTTCTATCTCTAAACTGCTATGGCATTTACTGTTTATTCCAGACAATATAGTTCTTTGCTATACGCTGCTTTCTGATGATAATGTCAATTATTTCTTGCATGTGAATTGTGTCTCTTCTAGTGAATTTCTTGAGAACGTCTTTTATTTACTCTTTGTATCCTTTGCATACCTCTAGGTAACTATTCAACTCCTCCCAAACAACAATTATTTTGTTTAGTGGAAGAGAAAGAAGAATATTACATCCTTCTGTTCCATATTTAGGCCAATCAACTCACTTCAAGCATTGTACAGCCTCCTTCTAGATTGAACTGAGGCAGAAATGTCAATTACATTAAGTTTACTTTCAACACTCCTTAATTACTAAATTTATTCAAGTAATTCATTCCACAAATAATTAGTGAGACTTCTTATGTGTTAGACACTATGCAAGGAATATAATTATGAGCAAAATATTGTAGATCTTACAGTATATTCTTTCTTTTTCTTTCTTTCTTTCTTTCTCTCTCTCTTTCCCTCCCTTCCTTCCTTCTTCCTCCTCCTTCTCCTTCTCCTCCTCCTTCTTATTTTTTCTTTTCTTTCTTCCTGTTCTCTTTTTCTTTCTTTCTTTTTCTTTCTCTCTCTCTTTCTCTCTTTCTCTTTCTTTGTTTCTTTTCTCCTTCCTTCCTTCCCTCCTTCCTTCCCTTTCCTCCCTTCCCGTCCCTTCCCCTTCCTTCCTTCCTCCTCTTTTCTTTTTCTCTCTCCCTCTTTCTTTCTCTTTTTCTCTCTTTCTGTCTCTCCTTCCTTCCCTCCCTCCCTTCCTTCCCTCCCTCTTTTCTTTCTTTCTCTCTTTCTCTCTTTCCCTCCCTCCCTTCCTTCCTTCCTTCCTTCTTCCTCCTCTTCTCCTTCTCCTCCTCCTCCTTCTTCTTTCTTTCCTGCTTCCTTCCCTTCCCTTCCCCTTCCTTCCTTCTTTCTTTCCTTCCTTCCTTCCTCCTCTTTTCTTTTTCTCTCTCCCTCTTTCTGTTTTTCTCTTTCTCTCTCCTTCCTTCCTTCCCTCCCTCCATCCCTCCCTCCCCTCCCTCCCTCCCTCCCTTCCTTCCCTCCCTCCATCCCTCCCTCCCCTCCCTCCCTCCCTCCCTCCCTCCCTTCCTTCCCTCCCTCCCTCCCTCCCTTCCTTCCCTCCCTCCTTCCCTCCCCTCCCTCCCTCCCTTCCTTCCTTCTCTCTCTTCTCTTCTCTTCTCTTTCTTGCTCTGTCACCCAGGCTGGAGTTCAGTGGCGTGATCTTGGCTCACTGTAGCCTCCACCTCCCAAGTTCAAGTGATTCTCCTGTTTCAGCCTCCCAAATAGCTAGGATTACAGGCGTGTGCCACGACCCCCAGCTAATTTTTGCATTTTTAATAGAGACAGGGTTTCACCATGTTGACCAGGCTGGTCTCAAACTCCTGTCTCCAAGTGATCTGTGTGTCTCGGCCTCCCAAAGTGTTAGAATTACAGGCGTGAGCCACCACACTTGGCCATTGCAGTATATCCTAGCATTTATTTTTTTTACAAACTTAGTACTCTCATGTTTTCCTAAATCTTCACTATTGATTCCTTATATTCTCTTCTAAATCTACCCTCATTCTTTTCTTTACACCGTAGTATAAATAACAAATAATAAAGTGTTATCTCAAGACACATTTATGCTTTTTTGAACTAACGAGATTTCTTTAAACTAAAGGAAGAAATTTAATCAATAGCCAGAAATAGTGGCCAAGATTTATTAAGCATTTATCACGTTCCATGCACTTCTTTAATCACTGCATGTGGATTAACTAATTTTCACAGTAGCACAATCATGTAGTCACTATTGTTATGTTAGCCTTATAGATGAGAAAACTAAAGCACAAAGAATTTAGGTAGCTTGTCTAAAGTGACTAGGCCCTTATATGGTGGAGCAAGGATTTGAAAGTAGGTAATTTGAATGTGAATTGTGTCTCTTCTAGTGAGTTTCTTGAGAATGTCTTTTATGTAGTTTGGCTAAATAAATTTTGGCTTCACTATTCATGCTGTCAAATACAACCTTATGTTACCTATATTATCACTGAGTTATTTCTTTAGAAGGTTCATCATTCCAGGTCCATGAAATCATATATTGAAAATCATATATTGAGTAAAAACAATTTCAGGCAGGCTCTATTTCCAACTCAAGGCAAGTCCTTTCACTGCATTGAAACCCACAATAGTACACCTGTCTTTGCTCCATGCCTTCTTCTAGCTGGGAGTTGAGACTCTGCTCTTTGTCAGAATTTATTTTTACATGCAGTTTGATTAAAAGAAAAATGGTTATATTATTCCTAGGGAAGTTTTTGTTGATTGGTGTGCCAATTATTAAGCCATTGTTTTCCACCTCGAAGTTGACCTTCTATAATTGGTAATACTGGGTCTGGGATTCTGCCAACTATTTGTTCTTGGCTAGTTTCCTGTTAGGATCTGCCAGGAGCAGTAGAGGGAGATTGGAAGGCAGGAGGTTAGAGAAGCGACGGCTCATTCCTGATTGTTTGCTATTACCATCAATGTCGTCCCAGCAATGCAACTTTATCTGGGTATCCAGGATATTATTTTGGGCACAAAATTTAAGGAGGCTAACCTTGCATTTGCAGGAGATGAGCAATTGGCTCCTTAAATTTTGTGTCCTAAGTGCCTCACTTGCACAACCCTCTAGTCCCTGCCATAAAAACTACTATTAAGAATTTGGTATGTTTCATAGTCTTTTGTAAAATGCACTTTTTATGTGGTTTTATTCATATTTTTGAACAACTGCATATTTAAAAAGATTTTATTTATTTAAATTTATTATGAGACAAGAGTCTCACTCTGTCATCCAAGTTGGAGTGCAGTGGCCTGATCATAGTTCAGTGCAGCCTTGACCTCTCAGGCTTAAATTACCCTCCCACTTCAGCCTCGTGAATATCTGGGACCATAGGCATGCACCACCATACTGGCTAATTTTTTTGTTGTTGTTGTTAAGATGAAGTCTTTCTATGTTGCCCAGGCTGGTCTTAAACTCCTGGGCTCAAGTGATCCACCTGCCTTGCTCTCCTAAAGTGTTGGGATTACAGGCATGAGCCACTGTGCCCAGCCTATTTTGTTTTTTTAAATTAATACATAATAATTGTATATTTATGGGGTACACATTGATATTGTACTACATGTAATGTATAGTGATCAGATCAAGTAATTAGCATCATCTCAAACATTTATCATTTCTTTAAGTTAGGAATGTTTAATATTCTTCTTCTAGCTATTGGAAATTATATAACATATTAACTATAGTCATCCTACAGTGATATAGAACACTAGAACCTATTCCTCCTTTCTAGCTGTAATTTTGTTTTCTTTTTTGCTCACTGCAAGCTCCGCCTCCCGGGTTCACGCCATTCTCCTGCCTCAGCCTCCCGAGTAGCTGGGACTGCAGGAGCCCGCCACCAGGTATGGCTAATCTTTTTTTGTATTTTTAGTAGAGACGGGGTTTCACCGTGTTAGCCAGGATGGTCTCGATCTCCTGACCTTGTTATCTGCCCGCCTCGGCCTCCCAAAGTGTTGGGATTACAGGCATGAGCCACTGCGCCTGGCCAATTTTGTATTCTTTAAGATATCTTTCTTTATCCCTTCTTTACCCCTATTGTTCCCAGCCTCTAGTATCCTCTGTTCTATTTTTTACTTCTATGAATTCAACTTATTTTTAGCTTCCATATATGAATGAGAACATGTGGTGTTTAACTTTATGTTCCTGGCTTATTTCACTTAACACAGTGTCCTCCAGTTCCATCCATGTTGCCACAAATAACAGGATTTTATTCTTTTTTTATGGCTGAATAGTATTCCATTGTGGACCAAATTTCCTTTATCCATTCATCTCTTATTGGACACCTAGATTGACTCCATATATTGGCTATTGTGAGTAGTGCTGCGATAAATATGTGCTGATTTCCTTTCCTTTGGATAAATGCCCAGTAGTGGGATTACTGGATTATATGGTAATTCTAGTGGTAGTTATATGAGGAACCCACATACTGTTTTCTGTCGTGGTTATACTAGTTTCTGTTCCTATGAACAGTGTATAAGACTTCCCTTTTCTCCACATCCTCACCAGCATTTCTTATTTTTTGTCTCTTTGACAATAGCCATTTTGGCTGGGTGCAGTGGCTCATGCCTGTAATCCCAGCACTTTGGGAGGCTGAGGCAGGTGGATCACATGAGGTTAGGAGTTCGAGACCAGCCTGACCAACATGGTGAAGCCCCATTTCTACTAAATATATAAAATTAGCTGGGCATGGTGGCGCATGTCTGTAATCCCAGCTACTTGGGAGGCTGAGACAGGAGAATCACTTGAACTCGGGAGACGGAGGTTGCAGTGAGCTGAGATTGCGCCATAGCACTCCAGCCTGGACAACAAGAGCGAGACTCTGTCTCAAAATAAATAAATAAATAAAATAAAATAATAGCCATTTTAACTGAGGTAAGGTGATATCTCATTGTGAATTTGATTTGCATTTCCCTGGTGATTCTTGATGTTGGGTATTTTGTCATATATTTATTGGCCATTTGTATGTCTTCGTTTGAGATATGTCCATTCAGATCATTTGCCTATTTAAAAAATTGGATTGTTGGTTTTTTGCTATTGAGATGTTTGAGATCTGTATTAGGCTGTTGCATTGCTATAAATAGCTGAGACTGGGTAATTTATAAAGAAAAGAGATTTAATTGGCTCAAAATTCTGCAGGCTGTACAGGCATGGTACTGACATTGCTTGGCTTCTGGGGAGGCCTCAGGAAGCTTTTACTCATGGCAGAAGGTGAAGTGGGAGCAGGCACATCACATGGTAAAAGCAGGAGCAAGAGAGAGAGAGTTGGCGGGGACATGACACACACTTTTTAAAATTTTTTGTTGAGATGGAGTCTTGCTCTGTCACCTAGGCTGGAGTGCAGTGGCACGATCTTGGCTCACTGAACCTCTGACTCCTGGGTTCAATCAGTTCTCCTGCCTCAGCCTCCTGAGTAGCTGGGACTACAGGAGCATGCCACCGGGCCCAGCTAATTTTTGTATTTTTAGTAGAAATGGGGTTTTGCCGTGTTGGCCAGGCTGGTCTTGAACTCCTGACCTCAAGTTATGTTCCCACCTCGGCCTCCCAAAGTGCTAGGATTACAGGCGTGAGCCACCACGCCCGGCTAACAGACACTTTGAAACAATAAGATATCATGTAAATTCATTCACTATTGTGAGGACAGCATCAAGAAGATGGTGTTAAACCGTTCACGAGACACTTGCCCCAGTGATCCAATCATCTCCCACCAGGCCCCACCTCCAACATTGTGGATTACATTTCAACATGAGATTTGGGCAGGGACAAATATCCAAATTACATCAAGTACCTTGTATTGGATATTAAATGGATATTAATATCTGGATATTAAAATATCACCTATCAGATGAGTAGTTGGTAAACATTTTCTTCCATTTTCTGGGTTGTCTTTCCACCCTGTTGATTGATTCTTTTGCTATGCAGTAGCTTTTTAGTTTAATATAATCCCATTTGTTTATTTTTGCTTTTTTCTAAACCTGTGCTTTGAGGTCTTATTTACAAAATCTCAGACCAATATCCTAAAATGTTTCCCATATGCTTTACTCTAATAGTTTACAGTTTTGGGTCTTATATTTAGGTCTTTGATTCATTTTGAGTTGATTTTTGTATAGGGTGAGAGGTGGGGTGTAATTTCTTTCTTCTGCTTGTGGATATCCACTTTCCCCAGCACCATTTATTAAAGAGACTGTCATTTCCCCAATGAGGGTTCTTGGCACCTTTGTCAAAAAACAGTTGGCTGTAGATATGTGGATTAATTTCTAATTCTCTATTCGGTTCCATTCATATCTGTGTCTGTTTTTATGCCAGTACCATGATTTTTTGGTTACTACAGCTTTAGAGCATATTTTGAAGCTGATAGTGTGATTCCTCCAGCTTTGTTTCTTTTGCTCAGGATTGCCTTCGCTATTCAGTATCTTTTGTGGTTTTGTTTTATATTAGCAGAGCTACTCTGGCTCACTTTTGGTTTTTATTTGCATGGAGTATCTTTTTTCATCCCTTCACTTTCAGTCTGTATGTCTTTATAGGCAAGGTGAGTTTCTTTGTGCAGCATACAGTTGGGTCTTGTTTTTTAAAAAATATATCCAGCCAGTCTATATTTTTTAAATGAGGAATTTAATCTGGTTACATTCAAGTTTATTATTGATAGGTGAGGACTTACTCCTGTCACTTTATTGATTGTTTTCTAGTTGTTTTGTATATCATTTGTTCCTTACTTTCTCTCTTATTGTTTATTTTGAGGCTGGTTTATTGGTGATGAATTACCTTAGTTTTTGCTTGCCTGTGAATGATTTTTTTCTCCTTCATTTCTGAAGGATAGTTTTGCTGGCTATAATATTCTGGGCTGACCGTTTTTTTCTTTCAGTACTTTTAATATATCATCCCACTCTGTCCTGGTCTGAAAAGTTTCTGCTGAGAAATTCCCTGTTAATCTATTGGAGATTGCTGTATATTTGATTTGATGCTTTTCTCTTGCTGTTTTTAGAATTGTTTCTTTGTCTTTGACTTTTGACAATTTGATATAATGTGTTTTGGAGAGGACCTGTTTGGTTTGAATTGACTTGAGGTTTTTTGAGCTTCCTGAACCTGGATATCAATTTCTTTTCCAAGATTTGGGAAGGCTTTAGATATTATTTTATTGAATATGTTTTCTATACCTTTCTCCTCTCTTTTTCTGAAACATGAATGATTGAATATTTGTTTGCTTAATGGTGTCCTATAAATCTTGTGGGCTTTCTTAATTTTTAAAAATTATTTCTTCTTTTTTTGTCTGTCTATGTTATTTTAAAACATATGTCTTCAAGTTCAGAAATTCTTCTGCTTGGTCTAGTCCATTGTTGGAGCTCTCAGTTATATTTTTTATTCCATTTCTTGAATTCTTCAGCTCTCAGATTTCTGTTTGGCTCTTTTTTATATCTATCTCTTTGCTGATTATCTCATTCAAATCATAAATTGTTTTTCTGATTTTGTTACATTATCTGTCTGTATTCTCTCATATCTCACCGAGTTTCTCTACAAAAAAATGAAGAAAAAATTAGCCAAGCATGATGACTTGTGCTTCTAGGAGGCTGAGGCAAGAGGATTGCTTGAGCCTAGGAGTTCACGATTGTGCCACTGTACTTCAGCCTGGGTGACAGAGTGAGAACTTGTCTCTGGAAAAAAAAAAAAAAGACAAAGAACAAGAAAAAATGCAGTAAAATTAGGCTCTGTACCTCAAAAGCTAAAACAGCACACAACGATGCTCAGTGTGCAGCCTTAGTAAACTAGTCAGAACCATTCACTATTAGTGGTCATTTATCAGGAAGGATGCTTTGTGAAACTGGTCAGCTGCCATGTTGAAACCACAGAAATGGAGGAGAGTCTGGTTGCAGCGTCAGGCAGTTGACTGAAGTTAGTGGAGGAGTGTGTCTTTTGTTCTTTGTTTTATGGGGCTGGTTTCTGTTTAACTCTTAGTAAAAGAAAATAAAAGTCTGAGAATGGTTAGCAAAGAAGAGAGTGTACTGAGGTGTGACCAACCTCCCATCTTGTCGTGGCTCAAAAATTTAGTTTTTCAAGTTTTTCTGGAGTCTCCTTGGCCAAGAAGGGTTCATTCCGTTGGTTGGGGGTGCTTAGGATTTATTTTTATTTCACAGAATCTATCACGTAGATATTTGTATAATCATTACAAACGCTATTACTCTCATAATCTTATTTCAATTCTCACAATTTTATGAGGTCAGTAGGACAGATGTTATTCATTTTATACATAGGGAAACTGAGGTTCTGGTAGGTTAAATGTCTTGCTCAAGATCATAAAGGTACTAACTAGCAGAATCAGGATTTAATAATCATTTATTCCCATTGTTATTGGTAATAATAATCTGTACTCTTTGTTGAAGGTCTGATACAAGTCACAGAGTTAAAGAGTGTCAGAGCTGGGCTTTGAACACTTGTTTCATCTTAAAGACTAAGCTCTTTGTTATACCATTTTGCCTTATTAAATCAAGACATGTTGGGATTGTGTAGTACAGACTTTCCTTCATAGGAATTCAGAGGAGAGAAGTGCTCAGGAAGGGTTTTCGGCACGTCGTCAGATATGAATTAGACCTGAAATGATGAGTAGGAATTGGAAAGGAAAGAGGAAGGAGAGAGAAAACGTGGCAGAAGAGCAGAGAAGAGGAAGAAGAGGAGAGGAATGTGGGATAAATGAGGGGAGGGGGAGTTCATCCGAAACAAAGGAGCCTTCATAAATAAAAACATCGAAGAATAAATATAAGAAACTGTAAAGCCCAACTACATTAATGTGACTGATGTGTGGTTAGGGTGTGAGGACAAGTTAGATTATTGAGGTAGTCTTTGTGGCCCTTAGAAAATTGGCAGGTCAGTTAAAATTTATAACTAGCAGAATGATCTTTTAGAAAGTTTACTTCCACATGGAACTATGTCTGTTCCTGGTTGTGTGGAAGCTGAGGGCATGAAGTAACTTTTTACATTGAATTTAATTTTTCTTGTGTATTTAGAAATTATCACGCTGGAACAGACTAGGAGTCTTATAGAGTAGGGTGAAATCCCTCAGTAGTTCAATTGATTGTATTTGTAGTACTATTCCTTGGGGTGGGGGGAAATCTCATTTCAATCCCAGCTAGAAGTCACCTTATCCACTAATGCCTCAGGATTGAGACCCATTGTATAATTTTAACAAGAAAGTATGTGGTAATGAACTGTCATGTCTTGGAAAAGGTACAAATCAAACAGGCCTTTTCCATCTTTTATTTCCATAAAGCTCTTTCCAGAGTGACAGACTGACACATACAGTTTTATTCCTAGTATGTCTTTTACGTTTAACTTTTAAAAAAAATTGCTTGTGAATAGATAACAAACCTTGATAAATCAAATAGGAAATATTTGCTTAGTAGACTATGTGCTCAGAGAAGGCTATTGTGTATAATTATATATTATGTATGGCAGAACTCTTCACAGGTTTGCTATTATTTTTTAAATTCTGGTTTTTTTTTTTTTTTTTTTTTTTTGAGACAGAGTCTCACTCTTGTTGCCTAGGCTGGAGTGCAGTGGCGCGATGTCTGCTTACTGCAACCTCTGCCTCCTGGGTTCAAATGATTCTCCCACCTCAGCCTTCCGAGTGACTGGGATTACAGGCACCTGCCAGCATGCCCAGTGATTTTTTGTATTTTTAGTAGAGACGGGGTTTCACCATGTTGGCCAGGCTGGTCTCAAACTCCTGACCTCAGGTGATCCACCTACCTTGGCCTCCCAAAGTGCTGGGATTACAGGCGTGAGCCACCATGCCTGGCCTGTTTTAAAAAAATCTTAAATCACATTAATTATATGCATATTTAAAATTCCACAAATAGATAACTATATATATCAGATAGAATTCTTTGGCCTGCAAGTAAGAGAAGCCCCAACTTAACTAATTTAAACGAGGACATTTGTTTTCTCAAATAACAGAGCATCTAGAAGTAAGGTAGGCTACAAGTTTAACTGCTTTAGTAGCTCATTAATGGCATTATGGACCTAGCTTCTTTCTGTTTTCTATTATGCCATCTGCAATGTCAGGCTTCAAACTAAGGCTGATTCCCTTTGTGATTTTTAAGTGGCTGCAACTGAGCTACATGTTTTCTTGTTCATGTGCAGCTGTCCAGCTGTAGGAGACACCAAGTTTTTTCTCACTCTGTTTTATAAACAAAGAATAATATTTCTAGAGGCTTCTAGCATTTCTCTTTTCATGTCTAATTGATAATAATTATGCCACTACAAGCATATCCCAGAGATTTGTGGGTTTAGTTGCAAACCACCACAATAAAGTGAATATTGAAATAAAGTGAGTCATGTGAATTTTTTGGCTTCCCAGTGCATAAAAAGTTATGTTTACCCTACACTGCAGTCTGTTAAGTATACAATAGCGTTATGTCTAAAAAACAACCTACATACCATAATTTAAAAATGTTTTACTGCTAAAAAATGCCAATGATCATCTGAACCTTCAGTGAGTCATAATCCTTTTGCTGGTGGAGGCTCTTGTGTTGATGTTGATGACTGCTGACTGATCAGAATGGTGGTTGCTGAAGGTTGGGGTGGCTGCAGCAATATGACAATAATAAGTTTGCCTCATTGTTTGACTTTTCCTTTCATGAAAGATTTCTCTGCAATGTGCAAAGCTATTTGCTAGCATTTTACCCATAGTAGAAGTTCTTTTAAAAATGGAGTCAACCCTCTCAAACCCTGCTGCTGCTTTGTCAGCTATCTGTATATAATATTCTAAATCTTATTCTGTCATTTCAACAGTGTTCACAGCATCTTCACTAGGAGTAGATTTCATCTCAAGAAACCACTTTCATTGCTCATCCATAAGAAGCAACTCGTCACCTGTTCAAATCTTATCATGAGATTGCAGCAATTCAGTCTCATCTTCAGGCTCCATTTCTAATTCTAGTTCTCTTGCTATTTTTATCACATCTGCACTTACTTCCTCCACTGAAGTTTTGAAGCTTTCAAAGTCATCCAAGAGGATTGGAATCAACTTCTTCCAAATTCTTGTTAAGGTTTATATTAGTCCATTTTGCATTGCTACAAAGAAATGCTGGATGCTGGGTAATTTATAAAGAGGTATATTTGGCTCACAGCTCTGCAGGCTGTAAAAGAAGCGTGGCACCAGGATTGGCTTCTGTGAGGCCTCAAATTTTACAATCATGGCAAAAGGTGAAGGGGGAACTTGTGTGTTACATAGCAAGGGAGGGAGCAAGAGGGGGATGCCAGGCTGGTTTTAAACAACCAGCTTTCGTGTGAACTAATAGAGCAAGACTTCACTTATTACCATGGGGAGGTCACTAAGCCATTCATTAAGGATCCACCTTCCTGGCCCAAACACCTCCCACCAGGTCCCTCCTCCAACATTGGGGATCACATTTCAACATGAGATTAGAAGTGGACAAATATCTAAACTATTTCAATGCTGATATTTCAGTCTCCTCCCATGAATCACAAGTGTTCTTAATGTCATTTAGAATGGTGATTTTTCTTCCCAGAATATTTTCAATGCACTTTGCCCAGATCCATGACAGCAGTCACTATCTATGGCAGTGATAACCTTACAAAACATATTTCTTAAATAATAATACTTGAATGTTGAAATGACTTCTTGATTCATGTGCTGCAGAATGGATGTTGTAATAGCAGGCATGAAAATAACATTAATCCCTTTGTACATCTCCATCAGAGCTCTTGGATGACCAGGTGAACAGTCAATGAGCAGTAATATTTTGAAAGAAATTTTTTTCTGAGTAGTGGGTTTCAACAGTGGGCTTAAGATATTCAGTAAACCATGTTATCCATAGATGTGAATCATCCAGGCTTTGTTCTTCCATCTCTAGAGCATAGGCAGAGTAGATTTAGCACAACTCTTAAGGTCTCTGGCATTGTTGGATTGATAAAAGATCATTAGCTTCAACTGAAAGTCACCAGCTGCATTATTCCCTAACAAGAGTCAACCTGTGCTTTGAAGCTAGGCATTGACTTTTCCTCTTTAGCTATTACAGTCTAGATGGCATCTTCTTCCAATAGAAGACTGTTTTGTCTACATTGAAAATCTGTTGTTTAACATGGCCACTTTCATCGATGATCTCAGCTAGATTTTTTGAGATAACTTCTTTTAGCTTCTACATTAGCACTTGCTGCTTCACCTTTCACTTTTATGTTATGGAGATGGCTTGTTTCCTTAAACCCCATGAACTTACCTTTGCTAGTTTCTAACTTTTCTTCTGCAACTTCCTCACATCTCTCAGCCTTGATAGAATTAAAAAGAATTATTAGGGCCTTGCTCTGGATTAGGCTTTGGCTTAAGGAAATCTTGTGGCTGGTTTGATCTTCTCTGCAGACCACTCAAACTTTATTATCAATAATGAGTCTGTTTTGCTTTCCTATTATTTATGTGTTCACTGGAATAACACTTCTAATTTCCTTAAAGAATTTTTTCTTTGCATTCAAAACTTGGCTAACTGGTGCTAGAGGCCTGGCCTTCTGTTTATTTTGCTTTCAACTTCCCCACTAAGCTAAATCTTTCCTAGCTTTTGATTTAAAGTGAGAGACATGCAACTCCGTCTTTCACTTGATCACTTACAGGCTATTATAGGGTTGTTAACTGTTCCAATTTCAATGGCGTTGTGTCTCAGGGAATAGGGAGGCCCAAGGAGAGGGAGAGAGACAGAGCCCTCAAAACACACATTATATTTATATATTAAAATTGCCATCTTATATTGGAGTGGTTCTTGGTGCCCCTAAAACATTATAATAGTAACATCAAGGATCACTGATCACAGATCACTGTAACAGATATAATAGTAATGACAAAGTTTGAAATACTGTGGGAATTACCAAATGTGACACAGAAACAGGAAGTAAGCATATGCTGTTGGAAAAATGGTGCCAATAGACTTGTTCCATGTAAGGGTTGCCACAAACCTTCAATTTATAAAAAAATACACCATCTGAGAAGCACACTAAAGTGAAGCACAATTAAACGAGGTATGTTTCCACTCATTCTTGAACAAATTATTAGCAAACTTAAGCTTAGATACAATTCTGAAACCATAGTTTTATTATTCAATGGGACAATGGTAGAATAAATATTGGGTGTCTTTTATAAGGTTCACCACTGTTACTTTATTCAATGGTTCTGGACTTAATCTGCTATACTTTTTAGTTTACATTATAACCTTTCATATTGTATCATTATTATACAAAGCACAATATGGTAGAAATCATCTATCACAGAGGCATTTATTAGATATAAAATATCTTTTTTTCCTATTTTTGAGTGGTTATAAGAATCTGCTTGAATAAATTTCAGATATCTGGGAAACCAAAACTTAAAATGCTTCTCCCTCACTGCCACTGCTGGCCTAGATCAGGAAGAATTTCTGAGGGTAGTAACAGAGTGTTAATCTTCAATTATTAGAGAAAATGCTAAAATTCCATAGGGCAGAGCTTCAATCAGACAATGGGAATAAATCACAAGATAGACTGGTGGCAGGTATAAAGTTGGCAGAAGCTATAGAATAGTCTCTTCTAGAATTTTCCATGATTTAAACCTTTTCTTAGTGTGTATAGTTTTTAAGTCTGTGTTTTGAGAAGAGATATAGGCTTAAGTGTGCATATATGCTCATATCTGTATATTGGAAGAGGGAGAGGATTTATAGCTTTGCAATAGGATTACTATCAAAACGAATAGCCAGCTGATTATTCAGAATGCGAGACCTAAGCCTAGCTACTCTGAGCAATAGAAAAACAAAAGTTCAATACTTGCTCTACCATAAACTTTGAAAAATATATTGCTCTGACAGTGACAGAAAGCCAAACACTAAGATATTTCTTATTGAATGTAATGATTCTCTTATCTTTAGTTTTTGTCAGCAGTTTAGGGCTTTAGCAATTCCAAACTTTTGCTGTGTCAAACATTGTGTTAAAGAAGAAACACATTTGGGATTGATATTGTGTTTTTCAATTATACTAGGTTAGTTCATTTACTCATTAAATATATGTTGAAATACTCCAATGCTGTGCTAGGTGCTGAGGATACATTGGTGAACAAAACATCTCTCTGCATTCATGATTCTTACAATTTAGTAGAATATGGCTGGAAGCTAGAAAATTGGTTTGGTAATGATGTAGACTGCTGAAAATGAAGACCAGAAGGAGCCTCATAGTTATTCCAGTCCATAGTCTCATGTGAAAGAGTTAGGGATGAAAATCTAGACAAGTTTCATTACTTGGCTGAGGTCAAATTAAGTCAATGGCAGATCCAGAAATAGAACCAATCTCTCTGCTCACTAACTCCCAAGATCCTTTTTGATGACACTGAACTCGTTCATCTTGGTGAAGTGCTGGATCAGGAATGCAACACAGTGTCTCTGAGAGTCACAGGGTGTGCCATGTTACCCTTGGAGGTTCAGTTCACTCCTAAATCAGGTCCTGAATGTGAAGCAGACATCGTTTGGACATTATCTCATTTTCAAACTCCAGTAAGGTATATTTGCGTCACATTATCTTACAAAAGCAAACATTTAGAATACTAAGTAGCTGTGAGATGATTATTATTTTTTAAATAAATGAGGTAGTTTAACAGATAAGGCATATACCCCAATAATACAGATGATACATCTTTGTAATCATTCTGCATTGTTTCATCTGGCTGTGAGAGTACTGCCAAGGAAACTGGAAGAATTGGGTTTCATGAATTATTCATTGAATTCAGTTTAACACTCTCATTATTTATAGTGTTTCAGGTTAGTCTGTGGTGCTATTTGCCTTAATAAGGATGGGAATAATGACTTGACAGTGTATCTGTTTGTATTATTGTGTGTTATTGTTTACTGAAATAAAGCCCAAGGTATTTTTAGAAATATACCTCTTTAAAAAGTCATGGCTGAAAAATACTACATTCCATACTTCGGGGCCTAAAAATTTTTATTTGTATAAAATATTTTATTCTTTAATGAATATGATTAACAAGGGGGCAGCATTCACATTTAAGGTATTGTTTCTTGTTCTGCTAATGCATGGTGGGACTGTATAAGTCTTTCTAAGCCTGGTTTATCTTGGAATTTAAAAAGTAGTATTTAAAGAGACAAACTAGAACAAGCTTGATTGACGGTGGTTTATATACTGCTGCTCTGACATTTGAATTTGAATCATGGATATCTATTTTAGAGAGAAAAGTTTATATGTTAGATCATAGCAATTATTTCTTGAGTTATTTGTTAGATTAAATTTATGTATACGTTGCATTCAATGGGTAAACATATTTGATGGGCCATTTCTGAAGAATGCAATTTATTAAATCTCAGCATGAAGGGAGGTATTTTTTGCTTATTTTTTGGGAGTGTTTCATTAGGATCTATTAATGGTTGCCTATTAAAGTAACAGGAGAGACTAGAAGAGAAAGGAAAGGTATTTAGATGAAAGAGCAAGAAATAATGAATCACTAATACCCAGAAAATATTTCTAATAATTTTCTACACTATTGGATTTCTTGCCATTTTAAAAGAAGCTAGATACATAGCCATAGCTCTATACAACAATGGTTGGGGGATTAGTTTGAATTTCCTTAGCCATATAGTTTTCCATCTCTTTTGGATGTAAAGCACCGTGCTTCTCTTCAATCACACATGCCATTTTTAATTGTCAAGCTGTGATTAGATCACAGTGCAGGCAACTTTGTCTTAATTTGAAGTGTGATTCAAAGCTGCTTTGTGAGGATTTGCCAACAGTCCTGTAGTTCACCTCTATTTTGGAGAAAATTCACAGATTGGTTATATAAAAAATTCATGATCTCTAACATCAACTGGGATCTCAATGCTATTGAGAAATCCTTTTATGGTTCCTTAGTCATGTCTTTCCTATTTTTCACAGCAGCTACTTAAAATTTCTTTATCCTCTTCAAGTTAAACCCCTCCACTTCCTCCATTATTATTAACAGATAACCCCACTTTCTCCTTTTCAGAGAAAACAGAACATTGGATGCATACTTCCTCATTCCCTGCTACTGATAAACAACTTGACCTAATACAGCCGTCCTTTTATTTTCCTCCTGTGAAATGAAAGAGGCACTCTTTCTTCCATTTGAGGCTGTTCATTTCACTTAGAGAACACTTCCTTCTTCTATGTCCCCAGATATGTTGCATATCAATGATTTCCTCCTTTTTAAAAATATTTTTAACTTCTTTCCTTTTTTTTTTAAGACGAAGTCTTGCTCTGTCGCCCAGGCTGGAGTGCAGTGGCGCTATCTCGGCTCACCACAACCTCTGCCTCCCGGGTTCAAGCGATTCACCTGCCTCAGACTCCAGAGTAGCTGGAATTATAGGTGTGCACCACTGCACCTGGCTAATTTTTGTATATTTAGTAGAGATGGGGTTTCACCATGTTGGGCAGGCTGGTCTTGAACTCCCGACCTCAGGTAATCCGCCCGCCTCGGTCTTCCAAAGTGCTGGGATTACAGGCATGAACCACCTCACCTGGTCTTCTTTCCTTTAATACCATAACGTGTATTAGTTATCTTTTGCGGCATAACAACTTACCAGCTTAAAACAACACATATTTATTACCTCACAGTCTCTGTGCATCAGAAATCCGATAATGACTAAGCTGGGTGATTTTGGCTCAGAGTCTCTCATGAGGTTGCAGTCAAGATGTCTGCTAAGGCTGACAATTATCTGAAAGCTTGATTAGGGTTAGAAAATCCACTTCTAGGATGTCTCACTTAGAGGGCTATTGGCAGGAAGCCTCAGTTTCCTGCCACATGGACCTCTTCAAAGGACTACTTCAGTGTCTTCACAACATGACACTGGCTGCCTCCAGAGCTTAGCAATCCAAGAGAACAAGGAAGAAATTACAATGTCTTGGCCAGGCACCGTGGCTCACATCAGTAATCCCAGCACTTTGGGAGGCTGAGGTGGGTGGATCACCTGAGGTCAGGAGTTCGAGACCAGCCTGGCCGACATGGTGAAACCCGTCTCTACTAATAATACAAAAATTAGCCGGGCATGGTGGTACAAGCCTGTAATCCCAGCTACTCGGGAGGCCGAGGCAGGAGAATTGGTTGAACCCAGGAGGCGGAGGCTGCAGTGAGCCGAGATCGTGCCATTGCACTCCAGCCTGGGTGACAAGAGTGAAACTCCGTCTCAAAAAAAAAAAAAAAAAAAAGAAAGAAAGAAATTACAATGCCTTTTATGACTTAGCTTCATGAAGGAATCACACACCTTCATTTCTGTATTATCCTATTGTTTATATAGGTCTGTCCTATTGAATGTGAGAGTTCGGGCATTGTGAAGTGGAAAGAGAACTACACAAAGCCATGAATACCAGGAGGCAGGAATCATGGAGGTGATTTTGGAGGCCGACTCCCATACCTTCCCATAAGCATTTAAACATATTCAGTTTTCTCCTATTTTAAAACAAAACAACAGCACAAAATTACTACTCAAAAACAATAATCAAATCAATAAAATCTCCCTGTAGCAACAACTCCTTCTAATCCTGCCTTATTTTTCTCCTTTTTCTTTTTCTACTTTACATTCGAGCCTCTTGGAAATGTTGTTCATGTGCTCTGTTGCTGTTTCATTACTTGCATTTATTTTTCAATCTGTTTGCAGATAGCATCCTTTCACTTCACTGAAGTACTTCTGTCAAGGTCCTCACTTCCTTGTAGCTGAGTCCAATGGGCATTTTCCAGTTCCTTTTACTATTACTTGACTTATCAGTAGCATTTGATGCTGCTGACCCAGTCACACTCTCTTTTTCCTGAAATACCCTCTTCCAGTAGTTGCTCTGGCATGTTACTCTCCCATATTTCATCCAGTTTCTCTGTCTTGCTCCTTTTCAGTCCCCTTTGCAGAATCCTTTCTTGCTGTCCATTATTTACCATTCTTTAGGTAATACTCAAGGTTTTGCCATACTTTTTTTCTCTGTATACTCTCTTGGGTCCTATTCAGCACCGTCATGGCTTTAAGAATTACCTCTATGGTGCTGACTCCCAAATCTACATCTCTAGGTCACAATTATCTTTTTTTTTGGAGGGGGGGTTGGGAGGACAGGGTCTCACTCTGTCACCCAGGGTGGAGTGCAGTGGCGCGATCTCAGCTCACTGCAGACTTCGCCTCCCGGGTTCAAGTGATTCTCCTGCCTCAGCTTCCTGAGTAGCTAGAATTACAGGTGCCTGCCACCATGCTTGAACCGGGAGGATAATTTTTATATTTTTGGTAGAGACAGGGTTTCACCATGTTGGTCAGGCTGGCCTTGAACTCCTGACCTCAAGCGATCTGCCTGCCTTGGCCTTCCAAAGTGCTGGGATTACAGGCATGAGCTGCCGTGCGTGGTCTCACAATTATCTTTTAAATCAAACCCAACAACTTTCTTATCTTTATTTGTTTATCATGCATATATCTTACACTAATAATATCTCAAACCCCATTTAATATCTTCCTTTCAAACTTTCTCCCCCTACTATGTTTCCAGTCTCTGTGAAAGGCATCTTTATCCATGTCAACCTAAAATAATCAAAAGGCTCAGGATCCAGTTAAAAGAGTTTATTCAAGTGCAAAGTGTGAGGGCAGCTGTTTGGAAAGCATTAAGGCTTAACTTTTCCCCTTGGCATAATAAATTTGAAAGGTCCTTAAATTTTGTTCTCTTTTTACATCCACCATGTAGTAAATTCAAGAAACTCAGCACCATTCACACCTGTTCTTTCTCTCACCTCCATCATATCAACTAGCAAGTTGTGATGACTGTAATTTTAAAAATATTTTTTGGATCAGTCCATTTATCTCCATTCCCTTTTCCATTTCCATTTGTTCAAGCCCTTTTGACTTCCTCCCTGGATTACCATAAAACTTCTAAACTGTTGTCTTAGTGTCTACTCTTGCCCTCTTGTAATCCATTCTCCACATTCTCTTACAAAATACAAATCTGAATATGTCATTCTCCTACTTAAAATGCTTCTATTCAATTTCTCTTGTCTGGCAATGCCACATTTAACAATTGTTACAGTTTTTAAATATATTTTAATGTTTAAAGCCTCACTAATTTTCCCTTTTGAAAATTTTGGCTATTCCTAAATCTTTCAAAATGAATACGTCTGTGGAAATAAAGTAGTGCACCAAAGATTCATTCCACACTTTCATTACTGCCCCTCAGGGGAAATATGTTTGTAGAGGACAATACCAGAAAAAGGGATATACTTTTTTTTTCTTTTTTTATTTTATTATTATTATACTTTAAGTTTTAGGGTACATGTGCACAATGTGCAGGTTTGTTACATATGTATACATGTGCCATGTTGGTGTGCTGCACCCATTAACTCATCATTTAGCATTAGGTATGTCTCCTAATGCTATCCCTCCCCCCTCCCCCCACCCCACAACAGACCCCAGAGTGTGATGTTCCCCTTCTTGTGTCCATGTGTTCTCATTGTTCAGTTCCCATCTGTGAGTGAGAACATGTGGTGTTTGGTTTTTTGTCTTTGCAATAGTTTGCTGAGAATGATGGTTTCCAGTTTTATCCATGTCCCTACAAAGGACATGAACTCTTCATTTTTTATGGCTGCATAGTATTCCATAGTGTATATGTGCCACATTTTCTTAATCCAGTCTATCGTTGTTGGATATTTGGGTTGGTTCCAAGTCTTTGCTATTGTGAATAGTGCCGCAATAAACATACATGTGCATGTGTCTTTATAGCAGCATGATTTATAATCCTTTGGGTGTATACCCAGTAATGGGATGGCTGGGTCAAATGGTATTTCTAGTTCTAGATCCCTGAGGAATCGCCACACTGACTTCCACAATGGTTGAACTAGTTTACAGTCCCACCAACAGTGTAAAAGTGTTCCTATTTCTCCACATCCTCTCCAGCACCTGTTGTTTCCTGACTTTTTAATGATTGCCATTCTAACTGGTGTGAGATAGTATCTCATTGTGGTTTTGATTTGCATTTCTCTGATGGCCAGTGATGATGAGCATTTTTTCATGTGTCTTTTGGCTGCATAAATGTCTTCTTTTGAGAAGTGTCTGTTCATATACTTTGCCCACTTTTTGATGGGGTTGTTTGTTTTTTTCTTGTAAATTTGTTTGAGTTCATTGTAGATTCTGCATATTAGCCCTTTGTCAGATGAGTAGGTTGCGAAAATTTCCTCCCATTCTGTAGGTAGCCTGTTCACTCTGATGGTAGTTTCTTTTGCTGTGCAGAAGCTCTTTAGTTTAATGAGATCCGATTTGTCAATTTTGGCTTTTGTTGCCATTGCTTTTGGTGTTTTAGACATGAAGTCCTTGCCCATGCCTATGTCCTGAATGGTAATGCCTATGTTTTCTTCTAGGGTTTTTATGGTTTTAGGTCTAACGTTTAAGTCTTTAATCCATCTTGAATTAATTTTTGTATAAGGTGTAAGGAAGGGATCCAGTTTCAGCTTTCTACATATGGCTAGCCAGTTTTCCCAGCACCATTTATTAAATAAGGAATCCTTTCCCCATTGCTTGTTTTTCTCAGGTTTGTCAAAGATCAGATAGTTGTAGACATGCAGCGTTATTTCTGAGGGCTCTGTTCTGTTCCATTGATCTATATCTCTGTTTTGCTACCAGTACCATGCTGTTTTGGTTACTGTAGCCTTGTAGTATAGTTTGAAGTCAGGTAGTGTGATGCCTCCAGGTTTGTTCTTTTGGCTTAGGATTGACTTGGTGATGTGGGCTCTTTTTTGGTTCCATATGAACTTTAGAGTAGTTTTTTCCAATTCTGTGAAGAAAGTCATTGGTAGCTTTATGGGGATGGCATTGAATCTGTAAATTACCTTGGGCAGTATGGCCATTTTCACGATATTGATTCTTCCTACCCATGAGCATGGAATGTTCTTCCATTTGTTTGTATCCTCTTTTATTTCATTGAGCAGTGGTTTGTAGTTCTCCTTGAAGAGGTCCTTCACGTCCCTTGTAAATTGGATTCCTAGGTATTTTATTCTCTTTGAAGCAATTGTGAATGGGAGTTCACTCATGATTTGGCTCTCTGTTTGTCTGTTATTGGTGTATAAGAATGCTTGTGATTTTTGCACATTGATTTTGTATCCTGAGACTTTGCTGAAGTTGCTTATCAGCTTAAGGAGATTTTGGGCTGAGACGATGGGGTTTTCTAGATATACGATCATGTCATCTGCAAACAGGGACAATTTGACTTCCTCTTTTCCTAATAGAATACCCTTTATTTCCTTCTCCTGCCTAATTGCCCTGGCCAGAACTTCCAACACTATGTTGAATAGGAGTGGTGAGAGAGGGCATCCCTGTCTTGTGCCAGTTTTCAAAGGGAATTCTTCCAGTTTTTGCCCATTCAGTATGATTTTGACCGTGGGTTTGTCATAGATAGCTCTTATTATTTTGAGATACGTCCCATCAATACCTAATTTACTGAGAGTTTTTAGCATGAAGAGTTGTTGAATTTTGTCAAAGGCCTTTTCTGCATCTATTGAGATAATCATGTAGTTTTTGTCTTTGGTTCTGTTTATATACTGGATTACGTTTTTTGATTTGTGTATATTGAACCAGCCTTGCATCCTGGGGATGAAGCCCACTTCATCATGGTGGACAAACTTTTTGATGTGCTGCTGGATTTGGTTTGCCAGTATTTTACTGAGGATTTTTGCATCAATGTTCATCAAGGATATTGGTCTAAAATTCTCTTTTTTTGTTGTGTCTCTGCCAGGCTTTGGTATCAGGATGATGCTGGCCTCATAAAATGAGTTAGGGAGGGTTGCTTCTTTTTCTATTGACTGGAATAGTTTCAGAAGTAATAGTACCAGCTCCTCCTTGTACCTCTGGTAGAATTCGGCTGTGAATCCATCTGGTCCTGGACTTTTTTTGGTTGGTAAGCTATTGATTATTGCTACAATTTCAGAGCCTGTTATTGATCTATTCAGAGATTCAACTTCTTCCTGGTTTAGTCTTGGGAGGGTGTATGTGTCGAGGAATTTATCCATTTCTTCTAGATTTTCTAGTTTATTTGCGTAGAGGTGTTTGTGGGATATAATTTTTTTTAACCTGAGATTTAACTCAAAACCCCAGGGAAGTCCTGAAGGCTAGTGAGTTAGGTTAGTTCTGGAGGACTTTTTTTCCCTAGAAGAGTCCGATCAAAGTGCACTCCTTTTCCCTCAAGCTTTCTCTGGTTCCCACATAGCTGTTTAAGGGGAAAGAAGGCAATGAGGTATAGGTGGAGAGAGTGCCTCTTCCCCCAAAAGTGAAATACTTGAGTTCTATCTTATGTCTCCAGCATCATGGAAGTTAGACATTCTCAAAAGATACCTAGCACTATAACCCAAAGATTACCTTGGAATTTGTCTAGTTTACAAGAAGACTCTTCCTTCTTATGGACACAGAGAATGGGGACAGGGAGGGATGAGGAGCCTTCAGAATTTTCCTCTAGAATTAATAGTGGTTTGTTTTACTACCTTTCTTCAAGAAACTGGCATTGGAATTGTGCTAACATCAAATTCAAAAATATATTTCTTTGTTGGATGCTAATTATTGAAGAGGAAAATTTCATTAACAATATGTTTACTGATAACCCAGGGGTGAATTTTTTTGTGTCTGTTTCTGGCTTCTTAAAATTAAAGCTGGAGACTTAGCACATAGAGCAACCTGATAGAGGTGATTTCAAGGCCATTGTGCTTTATATAACTCCAGGGGATGCTATTCAAACAGACTATAAAGTATGTGTGTGTGCCTTTCACACAAATTTCTCAGTGCATAATGCCCATGGAGTTTTCAAATGTAGTAGTGGCCCAGGTGAGTCTTTGAGGGACTAAACTAATATGGTCCAACTATGTAGACTTTTGGTGGTCCAACTTGATTCTTATCTTTATTTTTATAGTAATGTGAAACTGTCTTTTTCTTAGACTTTGTAAATAGTTTAGAGCATGTAGAGAAAAAAAGGCAGATCGTTTTCTTTTAGGGCAATTTGTCTCAAATTTTCTTGCCTAGGTCTGTAAAGAAAGAGGAAAACAGACAATTTGAGGTTGTATTTTTTGACAAGGGCATAGAATCCTTTCTATGAATGACTGAAGGCAGGACCGCATGGGATAAAAACAGATAAGAAGGTAACAAAGTTAGCATTCTATTCTGAAATGTCAGGAGCCTAATCAGTGTGCTGGCTTGAGTGGAAAACTGGGCGATTTTTATCATCATTCATTAATTTATTCAACAAATATTTATTCATTAAAACTATATGTACTATGGTGAACACATCAAATATGCTCCTTATCCTGATGGAGACTTAATAGAGTCTAAGGACAAGTAAATGGGCAACTAATGAAGTGTAATAAATGCTGTCTTAAAGTAGAGGAATGTACTTGACCTAGACTTAGATGGCTAGTACCACAGAAGACTTTCTAGAGGAAATGACATTCAGGCTGAGATGTGAAGGATGAATAGGGATTAGCAAGACAAAGGAGATATGGATGAATGCTCTAAGCATGGCAATATGGGATAGATTGTACTCAACTCTGTTGAAGCAAAAGGTAGGAGAGTTTTATAAGCATTAGAGTGAGCTATTGGAAGAGTATTGGAGGGCATTAGGGAGTAGATTGGTCAGTGTGATTAGGCCATGTATGTTGCTCATTGGTGCTTATTGAAGTTAGACTTCTACCTTCCAACAGAGACTGAGAGATAGAAGCTGTCTTTCTTGATGATTACATTTCAAAGGGATGGCTCTTAAGTTCTTGAGAAAGACTTTCCTAGATTGTGTTTACAATCTCAAAGGAGCAGAAAAAAGAACTGACAATTGAAAGTTTTCTGAAAGTGAATACTGTAAGAAGAGAGATTGGGGGCTTATATTGAGGAGAAACTTGTCTAAAGTTGAGTTAAGCAGAAGGGAATGCTAAGGCTGTTTGGTCATGTTAAAAATAAAGTTAGAAAATAACTGTTGATAATTTTGAGACTAAGTTTTAAATATTTAAGGAGCTGGGGTTGTTGAGTTTTTGTAACTAATTATTTGAATTGCAAAGGTATTACACAGTATTTCAAACCTCTCTAGACAGTCTGCTTAAGTGTAACATTATTCTTTTTACATTTGTAGTAATATGAAACTGTCTTTTATTTTAGGAGTTGCATTTAGATTGAATGGAAATTTTTTCTTTCTTCAAACTCATTTCCATATCACTGCGAAGATAATTTTTCTAAATGAGATATTTGATGTTACAAGCCTTCTGTGATCCTTTCTCTTCAATTTCAGAATAAAATCCAAACTCTCCAGCATGATATTCAAGGTCTTTCTTAACAAAGATTCTATTCACCTTTCTAGCCATCACTTTCACCCTTTACGGTTTCTACAGCCCTTTATTTTTCAAAGGTTTATGCAGTTTCCTCAGCCTAAGTTGCTGCTGTCTCTTTTTTTTTGAAGATAATTCTTTCAACTGGAATGACCAAAATATGTCTTGGCATCTATCAAGCTGTATTTTTTTTCTTTCTCCCTGATTAGACTGCAAGCTCCTTGAAGGCAGGAACTGTAACTTTCATCTCTTTTTTCCCTAGTCAAGTAGAGTGGCTGACAAGTAATGAATACAAGCCTTTGTTGTATAAATGAATGGACAAAGGTGGGCAACTAATTTCTTTGAGAACATTATGGTTTGCTATTTGGTGACTTATTGAGTTATTGTTAATAAAATAAAGAAATTTTCCTGTTAACTCTTTATTGGTAATTTTATTCTTTGTTCTTGCAACTAATCTAAAAAGAGAAGACATAATAGCACTTAAACATCCATAGTTAATTAAACTAAAACATTAATCATTGTTTTTCTGGAGATATCATCTGGTTTATAATGGGTTAAGGAAGTAAATATGTTAGCAAATTGGAATCTCTACTTTTAGTAAAAGACTGAAAAATGATGTATCATCCTTGAATTTTTTTCTAATAGATAAGCTGCTCTGTGGGTAGAAAAACTTTAGAAAGATTGGAGAGTGTCCAATTCAAATGAAGCAGTGTTTAGTCTATTTAATTAAAAAAACCAGATGGATTATCTGGCCTGCTGATGGCTAGAAGCTTTGTGAAGATAACATCTCTTTTTACTCAGAAGGAAATAGAAGGGGAGACTACCTATTGAAAAAGTCTTTTATTTTTATCAACCTCCTCAGAGTCTGTTCTCAGCACACTGCTGACTTTTAAAAAGATTGGATAGGAATCAGAGAGGATTAAGGGCGAGTCCTCTAAAACATGGTAAAAATCTGTTGCATTTTTTAGATGACAGAAAGTCTTAAGCGTGCCATTTAGGAGCTCACTTCCAAATTTATCTTATGCTTATTTATATATTTTATATATTTCTTATTTTATTTCAGGACAACTTGTCCATTTAGATAGTATTCATGGCATCAGAGAGCTACTTTTTCTGGAATTTCTGCTATATAAGAATTTTCTATTGTTCTCTAAGGCTTTTAAAAAAATTTTGGTAGGTTTTAGTAAGTGTGCTATTTATTCATTCATGAGTTAAACAAATATATATTGATATAGATTTAGTTCTTGCTCACATTGAACTTACAGTCTAGAAGGGAGATAGGCTTTAATCAAATGATCTTACAAATGAATTTGAACTTATAATTATGATCAGTACCATAAAGGACTTATGTATGGTATCCTGAGGGCAGTCATTTGAAGGATGAGTAGAAATTAATCAAATAATTGTGAAAGTGGTGGTGAAAGTGGTGGGAGGTACTGGAAGACAGTATTTGAGCTGAGGGAGCATCATATGCAAAGGACCAATGGTGGAGGGGCACATAAGGTTCAAATTATGAAATAAAGCCATTGTAACTGGAGGGCAGACATAGCTCCATGTCATGTTGGGACATGATGGAGTTATGCTCAGACCTGACCTTGCAGAGTTTTGAAGACCATGTTAAGGATATTGATCTTTATCAAGAGAAATGGAAAGTCACTGAAGTATTCTAAATAGGACGGTTAACATAGTAAGATTTGCATTTTGATGAGATCATTCTGGCTGCAAGTGAAGAATGGAAGGAAAAGAGTCATGCCTAGATACTAGTTAGGAAGCTCTTGTGAGATTACAGGTAAGAGATAGTGGGAATTTGGACTTAGGTGGACAAGGTTTGCCCCATACAGTTGTATAGCTAAAGCACTGCACAAAAGCTCCCAACTCTACTTACTCACAAGACTACATCTATTCAAAGGGAGTGTCAGTTGATGATGGATGAGAAATGTGAATTAAGAGATAAGGAATGTGAAAGATGACTCCTGAGTTATGGACTAAGCCACTAGATAGATGGCGATGTTACTCAATATATGTGGTTGAATTTGTAACTTGAAGAATATCTTTCTATGGGTTGATATATAAGTTGTTTTTGCAATATACACCCAAATACTCTCTCTAGCACCATCGTCTACTATTCGTCTGGATGTACAGAATAGCCTAGCCATAGTAATGATGCAGAGTTCCTGAGAATTGAAAGGCAATTTCATGCTTCCATGCCTTTGCTAATGCTATTTTCCCTGACTAGATTAGAATAGCTTTCCCCTTTTCAGACTGAAAAATTCCTAATTGAAAATTTAAGGCCTATCCAAAGAAGACCTAATCTATGCAGCTTCTCACCACCTCCTTCTGCCCAAGGAAGAATGAATTGTACCTTCTTATGTTGTCCCTGAACATCTTGTACATGCCTTTCATACCACTTAACCAATTACCAGTTGACATCTTCCATTAATTCATGGACACCTTGAGAGCAACAACTTTTTCCTTCTCTCTCTCTCTCTCTCTTTTTAAAGAGATTAGTTTTCTTTTTCTTTTTCCTTTTTTTTTTAATCACACAGTTTAAAGGGTCATATAATAAACCACAACTTGTTTCAAAAAACAACAGACCCCTCTATCCTCTTGCTTCCCATTTTCAGAGACAACCAATTCCAACAATTTAACCATTTGCTTTTGACCATGTATTACCAAATATTTGAACAACAAACTTGTATTGTTTATTTTTCAGTTATAGGTATTACCTATTGACTCCTTTCTATGAGGGATGATAGCTTCTTTTTGTTTAAATGAAAGATTTAATGTTTTTCCTTACCCTCTACCCCAAGCATATATATTCAGTAGTGTATACATATGCTGTCATACACTTCTTCTCCCTCATCCTCTCAATCAGGTTATATTATAATTTTGGTTAGATAAAAATTAAATGTTTACATTGCTATGACTTTGTATATTCTCTTGAAATCTGAACCATGCAGTAGGCATGTATGCACAGCTTTCTGTTTTCCTTGAGGTTAATAATACTCTTTATTGTTTGTTTTGTTTTCTATGTACTTATTAATTTATCTTTTCTCAATATGTTCAAACACATCAGATATTCCATCAATTTCATCTTCTTAAGAAGCTGCACAAAAAGTGTTGAAAATGCCTTTATTCTATTTTTACATATAACTGGTAGTTTGGCTATTATGGAATTGTAGCAAATAATTCTTGGAAATAATAAAATCTAGGAAATGGTTTTCAAGTCATTGTGCCCTGACCTTCAGCTTCCAGTGTGGCACTTGAGAAGTCTGACTTTATTCTGATTCTTGATCCATTGTATGAAACTTCTCTTGGGAGCCTCATAAAAGATGGGCCTGCAGTAGTCAGAGAAATTCTTACATTGACTTTCAATACACAAATAGGCATGTTGGCATTCTGGGGAGAACATGAGTTAGACACACTTTGTTCAAATCTTGGCTCTGCCTGTAACTGGCTGAGTGACAGTGGGGAAGTGCTTTAATGTGCCCGATCCTCAGTTTCCTCAGCTGAAAATGGAAGAAATGATATCCGTCAGGTGAAGTTAGGTAAGCATTGGAGCTAAGGAGACCTATAGAAAATATTTTACCAAAGCTCATTATTATTATTCTTTTTGTATTACCATGAAAAGAGAATCAGCAACTATTTCTGAAGATGTTGATATTTTACTGAATTTCAAGTAACTGCACAAGGATAAACCATGACCTTTCAATTAGGCAGAATTTTGTCTTTCCTTTCTTTCTTTTTTCTTGTATAATGTAAGTCCTTCTCCAAAGTCCTTAGAATTATATTTTAAATTCCTTTAAAGTTTTTTTGTGATTATAGAAGTAAAATATTCATGGTAAAATATCTAGCAAATATAGAAGCAGAAGGAATTAGGAGCTCAGATGTTAATTTATTGGTTTATTTCTACCTAATACTGATAGAACAGGGAAGATGACTTGGGAGGTCAACAGCTGCATATGCAGATGTTCCTCATGAATATGAGTCGTATTTATGTCCTATGGATTAAAATACTAGTTGATTGAACTCTTAGTTAATGCATTTCATAAAAATAGGAGATGTGCTTCAATAGAGCCAAATTAATTTGAGTAGAGTATGCTAAATCTAATATAATGAAAGAAAGAGAAAAATACTCAAATAAACCAGTGAAAATAGTAGTTAATGATGATATCATGTATGACTTGGAGAAAAGAGTGAAGAAGATGCTTTCTATAGATGATACAACAATTACAAAGAGATCAAGACTGCTACTTGTGTCCTCAGATTTCTCCTTAGCATTATATTAAAAATGAATAATCAACAAAGGAAACTTAGGAAACATTGGTGATTTCAAACTGAGAACTGGAATATAGTTGGGTAACAGAATATGTTATCTAAAAGAATAGACATGTTAATGAAGGGGCAGAAAGGCTGTAATACCTTTACTCCGCTACATATGTTATAAGGGCCACAGCCAGCACTCTTATAACAAAAGACAGGTTAACAAGAGAAAAGCTTAACAGATTTATTTAATCAAAGTTGCATGTGACATGAGAGGCTTCAGAAATGAAGAGCCAAAGACTCTGGGAAAATTGTCAGTTTTTATGCTTAGGTTCAATTAAGTATAGACAACTGTGTAGAAATGTGATTAGACACAAAGGATATAGGCGGACCAAGCATAGTGGCTCATTCCTGTAATCCCAGCACTTTGGGAGGCCGAGGGGGGAGAATCATTTGAGCCCAGGAGTTCAGGACCAACCTGGTCAACATTGTAAGACATCTTCTCTATTAAAAAAGTTAAACGGGTATGGTCTAATGGTAATAGACTAAGGCAGGAAACCCAGCAAAGCCTATTTGTTCAGATTCATCTTGACCTCTTTGTATAGCATTTTTTCCTCCCAGGTGTAGGGCAGGACCTCTTCTGGAACACGGGTCTTAGGACTACTATCAGGCAAGGTAGGACAGAGATTTCTTTTTGCCAGCTCTTTACACAGAAAGGTGGGGGAAGTTTAGGGCAATATTTCTAGTTTCTATGACCCACTATGGGGAAGAGGAGTTCAGTTTTTATGGCCTGCCTTGGAAGAGGGGAGAACGGGAGACAGGAGGACAGGAGAAGGTTAGAGAGGGGCTTTTAAGGCCCTTCCAATGTCCTCCAGTTTAAAGTAGTAAGCATGCTAAACACCATGCTTTGGGGTATTGTTTTCTGAGCCCCAACATTAGGAAGGTGCAGGGAAATGTTGCTGTGGGCAATTACAAATATGCCTATCAGAAAATCTATTGTTAAAGAGATAAAAGAAAAGAAACAATTGTATTGTGTAATTTTACTATTGGTCACATTGCCAAATGACAGAATAGATGGTAAGTTTGTATTATCAGATCACAAAACTCCATAATGGTGAGCTACGGTAGTGATGGATATTTTCAGCTGTTGGAAACATTCTAAACCTCTTATAAACCAAGAACATTTGACATGTTCTTGACTGGCTTTAGTGATAACTTCAGCTAACAGAATAAGAGATCCACTAGCTGGAACTTAATTCTGACCAGAGAGAGTTTTTTTCGGGTGATGAGTAAGGGAAAATATTTATCAAGTACTTAATGTGGCAGCCACTTTATATACATTGTATTTCTTAATTCTCCCAGTAATTTTATGAGGCAGCTAGTAGAATATTAGCTTCACTTTTCAAATGATGAAATCTGGGCTCAGGGAAGTAATGTAACTTGTTCATGGCCAAGTTATGAGTAAAATGCAGAATTACAATCCATGTCTTCCTGACTCAGCCTATTGTCTGTGACTGCATAACTGTAGACTTAATGACAACCAGTGAGAGAAGACTGGGCATGACGAACAGCGTAGATTTTAGGAAGGCAGATTTTACAAAGTTGAGAGGCAAAATATAGGCATAATTACATGGCATGGGTCCCTGAAAGAGATATGAGCTAGAAGTTTAGATATTATCAAAGAGTCAGCTTTTGCCATATGATTAAAATGAGGAAGAAGAGGCAGAAGAGCCCAAAGAAATCAACATGGAGACACTGAAGATTCTCAAATGAGATCAGATTTTAAAATCCATGAACAAAAAGAGAGAAAGAAGAGCACATGACTAAGAATGAATGAGAGACTGCCAGAGACTTTTAAGAATAGCATCAGAAGGCCTGTATCTTCAAATGACTTGAGTCTTATAGAAATATGATGAGGCTAAAAAGGCCTTTTAAAAATTTAGGGTATAGGCCAGTCAAAGAAGTGACATGTCCTGCTCAGGACTGATGGAAAAACAGATGGGTGAAAAAGAGAAGAGAGAATTCACAAATCCAATTTTGCCTTTATGTCCTCTGTAAGGAAAATGATCTTAAAATAATCTTATAATTAGTAAGGATAAAACAAGTATTTTAAAAAGGACAGTAGGCATCCTATTACAATCTCTTCACTTTCTTAGGGTTCTTCACTTTTTTTTTTTTTTTGAGACAGAGTCTCGCTCTGTCGCCCAGGCTCGAGTACAGTGGTGTGATCTCGGCTCACTGCAAGCTCCACCTCCTGGGTTCACGCCATTCTCCTGCCTCAGCCTCCTGAGTAGCTGGGACTACAGGTGCCCACCACCACGCCCGGCTAATTTTTTTTATATTTTTAGTAGAGTCTGGGTTTCACCGTATTAGCCAGGATGGTCTCGATCTCCTGACCTCGTGATCCACTCGCCTCGGCCTCCCAAAGTGCTGGGATTACAGGCCACCATGCCCGGCCTGGGCTCTTCACTTTCTTAGAGGGCCTCTAAGGCCTAAGAAAGTGAAGAGATTGTTAAGAGGATACCTACTGTCTGCAAGTGAATTCAGCCTTCATAATGACCTCTGAAAGGACTTAGAACTGAACTGCTATCAGTGTCTTGGTGTCTTAATTCAGTAGCGCTGGTTGCCCTGCAGCTGGGAACACTGACTCAACAAGTTAAAGTGGAATTACCACTGCAGTATAAACAATCAAGTGGGCTGTGTTTTGAGCTAAGGTTGGGAGGTTAGTAGATTTAGTCATCAGCACCAAGCAAAAGACAAAAATGAATAAAAGGGTTAAAGACTAGGTAAGACATTTGATCTGGCAGTGATGACAATCATGAGTGCGCAGTATCAGCCCTGGAAATTACTACACAAATGACAGGTGCGTTTTGTGATTTTGAAGGCAGGATAGTGAATGGGAAAATAAGCTGATATTGAACAGAGTTAGTAGATGCTGAGGGTAACTGAAAACTACAGTCCCAAAGGGAGCTGAAAAGAAGTTAAAGTTGTCAAGGTTCAGGGAGATTGGACTGGGGCAGCAAATGTGGGACCAATTCAAATAATTCTCTAGGATTGTTTTAAAAGCTGATCCTTCTTGTCCCAATGGCAGGATATTTTATTTCTCACAATTTTAAGCACAGTTTAAAAAACTATTTGAAATGTACCATTTTACAATGTTCATTATTAGAATAAATGAACTTTTTAAAAACACATTTCAAGTCTCAAAAATCTTAAACTTAGAATTTCTAGAGCTCAAATGTAAGCAACTTCATTCTGAAAACCATATGGGAAAAAGAATTATTTGTCAAAAATAGTTCAATGATACTGTCAAATAAAGATATCAGAAACAATGACTTGCTTTCCTCTGCTTCAGATGGCCCCGTGATGTGAATTCTTAGATTGCTATAGTGAATTCCAAATATAGCAGTGTCAACTTGGATAATATACAGTCATGTGTTGCTTAATACAGGGATATGTCCTGAGAAATGCATTCTTAGGTGATTTCATCATTGTGTGAACATCATAGAGGGTACTTACACAAACCTAAATGATATAGCCTACTATACACCTAGGCTGTATGGTATAGCCTATTGTTTTTAGGCTACAACTTGTACAGCATGTTACTATACTGAATACTGTAGGCCGTTGTAAGCAATGGTATTTGTATATGTAAATATATGTAAACATTGAAAAGGTACAGTAAAAATACAGTATTATAATCTTACAGGACCACCATCATACACAAGGACCATTGTCAACCCAAACATTATGTGGTACATGATTGTTCTTTAGTTTCTCTGGGTCTCACTCTCTATATCTATATAATAAAGGGTATAGCCTTGATGAGCCCTCTCTCTCTTTGTCTCTCTTTTTAGCTTTTACATTCTATGGTTTTCTGAGGTAGCCCAGAAATCAAGGTCTTATCAAAACAAGTGCAATCCATGTAAAAGAAACTGGCAAAAGGAGTGTATTGACCTTGTGACATCTTAAGTTCTTGCTGGCGGTTGACAGTTGGTTTCAAAGCATCCAGGTGTGAGAGTGAGCCTAGAAGGAATGTCAGGTCACAGAGAGAAACCAGGGCCTACAGAGGTTAGGAAAAGATTGAGATTTAAAAGAAAAAAGGTCACAAGTATGCCTGGAGATTAATGAGTCTAATTTATTTTAGATATTTCTAAGTTCAAGAGCTTATTATTTATTTCCCTCCTTTCACGAGCTACTGCTTTTTCCTTTGTCAGCTAATTTTGGTATATGTTATATTACTTCTTGGCTCTCCAACCCAATATTACTCTTTAAGCTTTAAAGTCTTAATTTCCTTTTATTTCTTCATTTTTGAATCTTGGCTCCAGCATCCTGGAAATGGTTCCAAAGGCACCTTGTCAGCAGCATTCAAGCCTCAACTATCTGAAGCAATAATAAACAAATTCCATTTTTTCTTCAGGGGAACACAAGAGAACCTTCAAAGTACAGTGTACTCAGTATCAAGAACCGTGAAGGGTCTAAGGTTTTGCCTGTTTGCAAATTCACAAGTTAGCTTGTACAGTTTCATGAAGGTTGTCAGAAGACCCAAGATTCCCTAGTCAGATACAAAAGATCTGTTACTCACAGATCAGCTGTTATTCAGAGCACAAGTGTCAGCATAGCTTCATGTTCCCCTTCATTTCCCAAGTCCTATGGCAGTTACATGGAGGTAGGCCCAGGTGGTTGCTGCACAGTGCTTTTGCAGGATTTTGAGGAATCTGAGTTTAGAAACCCCTATTTTTTATAAGGGACTGTAAGCAAATTTTCTCAAACTTTGCCCTGGGGGGAGCTCCCTTTACTACACTGAACAACATGTTTATTATATAAGCATCCTTGAAAAGATAGGTCAGTGCCCTGGCCTGCAAGAAACTTAAGAGACCATGAAGAATTGTCTCTCACCACCCAGTTTCACATAGTCCTTGCAAACTTAATAAAAAATAATAATAAAAGGCAAAATAAGACGAGCACTGGCTTTCAAGGTTTATTTAAAATATTTTCCCAGTTTTACATTTGTACTCAATTATTTAAATCTATTTCTTAAACAAAATATATAATATGTAAATTATGTATGTATATAATTTTAACTGTCATATTCCCAATTGTGTATTCTGTGGCAATTTCATGCTTACCCAGTGGAAGAAAAGCAGAAAATATTCATAGGATGAAAGTCCATAAAATAGTTTAATATAACAACATTTTTATTCAACTTTAGTTTAGAGCATAGGGTAAAAGAATCCCCTCAGTAAAAAGTTTTGCCTTCTTACTTCTATTGCATCTTTTATTCTTTAGTTTATAGTAAAATATTTTAATGTTACAGAGTTCCAAGAACAAAACATTTCCAATGTGCAACTGTAATTCTCTTGAACAAATCACTCTTTATTTTTTATTTTTTACAAATCACTCTTTATTAAATACGGGCTGTGGAAGTGACGAGAGTGGTGGTGTTGATGTGCTCAAAAGCCAGGACCTCATAAATGACATAACAAAGAAAATAAGAAAATATACTTCACAAGTCCTAGCCTCTGGGAAAAACATTTTGATAACCCTCGTTGTGGGCATATGTTAAATTATACCCTTCCTTATCTCTGTCTCTGGGTTGTAAGTCAGTCCCAAGTAAAAATAATTTATCCCTGAAATAGATATGTTAATAATTTAAAACAATATTATATTTATGCCAACAGTTCTCAAGACCATTGTGATTCAGTGTACATGGGAATGTAAACCATCCTGGAAAGGATTAAATGTTGAGGTTTTCACATTCCCTCATACCTAGGTGAAACATCTAATCAGTCCATTTAGTCAGGCTCCATATATACCACACAGTCCTGCTTCAAGAAGAAATTTCAAAAAAAATTATACTAATTTTATCAGAGGAAATGTGTATTTCCCATGAAGCAAATTTTGAAACCCCTGGACTCATGTTAAAAAACATTTTCAGTACAATCACAGAGACTGAGGGAGAAAATTTGACACCTGCATTTTAATACAGAGTTACTCATAGATAAGAACATTAAGTTGGAAACTTCGTTTATGTCTAGCCTCCCTTTCAGAAAAGGCCAGTGAAAAAATATAACGGACATTACCATTCCCAGCAGAGGGCAGAGTGATTTAACAACCTTGTGCCAGTGGCCAGGTATAATTGGAAACCCGTGGGGACCTCACCTAGAGATCTGCCCCTGTCATGCCAGTATCCCTATTGCTCACAGTCACCTTATCCTCTGGGCAGAAAGAGGAGGGAAGCCCCATCTCATATTGACCTCCCTTGGTCTCCTTGAGGTCTGGCACAGTTCCTTTTCCAACACGGTTAGCTGCTGCTTTTTCACTTCTGCTGTCAAAAATAGTTTGGGCTGAGAGTGCACAGGGATTATATGTCCCAGCTTCATTACATTCAGGTTTTCTACACATGTTCTAATTCTTTAGCTATCCTGGCTCTAACCATTACGAAACCTTGCAGAAGCACTCCTTGCTCTCTGTCTTCCAAGCTTTTATATTTTTGGCCAGCACTATGGACCTTGCAGAAAGCCCTTGCTAAAGGAACTTTGTGTTTTGGACATGTGGAAGTTGAGCCTTTCTTCCTTCCTTGCCCTGGGGAAAATTCTTGCAGTTTCATCATTTGAAAATCTCTCTGCAAGTTTCCTCAGGGACCTGAGAAGCCTTCCTTCTCCATCCCTCCCCCTGCCAATTTTTCAAATGGATCAGATATAAACTAGCTTGTAATTAGCATCTATCTTCTTGGGAAAATCCATCCCAGAGAATGTACCAGGCCCAGTTCCAGTTCTGCACCCTCCTCAGTGCAGGCCAGTGAGCTCTGTTACCTGGCCCCACAGAGTGATTCATCTCCCCATCCTCCCTTGGAGGTTGGAAGGACAGGCTGGGCAAACCAAACATCTATCTGCCCAGGTTATTTGGAATCCTTACACAGGAGTAAGCTGGTTAATAGCCCCCTTCTCCCCAGTGGGGGATTCCAGGTACTTGGTGTTTCCTTCTAAGCAGTGATGCTAACAAGTAGACCAGGAAAGACAGTATGGGCTTTAACTATATAATTTATCACTTAATTTTGGCTTGTCCAGAGTTATGGGGAGAAGTAGGGTCATCGGTTGGACCTACAGAGCATTTGTAAGAATTTAAAAAAGCCTCCCTTTCCACCAGGCTGATGCTGGCCTGATGAGTTCCATGCCCAGTGCTCAGCCTGGCAAATGGATTTCAGCCCCCACACAACCACTGGCCATGCATCCTTGGCCAAGGCCTCATTTAAGCTGCAAGAATGTAGAGATTCAGTTAATTTTGTGTTACATTTTTATAGTAATGACATGATGTAATGTAGTAGTGAGTTTATTTCAAAGGCAAATTCATTTTAATAGTTTTACAAATGACTCTAGTCTCCTATTTATGGAATCAGTAAGGGTCTCAAGTAATCACCTCAATTTTTCAATTGTACTTCATTGAATTTTATGAAGGGAATATATGCTTTTGTATATTCACAGTTTTGGGATTCATCAAGGTCTTAGAACATATCTTTGCACATAACAGAGTTCTATGGTATTTTCAAAGCATTTGAATGACCCTATATTCCTTTTCTTTATTGTAAGGCTACTCTATATAATGTAAGATTGGGTCTGTTTTATTTTTTCTTTTTCATTTTTCTTTAGACGAAGTCTTGCTCTGTCACCTAGCCTGGAGTGCAATGGCATGATTACGGCCCACTGCCCCCTCAACCTTCCAGGAATGCTTGAGCAGTCCTCCCACCTCAGCCTCCCAAGTAGTTGGGACTACAGGTATGTACTACTATGCCTGGCTAATTTTTTTACTTTTATTTTTGAACAAACGGGGCCTTCCTATGTTGCCAGGGCTGGTCTCGAACTCCTGGGCTCGAGCAATCCTCTTGCTTTGACCTCCCAAAGTGCTGGGATTGCAGGTATGAGCCACCACACCCAGCCAGATTGGGTCTATTTTAATATTATTTTACTTAAAACATTACATATCTTCTTTTTTCACATTCAAAACATCTAAAGAGACCTAATTTATACATATATGAGGTTAAACCAGTAGGGGTAGCAAATTTCTGCTTTGTTTTCTATAAAACCATGAAAATTAAATGTGCTGTTGTTAATCATTAATATAATGGGCATATTTATAATAAAAAGGTATGTATTTTATACAAATATGCAAACTAACAGGCTGTATCTTACATCAGACAATTGTATAATGAGGATAATAAATCGTAGGGTATTAAAATACATGACTTCTGAATATTTTTGGGTAAATTTCCAAAATACATTGTCTATTGTCTGGACTCAGAATATAATACCCCAAAGCATGGCATCTTGGTATACTAAGTATTTTGAACTGAAGGAGATTGGAAGAGCCTCAGAAGCAGAGACTCTGACCTTCTCTTGCCCTCTTGTCTCCTGCCCTTTTTATTCCTCCGAAGTGAGGCACGGGAACCCGAATTCCTCTTTTCCAAGGTGTGTTATAGACACTAGAACTTCTGTTCTCCAAAGCAAGCCATAAAACCTAAAATGGTCACTCTCTGACCTTCTCCCTTCTCCCTTGAAGACCTTCATTCCAGAGGGGTCCCACCCCATAATCTAGGGGGAGTAATGTTACACAAAGAGGCCAAGAAGAATCTGAATAAATGCGCCTTGCTAAGTTCCCCTAGTTTATTACTGTTAGATCATAGTGTTTTTTTGTCCAGTAACATTTCTACATGGCTGTCCATTCTTCATTGAATACAAGCACAAAAATACAGTTTTCCCTGGGTCTTTGGGTCTTCATTTCTGAAGGTTCCTGTGTCAAGTAAAACTTTGATTAGATAAATTTATGATTTTCTCTTTAAAAAATTTTATTATTATTATTATTATTTTTGAGACAAGATCTTGCTCTGTCACCCAGACTGGAGTGCAATGGCACAGTCACAGCTCACGGCAGCCTTAGCCTCCCAGGTTCAAGCAATTTTCCTGCCTGAGCCCCCTGAGTAGCTGGGATTATAGGCATACACTGTGCCTGGCTAATTTTTAAAAATTTTTGTAGAGAGAGGGTCTCACTATGTTGCCCAAGTTGGTGTTGAACTCCTGAGCTTAAGCAATCCTCGATTTCCCAAAGCTCTGGGATTACAGGGATGAGCCACGACACCAAGCCCTCTTCTCTTGTTAATGTGTCTTTTGTTATAAGGGTGTCAGCCTTGGACCCTGATATGAGTGAGGAAAAGATATTACACCTTTTTACCCCTATACTATCTAACATAAAGCTTAGCTCTTTATTGAAGAAATCTGTTGATGTACATGATCTACAATTCCAAGGAATTGAATGTGTATTAAAAACAAATAAGGAAGCAATTATCCTGGAGTAATTTGGCCTCTTTAAACAGTATACATGGTAATAATTGAGTAATTAAGGAATTTAATGCAGGTGAGTTGTAAACTAATTTAGCTATGAGCATCAACATCTTAAACCACAACTGCAGGAAATGCTTTATAAATTAAGCACCTTTTGATAACTTGAACTGTCTTTGTAATTCATTATTCTTCACTCCCCATTTTTAAAAAAATCTTTAAAAGCAGATGACATGCTGGGATGCCATAACATTTCCCTTGTAATCAATCTATAATGGTAAGGGTCACATTTCAATACCCGCAGTATAAAAGCAGTGCACTCAAGAGCTTGAGTTTAATGTTTTACCAGCATAGCATGGGGTAACAGTTAATGTTTTTATTTTAAATAAAAGATTGGAATTAACTTTTTAAAAAAATGCTGGACTCCTGGCTATGAATATATACTAACTGATGAGGTGAAAAAGAATGTTTTATTGTGATTAAGAGCTAGAGATGAAGGCAGTTTAAATTAGTTTTTAGAGCAGTTTAAATACATGCATAGCAGTGATCAATAATGAGCAATGATGTAGTGGCAGGCCACTATGTTCCAGATGCCACTGTATTCTCAACAATGGGAACATATTATTACCAGCAGGGCATATGACATGGGCAAGTGGGGGCAAAGGCAGTGACGTAACAACTTCACTCTAGGTATTGAAAGAGGATGTGAGAAGCATCCGGGGGCAATAGTACAAAAGGGCGAAGCAACAGAAGAGAAATAATCTGGGAAGCACAGCAGCCTTGGGCATGCAACAGTGTTTTCCATTTTATTATTTATTATCCTGGAGTTATGCAGGATTTCTATTTGCTAGGAGAGGTATTAGTAATAGGAATTTCTTTGAGTGATTTGGAGGTGAACAAATCTTTTCTTTTCTGTGAGCTACAGTGGTTACTGCTCTGAATTTTGAGTGACTGACCAACTACCGGCTTCTCATCCATCTACCTTTTGGAAGAAATAAGGCTTTTAAAAATCAACTTATGGTCTAACATCAGAGATGAGCAATTCATGATGCTTTTTCTTTTCTTTTTTTTTTTTTTCAGACAACTTCTTACTTTGTTGCCCAGGCTGAAGTGCAGTGATGCGATCACGGCTCACTGCAGCCTCGACCTCCCAGGCTCAAGCGATCCTCCCACCTCAACATCCCAAGTAGCTGGGACTCCAAACGCGTGCCACTATGCCCGGCTAAGTTTTGTATTTTTAGTAGAGATGGAGTTTTGCCATGTTGCCCCGGCTGGTCTCGGACTCCTGGGCTCAAGCAATCTGCCTGCCTCTGTCTCCTGAAGTGTTGTGATTACAGGCATGAGCCACCGCACCTGGCCAAGATGCTTTTTCTGTTTCTGAGATACAATGAACTATATCTTAAGAATTCATAAAGCCCTAAAAAGTAAATATTTACAACCAGAAATCTTTCTGACAAAGAAACAAGATTACTCAAAGTAAGTAGTAGTTTGGGCTCCCTGGAAAGAACCCAGAACTTAAGTGTCAGGAAATGTGGATAGTTCTGAATGTGCCCCTGGCTGGTTGATGACTCTGGGCAACTTATGCAGTACCTCTAACTCATGGTTTATTTACCTGAAAAATAAGTGGGTTGGCTATGTCTGTGGTTTGAAAGGTGCTCTATGATGTCCCAGATGTCTTAGCAGTGTATCATTGGCTGTTTTGGAGGCTGTCAGGGGTCCAGATGGCTGCTCCCACTGAGCCTGCTTTTAACAGAGCTTTTCAGTTTGTATTTCTTGTATACACAAAGTAATATTAAATAAAAAAAATATAATCCAGCTAAGAAAGTTTGAGAATACTGGCTTGAGATTCAAAATAAAATAAACCAAAAATTTTAGAAATTATATTAGTCTAGAAAGATAGTATTGTGTCTCTTTGTCTTTTTAGTACCTAGCACATATCAGGTACTTGATACATATTTATCATATGAATGCAATGGTTGTAATGAACAACTGGGAAGGAAATGCAAAAGCAGAAGGCACCATATTTGTGTTGCTATTCCTGGGTGTCATTTCTATGTAACTTGTGATAACCAGTAGTAAAGAACAACATGGACTATGTTTAATAGACAACAACTAATTTTATTGGATTTGTGTACATAATCTGAAATTTAGTCTAAGGACAAGCCATATTACTATAAATTCCAGGAAATCTAGAGAGAAAAAATGGGCAATTTAGAACAGACTAGAAGAGTAACTCTTTCAGTTTGTCTGGAAAACCGAATCTAAGGAATAAGGTCAGTTTGCAGTTTCTTTCAAGTAGAATTGGTGACTCTTGGATGCAGTTTATAAACACGTAACACATTTTCCTTGCATGGAAATATATCTATTCTATGACCTCTTCTACATGAAGAAAAGATTTGAAATTTTCTTCTCCATTAAATAATGTTTTGTGTGCATGTTGCAAAAATAAGAGAGAAGCAAGAATAACTCTAGCAGATGCTTAAAGGTTTAAGATTAAAGACACATGTAAATGTGATTCATAGTGGGTGTTCTGTGCACTTGAGTGAATATTCCCAAATCACAGCTAGAAAAATTTAGGAGTAAATTGACTTAACTTATGGTAAATCAATAGGGGTCCCTGAATTGGAGGGAAACAGATGAGCAAGAAAAAAATTATTTGACAGGACTCCACTAAGGAAAACAACATTCAAGTAACAGATGAGGTATTCTACTGCCCAGAGGAATTACCCAGCCTTTAGCAAGGCGAAGTCAGCCTCAACTGGCAGGAGGTTTGTTTTAAAACTGAAATGAGAAAAAGGATCTGGGCTTACAAATGATGGGAAGATATATTATCAACAGGGAAAAAAACCCCCAGAAAATAGCAACTAACTTGTTTCCCCAGCACAACTGAAAGGATGAAGAAGGAAAACAATTTAATGTACCCTGGTCATGCAGTTACTTTCCTTTATCCTTACTAACAGTGCTTGTCAAGATGGTTCTGGAAACTGAATAAATGTAAGTAATGAATCATGATAGACATTGGTGAAATGCTTTATTTCTATTTCTCTGGGTTCATTGTTTCTTGTTTGACTTTCATGGGAAGTTTACAGTCGTTTTCGTTCTTCCAAAGTCAGTTCCTGACTTCTCTGGTCAAGGGGTTGAAGAAACAACTAGGAAAAAGGAGATACAGTCTCTGTTCTCTCTCTTTCTTATTTTCCCTCTCCCCCAGCCTCTCTCTCCAATATATCAACATATCAATAGCACTGAATCATGCATGGACTCTCAGGTTTTAAGCTTGACTGTCAAATTACCACCCTGACTGTTTAATATGATGATGGCTACTGCTGTATTTGAAACAGCCACCACATTCTCCAATTTTAATGAACTTTCCTCTGAGCAGATGGTCTTATATAATATGCACAGGGTAAAAAATAATAATTTTAGCGTTTCTACTTATAATCCCAATGTCCACGATTCTTTATTTTCATTGCCTTTACTTTAATGGTTATTAGAAGTGAAGGATTGTTTTTCTGACTTAATTGGTCTACTTAACTTGATTCTTATAAATAATAATATATTACCATGCACTGTTATTATTCTTTCTTGTCCTATATCAAGGTATAGGTAGATCTGCTTAATATCTAGTATTTCCAAAACAAAAGAGAATTAATTACCCTTAATAACCAAATCATTTAATCTAGATATGTTACTTTTGCTTTAGTTCTTGTTCTTACAGACTCAGAAGATGAGTTGGAGTTGGCTTTAGCACCATGACCAAGTTCACTTGGAAGTGATTAAGACAGCACATGGTCAAGTTAGCTGTTGAAGGCAAAATGCCCAGGGTTGAGAGTACCAATAATTATGAGCAAATCCTTTTTAAGTTTTAGCACTTTTCTCTGCCAGTACATTGATCTGTCATAGAAAATGTCACGATTGTAATTCCAGGGATCATCTTATCAAGTTTTATTTCAATCATAAAGGACTGAAGTTTTAATATCATCAGTGTTATTCAGGGCCTTTAAAGCTTTTATCATTTGTGAACATCCTAGATTGCTATGGATGTTTGGGGGCCTGGGTATAATTGTTAGGGACAGAGAGAAGCAACAGACTAGTATTTGCTGTGGAGGAAAAGAGAGCCGGCTGAGAAGCTACTACTTATTGACTAGTGTTGTCTTCCACAGCAATGTCATGGGAGTGATTTGGTGGGAGCGCGTAAGACAGAGTCATGGCACTTATTCATATCATGGATTTCTAGGGACATTGTTATAGAATTAAATAGTTTTGGAGGTAGAAAATTACTTCTTGATGTGCTACATATAAATCAAGGCATAGGAACTGTCTTCATTTATGCCTGCTGTCCTGGCATAATTATTAATAACACCTGTGGGTAGCCAGCCTGCAAGACGGTGCCTCATGATCCCACCTTCCGGCATTCACACTATATGTAATCCCTTACCACATTGTATCACAGTTGGTCTATTTAACCATAGAATAAGGCAAAAGTGAGAGTACATCACTTCCGAGATTTGGTGATAAAAACACTGGTTCCATCTTGCTCTTGCACTCTCTTTCTCTTTCCTCTCTCTCTTTCTTTCATCATTCACTCTAGGGGAAGCCTGATGCCTTATCAGGAGCAGCCTTATGGTAAGGAACTGACGCCTTCTACTAGCAGACATTTGAGCGAGCTTGGAAGCATATCCTCCAGCCCAGTTAAGCCTTCAGATGGCTAGGGTATGGGCCTGTATCTTGACTGCAGGTTCATGAGAGACCCTGAAACAGAACCAGGAGCTAAGCCCTCCCAAGTTCATGTCTCTGAGAAAGCATGTGAGATGATGTGTGTGTGTTGTTTTAAGCTGCTAAATTTGGGAGTAATTTGTTATAAAGCAATATATATAAAAATATAGCACCCCATTTACTCCTAAAAGTGTCTTGATTTGGATGAAAAACTATAAAGTCATCCTATGTTAACAGAAGTCTAAATCATGAATGTATTAGGAGTTTTTCTTTTCTATTGACAGAGCTTTCACCATGACATTAGTATGGAGACACTTATGGGGAAAGTTGTCAGGAGAGAGGCATTTGATAGTGTCAGAAGTCTAAATCTCTAGACTTAGAATCATGAAAAACACTATGACAAAGTAGATAAGAATGGTTGATTTTTAAATAAAATTTTCCTGTATCTGACACCACCATTCACTGGCCTTCAAGAGGCATTTAACTTCTCTCTGCCTCAATTTTATCATGTAAAAAATGGGGATAATAATAGTACCTTCTTCATAGAATTTTTTTGGGATTAAATATGTGTAAAGCACTTGCAACGATGCAGGTGTTCAATAGGAGTTATTATTATTGCAATGAGGAATTAAGATGATCTCTTTCTTTTGTTCCATTTATGTACAAATAGATAGTCCCCGTCCAGTGATATTCTCATTGATTTATGCCTTAAATATTTGTATGTTCCTACTGTGTGCTAGGGACATAAGATAGAAATATGTCACCCCTTAAGGAAATTACAAAGTAGTTGGGAAAATTCCCATATGAGTTTATATATATTATTTATATTATATGATATATAAATTAAATATTTATACATATGTATGAATGGATTATATATGTGTGCATTAACTATAAAAATTATTAAAGTTAAGGACTAGACGATAGATAAGGTGTGGGTTGGATACAAGGGAAAATGGGAGCAAGTTAGAAAAAAATATGAGGTTTTAGAATTAGAATGGAATGGGTTTCTGGGCATGGCAAGACACTTCGAAAGAAATGAAATGTAGGAACTGGAAAGCCTGCATAATGTGTCTAGTTGATTACCGTATCTCTAGTTTCTTGAGCAGTGCCTGGCACATAGCATTCGGCAAATACTTGTGAAATAAATACGTACATCTACTATGTTTTCATAAAAATTAAAATAAAAAATTGAAAAAAAGATCATGTCATTTGTAAGCAAGGCTAATTTGACTTCTTTCTTTCCTATTTGGATGCCCTTTCTTTCTCTCACCTAATTGCTCTGGCCAGGACTTCCAGTGTTGTGTCGAATAAAAGTGGTAAAATTGAGCCCCAGAGCAGGTTGCATTTCCGCAGTGGCTCCTTTCTCAAAATGGCCCTGTGCTACAGAAGTTTGAGTCCATGCAGCTGCATGGATTCTAGGCAGCTCCCTAAACCGGACATAGGGCCTTTTGTAGCCAGGATTGCAGGTATTCATGGTAGTTATAGGTATTGCTGGGGATCTCCCACTTAGCTTTTCCCCATAATGAGAAGTTCCCCTTTGTCTCTGTGACAATCCCAGCTGGGTGCTTTGCTTCCCTTTCTATGCTGCTATCCTGAGTTTCCTTGTCTCAGAGCATATTGGTCATTTCCTTGCTGAATTGCAGTGTTCTCCCTTAGACACTCTACCCAAAGTGCAGTTATCTAAGTTTGTTGTTTTAGTCCTTCTTTGTGGAGATGAATGTTGGGCACCTCAGATCAGCCATCTTGATGCTGTTTGTCCCTTGTATCTTGTATTTTATGGGAATTATATTTTTGTATTAACATAAACTATTGCGTTATACAGCTTTTTGCACAAAGAGAGTGATAAATTTATTTATCATGGGTTTTCACTTTTTTTTTTCAAAATTATACTTCTTTAAGAGTGAGATAATCCAATAAATAAACATCTTAAGGTCATCTTCTCCCAGCTCTGCCTCTGTACACTTTCCTTTTATGTACAGTATAGAAATTCAGTCACTAGAGATTTAGCTATAAAACTTTTCGGAGGTATAAGTTGTGCATTTTATTAACAAGAAAAGAAATAGGATGGATTTTTTTATCTGTCACAGATCTTATACTAGAGAAAATGTTGCAGAGTTTTACTGGGGGCTGTACTGTTTTAACCTTAGAGTGATTAATGACACCTATCAATACCCTAAAAATCATGTGTCTATGTATTCATTTCTTTCCCCTATAAATCAATTTGTCATTTAAAAATTAACATTAAAGAAGTTTTATGTTACTAAGAGATAGTGAGCTACATCAAATAAGCTTAATATAGAAACAATGTAGAAAAAAATTTAATAGCCATCCAGTGTATTCTCTGAAACAATTTTATTTTCCATGATAAAGGCCTCCTGTGGTATTCTTTTTAAAGCTATCATAAACACATACCAACCATGTAAAATTGAACTCATTATTTCCCTCTGGAAGAAGAAAAAATAACTCAAATGATGAATTCTACATCTAAAATGAAATATACAAACTTTAGAGAAGAGGTAATTTCTATTTAAATTGTTTGATTCATAAGAATTATATTATAATTTATTATTGTTTCACTAGCTAGAGTTATACAAGTTTGAGAAAGGAAGGAGGTTGGTGGGATGAGGGTCTTATTTCCTTGTAAAATTTCCCTGTCTTTGTTTTTCAGTGTTATTAACTAAATTCTAAAAGCTTCATATAATCATCTGATACATACATCACATCAATTTCAGCCTAGGTGAGCTATGCCCCTTTCTCTTTAAAGTTGGTGTATGCTTTTGGTACAAATCCTTTAAGGCAGTAGTGTCAATTGGGTGATATTTGGGAATCTGACTATTTCTGATTGCTTTTCAGGATGTTATGACTTTATCCTAAAGCCTGGGAGAAATAAGGAAGTCCTAGAGTTTGAGTAGTGTATTTGCTGACACACCTAAGGAGAACCTGGAAGCATGAGATATATCTGCTTTTCTGAGTGCCTGTGGACTTAAAATAAATTGGCTTCTAGGGTAAACAAGACTAATGTGGAAGCCCAAGTAGTCCATAACAGTGCAGTTATCTTCGGCATCTGTTCTGAAAACCATACTTGAGTTTAAAGAAAACTTTAGGATCTCATTCCCTCTATCCCACAGAGAAAGACTGGCTTTTTTTGTTTGTTTGTTTTGTTTTGTTTTGTTTTGTTTTGTTTTGTTTTTGAGACGGAGCCTTGCTCTGTTGCCCAGGCTGGAGTGCAGCGGTGCAATCTCAGCTTGCTGCAACCTCTGCCTCTCGGGTTCAAGCAATTCTCCTTCCTCAGTCTCTCGAGCAGCTGGGACCACAGGCACGCACCACCATACCTGGATAATTTTTGTTGTTGTTATATTTTTATTGGAGATAGGGTTTCACCAAGTTGGCCAAGCCAGTCTCGAACAGGAGTTCGAGACCACAGGGGATCCGCCCACCTCAGCCTCCCAAAGTGCTGAGATCACAGGCCTGAGCCACTGTGCCCAGCTGGCATTTTCAATATAACTTTTGTGCCAGTTTCACAATTTTTGTGGCCAAAGCTTGTAATTGATCCTACTTTTTACTGAAGATGGAAACCTTTGTCCTGTTCACTTTAGATAATAGCAGTCCACTGAATTTTATATAATTTGCATTGGATGTTGGAACTTGAACTTTATTATCTTTAAGCATACGCAGAGCTTTGATATTCTATATGCATTCACATTTGTCTTTTCTATTTAATATTTTCTATTCACTAGCTATTAAAAAGCAAAGTAATTTTTAAATACTATGGCTGAAATCTTCATTTGACAAAAATGAAAAATTAGTGGGTTTTCTAAGTGACATAATCACTTATGGAAACAGGAAGAATGGAGTGTCATGTGTTGATGAAGGATAAATTGCCTGTGTGAAGAGATATGTATTTTTGGGTGAGAAATTGATATCTCTATTTAAATGAAAGGAGGGCCTTACCTGGAAATGTCTTTCATACTGACTGAGTGGCATAATGCATAATTATCTGTTACAGTTGTTGTTGTGGTTTGTGTGTAGGTTATGATGTTCATTTGAAGAACATCCCACTTATAAGGTTCATATAATACAAGATATAAAGAAGCTTGATGCCCCAGAGTTTTAAAAGCCATTAATCATAGTGAATTAAGACAGTTAATCAAGCCTAAGACACTGATAAAAGATTGTCCCTGAGGATTTTTACCTTGAAAACATTTAGAAAATGATAGTTTCTTCTTTCTACTTGACTGCTTTAGTAAGCCAATTCATTTTCTTCAGAAGCTCAAGGTCAGTGATATGACCCTGTCATCTTTAAGAGATGTTTTCCCTCACTCATGTTAGCCAACTTCAATAGTTATGACTGATGGTGAGAGTGGTACTATCAAGAAATCATCACATTGCCTGGCAAGAAGTTAGATAAAGAGAAAAACCAATAATATTGCAGATTTCAATTTCACTTAAAATAAATATATTTTATTGAATATTTGTACCTTAAGATGCAATTAACTTTTTTTTTTTTTTAACAAAAAATCGTCAGTATTTCTCTATTATGAGAATATGCAGAAGAACTGAGCTAGGCCATGGTATATTGCCCTGAGAAAAAAATCAAATAAAATGTTTAACTGGGTTAATTTTTTTACAAATTATATAATTTCTGTAATTAATTTTAAATAGAATTTCTTAATCAGTCTTTCCCCTTTGATTCCCCAGGCTCTCTATGGTGGCAAATTATTTCAGCACTAAATCATGAAGGCTGGATTCTTGAAGCCTGGCAGAGGCAAATGTCTCATTAATGCTGATCTGAGAGACATCTGTGATGAGCCTGAACATCAGGCCAATCTGCAGAGCTGATCAGGGGCTGCTGAGTGGTTCTGAAGTGAGTCAGGCTGTGAATGAAGACTCCACCAGAATGAGGTGATTACATCTCTGTTTTCAGAAAATGACCTCATAACCCCCAGACTGACATGTTGAATTTCTCAAGGCTTAAGTGTACATACTTCCAATATATCGCCCCCCTACAATTTGAACGTAATTAAAGAATTGAGTCAACTTTCAGGATAATTCAAGCTCCTTAAATCCACTTTGCCTTGCATATACTGGAATTTAGATAACCTTGAAATTTGTTTAAATCCTTTATTTACTTTTATAGAGACTTTCTGGCCTCAGATGTAATAGTGGCAAATTCTTCTTTCCTAAATTGTGCTTTTTTCTTTTAAAAAGAAGAAAGAATGCCTAGGATTTGTGGTAACAAATCATATTGAAAGAGGAATTTAAGCAAATAACCATCTTTCTCTAGCAATATATGTCTGGCCTAGAGCATATTACTGGAATACACTTCATAGTGAATGGCAAAGTAATAAAAGAAAAAAAGCTATTGGAAGTAGGTGACGTTGTAAATAGTAATATTTTCTGTAGTCCCAGCTACTCAGGAGGCTGGAGAATTGCTTGAGGCCAGGTGATCGAGGCTGCAGTGAGATATGACTGCATCTGTGAATAGTTGCTGCACTCCAGCCAGGGCAACAAAGTGAGACTCCCATCTCAAAAAAAAAAAAAAAGTAATATTTTGCTTTCACTGTCTTCGTTGCTAAAGAATGATGGTTAAAAGAAAATTTTATCACTTAAAAATGAATTTGAAACATTAAGCTGAAAAATAAAAGCCAGACATTGTTATAGCAATACAAAATTATACTTCTGAAGAATTTGAACTACTTATCGTGTACTTTTGCAGCCATTAACTTGTTTTTCTGTCTTTGTCACTAAACCCCACCATTTCTTAGGCATAAATCCATGCTGATTTTTACTCATTTATCAATGACAAGGATAACACATATTGAAAACTAGTTGAAATAGATTTAAAAACTGGTGAATAGACGATGAACATCGATGCTTAATTAATAACATAAATTAAAATGGTTAATAGGTTGGTTTTATTGGCTTTTCTACTTTCAACTTTTAGATATTAAAATTAATGTATATAGAGAAATGAAAAATTTGATATTTAGTTATCAACAGACAGGATCCAGGAGGATAATAATTTAAACCAAGAATACATACAATAATATATAGAACTCTTTCTACTTTGAATATGAAGCAAGATCATTCATCTTATAAATTAGCAATTTATTACAACAGTACTAATTATACTTATGCTGCTATAATTAAGCCATGCCATGATTAAGAGTCTGTCTGCCTTTCCAATTATAAATAAATATTTTAAGCCGTTATCTCAGGATTCCATGCTGTTTTCAGGGAAAAATTTTTCTTCATCAAATACAAATCAAACAAATTACATGAGGAAAAATGTGCTATCTTTTGCAGGTTTCAGTATAGTGATATGTGGCAATTAAGACAAGGGTTCATAGTCTTAATTATCTTGTGTTAAGCAGGATGGAGAATACAGCAATAAACATTTAAAATAATTAAAAAAAAAAAGCCTGGGAAGAAATAGCTTTTGGGATTAAAAGAGTTTACTGTCAGGCTTTATTCCACTTCCTGTTAAGCTAGCCTTCTTTGCCAACTTTTTGAACTTAGCTATAAGATAGAGCTGCAAATATATCCAAGAGCTTATTAATAAGGGGATATAGTTACTATGTGCTACGTACAATATCTCCATATAGACCAAGTTAACATAATTGACAGCAGCACTTAATCCAACTGGGATTGATTAATCTTACCCAAATAACCTTATAGGGCACAGTAGATCAACCATTTAATCCCACTGATCATCAAAAAATATTTACATTTACCACATTCATGGTACTCTATTAGTATTTCTCTTCTCAGTGATCATTTATTGAGCAACATACCTGCTATGCAGATTGCTAGGTTATGGGGGTAAAATGGATAGCTCCTATTCTTATTGAGCCTATAGTCTAATGCAAGAGCTAGGCATGCAAACAGACACATGCTCTGTATAATATTTACTATGGGAGAAATAGCATAAGGAACTTTGAGAACAGTGAAAAAGAAGAGTACTACTTAACCACAAGGGGTGGAGAAGTCAGGGCGGAGTCCCAGAAGAGAAAACAGCCTGCTTAAGTTTTAAAAGAAGTCAAGGTATTAGTTAGTTCAAAAAATTAAGGAAGGCCATCCTGGGGAGGGGACTCACCAGATAGAGGGAAGATTTGAGCAAAAGGATAGGATAATAGTGTTAATGACTAACACGTATTTAAATCTTTGCTTGATGCCAATTGTCCCCTGGTTTCTTTTTTACACATTTCCTTCATTTATTTAATCCTAACAAGAACTGAATGAGGTAGTAGTGTTATTTTCATTTTACAGATGAAGGAACTGAAATTTTAAGATGCTAACTTGTTAAGGGCAAACAACTTATGCTGTGTTAAGATGAGAACTTAAACCTATGTTTATATGACTCCAAAGCTCATGCTCTCAATGTTCTCAAGTAGCACCTGCACAAAAATGATGTGTTACAGGAACTGTATGTTGTTCTGAATTCATTTGTTCATTTATTCAAGAAATATTTGCTGATCCAGGCACTATGCTAGATCGTAGGGATACAAAGTAAATTCAGAAATGGTTTCTTTCAGGAGGAATTTTTGGCTCAATAGGATAGATATGGCTTATAGATAGGACAGGCAAACAGTCCCTTGAGTAAATAGTGTCTTAATAATTATAGTGTCTTAATATTATAGGTGCTTTGTTAGGGTATATATGAAATTCAATAGAAAGGTAAAGTTTTGTTGGATATGGGGAGTCAGTAGAGGGTCAAGAAAATATTAATTGAGAAAATTGTGTAATCTGAGTCCTGAAAAATGGGTAGGAAAAAGGAGGGCATTCCAGATAACAAAACAAACTGAGAAAAGCCATAGGAATATAATAGCCTGGATTTGGAAGCAATATCCAATAATTCTGTGTGATTAGGGTGTACAGAGTGACATGACCAAATTTCGAGGGAATGGATAAGAAAAAATGTTTTTGAAGTAGAATAAACAGTATTTGATTATCTTTGGATGTGGGAGTGAGAAAAAGAGAGGAATACACAATAACTCATAGACTTGTCTTTGTTGGTTGGGTGGCTGGTGAATATGATAAAAAATTGAGTTGAAATTGGATTGGGGAGAGATAATAAGAATAGTTAGTTTAGTTTTATATATGTTAAGTTAGGCAGAGATAGCTGCAGGCTCTTGACCTAGACTTCAGGACAATGTCTTGGTTTATAGTTATGAGCAGATCTAGATTTATAGTTATGAGCATATAGAAGGATGATTTGAAGTTGCAAAAGTAGATGAAGTCTCTGTGGTGGCATGTCACAGAAGAAGAAGATCAAGCATAGAATTGTGAAATATACCAATCTTTTAGTAATAGCTAGAAGAATAAGAGCTTAATGAGATATTAAGATGCAATGGTTAGGTATACAGTCAGAGAACCAGGAGACAGTGATATCATTAAAGTAAAATTAAAAGAGAGTTTAAAGATAATGGGAGAGATCTAAGTTTCTAGATGCTCCAAAGAGGTCATGGAAGATGAAATTTGTGAAGAGTTTTTAGAATTTGGCATGTGTGTGATGGCAACATTAGTGAAATAGTAAAGTTGTGAACAGAGGAGAAAACACTGAAATAGTTGTTGTCGGAACTAGAAATGATCTGGCTAGAATAAGGATTATGTATATGGGGCTCAGTGGAGATCAGAGATCCAGAATTCAGTGCTATCAGTTGGCACATTGATGTGGTTTTCTCAAGAAGCTCTCAACAGCCAAGGTATAAGATCAGAGAAGGCTAATTGTTAAGTTTATCCAAGATTGAAAGTATTCAGAATGGCTGTGGGAGAAAGATAAGGGGACTAGTATCAGTAATGAGCACATGAGGAAGAGATTAGTTAGAAGGTTGCATTATGGAGTTTAGGGAAGTGAGGGAGGGAAGCAAAGCCATGTGGGAGTGATGATGAATGAGAATAAAATGGAGGGATCAAGCATCTAAAGAGCCTTGATGAAGGCTACCGTAAACATTACTTCCTGAGAAGCCCCTGACCCTCAAGTCCGGGTTGGGTGCCCCTCAATAAGCCCCCATAGCATCCCGTACTTCCCCTATCATAGTTATTTCCATTAATTTCTTGGGTTGTTGTTGTCACTAGGCTACCAGCTCTGTGACAACAGGGACCTTGTCTGTCTCATTCATCCCTGTTTCTCCAGTGTCCCACCTGGCACATGTAGGTGGTGGAACAAATAAACACGAGATAGTGAAAGAGAAGGAGGAATATGAGTTTATATTCAGATTAATATTTTCGAATTAGGATTTCAAAGTTGATGCAGTTCTGGTTGATGACAAGGTCCAGACTATGGTTGAAGTCGATACAGCATAGTTGAAATCTGGGAGGTCATGAAGATGTGAGGCCATGGTATTATATGGATCATCTGCCTAGGTATTAAGGCTGTACAGAATCTTAGGAAGACTGGAAATAAAAGGAACTTGGGAGCCCAGGACATAGTTCTCACCCAATGAGGGTGAATAAGCTAAAGTTCAGTAAATTAGGGCAAGGGAGGAAATAATGTGGAAAAACAGAATGGCACAACCTTAACAGAGAAAGAAAGTTTTCATGAAGGTGTGAGTGACCATGAAGACTACTTCAGGAGTATGGGGTATGGGTTGAATGAGTTGTGTAAGGCAGGAGGGCTAAAGCAGTGATCAGATGGCAACGAATCTAATAAAGCCAGCCAAGGATCTTGTTTTTTGTTCCATGAATATTACAATACAAAAGATACAAAAATATCCTTAGATTTTAAAGTGTGTCAAGGTAACTTTGGAAGAGTAGGGTAGTCAAACAAACAAACAAACAAAAAAATAAAAAACCACAGGATTTAAAACTGTGGAGACAGGGACTCTGTATTTGCCTCTACCATTGCCAGTTTCTAGTTGAATGTTGGTGGTCAGTTTTCTTAACATTTTATGTGTGAAATGAAGTCATTTGATTACTAGTTTTTAAATTCTTTTGCTTGGCTTGCAAAGTTTTGTAACCTGACACCATCCTACCTATTCAGCATTCCCTGTATACGTCAATGTGACATGCCAGGTTAATATACAAGATATCTTAAGAATACAGACAGTTCATTTATATTTTAATACTTTTGTTAGGGGTAGAAGGTATTTGAGTTACCAGCAGTGAATCTGAACGGATGTGCAACAACCTCAATTCTTGCCTCCTCAGAAGAAAAAATTTGACTGATGGGCATAAGGCAGTAAAAGAGACCAAGGCACATTTTAGAGCAGGAGTGGAAGTTCATTTAAAAAAGGTATTAGAGGAGGAAAGAAAAGAAAGTACAAGTGGAAGAGACCCAAGTGGCCAAGCTGAAGGACAAGTGTGACATTTATACTTGATTCTAGGACTTTATATATTGGCCCACTCTCGGGGTCTTGTGCCCTTTTCCTCTGGTTCCTCCCTTGGGGTGGGCTGCCTGCATGTGCAGTGCCCTCATTACACTTGGCAAGTGAGCATGTGTAGTGTGTTTAGGAAGTTGAACGTGTGCCCATCTGGGACTTTCTTCCCTTTTCTGGTGGAATGCCATTTTGTCTCTTACTGAGCATGCCCGGCTCACTTACCCAATACCTGAGATTTTATTATCAATTTCAAGTGTTTTTATCTGGGAAGTTGCCTCTCCCTGGTGCCTGCTCTCAATTAACACTTTAATGTGACATCTGTAGACCATCAGGAGATTGTCTATACCTGGCTTGGCTGCCAAATTATCATGTTTAGAGAGGCAATGTTGGTATGGACAGGAAGCAGGGAAATACTGGGTAGAAGAGGGTGGTTCACTGGCAAAGGCCCTACCTTCAAGCCTGGAAACTGCGGCTCTAAATGGGAACAGACATTCCTGTTTTTGCAACCAAATCTTGCCTTTCGGCCCACAATGCCCCCTATCCTATACCCATATAAACCCCAAACCCCAAACCCCAGGTTCCATGAGTGGTCAAGCAGAGGAGCAGAAGAGCAGCAGAGCGGTGTGGTAGAGAAGGAGGAGAAGAGAAGGAGCATCTGAATGTCAAGAGGAGTTCCGCTGGGGACAGCCAGGGAGATTGGCTGCAGGAGACGGCCAAACTCCAGAGGAAGATAATCTTTCCACTTCATTCCCTTTCCAGCTCCCCATCCATCCTGCTGAGAGCCACCTCCACCACTCAGAAAAATCCCTGCATACACCATTCTTCAAGTCAGTGTGTGACCCGATTCTTTCTGGATGCCAGACATGCACCTGGGTACCAAGAGGGCAGGGTGTAAAAGGCTGTCAACCTGACTCTCCACTGAGCTGGTTTAATACTTAGCCATCCGTGGATGGCAACTGCTAAAAGAACATTAGTTGTAACACACCCCTAGATGCCGCCATAGGTCTGGAGCCCAAAAGGGCTCGCCCTGGCTCCTGCACCTGCTTTTCTGCCTGCTCCCCCTCCCATAAAGGGTTTGATCAGCAGCAGCAGCAAATGAGTCACACCCCTGTCACAAGTGGTGCAAGGGGGTCAGAGAACTCTCCCCTTTCAATGTGGTAATTACCCAACTATCACCTGATATTCCTGTTGGGTAGGGGAAGAGCCCTTTCCTTCCCCAGTCATGCCTGTTTAATTACCTGTAACACTCTCATTCATTGTTTCCTTTTCTTGGAATATCCTCCACATGTCTATACATTTACTTACAGCCCAGCATAAGTTCCCTTTTTATTTATTTATTTATTTATTTATTTATTTTTTATTATTATACTTTAAGTTTTAGGGTACTGAATGGGCAAAAACTGGAAGCATTCCCTTTGAAAACTGGCACAAGACAGGGATGCCCTCTCTCACCACTCCTATTCAATATAGTGTTGGAAGTTCTGGCCAGGACAATTAGGCAGGAGAAGGAAATAAAGGGTATTCAATTAGGAAAAGAGGAAGTCAAATTGTCCCTGTTTGCAGATGACATGATTGTATATCTAGAAAACCCCATTGTCTCAGCCCAAAATCTCCTTAAGCTGATAAGCAACTTCAGCAAAGTCTCAGGATACAAAATCAATGTGCAAAAATCACAAGCATTCCTATACACCAACAACAGACAAACAGAGAGCCAAATCATGAGTGAACTCCCATTCACAATTGCTTCAAAGAGAATAAAATACCTAGGAATCCAACTTACAAGGGATGTGAAGGACCTCTTCAAGGAGAACTACAAACCACTGCTCAACGAAATAAAAGAGGATACAAACAAATGGAAGAACATTCCATGCTCATGGGTAGGAAGAATCAATATCGTGAAAATGGCCATACTGCACAAGGTAATTTACAGATTCAGTGCCATCCCCATCAAGCTACCAATGCCTTTCTTCACAGAATTGGAAAAAACTACTTTAAAGTTCATATGGAACCAAAAAAGAGCCCGCATCACCAAGTCAATCCTAAGCCAAAAGAACAAAGCTGGAGGCATCACACTACCTGACTTCAAACTATACTACAAGGCTACAGTAACCAAAACAGCATGGTACTGCTACCAAAACAGAGATATAGATCAATGGAACAGAACAGAGCCCTCAGAAATAACGCCGCATATCTACAACTATCTGATCTTTGACAAACCTGAGAAAAACAAGCAATGGGGAAAGGATTCCCTATTGAAGTTCCCTTTTTCTATAAAAGCTTCCCTGCCTACACCAGTGTTCACTCCTGGCTATCCCTTCTGAATGTCAGTAGCTCTGAAGGTCTGTTCCACTACAGTTCAGCACTTACTCTTTCATACTGTTCAATGTTTGATGGCATCCTAGACAGTAAAATAAAATTCCCTATTCTGGAAGCTGGGAGCTTTGAGATCTAGTTTCTGTTGTAACTAATATTGTGCTCTTGTACAAGAGGTTTCTTATCTTTAAAATGAAGGGATTTGACTAGAGAATAACTTTCTTAGTTTGAGTATTATCTAAAAGCAGAGCCAGAGAAAGAGTTTGTGTGCAGGTGACTTATTTTGAGCAGTCATACCCGGAAGAAGGAGGAAGGTCCTGGGGAAAGCGGGACAAGGAAGGAGGAAGAACTATTATAAGGGAACATTACTGAGGCTACTGATGGGGGCAATGGGATTCCATCCTGTTGGGACCTCCCGAGAAGCATACAGAGCACCTCCAAGAATTCCTTTCCAAAAGAAGGGAGATGGGAACATTTATTAATCAGCTCCACCCCCCATAAGCCCAGAGTTGTCCTTGGGGATGCTTCTTCTCCTGAGTTTCTGAGCTATACACATTAGCTGCTGATCTGAGCTACCTAGGGGCAGAAAGCCAGGAGGCATAGCACATCTTCAAGGTGAGATACTGTCAGTGTGAAGTCCAAGCCATTCACCCATAGCCGAAATTAGAGTAGAGGCTGAGAGGGAGTGAGTCTGGGTACTGCCAATTTCAAAATTCTGTGAAACAATGACACATTCTTAGATAAGCTTTATATTTTAATACCATAGATAGAGTGACTTGCTTTTGGAATGTTAACTTTCTATTCAAAGCTGAGACACAATTTAGTAAATCTGGGGTAGGCAAAACTCCTATTGTCTCCGAAGTTGGATATTTTAATCAATTCTAATAGTGGTAGCCTAAAAACTACTAAAAGGAAAAAGTTAAACAAAATCTCTATAGGTTATTTAAAGTGACCCAACGAATGACTTTTGGAGAGACTGAAACAATGCCTCAGAATGACCTCTTCTAAACATGACAAAATCTCTAGGAAGATTATTTAGACATTAAATAAAGAGATTTGGAAGTGAAATGTAACTAATAACTACTTAAGATGCAGGACCTACACATTATATAATTTTAAGGGAAATTTGCAGAATTAGAGAGGACATCAGTTGCTATTTCATGATAAATAAGTGCACCTTGGAGAGCTCCAGAAATGGAAGATGACCCAGAGGAAGCAATTCCTGGGCAAGAAACCACCATGTAGAAACCTCAGTATTGATATTTCTCCAAGACTTGAGACAATACTTTTATGCTTGCCCTTCTTTGAAGATTCTATTATGGTTGAATTTTCACAACCCCACCTGAAGATTTTTAATTTCGGGGGGATTTCAATTGCTGAAAGGAATAGGGGTATAAAAAAAAAATCATTTCTTGGCCATGCTAGCTTATTGGTTCCCTTGAAATCTTGCTCCATTGGGTACCTTTTCTTGGTATAGAAGGGCTAGTAGTAAAGTATTTCTTGGAGGAGGATATAATGCTCAGGACCAACTTCTGTTCTTCCTGGTGAGTTTCAGATTTCCACCTGGACTCAATTTCGCCATATTTTTCTCCCACTTATACTAGTCCCCTAAAGAAATCTCCATGTCCTTCATCCAACTGCTCTTATGATAATTATAATCTCCAGGTCTTTACAGGTATCTTTAGTGGAGGAGATGAAGGGAGAGAGAAAATAATCTCCTGTCCATCTGCCTAAGCCTCTTGGTTTCTCTTCCCTGTCAAGCTAGACTTGAGCACCATCCTTAGCTGGAACTGAGCTGCCATTGCTGTTTTTCTGCCTTGCAGTGGCCCGTGGTCAAAGATTAGACAGGGTTGTGTCTTTGGTAGTAGCCATCCTCCCAGTTGCCACACCAGAAATCTAAAGGTCATCCTTGAAAACTCCACCTCAATCCCTCTGCGTCACTGACATCTAATAATCACAAAATCCTTCAAATTCTACCTTCTTAATATTTGTCTACTTTCCTCCATTCTTACTGCCTTTAACTTTGCTTTTCTTTTCCCTGGATTCTGGAAATTGCCTCCTACTATCTACTTAACACCTTGCTCCCTTCAGTCTTTCACTGACCAGCTAAAATAATATTTTCAAAAGACCAATCCAATAGGCTTCATCTCTTGAATAAAACCCCTTCAATAGTTCCTTCATTTACCCCAGAATAACATAGAAGACCCAGAGTTTATTTCTCCAGCCTCCTCCATTGCCACTCCCTACTTTTCATTCTATGGTACACCTCTGGTGTATTACTTGCAGTTCCCCATGCAGGCTGGACACTCAGTTACACTCATGTTATAATAGCATCAGAGATGCTACTGAAAATATTAATCACTTGCAGTGGCATTGGCACTAAGCAATCAAAACAGAGAACAGTCCATTCAGAATGGATATTGGCTGTGAACATCTGTCTAAATACCCGCCCTGAAGAGTCCCCATGTATACCCACCTAGCATTTATTACAATGTGTTGCTAGCTTACTTGTTAGAGTAAAAGCTTCTTGTACATAGAGGAAGTATCTTGTTTCTGTTGTATTTCTGACTATGTTATAGAAACTCAAATTTTTTTAGTTAATTTAATGAATGAATTTAGCAACTAAACTTCAGCTCAGGGATCTGTTTGTGAAATCCTGTTCTTCATCATGTTATACTGAATTTTAGATAAGGGAGAAAATGGAAAAGTAGATCATCCTTTGAACATTATCTATACTTTAGGTACATACAGATTTGTCTCTCCTTTAACCCTCCCCACAAGGCACTCCTAGAGTGAGAAGATGATGGATAACATTACTACCTTTTGAATAATTCATAATGTAGTCACTTTTTGTGATTTTTGGCTTTGCATTTTTCCTGAATTGCTGAATTTTGATTCTTAGACAGCTAAAACTTCAGATATTCAATTTTGCGGGACATGATGAGGCTGCAAAATGATAATGAAGTCTGTTTATCAGTAAAGTTCCTGTGTATAGTCCACAGCTCCTGTGGACTATAATGGTAAACTCTTGTTTCTCTATCTTAGGCAATATCTCTCATCTTATATAGTTTTCTAGAACCTTGGCATTTCCCTATCAAGAGATGGATTTTATGTCCCCTGCCTTTGAAGGTGGGTTGGCCTTTGTGACTGCCTCAACCAGTAGAATATGATGGAAGTGAGGCTTGATGACTCTGAAAGTAGGTCATAAAAATATAACACTCTTCTGTTGTATTCTCCTGGAATGTTTGTTCTTGGAATCAGGCTGCGAGGAAGTGCATACAGATATGTGGAGATGCCACATGTAGGATGTCCAGTTGCAAGCAATAGCCAGCATTAACTTCCAGATATGGGAGTGAATGAACTTTCATATGATCTTAGACCCCAACTGTTTAGTCACTTTTTCAGGGTTGAAGGCTTCCCAGACAAAGTCCCAGACATCATGGAACAGAGACCAGCTTTATTCTTTCTAAATTCCTGGCCCTGCTTAGGTCTCTAAGCACTGTATAAATATTATTGTTTAGGACACTAAGTTTGGTGTGGGGTGGTTTGTTAAGAAGAAACACATAACTGGACTACACATCTATGCCTTCATCTTAAAGGTAGTGAATTTTGTAAATGTAGTGATTGAAGTTTTAAAAAGTATGTGTGAAAACTTAAAAACAGTATTTCCCTTTCCTTAACAATCCATCTGATGGCTACAGTTATATTAACCACATTTCTGTGTTGATTTAAATTTCTAAGGAGAATTCCATGCATGGAGATTCAAATAAAGACAAAAGGGAGATGCAACTATGGAGGCTGAGAAGTCCCACCATCGGAGCGCCTCTGCCCCGCCGCCCCATCTGGGATGTGAGGAGCGCCTCTGCCCGGCCGAGACCCCGTCTGGGAGGTGAGGAGCGTCTCTGCCCGGCCGCCCCGTCTGAGAAGTGAGGAGACCCTCTGCCTGGCAACCACCCCGTCTGAGAAGTGAGGAGCCCCTCCGCCCGGCAGCTGCCCCGTCTGAGAAGTGAGGAGCCTCTCCGCCCGGCAGCCACCCCATCTGGGAAGTGAGGAGCGTCTCCGCCCGGCAGCCACCCCGTCCGGGAGGGAGGTGGGGGGGGGTCAGCCCCCCGCCCGGCCAGCCGCCCCATCCGGGAGGGAGGTGGGGGGTCAGCCCCCCCGCCCGGCCAGCCGTGCCATCCGGGAGGGAGGTGGGGGGGTCAGCCCCCCGCCTGGCCAGCCGTGCCGTCCGGGAGGGAGGTGGGGGGGTCAGCCCCCCGTCCGGCCAGCCGCCCCGTCCGGGAGGTGAGGGGCGCCTCTGCCCGGCCGCCCCTACTGGGAAGTGAGGAGCCCCTCAGCCCGGCCAGCCACCCCGTCCGGGAGGGAGATGGGGGGGTCAGCCCCCCCACCCGGCCAGCCGCCCCGTCCGGGAGGGAGGTAGGGGGGTCAGCCCCCCGCCTGGCCAGCCGCCCCGTCCGGGAGGGAGGTGGGGGGGTCAGCCCTCCGCCCGGCCAGCCGCCCCGTCTGGGAGGTGAGGGGCGCCTCTGCCCAGCCGCCCCTACTGGGAAGTGAGGAGCTCCTCTGCCCGGCCAGCCGCCCCGTCCGGGAGGGAGGTGGGGGGGTCAGCTCTCCGCCCGGCCAGCCGCCCCGTCCAGGAGGTGAGGGGTGCCTCTGCCCGGCCGCCCCTACTGGGAAGTGAGGAGCCCCTCTGCCCGGCCAGCCGCCCCGTCCGGGAGGGAGGTGGGGGGGTCAGCCCCCCGCCCGGCCAGCCGCCCCGTCCGGGAGGGAGGTGTGGGGGGGGTCAGCCCCCCCGCCCAGCCAGCCGCCCTGTCCGGGAGGTGAGGGGCGCCTCTGCCCGGCCGCCCCTACTGGGAAGTGAGGAGCCCCTCTGCCAGGCCAGCCGCCCCGTCCGGGAGGGAGGTGGGGGGGTCGGCCCCCCGCCCGGCCAGCCGCCCCGTCCGGGAGATGAGGGGCGCCTCTGCCCGGCTGCCCCTACTGGGAAGTGAGGAGCCCCTCTGCCCGGCCAGCCGCCCCGTCCGGGAGGGAGGTGGGGGGGGTCAGCCCCCCTGCCCGGCCAGCCGCCCCGTCCGGGAGGTGAGGGGCGCCTCTGCCCGGCCGCCCCTACTGGGAAGTGAGGAGCCCCTCTGCCCGGCCACCACCCCGTCTGGGAGGTGTGCCCAACAGCTCATTGAGAATGGGCCAGGATGACAATGGCGGCTTTGTGGAATGGAAAGGCGGGAAAGGTGGGGAAAAGATTGAGAAATCGGATGGTTGCCGTGTCTGTGTAGAAAGAAGTGGACACAGGAGGCTTTTCATTTTGTTCTGCACTAAGAAAAATTCCTCTGCCTTGGGATCCTGTTGATCTGTGACCTTACCCCCAACCCTGTGCTCTCTGAAACATGTGCTGTGTCCACTCAGGGTTAAATGGATTAAGGGCGGTGCAAGATGTGCTTTGTTAAACAGATGCTTGAAGGCAGCATGCTCGTTAAGAGTCATCACCAATCCCTAATCTCAAGTAATCAGGGACACAAACACTGCGGAAGGCCGCAGGGTCCTCTGCCTAGGAAAACCAGAGACCTTTGTTCACTTGTTTATCTGCTGACCTTCCCTCCACTATTGTCCCAAGACCCTGCCAAATCCCCCTCTGTGAGAAACACCCAAGAATTATCAATAAAAAAATAAATTAAAAAAAAAAAAAAAAAAGACAAAAGGAAACAGAAATGCATTTTTCCCCCTTTTCTTCTCTCTTTGAGCAAGTCTAACCCTAAAGAAGCCAAAAGGAAGAATATGTCAAGATGGGACATATTTGAATGGGAGGAAAGGTAGATATGTTCCTGTTGAATATTCTAAACTCTCCAAATATTCAAAACCCCATTTTTGCAGTTTTCTCCTTTTTAAAGATACATCCCTTTTGGGGATTGAGCAAGAGGGCCAAATAAAAGTCTCCACTAATTGTCCTCTCTGCAAGAACACCAATTTAACAACTATCTACACACAGAAAAAGCAACTTCATGAGAACTAAAAATCAGGTAAGCACTCACAGTACCTGGTTTTAACTTCATATAGCTTAAAGAGGCACTAGAAGACAGTAGGAAAGACAGTCTTGAATCACCAGCACCACCCCTTCCTCATTCCTTGGCAGTGGACATGTGGCATAGAGAATCTGTGTGCTTGGGAGAAGGAGAGCACAATGATAATAAGATTTTCATTAAACTTAGTGCTGCCCTGTTACAACAAAAAGCAAAACCAGGCTGAACTCAGCTTATGCCCATACAGTGTGGGAGAATTTAAACTAGCCCTAGCCAGAGGGAAAATTGCCCATCCCAGTGGCTGGAACTTGAGTTCTGGCAAGCCTCACCACCATGGGCTAAAGGGCTCTGGGGCCCTAAATAAACTTGAAAGGTAGTCTAGGCCACAAAGACTGCAACTCCTAGGCAAGTTCTTGTGATGAACTGGGCTGAGAGCCAGTGGATTTGGGGGATATAGGACCTACTGAGAGACCAGCCTGGGTGGCTAACAGACTCGCACCATGCCTTCCCCAAACCCAGGCTGTATGGCTTGTGGCTTCAAAAGATACCCCTTCCTTCCACTTGAGGAATAGAAAAGGGAAGACTAAAGAGGACTTTGTATTGCATCTTGAGTACCAGCTCAGCAACAGGAGGATAAGGCACAGGTTAGAGCCATGAGACCCCCTTTACAGGCCCTAGCTCCCAGATGATATTTATAGATACACCCTGTGTGAGAAAGGAACCCACTCCCTTGAAGAGAAGGACCCAGTCCTGGCAGCATTCATCACCTGCCAAATAAAGAGCTCTTGGGCCCTGAATAACCAGCAGTGATAGCCAGGTAGCATGCCATGGGCCTTGGGTAAGACTCTGAGACTAGCAGGCTTCAGGTGAGAATCAGCACATTCCCAGGTGTCGTGGTTATGGGGAAAGACTCCTTCTGCTTGAGAAAACTGGAGGGAAAAGTAAAGGGCGCTTTTAATTGCACATTAGATACCAGCTCAGCCATGGTGGGTAGAGCACTGAGTGGGTTCTTAGGACCTCTGATTCCAGGACTTGGCTATTGGATGACATTTTTGGACCTGCCCTGGGCCAGAGGGAAATCCACTGCCCTGAAGAGTGAATCCCAGGCCTGGCAGCATTTACCAAAACTGGTTGAAAAGCCCTTGGGCCTTAAGGGAACATCATTGGTAGCCCAGCAGTATTCCCTGTGGGCCTGGGGTAGTGGTGGCTAAAAATGAAGAGCCTCTGCCTGTGGAAAGGGGAGGGACAAGTGGGAAAAACTATGTCTCATGGTTTGAATGCCAGCTCAGCCACATTACAATAGAACACCAGGTAGACTTCTAAGGTATTTGACTCCAGTCCCTGGCTCCTGGACAGCACCTCTAGACCTCCCTGGGGCCTGGGAGAACTCACCATCCTGAAGGGAAGAACACAAGCCTGGTTGGCTTTGCCACTTGCTGATTATAGAGGACCAGAGCCTTGAGCAGACATAGGCAATAGCCACATAGTGGTTACAGCAGATTTGGATGAGACCCAGTGCTGTGCTGGATTCAAGTGTGACCCAGCACTATCTCAGTGGTGATGGTCACAGGAGTGCTTTTGTCACCTCACTCCCAGCTTCAAGTAGCTCACTACAGAGAGACTCTGTTTTTTTGGGAGAAAGTAAGGGAAGAAGAAAAGAGTCTCTGCCTAGTAGTCCACAGAATTAATTCTTCCAGATATTATCCAAGACCATCAAAGTGGCACCTCTATAAGTCTGTAAGAACCACAGTGTTACAGGGCTTGGGGTGTCCCCTAATGCAGATATGGCTTAGATAACAATGCCCAAGTCCTTACAAATGCCTGGAAAGCCTTCCCAGGAATGACAGGTACAAACAATCCCAGACTGCGAAGACTACAAAAAAATATCTAATTCTTCAATACCCAGACACAGACAAACATTCACAAGCATCAAGACCATCCAGGAAAATATGACCTCAACAAATGAACTAAATAAGGCACCAGGGACCAATCCTGGAGAAACAGAGATATATATCATCTTTCAGAAAGAGAATTCAAAATAGCTGTTTTGAGGAAACTCAAGTTCAAGATACTACAGAGAAGGAGTTCAAAATTCTATTAGATAAACTTAATAAACATATTAAAATAAGAAGAATCAAGCAGAAATTCTGGAGTTGAAAAATGCAACTCACATATAAAAGAGTGCATCAGAGTCTTTGAATAGCAAAATTGATCAAGCAGAAGAAAGAATTAGGGAGCTTGAAGACAAGCTATTCGAAAATACAGTCAGTGGAGACAAAAAAACCCAAACAAACAATGAAGTATGCCTACAAGTTCTAGAAAATAGTCTCAAAAGGGAAAATCTAAGAATTATTGGCCTTAAAAAGGACATAGAGAAAGAGATAGAGGTGGAAAGTTTTGTGGGGGAAAGGAAGAGAGATCAGACTGTTACTGTGTCTATGTCGAAAAAGGAAGACATAAGAAACTACATTTTGATCTGTACTAAGAAAAATTGTTCTGCTTTGAGATGCTGTTAACCTGTAACTTTAGCCCCAACCCTGTGCTCACAGAAACATGTGCTGTATTGAATCAAGGTTTAAGGGATTTAGGGCTATGCAGGATATGCCTTGTTAACAATATGTTTGCAGGCAGTGTGCTTGGTAGAAGTCATTGCCATTCTCCATTCTTCATTAACCAGGGACACGATGCGTGGTGGAAAGCCGCAGGGACCTCTGCCTGAGAAAGCCTGGGTATTGTCCAAGGTTTCTCCCCACTGAGATAGCCAGAGATATGGCCTCGTGGGAAGGGAAAGACCTTACCGTCCCCCAGCCCGACACCTGTAAAGGGTCTGTGCTGAGGAGGATTAGTAAAAGAGGAAGGCCTCTTTGTAGTTGAGATAAGAGGAAGGCCTCTGTTTCCTGCATATCCTTGGGAATGGAATGTCTGGTGTAAAGGCGACCATTCATTCTATTCTGAGATAGGAGAAAACCACCCTGTGGCTGGAGGCGAGATATACTAGTGGTGATAGTGCTCTCTTACTCTTTGCTACACTGAGATGTTTGGGTAAAGAGAAACGTAAATCTAGCCTACATGCATAATCGGGCACAGTACCTTCCCTTGAACTTATTTATGACGCAGATTCCTTTGCCCATGTTTTCCTGCTGACCTTCTTCCCACCATCACTCTGTTCTCCTGCTGCACTCCCCGTGCTGAGATAGTGAAAATAGTAGTCAACAAATACTGAGGGAACTCAGAGACCAGTGCCGGTGCAGGTCCTCGCATGCTGAGTGTGCCAGTCCCCTGGGCCCACTGTTCTTTCTCTATACTTTGTCTTTGTGTCTTATTTCTTTTCTCAGTCTCTCGTCTCCATCTAACGAGAAATGCCCACAGGTGTGGAGGGGCAGAGAACTTCCCAAACCTAGAGAAAGTTATCAATATGTAACTACAAGAAGTTGATGAAACACTAAGCAGTTTTAACCAAAAGACTACCTCAAGGCATTTAATAACCAATCTCCCAAAGGCCAAGGATAAAGAAAGGATTCTAAAAGTAGCAAAAGCAGATTTTTCAATAGAAACCTTATTAGCCAGGAGAGAGTGGTATGACATATTTAAAGTGCTGAAGGAAAAAAAAAAAACCTTTTACCCTAGAGTAGTTTATCTCATTGAAATATCCTTTAAACATGAAGGAGAAGTAAAGACTTTCTTAGACAAAAGCTGAGGGATTTCTTCAACACCAGACCTGTCCTGTTAGAAATGCTAAAGGAAGTACTTCCATCAGAAAGAAAAGGAGGACATTAAAAAGCAGTAAAATACCATCTGAAGGTAGAAAACTAGCTGCTAACAGTGCACAGAAAAACAGAATATTTATAAGACTGTAACTATGGTGTGTAAACTACTCTTAAGTAGAAAGACTAAACAATGAAACAATAAAAAATAAGACTACAACAACTTTTCAAGACATAGTACAATAAGACATAAGCAGAAAAAAATGTTAAAAAGCTGGGGAAGGAAGTTAAGGTTTTTATTAAGTAAAGTTACGTTTTTATTGGGTTTCTCTTTGCTTGTTTGTTTGTTTATGCAAACAGTGTTGTTGTTATCAGCTTAAAAGCATGGGTTATAAGATAGCAATTGCAAACCTCATAGTAACCCCATATTAAAAAACCATACACCAGATATACAATAAATAAAAAGCAAGAAATTAATTCACACCACTAGAGAAAATCACCTTCAATAAAAGCAAGACCAGAAGGAAGACAAGACGAAAGAGAAAATCACAAAGCAACCAGAAAACAAATAATAAAATGGTATGAATAGTCCTTACTCATCAACTTTAATGAGTAATAATAACATTGAATGTAAATGAACTAAACTCTCCAATTAAAAGACATAGAGTGGCTGAATGAATTAAATAACAAGATCCAGTGATCTGTTGCCTATAAGAAACATACTTCACCTGTAAAAATACACATAGATGGAAACTAAAGGGATTGAAAAGACCCTGTATAAATAGAAACTGAAAAAGAGTGGGAGTAGCTACATTTATATGAGACAGAATAGGTTTCAAGACAAAAACTATAGGAAGAGACAAAGAAAGTCACTATATTATGATAAAGGAGTCAATTCAACAAGAGGATATAACAATTGTAAAAATATATGCACCTAACACTAGCACCCAGATATTTAAAGCAAATATTGTTAAAGCTAAAGAGAGAGAAATTTCTACCCCAATAAAATAATGGCTGGAGACTTCAAGACCCCACTTTCAGGATTTGACAAATCTTCCAGACAGAAAATCAACAAGGAAACATCAAACTTAATCTGTGTTATAGACCAAATGGACCTATAGATATTTACAGAACATTTTACCCAATGGCTACAAAATACACATTCTTATCCTTAGCACATGGATAATAAGGGAAAGACCATAAGGTAGGTCACAAACAAGTCTTAAAACATTCAAAAATAGAATATCAAGCATTTTATCTGACAACGTAGAATATAACTAGAAATCAATAACAAGAGAAATTTAGAAAACTATACCAACCATGGAAATTAAACAATATGCTCCTAAATGACCAGTGGGTCAATGAAGAAATTAAAAAGGAAATTGAAACATTTCTTGAAACAAATAATGATGAACACACAACATACCAAAATATATGTGATACAGTGAAAACTGTAAGATTATATTATCTATAATATATATTACCTTCTATGGTGATAAAATTTAACATCGTTTCATGATAAAAACCATAAAGAAAAAAATCTGGATGTAGGAGGAACATATTTCAACAAATCGAAGCGATATATGACACACCGACAACTAGTATACTGAATGAGGGAAAACTGAAAGTCTTTCCTCTAAGATTGGGAACACAACAAATATGCCCACTTTCACCACTGTTATTCAACACAGTACTAGAAGTCCTAGCTAGAGCAATCAGATAAGAGAAAGACATAAAGAGCAACAAAACTGGAAAGGAAGAAGTCAAATTATCCTGGCTTAGAGGTTATATAATCTTATATTTGGAAAAACCTAAAGATTCCACAAAAAAACTGTTGTAATTGGTAAACCAATTCAGTAAAGTTGCATGATGCAAAATCAACATACAGAAATCAGTAACATTTTTATATGCCAACAGTGAACAATCTGAAAAACAAATCAAGAAAGTAATCCCATTTACAATAGCTACAAACAAAATAAAATACCTAGGAATTAACTTAAAGAAGTAAAAGATCTCTACAATGAAACTATAAAACGTTTATGCAAGAGATTGAAGAAGATACAAAAAAATGGAAAAATATTTCATGTTCATAGGTTGGAAGAATCAATATTGTCAAAATGTCCATACTACCCTAAGCAATCTACAGATTTAATGCAATCACTATCAAAATACCAATGACATTCTTCACAGAAATAGAAAAAAAAAATCCTTACAAAAAAAAATTGTAGGAACAAACAAAAGACCTAGAACAGCCAAAGCTATCCTAAGTAAAAAGAACAAAACTGGAGGAATTGCATTACCTGACTTTAAATTATACTGCAGAGATGGCAGAGTGTAGTGGCTCACCCCTGTAATCCTAGCACTTTGGGAGGCTGAGGTGGGTGGATCACTTGAGGTCAGGAATTTAAGACCAGCCTGGTCAACATGGTGCAACCCCGTTTCTGCTAAAAATACAAAAATTAGCTAGGGGTGGTGGTGTGGGCCTGTAGTCCCAGCTACTCAGGAGGCTGAGGCAGGAGAATCACTTTAACCTGGGAGTGGGAGGTTGCAGTGAACCAAGATCGTGCCATTGCACTCCAGCCTGGGCGACAGAGGGAGACTTTGTCTCAAAAAAAAAAAAAAAAAGAAGAAAAAAAAGAAATACTACAGAGCTATAATAACCAAAGCAGCATGGTACTAGCATAAAAGCAGACATATAGATTAGTGAAACAGAACAGAAAACCCAGAGATAAATCCATACATCTATAGTGAACTTATTTTTGACAAAGGTGCCAATAGCATATATGGGGGGAAAAGGACAGTCTTTTCAATAAATGGTGCTGGGAAAACTGGATATCCATATCCAAAAGAATGAAACTGGACTCCTATCTCTCACCATATACAAAAATCAAATTAAAATGAATTAAAGACTTAAATCTAAGACCTTAAACTATGAAACTACTAAGAGAAAATACTGGCTGGGCACAGTTGGCTCACACCTGTAACCCCAGCACTTTGGGAGGCGAGGCAGGTGGATCACCTGAGGTCAGGAGTTCGAGACCAGCCTGTCCAATGTGGCGAAACCCCGTCTCTACTAAAAATACAAAAAATTAGCCGGGTGTGGTGGTGTGTGCCTGTTATCCCAGCTACTCGGGAGGCTGAGGCAGAAGAATTGCTTGAACCCGAGGGGCAGAGGTTGCAGTGAGCTGAGATGGCGCCACTGCACTCCAGCCTGGGTGACAGAGTGAGACTCCATCTCAAAACAAACAAACAAACAAACAAACAAACAACAAAACATTGGAGAATCTCTCCAGAACACTAGACTGGGCAAAGATTTCTTGAGTAATACCCCAAAAGCACAGGTGACCAAAGCAAAAATGGAGAAATGGGATCACATCAAGTCAAAAAGTTTCTGCATAGCAAAGGAAACAATCAACAAAGTGAAGAGAGAGCCCACAGAGTGGGAGGAAATATTTGCAAACTAACCATCTGACAAGGGATTAATAGCCAGAATGTATCAAGAGCTCAACTCTATGGGGAAAAAAATATGATAATCTGATTTTTAAATGGGCAAAAAATTTGTATAGACACTTTTTAAAAGAAGACAAACTGATGACAAACAGGTATATGAGAAAATGCCCAACATCATTAATCACCAGAGAAATGCAAATCAAAACTGCAATAAGATGTTCTCTCACCCTAGTTAAAATGGCTTATATCCAAAAGTTAGGTAATGAGAAATGCTGGCAAGGACGTGGAGAAAAGGCAACCTTTGCACACTGTTGGTGGGAATGTAAATTAGTGCACTAATAGTTTGGATGTTCCTCAGAAAACTAAAAATAGAGTTACATAGGATCTAGCAATCTCACTGCTAGCGATATACCAAAAAGAAAGAAAATCTGTATATCAAAGAGATATCTGCACTCCCATGTTTATTGCAGTACTATGCACAATAGTCAAGACTTGGAATCAACCTAAGTGTCCAGCAACAGATGAATGGATAAAGAAAATGTGGTACATATACACAATGAAACATTATTCTGCCATAAAAAGAATGAGATTCTGTCATTTGTTACAACATGAATGGAACTGGAGGTCATTATGTTAAGTAAAATAAGCCAGGCACAGAAAGACAAACTGCATATGCTCACTTATTTGTGGGAGCTAAAAATTAAAATAATTGTACTCGTGGAGATAGAGAGTAGAAAGATGGTTACCAGAGGCTGGGAAGGGTAGTAGAAGCATTGGGGTAAGTGAGGATGGTTAATGGGTACAAAAAAAATAGAAAGAATGAGTAACACCTAGTATTTGCTAGCAGAACAGGGTGAGTATAGTCAAAGACAATTTAATTGTACATTTAAAAATAACGATTATAATTTGATTGTTTGTCACACAAAGGATAAATGCTTGAAGTGATAGATACCCCATTTACCCTGGTGTGATTATTACCATTGCGTGCCTGTATCAAAATATCTCATGTAGCCCATATATACACTTACTATGTACCCATACACACACAAAAAAAACTAAACACAAAAAGAGATATATCCCTTGTAAAGATGTGAGGCAAGCCAATGGAGTGGCGGAATGGCTCCCTGCTAAATATTCGAATGTCCCCCCCCACCCTCTTGCAGTTAGATGAAGTCATGTAGCTGTTTGTGGCCAATGGGATGTGAAGGAAAGTGATATGGTCACTGTTCTGTGGTGACCATAGAAGCTGTGTTCTGGTGTGAAGGAACTACAACCTGGAAGCAGCCTAGATGGCTGAGCTACCATGAGAAGTATACCTGCCCTTAAGAGCCACTTTGATTTGTAGTGAACACACTGCCCCAGTATGTTGAACCACTAATTTTTTTGTTTGTTTGTTTGTTTGTTTTGGGCATAGCCTATCCTGATGAATAGGCAGGATGGGACTGGCAGTTGGCAGTCCATCTGGCAGTTGGGATGACCATCAGTATGGCCAATTACCACTAGATTGAGCTCTGTGACATCCCTAGTAGGCAAACCCTACCCATGCATGCACAGCCTTTCAATTTCTAACTTTTAAACATAAATGGACAGCAAAATATTACTGTTAAGTAAATGTCCTCATATTAGACAGATTGACTATCAAAAGCAAACAAAAACAGATCTCAAAGGAAATAGAAACAAAGCAGTGAGCAAAGGAAAATTTCCAAAAGGATCTAGCTTATAACATTAAAGAAATGTGAGGAGATATTTTATTCCTGAAACAAAAACAAGTTGCTAATAATAAAAAAAAGGAATAATAAGTGAAAAGAGATCAAGAAGAACATTTGGGAATAAAATTAAAGAAAAGCAGCTGAAATTAAACTTCAGTAAAAGGGTTGGAAATAAAGTTAGAAAAATCTTCCAGAGAGAAATGGAAAACAGGGAAAAATGAAGGTAAAGTTAGAGAAGAAAGTGAAAAAGTGAGATGTTAAAAGAGTGCTAAATCATCTCGTTGCAAAATAAAGTGTCAATAACAATAATATCTAAACTTGCTTAAATCAAGAATTTTTGGTATAAGTATATACTTCAGAAATAAAGGGTAGCCAGAGGAAATAATGTAATGTTTGAGAAGGAAAACTCAAGACAGGAAAAAGCAGGCAGAGGATGGCTATTTTTTTCATGAGAGGTTCTATTAGTGCTATTTAACTTTTAATGTTAGGTAATGCATTAATTGTATAAAATAATAACTTTAAAAAAATAAAAATTTCTTATTGCTATTTTCCTCTTACCCTGTTTTTCTCACCCATGCATGGCACTATTGACATGTTGAACCAGATATTTCTTTGTTGTGAGGGCCGTCCTGTGTGTTGGAGGATGTTTAGCAGCATTCCTGGTCACTAGGGGTTGATTCAGTGGCACCTCTCTCCTCCATCCATTTACATTAATAACAACTAAAAATCTCTCTAGACACTGTCAAATCCCCTGGGGGATAAAATTGACCCCTGGTTTGGGAACCACTGATTTGAATCTACACAATACTAACATTAAAAACAAACAAAAACCAGAGGCACAAAAGCTCTCCAAATGTCCACCAACATGTCAAAAGCATTTAGAATTCACTTTGAATTGTAAAATTTCTTACGAGTCCGTAGGCTTTGAAATGTAGGTCTTAGGATCCATATATTTAAATTTGTGATGTATTGTGTTGCAGGGGTAATGCTGTTTGACTAAAATTAAGATCTTAATACCCACTGTGTGCTTTGACTTTCATTTTAGCTACCGTGAATTGATGAGCAAATCTAACATAGGAGGCATCCTCTTGAGTCCCTGCTGGATAGTAAGCACACCCCTGTCATTCAAATGTTGCTGAATAATAATCCACTGTTCTAAAGAAAAGACCTAACTATGGATGGGATATAATTAAAAATAACAAGCTGTGTATTCTGGTTACAACAGTAGCAAGTTTGGCTTTGTGTGGCTGAGCTGTTTGGAGGAAGATCCTGCAGTTTTAGCAGGACTCCTCTCATGTCCATATTAATCAATGCTCTTGTGGTCAATCAGAAGTTTGACTGATGCTTTCATGTGGATAGAGTAACTCTGCCAGCTAAGAATAGAATAATAACACAGAGAAGAGATAATAATAGACAGTTGGCAGTTTTAATGGACACAGCCTTCCTTCTGGAGAGCTTGTCAACCTTGGTTAAGGAGTCAGTAGGCTGATTTCTGTTTAATTTGGGCATATGACATCCAGGATTTCATTTCTTTGCATGGCTAATGACCTGGTCGAGGAACCAAATATCAAGTAGTGTGTTCACATTCATGAAATTGAAAATAATGTTTTCTCAGTGTTTGGGGGCATATTTTCTTGTTCCACTTTCATAAAGTGTGATTTTTATAGCAAAGTAAGGGAGAGAGACCCCTTAAAAAGAAGTCTTCCTAGTGATTAACTTATTATTTTAAGTTTTTAACATTACAGCAATTTAGAATTTCTTTGTACTTTATTTTATCTTCTCTTTTGCATGAGGGCATTTTCCTGTGTTTGGGTAACTGACCCATCTTTTCCCTTGGAAATGCTGATAGATTTTGCCTATTCCCTTAGCAGCTAGACTCTTGGGTTTGATTTGCTCCAGGCACTTAAAAAAAAAACGGAGAAATTTTCTTTATATTCTTGTTTTTTACTTTCCTTAGGCCTGTGGCATCTCTGGAGTGCTGTGCAGCAGATGGAGAAATGAAGCCTGCTGTTTCAGCTCATGAAAAGCTTACCTTAGTGATTCAAACTGGAGATCAAAGAACTTCATGGGTTTATAAGACAGATATATCAAGATCCAATCATATAGAATTGCTAATTTTTCATAAATCTACACAAAGGCAGCCTAGTCAAAGGCAATATATGCATCCTTTTCCATTAAAAAAGTAACAGAATGTAATTTTCAGGAGCATAAAGACTATTCATTTTCATGAATGTAGATTTGTGCTCAGAAATGGAATTGCAAACTTATTCAAGAGCTTAACAAAGTAAAGCTACATTTGGTTAAATGAAAGCAAATAGTGGAGAACAATATTTTTGAAACATGTTATTCTTTCAGCTAACATGAGTAAATGAGGAGTAGAAATGACAATTCTGCCTGTGTGTCAAATAAGCAAGCTTCTTAGGACATAAAGAGGTTAGAGGCTGAGATAAAAAGAAATTGATTTGGAAAATTGGAGAAATTCACAGTTAAGTAGTTAATTGGTAACTATTCCTGCTGCTAGCTTCTTCCGTAAGGAAACCTACAGGTAGCATTCTATACCATATTGGCTCTTCTGGACTGGCCAGACACGTGAGAGGTGTTGAATGAACTATTAATAAAAAAGCTCACCACATTTACATATGATCATCCTTGAAATGGAGATGACTAAACTATGGGAGTTGTTCAAAATGATTGAAACTTTGAAAAGAACCCACCTTTTGTAGTGATCCATCTAGTTGTTCAGGGAGTTAATGGGTAAAACAGATATTCCCAAGCAGTCATTTGCTGGAGGAAATGTACTGCTTCATCTTTATGTTCCTGGTTCTTACATTCAGCAAATTTTTACTGAGCATTTATTATGTTCCAAGTATCATGGCTGGTACTAGGAATACAGAGATACACAGTTGTTGACCTCAAGAAACTAATATTGTCGTGGAATGAAAGACATATTAACAGATATTTATGTTACTGTGATAAGTGCTAAGATGGAGCCATACCTAAGTCAGGCTGAAGGAGATGTTTGGAGTCAGATAAAGGGTTTGAGAGAAGAAAATATATCAGACACATCTTAAAGGACCAGAGACATATAGTCTGCTGAGGAAGAGGAATCAGGCATTTCAGGAATTTGGGTCTAGGCTTTTCTCCACTTTGTTGCTCCTTGGAACTTAGGTTGGGGTTGAAGAAGAGTTGTGAGATGTATTTCTATTGGTTTATGAGGAAGGGGTCTGTCTTAGTCTGTTTTATGTTACTTATAACGGAATACCTAAAACTGGGTAATTTGTAAGACATGAAATTTGTTTCCTTACAGTTCTGGAGGCTTGAAAGTCCAAGGTCAAGTGGATGCAACTGGTAAGACCATTCTTGCTGGTGGGGATTCTCTGCAGAGTCCTGAGGTAGTGTGGGACATCACATGGTGAGGGGGCTGAGCATGCTAGATCAGGCCTCTTGCTCTGCTTTTAAAGCCACCAGTCCCATTCCCATGATAAACCATTAAACCATTAGCCCATTAATTCATTATTGGATTAATCCATTGATGAAGGCAGAACCCTCATGATCCAATCACCTCTTAAAGGCTTCACCTCTCAATACTGGTACATTGGTGATTAAATTTCACATGAATTTTGGAGGGGACAAATGTTCAAACTATAGCAGGTCTTACCTTTGAGGGAGCTTCTCTGGAGGCTATCTAATATGAATACATTTGGCTTTGACCTAGGCCATTAGTTTATATCCTTCTCAGGATTCTCTTCCTTGTATTAAAGACAAAGGGTTTTTTTTTTTGCATGGTTTTTGATTTATTTCAAAAAGAACTATTTCATATGACATAACTTGAAGCCTATCATGGCAGTGAGGAAAAATTGTGTTGAAAAAATGACACAGCTAATTTATTTGATGAGGCAGTCAGAAAGATTAACGATTATTAGGCACCATTTAATGCATATGTTGACTGCTGCTTGCTTGTCTATTTGAAACCAGTCTTTAATCATAGATAAAAACAGGATTTGGCTATAGTTTCTAGTTGCTCTTGAATCATGGGCAGTGAGAGGCAATCTAGGACTTGAGTTAAAATACAAAATACTCTGACTTTTTTTGGATGGGCTATCTTTGCGGGCTAAACAGATTTCAAATAATTCATGGAAGGATCACATTATAAATAACCTGCTAGAGAACTTCATATAAAATTAGCTTTTATAAGCTTTTAACCCAAATTTTTTATAATCAAAGGAATAAAAAGTACATTTTCAAGTAATAGAATCCAAATTTGTTTTGACTAAAGCTAGTGTAAATTTTTAGTACCAAACAAGAACGCATGCATTATCACAGCTTTTCCTCCATTATGACAAAACAACTTTGTCACGAAGCCCAGACAGATTATTTCTATAAGACCATAACATGAAATGCCATTAGATGTCAAAGGCTTGCCAATTAAGGGTTTATCTTTGCAACAGAGGCAGCAGACACACAACAAAAACATGCCGTTTCCATTTCCTATAATCTGAGAAACTTGCTAGCAGCAAATCAACTGTATGAATGAAATTGTATATCTCTATCAGCAAATAATTCACTCAAACCTGTCTTCCTTCAAAGCCCTTTTTCATGTTTTGTTTTTTTGCATATTTACTAATAACAAGTATAGGAACGTAGTAAGTCAGTTGGAGAAAGGCTCTTGCCTTCCTTATTATGTGAGAAATTTGTATGATAAAAGTGGATGTACTCTGGACAAAGGACTCTGGACTTCAGGGTGCTTACTAACTCAGAAAAGCTGGACTGGAACTTTAAAATAAAATGACAACTAACTATGTGGTTTAAGTCAAAACCTCTAAGGAATCTGAGATCGGCTGTGCTGTTATGGTCCCACTAGTATATAGATTTTTGTTTTCTGCTCCAAGTTACATTATTTACTTCAGCTCTAGCTTGTAGGTCCATGGCTGAGGTCTGACAAGTGGGTATGGCCTCTGCATTACTGGGAAACACCCAGGGAAGGAAAGGTGCAATAATTCATGTGGAAGGGGACCCTCTGCTTTAAAACAGGGCTGTGGCTTCTGGTGCTGCCTTTGTGTGACTTTTTAAAAGATGTCTCCTCTGAGTAGGGCAGATTTTGGAGAGCAGAGTACAAGTTGAATTTCACCCCTTACTCATCCCGTCAACCTTACCTGGTTGGTAATGCTGCTTGAGTGGCTGATGTTTTAAGAGGCTGTGAAGAGAAGCTTCCATAGTAGCTGCAGATGATCTGCAGAAAGCATCTGCCCTAGTTAAGTTTTATGTATAAGGTGTTTTTTTTTTTTTTTTTTTTTTTTAATGGAGTCTCACTCTGTTGCCCAGGCTGGAGTGCAGTGGTGCAATCTTGGCTCACTGCAAGCTCCGCCTCCCAGGTTCACGCCATTCTGCTGCCTCAGCCTCCCAAGTAGCTGGGACTACAGGTGCCTGCCACCACGCCTGGCTAATTTTTTTTTTTTTTTGTATTTTTAGTAGAGATGGGGGTTTCACTATGTTAGCCAGGATGGTCTCGATCTCCTGACTTCATGATCCGCCCGCCTTGGCCTCCCAAAGTGCTCGGATTACAGGCATGAGCCACCACGCCCGGCCCAGGTATAAGGTTTTTATGTCTGCTTTTTCCTCTTTTACCTTGTGCCTAGGATAAAACACAGCTCAATAAATATTTGATCTGTAAATGTGACTGATTAGCTGACAAATGGGTTAGAAGAATTGTTACTTGGTGGTATCTCCCAAATACATTTAGGGAATGTTGATGTTGTGATAAGGCAATCGAATTTTCTCTGTAGGTCTAGACCCTACAGTTTTACTCATTAGCTAGTCATAGTAAAATGTCCCTCATTAACATGGGTGACTTGCTACCCAACTGTTTCCTTTATCAGAAGCGGCTATATTAAGTACTTCAGTCTGTTCTTAATGATAGTACATCCACATCACTACGGAGACATGAATATTCATCAAAAGTTCAAAGAGATGACAAAGTCTAAAAACACAGAGGGGCAGTGAGAAACCAAGAGAAGCAAAGAGGGGAAGAGAGTATTTGTAGTGATAGTCAGAGGCTCAGTAATTACACTTTTCTTCTTGTCATATTCTTTTCCTTTCCATCCATAGGAGAATATATTTTCTAAGCAGGTGTAAGGCTTTCTCCCCCTGTTTTCAGCAAAGATGTTCCCTGCTAGCTTAGTACCTGGGTCATCAGAACAGACACTTGTTTGATGAAACATGGCTCTCTTGTTTGGACAGATAACGTTAACTACAAACATATGCTTACCTGTGAAGAGTTTCCTAGGTAAAGCCTAAAGCATCTTTCTTTTGAACATTTTTACTTTGCATTCAAACTGTGTTCTGATTTTGTGCCAAAAAATATCTTGCAATTCTCTTCTTACCAGAAACCGGAGGTAACATTCTTAGTTTGGAACCATGTGTCCCTTCTCTTCTTGTGCTTCTTGTTATCAGCTGTACTCAATGTTTTGACTCCACAGGTGAATCAGATGCACAAGAAATTTCGTGCTCGGCTTCCTCCACCTCTACCGCTGATTCAGAAACTATTCTCTTTTTGCCACGAAGACAAGAGATGAAATGCCAGCAATGTTTTCACTTTCTTCCATCATCCACCTCTCTTTCTAAGAAATTTCTAAATGTTGACTTCCAAATTTGTGGGCCTTCCAGGCAGTTATTTTTGTCCATATGGAAACTGAACAGGAGCTAGAAATTTAGTAAATTTCATCATGTGAAATGTTTTTTCATAAGGGCCCAAATTGCAGTCTTTCAGAATTTTACACAGTTGTGGTGGTGGCAGGGGATAGTGAGGTGAAGAAGGGCAAGAAATGCTTTTAAATCTGCTTTAGGCTGTGTATGATCTTCATGAAAAGAGTATTTATTCATCTTAATCTGGGAATAGACAGCATGTGCTGCAAAGAACAGGGTATGTTGAAAGCTGGTTTATTTTTCTTTGCCAAGTATTTTCTCATTCTTGAATGTGACCCCAATTATGAAAGAGTTACAAATTAATGGCTCAGCCTTTCATCATCTTGATTTCTTGGTATAGGGCTGTAGAGAGGTGATGCTTCCTGTGAAAGAAATTGCGCTCAAAAGTACTTGAGGCAGTGAGTGGCACATAGCTTGGGAACCCTATTTACTAGACCAGTGAAGGGAGGCTTAAGTCCCATTTGGCTAATCAGCAATTTATTTTCACAGCAGAGGGAATTCTAGCAAACGGTGTTTAAGCAAATAAATAATAATGGCTTGGGGTGAGGCTATTAAGTCTCCAGCTATAACATTTGAGATTTAATAATGACTTGGAACTTTTCTATAGTAAAATACCATGCTGACCAGCTTACATCAGCATGGATGTTTGCCTTCATTAGCTTCACGGCTGTCAAGACTGTGACTTGTAAATTTTCACCCTTCACCTTCATGTAAAAGGCCACATACTCATGGTTACAAAGAGCACAGGAAATCATTTATTTTCCAGAAGGTTTAAGCGATTGGAATATTGGACTCAATATTTTTCTTTTGAACTATGTCTGTTCTTCTGACTGTGTAACTAGATACAAAAATAAAGAAGAGGAGAAGGTTGAATGAGCTTTACCTGACGCAAAATTGGTAAAGTAAAGCAGTAGTTAGCTTAGAAAAAGTGATTAGAAGCTGAAAAGCTAAGATCAAGAGCAAAAGGACAACTGGATTTCAGACATTAATTATTTTTAATTAAAGCATAAAGAAATCAACTTTATTCTCATACATTAGATACTATATTTGCTCTTAGCCAAAAGACTAAGAAGCAACCAGTCTCATATATTAGAAAGCCATCCATATTTATGGGAGGCTGATTTAGAAATATATAATAATATTATTTTCCTGTTGTGTGCAGACTCTCATTTCAGAAGAGGATGACCAACAAATATCAGAAAATATCAGTGAGCTATTTCTGAGATTTTGCCTAAGCTTTGTGTGTACAATATATAGATATTAGCAAAATTTTATTCTTTTGATGCTTTCTCTAGGAAAGAGTTTATAATTATGCCATTTGCAAGATGCAAATCAATAGTTGTGTTTGAACAATTTTTTTTCTCTGAAGCAAGAAGTGTGACTTATTACGAAAAGTACACCTAGGATTGTAGTCATAAGCTTGTAAGAACAAAATAATAGCATATACGAAGTTAGGATGTGTTCAGAACAGAATGGGAATGGGAATACATGTGGGAGCATGCCTGGGTGCTCAGCACTTCGTAAAATGAATAAAACAATAGCAAATGTGATTTGGCAGTGCATGGTCCAGTAACTGCAGGGCTCAAAAACAGTGTGAAACATTGCCTAATGATGAAAACTTCATTAGAAGTCAAGCTTTGTTGATTACAAATTAAGTGTTATCCCATTCTGCAAACTTAAGTTTAGGACCTTGGCCAAGAGTCACAGTAATTTTCTTTGAAACTTGGTCTCACTGCACTAGGCCAATCTTCTTTTTCTGTTGAAAATGTTCCAGAGGGAAGGTAGGTACAGCAGCATTACATGGAAAGGATACTGGGCCGAAAATTTAAAAAGCTTGTCTTCCAGTTTTCAATGTGTTACTAACTAGGTATGTAAAGCTGGACATATAAACATTCCTTTGTGTTTCAGTTTACTAAATGGTAAAGTGATCCGTATCCTTCCAGCAGTAAAATTGTGAGATGATTGCCTGTAGTCTCTCGAATCTTGGTGCAAGGGGAGGAGAAGCATCTGAGCCCTGCTAACATGAAAACTTTGCCTCAGGGTCCAGTACTATGAGCTACCTTCTCATAGCTCAGAGCTACCCTATGAGCTACTTTCTTTATCTGTGATATTATTGGTATTGGTGAGGAAGGGGAAAGAGGTTATTTTATTTTAACATATTTGGTGGGTATAAGTGCAGGATTCTTATATGCATATACTGTGTACTGGTGAAGCCTGGGCTTTTAGTGTACCCATCACTGAATAGTGAACATTTTACCCAATGGATAACTTTTCAACCCTCATGCCCCTCACATTGTCTCATCTTCCCACCCTTTGTAGTCTTCAATGTCTATTATTCCCTTCTTTATGTCCATGTATACCCATCGTTTAGCTCTCACTTATAAGTGAGAACATGTGTTTTTTGATTTTCTGTTTTGGAATTAATTCACTTAGGATAATGGTCTCCAGTTCCATCTACGTTGCTGCAAAAGACATGATTTCATTCCTTTTTATGGCTCAGTAGTATTCCAAAGTGTGTATACATATGATGATGGAAACTTAGGTTGGTTCCATATCTTTGCTATTGCAAATAGTGCTGTGATAAACATATGAGAGCAGGAATCTTCTTGATATGATTTCTTTACCTTTGGGTGGATACCAATGGTGGAATTGCTGGGTGAATTTTTAATTCTTTGGGAAATCTCCACACTGTTTTCCATAAAGGTTGTACTAATACAAATTCCCACCAATGGTGTATAAGCATTCCCTTTCCTCTGCATTCTTGGTAACATCTATTGTTTTTAGACTTTATACTAATGACCATTCTGACTAGTGTAAGATGGTATCTCATTGTGATTTTAATTTGCATTTTTCTAATTAGTAATTTTGAGCATTTTTTCTGGTGTTTGTTGGCTCCTTGTATGTCTTCTTTTAAAAAATGCCCATATTCTTTGCTCACTTTTTAATGGGATTACTTGTTTTTTTCCCTTTTGAGTTGTTTGAGTTCTTTGTAGATTCTGAATATTAGTCCTTTTTAGGATGCATAGTTTGCAAATATTTACTCCTATTCTGTAGATTGTTTACTCTGTTGATTGTTTCTTTTGCTGTGCAGAAGCTTTTTAGTTTAGTTAAGTCCCATTTGTCTATTTTTGTTTTTGTCATGTTTGCTTTTGAGAATTTGGTCATAAATTCTTTGCTTAGGCTGATGTCCAGAAGAGTTTGTCCTAGGTTTCTTTCTAGGCTTTTTATTTTTGCAGGTCTCATGTTTAGGTCTTTAATCCATCTTGAGTTAATTTTTGTATATGATGAAAGGTAAGGGTTCAGTTTCATTCTTCTGTATATGGGTATTGATAGAGTTTGGCTGTGTCCCTACCCAAATCTCATTTTGAATTGTAACTCCTACAATTCCCACGTGTTGTGGGAGGGACACAGTGGGAAGTAATTAAACCATGGGGGTGGTTCTTTCTTCTAATAGTGAATAATTCTCACGAGATCTGATGGTTCTGAAAAGAGGAGTTCTCCTGCACAAGCTCTCTCTCTCTTTGCCTGCCGCCATCCATGTAAGATGTGACTTGCTCCTCCTTGGCTTCTGCCATGATTGTGAGGCCTCTGCAGCCACATGGGACTGTAAGTACATTAAACCTCTCTTTCTTCTGAGTCTTGGGTATGTCTTTATCAACAGTGTGAAAACAGACTAATACATGTATCCAATTTCCCTAGCACCATTTATTGAGTGCAGTGACATTTCCCCAGTGTATATTTTTATTGACTTTGTGGAAGATTTATTGGTTGTAGGTATGTGACTTTATCTTTGGACACTCTATTCTGTTACATTGATCTGTGTATCTATTTTTATACCAGTATGATGTTGTTTTGGTTATTATAACCCTGTAACATTATTTGAAGTCAAGTAATGTGATGTCTCCAGCTTTGTTCTTTTTGCTTAGAATTGATTTAGCTTTTTGGGCTCTTTTTTGGTTCTGTATGAATTTTAGGATTTTTTTTCTAATTCTATGAAAACTGTTGTTGGTAATTTGATAGGAATTGCATTGAGTCTGTAGATTGCTTTGGGCAGTATGTTTATTTTAAAAATATTGATTCTTCCAATCCATGAGTATGGAATGTTTATCCATTTGTTTGTATCATCTTCAATTTGTTTCATCAGTGTTTTGTAGTTCTTTCTGTATAGATCTTTCACCTCTTTGGTTAAATTTACTCCTAAGTATTTAATTTTTTTTGGTACCTATTATAAATGGGTTTGCTTTCTTGATTTGGTTGTTGGCTAGATTGTTATTGGTGTATAGAAATGCTATTGATTTCTCTTCATATAATTTTATATCCTAAAACTTTATTGAATTCATCTATCAACTCTGAGTTTTTTGGTATAGTCTTCAGGTTTTTCTAGATATAAGATTATATTATTGAGGAACAGAGAAAATTTAACTTCTGCTTTTCCAATTTGAATGACTTATTTTTTCTCTTCCCTAACTGTTCTGGCAAGAACTTCTTGTATTTGTTGAATAAGAGTGGTGAAAGTGAACATCCTTATATTTTTGCAGTTCTTAGAGGGTGTTAAAGCAAACTAACTATGGCCTGAGAAGGACTCCGTACTGTATTTAAGTCCTTGTGGACAAACTGCAACCTAACTTAATAGGTAGACAAGATTGAAAACCTAACTTAGCTGTTCCAAGATGGCCAAATAGAAACAGCTCCGGTCTGCAGCTCCCAGCATGATCAACGCAGAAGATGGGTGATTCCTGCATTTCCAACTGAGGTGCCTGGTTCATCTCACTGGGACTGGTTGGACATTGGGTGCAGCCCACAGAGGGTGAATCGAAGCAGGGCAGGGCATTGCCTCACCTGGGAAGCACAAGGGGTCAGGGATTTCCCTTTCCTAGCCAAGGGAAGCCATGACAGACTGTACCTGGAAAAATGGGACACTCTCGCCCAAATACTGCACATTTCCAAAGGTCTTAGCAACCAGTAGACAAGGAGATCCTCTCCTGTGCCTGGCTTGGCGGCTCCTACACCCATGGAGCCTTGCTCACTGCTAGCGCAGCAGTCTGAGATGGAACTGCGAGGCAGCAGCCTGGCTGCAGGAGGGGCATCCACCATTGCTCAGGCTTGAGTAGGTAAACAAAGTGTCCAGGACACTTGATCTGGGCAGAGCCCACTGCAGCTTAGCAAGGCCTACTGCCTCTATAGACTCCACCTCTGTGGGCAGGGCATAGCTGAACAGAAGGCAGCAGACAATTTCTGCAGACTTAAACGTCCCTGTCTGATAGCTCTGAAAAGATCAGTTGTTCTCCCAGTACGGCGTTTGAGCTCTGAGAATGGACAGACTGCTTCCTCAAGTGAATCCTTGACCCCCGTGTAGTCTAACTGGGAGACACTTCCCAGTAGGGACCGACAGACACCTCATATAGGCAGGTGACCTTCTGGGACGAAGCTTCCAGAGGAAGGATCAGGCAGCAATATTTGCTGTTCTGCAATGTTTGCTGTTCTGCAGCCTCTGCTGGTGATACCCAGGTAAACAGCATCTGGAGTGGACCTCCAGCAAACTCCAACAGACATGCAGCTGAGGGACCTGACTGTTAGAAGGAAAACTAAAAAACAGGAATAGCATCAACATCAACAAAAAGGACATTCACACCAAAACCCCATCTGTAGGTCACCAGCATCAAAGACCAAAGGTAGATAAAACCACAAAGATGGGGAGAAACCAGAGCAAAAAAGCTGAAAATTCTAAAAACCAGAGCACCTCTTCTCCTCCAAAGGATCTCAGCTCCTCGCCAGCAACAGAACAAAGCTGGATGGAGAATGACTTTGATGAGTTGACAGAAGTAGGCTTCAGAAGGTAGGTAATAACAGACTTCTCCGAGCTAAAGAAACATGTTCAAACCCGTCGCAAGGAAGCTAAAAACCTTGAAAAAAGATTAGATTAATCACTAACTAGAATAAACAGTGTAGAGAAGACCTTAAATGATCTGATGGAGCTGAAAACCGTGGCACAAGAACTTCATGATGCATGCACAAGCTTCAATAGCCGATTCAATCAAGCGGAAGAAAGGTTATCAGTGATTGAAGATCAAATGAATGAAATAAAGCGAGAAGACAAGGTTAGAGAAAAAAGAGTAAAAATGAATGAACAAAGCCTCCAAGACGTGGGACTATGTGAAAAGACCAAATCTATGTTTGATAGGTGTACCTGAAAGTGATGGGGAGAATGGAACCAAATTGGAAAACACTCTTCAGGATATTATCCAGAACTTCCCCAACCTAGCAAGGCAGGCCAACATTCAGATTCAGGAAATATAGAGAACACCACAAAGATACTCCTCGAGAAGAGCAACCCCAGGACACATAATTGTCAAATTCACCAAGGTTGAAATGAGGGAAAAACTGTTAAGGGCAGTCAGAGAGAAAGGACGGGTTACGCACAAAGGGAGGCCCATCAGACTATCAGCTGATCTCTTGGCAGAAACCCTACAAGCCAGAAGAGAGTGGGGGCCAATATTTAACATTCTTAAAGAAAAGAATTTTCAACCCAGAATTTCATATCCTGTCAAACTAAGCTTCATAAGTGAAGGAGACATAAAATCCTTTACAGACAAGCAAATGCAGAGAGATTTTGTCACCACCAGGCCTGCCTTACAAGAGCTCCTGAAGGAAACATAGAAAGAAACAACCAGTACCAGCCATTGCAAAAACATGCCAAATTGTAAAAACCATCAATGCTATGAAGAAACTGCATCAAGTATGAAGCAAAATAACCAGCTAACATCATAATGACAGGATCAAATTCACACATAACAAAATTAACCTTATATGTAAATAGGCTAAATGCCCCAATTGAACTGGCAAATTGGATAAAGAGTCAAGACCCATCAATGTGCTGTATTCAGGAGACCCATCTCACGTGCAGAGACACACAGGCTCAAAATAAATGGATGGAGGAAGATCTACCAAGCAAATGGAAAGCAAAAAAAAACAAAAAAAAAAAAACAAAAAAAAAAACAGGGGTTGCAATCCTAGTCTCTGATAAAACTGACTTTAAACCAACAAAGATCAAAAGAGACAAAGAAGGCCATTACCTAATGGTAAAGGGATCAATTCGACAAGAAGAGCTAACTATCCTAAATATATATGCCACCAATACAGGAGCACCCAGATTCATAAAGAAAGTGCTTAGAGACCTACAAAGAGACTTAGACTCCCACACAGTAATAGTGGGAGACTTTAACACCCCACTGTCAATATTAGACAGATCAATGAGACAGAAGGTTAACAAGGATATCCAGGACTTGAACTCAGCTCTGCACCAAGCAGACCTAATAGACATCTACAGAACTCTCCACCCCAAATCAATAGAATGTACATTCTTAGCACCACATCACACTTATTCCAAAATTGACCACATAGTTGGAAGTAAAGCACTCCTCAGCGAATGTAAAAGAACAGAAATTATAACAAACTGTCTCTCAGACCACAGTGCAATCAAACTAGAACTCAGGATTAAGAAACTCACTCAAAACTGCACAACTACATGGGAACTGAACAACCTGCTCCTGAATGACTACTGGGTAAATAATGAAATGAAGGCGGAAATAAAGATGTTCTTTGAAACCAATGAGAACAAAGACACAACGTACCAGAATCTCTGGGACACATTTAAAGCAGTGTGTAGCGGGAAATTAACGCCCACAAGAGAAAGCAGGAAAGATCTAAAATGGACACCCTAACATCACAATTAAAAGAACTAGAGAAGCAAGAGCAAACACATTCAAAAGCTAGCAGAAGGCAAGAAATAACTAAGATCAGAGCAGAACTGAGAGATAGAGACATAAAAAACCCTTCAAAAAATCAATGAATCCAGGAGCTGGTTTTCTGAAAAGATCAACAAAATTGATAGACCACTAGCAAGACCAATAAAGAAGAAAAGAGAGAAGAATCAAATAGACTCAATAAAAAATGATAAAGGGGATATCACCACTGATCCCACAGAAATACAAACTACCATCAGAGAATACTATAAACAATTATGCACAATTAAACTAGAAAATCTAGAGGAAATGGATAAATTCCTGGACACATACACCCTCCCAAGACAAAACCAGGAAGAAGTGGAATCTCTGACTAGACCAATAACAAGCTCTGATACTGAGGCAATAATTAAGAACCTACCAATCAAAAAAAGTCCAGGACCAGACGGATTCACAGCCGAATTCTACCAGAAGTACAAAGAGTAGCTGGTACCATTCCTTCTGAAACTATTCTAATCAATAGAAAAAGAGGGAATCCTCCCTAACTCATTTTATGAGGCCAGCACCATCCTGCTACCAAAGCCTGGCAGAGACACAACAAAAAAAGAGAATTTTAGACCAATATCCCTGATGAACATCGATGTGAAAATCTTCAGTAAAATGCTGGCAAACTGAATCCAGCAACACATCAAAAAGCTTATCCAGCATGATCAACTCAGCTTCATCTCTGGGATGCAAAGCTGGTTCAACATACACAAATCAATAAACATAATCCATCACATAAACAGAACCAATGACAAAATCGCATGATTATCTCAATAGATGCAGAAAAGGCCTTCGACAAAATTCAACAGCCCTTCATGCTAAAAACTCTCAATAAACTAGGTATTGATGGAACGCATCTCAAAATAATAAGAGCTGTTTATGACAAACCCACAGCCAACAACATACTGAATGGGCAAAAACTGGAAGCATTCCCTTTGAAAACTGGCACAAGACAAGGATGCCCTCTCTCACCACTCCTATTCAACATAGTGTTGGACGTTCTGGCCGGGGCAATCAGGCAAGAGAAAGAAATAAAGGGTATTCAGTTAGGACAAGAGGAAGTCAAATTGTCCCTGTTTGCAGATGACATGATTGTATATTTAGAAAACCACATCATTTCAGCTCAAAGTCTCCTTAAGCTGATAAGCAACTTCAGCAAAGTCTCAGGATACAAAATCAATGTGCAAAAATCACAAGTATTCATATACACCAATGACAGACAAATAGAGAGCCAAATCATGAGTGAACTCCCATTCACAATTGCTTCAAGGAGAATAAAATACCTAGGAATCCAACTAACAAGGGATGGAAAGGACCTCTTCAAGGAGAACTACAGCGCACTGCTCAACAAAATAGAACAGGACACAAAGAAATGGAAGAACATTCCATGCTCATGGACGGAAAGAATCAATATAGTGAAAATAGCCATACTGCCCAAGGTAATTTATAGATTCAATGCCATCCCCATTGAGCTACCAATGACTTTCTTCACAGAATTGGAAAAAACTACTTTAAAGTTCATATGGAACCAAAAAAGAGCCCACATTGCCAAGACAATCCTAAGCAAAAAGAACAAAGCTGGAGGCATCACACTACCTGAATTTCAACTATACTACAAGGCTACTGTAACCAAAACAGCATGGTACTGGTTCCAAAACAGAGATATAGACCAATGGAAGAGAACAGAGGCCTCAGAAATAATACCACACATCTACAACCATGTGATCTTTGACAAATATGGCAAAAACAAGCAGATTGAGGAAAGGATTCCCTATTTAACAAATGGTGCTGGGAAAACTGGCTAGCCATATGTAGAAAGCTGAAACTGGATCCCTTCCTTACACCTTATACAAAAATTAATTCAAGATGGATTAAAGACTTAAATGTTAGATCTAAAACCATAAAAACCCTAGAAGAAAACCTAGGCAATACCATTCAGGACATAGCCATGGGCAAGGACTTCATAACTAAAACACGAAAAGCAATGGCAACAAAAGCCAAAATTGACAAATGGGATCTAATTAAACTAAAGATCTTCTGCATGGCAAAAGAAACTACCATCAGAGTGAACAGGCAGCCTACAGAATGGGAGAAAATTTTTGCAATCTACCCATCTGACAAAGGGCTAATATCCAGAATGTACAAAGAACTCAAACAGATTTACAAGAAAAAGAAAACAAAAAACAACCCCATCAAAAGTGGGCGAAGGATATGAACAGACACTTCTCAAAAGGAGACATTTATGCAGCCAATTGATACATGAAAAAATGCTTATCATCTCTGGTCATCAGAGAAGAGCATATCAAAACCACAATGAGGTACCATCTCACACCAGTTAGAATGGTGATCATTAAAAAGTCAGGAAACAGCTGGGCAGGGTGGCTCATGCCTGTAATCCCCACACTTTGGGAGGCTGAGGCGTGTGTATCATGAGGTCAGGAGATCAAGACCATCCTGACTAACATGGTAAAACCCCATCTCTACTAAAAATACAAAAAATTAGCTGGGTGTGGTAGGGCACCTATAGTCCCAGCTACTTGGGAGGCTGAGGCAGGAGAATGGTGTGAACCCGGGAAGCGGAGCTTGCAGTGAGCTGAGATGGCACCACTGCACCCCAGCCTGGGCGACAGAGCGAGACTCCATCTCAAAAGAAAAAAAAAAAAAGTCAGGGAATAACAGCTGCTGGAGAGGATGTGGAGAAATAGGAATGCTTTTACACTGTTGGTGGGACTGTAAACTAGTTCAACCATTGTGGAAGACAGTGTGGCGATTCCTCAAGGATCTAGAGCTAGAAGTGCCATTTGACCCAGCAATCCCATTACTTGGTATATACCCAAAGGATTATAAAGCATGCTACTATAAAGACACATACACACGTATGTTTATTGTGGCACTATTCACAATAGCAAAGACTTGGAACCAACCCAAATGTCCATCAATTATAGACTGGATTAAGAAAATGTGGCACATATACACCATGGAGTACTATGCAGCCAAAAAAAAAAAGGATGAGTTCGTGTCCTTTGCAGGGACATGGATGAAGCTGGAAACCATCATTCTCAGCAAACTATCACAAAGACAGGAAGCCAAACACAGCATGTTCTCCCTCATAGGTAGGAATTGAACAATGAGAACGCTTGGACACAGGGTGGGGAACATCACACACAGGGGCCTATCTGGGAGTTGGAGTGCTGAGGCAAGGATAGCATTAGGAGAAATACCTAATGTAAATGACGAGTTGATGGGTGCAGCAAATCAGCATGGCACATGTATACCTATGTATCAAACCTGCACGTTGTGCACATGTACCCTAGAAGTTAAAGTATAATAATAATAATAAAAAGAAAACCTAGTTTAGGAGTATGCATCTGTAACAATAGCTGAGTCTTGGCCAATCTCAGCCGCCATACTTCAACCACTCATACACTGCTGAGTGTTCAAACTGTGTTCAAATAAGGCAAATTCGGAGCTGTAACCAATTCAGTTGTTTCTGTACCTCTCTTCTGATTTCTGTATGTTCCTTCCCTTTTTTTGTCTATAAATTTGTTCTTACCACGAGGCATCCCTGCAATCTCTCTGAATCTGCTGTGATGCTGGGGGCTGCTTGATTTACGAATTGTTCTTTGCTCAATTAAACTCCTTTAAATTTAATTCAGCTGAAGTTTTTTTTTTTTTTTAACAGATGGTGTTAGAAGTGGGGTCTGAAGTAGAGCCTCTATAAGAACCCCAGGAGTGCTGAGTGAACAAGCAAGGTATCTGCTGGAGCTACTTGTGTCCTTTGATCTCTCAGCAGCTGGAGATCATGGTAAGTTCTCTCTCAGATTTCAGAGCTCCATGGATTTGTGTTTTGAGCTCTCTAAGTTTCTTTGAGCAAATTTCTGTTCCAAACTGGGTTTGGAAGTTGCGACAGATATTAGACTGGGTTCAGGATGGGATTTGATCCAGTAATTAACTGATTTGGATCCAGTAACAGGCCACTTACATCTGACTGGGTTGGAGATAAACTGGTAGTAAATGGTAATATTGCAGGGGCTGTAAAATTTGGCTTTTGAAAATTCACAGGGATTTTTGTGTTCTACCCCTTTGTTTCATTTTTCTTGCATGCTTAGGTAGAAAAAAAATCATTGGCTAAGTTCACTAACGGAACCTGAAAGCAAAGCCGATATTTTAGTTAAAAATAGAATTCTTAATTTCTGGAAAACTGAGTTCCTTCTGGCTTATATGTTAGGCCTGGGAGGGAGCAAAGTCTTACGGAAATGGCAAAACATTACTAAAGGTAACTTACAGTGGAACATTCCAAATGAACAACAGTGCATTGAAGTGCATTAAAAAAAAAAAAGTAAAAAAGGAAAGATGGCTCCCAAATTAGTCTCATCTAGGGATGCCAATTGATATGCAGAAGCTTCTAAAAAGATTTCAATATTTTTTTTTTTTTTTTTTTTTTTTGAGACGGAGTCTCGCTCTGTGGCCCAGGCGGGAGTGCAGTGGCGCAATCTCGGCTCACTGCAAGCTCCGCCTCCCGGGTTCACGCCATTCTCCTGCCTCAGCCTCCCGAGTAGCTGGGACTACAGGCGCCCACCATCACGCCCGGCTAATTTTTTTTGTATTTTTAGTAGAGACGGGGTTTCACCGTGTTAGCCAGGATGGTCTCGATCTCCTGACCTCGTGATCCGCCCGCCTCGGCCTCCCAAAGTGCTGGGATTACAAGCGTGAGCCACCGCGCCCGGCCAGATTTCAATATTTTTATTTAAAGCACACATATTTTGCTCTGGCCAGAATGGAAAATGTTAATTTGGTTACCCCATGCCACCCCCTGGGTAGCATCTTGCAAAAGTAAGAGGATTTTGCTTGTGGTTCTGTGATTTTCCATTGTGATGCAGCTTGCCTCTCAGTGGTTGCTAGGGCCACTCAGGGAAGAGGAACTCCAAAACCTGACATGTTGGCAAAAAGGTAAGAATTGCTTACCAGTTAGACTTCTGGCCTCTCTGTCTCTGTGCAAACCTGTTGAATGAATAATAAAGATTCCTGTTTATATCCTCTGTAAAATTTTGATTAATTGAAAAAAAGCATTTGTGAGGCTAGTCTCAAGCTGTAGCCAATCTGGTGTGCTTTTTATGTCTTTCTGTATGGTTCTGTCATAAGGAGGAATATCTTAAGCTAGAACATGGGCTTAGGACCCCATAACCCCGCTGTTCAAGCCAGCCTGGCAAACTGATCAGTTACAAACTTTGCTACACGTCTCTGAAAACACACCCACACCCACACACCCCCCAAAACTGGATAGGTCTCCATTTTGTTTTACGTGCTTGGGAGCTTGACTTTGTTACCATGTGGCAGTACTTTCTTTTGGTCTCTGCCATTTTACAATGGTGGCCCAGGTTCAATTCTGGCTTAGGGAATGAGTACTCTGGTTGATATCTGTGTGACCTTTACCATTTGCTGATTCCCCTCCACGAACAACTTCTAGTTTCCCTTCTTATACCTTCCTTTCTCTGAGCTATGTTTAAAGATTCTAGATTGTAAAAACTGCTTACCACTTCTTTGAAAATACCTCGTGCACTCATGATTAAGTCATAACCTTAATTGAAGCTTTTTGGTTTCACTTGTGAGGTTACTTTTGGTAAAGTTTAAAAGCCAGAAATATTGTCCACTTGGTGTGGCTTAAGTCGGGTAATAAGAGATTTAAAAATACTTTTATAAAGAGGGTTATTTTTAAAAGTCACCTTAATTAATAGTGGATATTCAAGCTCTAACAATTTGGGACTCCTTGGGAAAAGCAAAGGAGGCACCATAGATCCTGTTTTGAAAAAAACCCTCTGTTTTTGTCATGAAAACTTAGGAATTAAAAGTGGATATATCTTCCTCAAAATCTAAGACTCTGCTCTGTTTTGCATTGCATTATCTGATGTTTTTGACTTTTGGGCGTATCACAAATTACTTTGCATTATGAGAGAGCTTTGGTGTGTAACAACTAAGTAGGAGATATACTTTTAAGGATAGGCTGATTGCAGAATGTGCTAATTGGCTTTGGGATGCTATGTGATAAAATGCACAGTAAAAGCATTGCACTGTCTTGTCGCATAGCATTTCCTTCCTTTTTGGGATCCAGGATGTGATGTAAAAATGGGACCTTTAATTTTTGAGATTTGTTTTTGTCTTCCACCTGTGCCTGCTTATTAGGCCATAAAAACTGCATGCTTTAAAGAGAAACTTAGAAACTGGCAAATGAAAAAATCTTACAGTTACTGGATCTTCTTCTGTCTATCTGAGTAGTTATATATGTGTCATGTGTGTAATGTTTATATAAAAGAGCTCTAATTAACTGTATTAAAGAAAAATAAGTGCTTAGATCAAATATTTTATAAGAAAAATAAAAACTAGGCTGGGCGTGGTGGCTCACGCCTGTAATCCTAGCGCTTTGGGAGGCCAAGGTGGGTGGATTGCCTGAGCTCAGGAGTTGGAGACCAGCCCTGGCAACACAGTGAAACCCTGTCTCTACTAAAATACAAAAAATTAGCCAGGAGTGGTGGTGTGTGCCTGTAATCCCAGCTACTTGGGCGGCTGAGCCAGGAGAGTCACTTGAACCTGGGAGGCAGAGGTTGCAGTGAGCCAAGATTATGCCATTGCACTCCAGCCTAGGCCACAGAGCAAGACTCTGTCTCACAAAAAAAAAAAAAAAAAAAGAAAGAAAAATAAAAACTGTAATGACTTTTAGTTTATGTGACTTTAGTAATCTTTGGGAAATAAAAATTTTAAAGATTATTGGCAAAAATAAAGACATTTGGTCTAAATTAGGCAGGTCAGATATTAAGTTTGCTAAGTGCTTTAAGATCATAAACTGCTTCTTTGACTTTTAAAAATTGTTCCCTAATTTACCTAGTTTGGAGCATTTGATTCTAGATAAGGCTTTGAGATGTGTGGAAAGCCATGGTCCTAGCTACGCTGGAAAGAGTCAGACCTTGTCTGGTGTCCTAGGCTCCACACCTAGTACACAATTAAAATCCTTCACTTACCAAGATTTTTCACCAATATTAAAAATTGCTAAGAGTTACCATTATAACAAATGAGACCACCAAAAAAATTGTTCTATATGCAAGGTGTGTGAGGAGAGTGAAATGTGTTTTTTTGGTAAAAATTATAAGAAGGCATGGGAATATACATTTTTGCCTAGTTCAGAGGGTTAAAGGATTGTTTTAAACTGGATGAGATAAAGCTAAAGGTTTAAACAAATTGTGAAAGGTTTGTAAAGATCATTCTTGTAAAGAAACTGTGAACATATTGACTAAATTTAAAGGTTTTTCTGTAAATTAAACATTAAAATAAAAGCACAATGGGTTTTTCTAGAACACTAATCTCTTTAACAAAAATTTATAAAGGGTTATAAAAGATGTATGAGAACTTTACATTGTGGTCAAACTGATTAAGATTGAATCAATTTGTTTATAAGGTTTTATTAAGAATTAGGGTTGACATTAGTGATACACTGATGCAAGGGTGAAATTTAGCTTTCTCTTGAACAAGATTTTCATGTAATATTAGGATAATGAAAGATTATTGTTTGCCTTTTGAATAAACTACTGAAAAAAGAAGGGAAAGAAAAGACACAGATTGTTTGGAAAGCTAAGTCCTCCCTCTATCAATGAGTAAAGGTTTTTGCCTTTTTAACAATGTTCAAGTCATCATTTTGGCGAAATGAATGACTTATGGTAACCTGGAATTCTGTTTCATAGAATCAAGTGTTTTAAACCTTTAACATATTTGATAGGCTTTCCAAAATAAAATTTCAGCTTCAAAATTGTATTTTCTGACCTCTAACTTTGAGATCCTACAGAGGGCCCCTGAAGCATCCAAAAGAGAGATAAATAGGGCTATTTGACATGTTAAGTTCCATGGGAAGCATTGTCAAAATAAAAGATAATGATTAACCTTCTTCAGGTTGTATTTTCGTGTATGTCATCGATATGTTCCAAAACTGTATGGGATTTCTAAAATTTTAATATGTCTGAGTATATGTTATCAGTCATAATTATGGTTATTAGGTTGTTACCATAAACCATAGAAATAACCAAATTTCCTTATCAATTGTGTTTTTGACTATTACTATTTAAAGTCATTTCCACAGTTAATTGCTTAATGCTGTTGCAGTTTCTGAAAACTTCACAAGCACACAAAATCCTTGAATATGGTGTCTTTTAGGAGATTCATGAAAGGCTAGAAATGCTCCTGAAAAGCACTCTTGAATACAGGTTTCTAATAATTTTAGAATCATATTATTTGAACTGGGTAATGAAAAGACTGACTGGGTTATAAAACTGCTAAACCAAGTAGAACAAAAATTAATTAAATACCAAGAAAATGCCTTGCCAGATTTTCATGCTAAATTAGCTGATACTAAAATTATTTAGATATACAATTTGAATGAACTCATGGTCTAAGTCAATTTATTTACGATAACCCATCAGTTTTCAGTGCTATGCACCTAATTTGGAGAAGCAACCAGTATTCAAGAGGATGTAAGTCTAATGTTAATTAAGCATGGACATATGGAGAACCAGGATGGCCACCGTGTTCTTCCCGAGTCCTTAAAGCTTTTGTTATTAAAGGTTCTGCATTCCATGACTCATCATGGAAAAGATAAAATTAAAGGTCCAAATTAAATATATATTGGTGTGGTGACTTCTAAATTGCTAAAATAGTTTATGACCAATGTTTGGTTTGTCAAACTCATATTCCTGGGAAGACAATCAAAGCTTCAGGTACATTTGGCTACCTAATGGACTCTTTAAATATTTATAAAGGGATTTCATTCAATTGTCATTTTCAATGCATTTTTTCTGGTTGTTTAAAAGCTTTCCCATGCAAGAGGGCTGATATTATAAAGTGAATTATTATACTACAGTGTATTTTCATCAGGTAAAGAAAGCTTTTTATGATTCACTGATTGAGGACAATCAACCCCTTCACAATCTAGAACTCAAAGATTGACTCTTCCGATAACATCAGAGAAAGACTGCCCTTGATGTCTATACTACAGCAAAACTTTGGGCCTTGAACCATGGGTTCATAATCTCACAACTGAAAAGGGGGTCCCTGCATACTCTTGGAACAGTACACTCATTGGAACCCTTAAGGTAAAGCTAACCACAGAAATTTCTGCCCAGAAGAGGATGGCATCCTTGATGTGAACAGCTTTTTCCAAGATCATGGGTCAAGACTTTTACTATTACGAGACTCTTATCTTTGGATATTTTTTTCCTTGCTTATGCCTTTATGAACAATAGAAGTGAAAAGGGAGTCTGTTATGTGCATGTATTTACTTTTATTTATGAATTATTTTGCAGCCAGCCTTAATACATGGATAACCTTATACTTTGATAAAGATGAAGACCCAATGTAGGTGAGAAACTTTAATGGTACATACATTGCCTCATAATCAGTCAGAAACAGAACATTGGTTCACTTCTCTTAACCCATATTATGGTTAAAGGGAACATTGCCAGGAGGCCTTTACTCTTCTAGAAGGGCATAGTACGTTTTTTTTTTTTTTCCCATAGTTGGAGTAAAAGAGGCAATGATTAGAAATGTCTCCCTTATGAGAGGAACTACAGTAGATTCTACTGTACAGGCTATAGTTACACAACAGACTTTAAATTCTCATGTGAAAATGATGCTAAATAATAGAATTGGCTAAATAGAGAAGTATATGTGCAGCTGCTGGCACTTATGGCCTATGGAGAAGACACTGGGTATTATAGAGATTCAGTTGTAGGGGATTAATGAAAAGACTAGTTAGTTAAGCAACTAGACTCTTTATCTAGCTCATTCTTTGATCTATTTGATTTTAGGTGGTTTGGTTTATGGGAACCCATGGTAAGGAGCATACTCCAAACTCTTGGTATTATCCTCTCAATAGTCATAATATTCTCTGGTGCACTGTATTCTCTCAAATGTTTTAAGTGTTTGCATGCAGCCATGTCTAGAATGCCAAATGGTCTCTCTTCAACTGGAATGACAAGAACTGAAAGAAATGTGTGACCATGAGGACACTGTAGCTTATGAATGACAACCTGAGACCAGAAACCCAAAATGATGGTAACTGAGAGTGGCACTGAGTGACTAAATTTTGGTAACACTCTCACCTAAGTGAGAACCTGATGAAAAAGTTTTTGGTTTTTTTTTTGTCTTTTTTTTTTTGAGATGGAATCTCACTCTGTCGCCCAGGCTGGAGTGCAGTGGCATGATCTCCGCTCAATGTAACCTCTGCCTCCTGGGTTCAAGTGATTATCCTGCCTCAGCCTCCTGAGTAGTTGGGACTCCAGGGATGTGCTGCCACACTCAGCTAATTTTTGTATTTTTAGCAGAGGTGGGCTTTCACCATGTTGACCAGGCTGGTCTTGAATCCCTGACCTCAGGTGATCCTTCTGCTTTGGCCTCCCAGAGTGCTGGGATTACAGGGGTGAGCCACCATGCCCGGCCAGATTTTTTTTTTAAAACAAAATTATGGATGTCCATTGTTTTGGATTGAGCTTATGCACTAGGCCCCAAGAAACCAAACCAAACAAAAATGGAGTTGCTTTTGCTAAATGTGACATAATCAAACTGACACTTTAAGTAAACTCATAGATCCTAGAATGAACCAGGTTTTGTTTTTCTCCTGTAAACAGGATGCTGCAGCATAAAGAGGTACCCTCTACTCAGTCCTTGTTCCTACCTTTGAAAAATTCACTGTTCTACTGTTTCCAAGTGGGTTTCAAAACCAAAAAGTATATTAATGATGGTAATATGACATCAATAATTGAAGTTTTGGTCAATCTCTCAAAATTGAGAAAATGACCAAAAGGGGAGAATTGTTAAAGCAAACTAAATGTGGCCTGAGAATATACTTCTATATTTGAGTCCTTGTGGATGAACTGCAAACTAGCTTGATAGGTAGACAAGATTGAAAACCTAACTTTGGCGTATGCAACAATAGCTGAGTCTTGGCCAATTCCAGCAGCCATACTTCAACCACTCATACACTGCTGAGTGTTCAAACTGTGTTCAAATAAGGCAAATGCCGAGCTGTAACCAATCCAGTTGTTTCTGTATCTCACTTCTGATTTCTGTATGTCACTTTCCTTTTTTTTTTTGTCTATAAATTTGTTTTTACCACGAGGCATCTCTGTAGTCTCTCCAAATCTGCTGTGATTCTGGGGGCTACCTGATTCACAGATCGTTCTTTGCTCAATTAAACTCCTTTAAATTTAATTCAGCTGAAGTTTTTCTTTTAACAAGGGAATGCTTTCAATTTTTCCCCATTAAGTATGATGTTGGTTGTGGTTTTGTCATACATGACCTGTATTGTGTTGAGGTACATTCCTTCTATGCCTAGCTTGTTGAAAATTTTTATCATGAAGGGTGTGCTGAATTTAATCAAATCCTTTTTCTGTATTGAGATGATCATATGGTTTTTGTTTTTAATTCTGTTAATATGATATATCATATTTATTGATCTGCATATGTTGAACCATCCTTGCATTCCTGTGATGAATCCCACCTATTCATGGTATATTATCTTTTTGATGTGCTGTTGAATTTGGTTTGCTAGTATTCTGTTGAGGAATTTTACATCTGTGTTCATCAGGGATATTGGTCTGTAGTTTTCTTTTTTTTATTTTATCCTTATCTGATTTTGGCATGAGGGAGGTACTGACATTGTGGAATGAGTTAAAGAAAATTCATTCCTCCTTGATTTTTTGGAATAGTTTCAAGAGGATTGGTATTAATTCTTTGTATATTTGATAGAATTTGGCTGTGAATTCATCTGGTCCTCGGCTGTTTTTTTTGGTTGAGAGGTTTTTATATTCCTGATTAAATCTCGCTATTCGTTATTGGTCTGTTCAGGAGTTAGTTCTATTTCTTCCTGTTTCAATCTTGGTAGGTTGTGTGTTTCCAGGAATTTATCTATTTCATCTAGATTTTCTAGTTTGTGAGCTTATAGTTGTTCATAATAGGAGGAGGAGAAGATTCTTACTGATAATTTGGATACTGAAGGTGAAAGAATGTTAGGAATAAAATAAAATTGAGGAATATAAATGATACAATGTTAAAAGAAGACAGAGGAAACTTATGGGGAGATAGATTCTAAGACTTGAACAGGATGAAAATCAGACTTGGTGCCTGGCTGCCAAGCTGTAGTATTTTCCAGAAGCAGCTATGTTTCTCTGATTGAAACATGTGGGAATGTACCAGGGTGCATTTCCCTGATTGAAACACGTGGAAATATACTCAGGAACCTCCTTACTGCTCAGATTTCACTCACAAACTCAAACCTCAGGATTTTTTCAATACAACCACTAGGTGGCACTAATGGTACATTCTCTATATAAAGCTGCTATTAACTTGAAGGATCTCTTTCCTGTTGCTGAATTTGCTCTGGGGTCACAGTAGGGGATCCTAGTTCTAGTACCTCCTGGCTATACCATGAGTAAATGATTTAATACTAATATAACCCGTGTGTTCTTAGAGGAAATGACTTTTATTCTGAGTCTTCCTAGAGAATGTGACTTAAAAATTTATTGAGCACACTTCCCCTATATTTGTAAAATAATAACATAACTTTAAGTCAAGATTGGTCTGTGAGCAACTTGCTTTTTTTGTATGTGCTTTCAGATGGACAAGTATTGTAGAAGGATTTTTTTTTTCCTGCAGTATCTCCACAGGAGAAGAAGAGAATCTCTTAGATTAATCCCTCAGGGGCAGATTTCTTGGTATTTAGTTGATTTTTAATTATACTTATGGTACAAGGACTTGACTGAAAACCTTTTAAGGCATTATGGCTGGCATTATCTTTGAAACAATATTTCTATATTTTTTATCACCGCCTACTCAAGCAAGCAGTCAATTTTGGGCTCATTGCTTCAGAGGAGGAATGTAGCAGGACAGGAAATAGATGCATGTTGTGAATCTCTCTGAGTATTGTGTTTCAAAATTCTAAATCTTAATATGAAGAGGATTTATGGGAATAGAACAAGTGCTGATCAGAAGCTGGGAAGACATCAAGGTTATATACCATGTCCCAGACTAGAAAGAACTTTCTTCAGGATGGGAAGTAAAAAGGGATAGAGGCCCATGGGACCAGGGAAAAGAGGGACCTGGGGCAAGAAGGACCTAGGGCTTGCTTCCAGTGCCATTAGGGTGGCTGCAAAACCCTACAGAGGGAGTGGGAATCCTCTGGCATTATATAACATTTCTCTCCCAAAGTTGTTTATGGAAATGGCAGAGAGCCATAAAAACTGAAGAGGCCAAGTCATCAGAGATAATGAATGTCACAGTAACAAACCACCCGTGTGGACTGGGCCATTCCTTATTAATCACTTCCCCCACAAACTCCAGTGCCTTGGCACTTCATATAAATTTGGGAAAGGGTAAGACTAGCATCAAGTATTTTCTATTACTCCATATCCTGGGGGCTTGGGATAAAAGTTGTTGTAGAAAAGAAATGTATTTTTCTTATACATCTGAATATGTGGACTGGGTTTTATTCTTCCTCTTCTGGGAGGTCTTTTCTCTGTTTAGTTTAGTATCCTGGAATTCTAATTTTTCCCAGCATGGCTGAGACACCACCACCTCCTTTGAATGCTTTTGCTCAGTGGGGTTGAAAGTGATCTTTTCTTTGGAACTTTTGAAACATGTCAGTTGCCTTACAGGATACTTCTCCATCCTAATTCGAATTGTGGTTATTCAAGAACATGGCATCACAGCAAGGATCATAGTATATGCATGGTTTAAATTGCCATCACATTTAATATAATATGTAGTGAATTGATATTTGCTAATGTCAGGGAGTAAGTACAGTAGTATAGTCATATTAATAGTAGTTTGAAGTGAAGCAGCAGATTCACATGGAGCTACATCGGGCTAAAATCTCATGCATTTAAATATTCTTCAGTGGATTGTTAGGTTCTGGGAGATTTTCTTTTTCTTTCTTCTCTTTGATGTTCTAACTACTAATATAAATGCCACTGCAATTAAGGTCAGGAATATTTACCATGATGTCATGCTCTGTTATCATTGAGAAATTATGGTTGCATAGGAATCTATGTAATATCTGAAAGACATATAATTTTCGTTTCTTTAAAAAATGTTGATCAATTTTATAAAATGATGCAGGATTGTTGAAAAAAATTGTAATATAGAGAAGTATAGCAAGAAATGTAAAAATCACCTGATACCATTTCAAAAGAAGGCAATTACTATTAACATTTATGGGGGCCCTTCCATCTCTCTCTCTCCATTTATATATTTACATATATAATTATTTCACATAAATAAGGCTGTGTCATACATGTTATGAGGTAACTGCTTTTTTCTACTTATCAATATATGCCTTTCTATGTCAATAAATAGGAATTTCTAAATAACTTTTAAAGACTGCATAGTTTTTCATCATATATAAGTACTCTGATTTATTTAAGTCATGTCCTTTTCATAGGCTACACACTAACTAGATTACCTTGGTAGATCCCAATATGTGCACAAATACAAGTTAACCTCAAATATAAATATACATATATAAACTTTTAAGGATCCAAATGAAATATTTCAGTTTATTTAAAAAATATTGAATTAGTTACACACAAACTTGAAATCTATTATTTTTAAATTATTCTTTTCCTAATTTTATAAAACTACTTCACTGTTGTTTTGAGAGGTCTATTTTGAGTCATTGATCATACATCTCCTGCACAAATAATCTTTTTTAAAAGATCAAAGTTGTTTCATTTACAGCACTTTTTGAATTACTGTATGTAGCAGTCATTGAAGTTTATCCCAACTTAAAGGACCTATTTGCTCTTTGTGATCTCTGCATGTTATCATTCACTTTACTGTTTTTTTGTTTGCATCACTTTAAAATTGTTTTCTATTTTAAATTTGAAATACATCACACATTTTGAACAGAGCAGAAAAATATTACATTTTAAAAATACTAATGATAATAATAATAACAAGAAAACAGATTTTTCTGGGTAGAGGATACATAATTTGCAGCCTTTTTTTGGGAGAAGATCAGAGCCCCTTTCAGTGTCTAATGAATGCTACAAACCTAATCTGATTAAGTAGCAGAGTTTATTGAAGGAAGGTAAAGTACATTTCTTTTTATTTTAAATTTCCAACTTTTATTTTAAGTTCAGGGTTACATGTGCAGGTTTGTTACATAGGTAAATGTGTACCATGGTGATTTGCTGCACAGATCATCTCATCACCTAGGTATTAAGCTCAGCGTCCATTAGCTATTTTTCTTGATGCTTTCCCTCCTCCCACCCCCCACCCTCTGACAGGCCCCAGTGTGTGTTGTTTTCTCCCACATGTCCATGTGTTCTCATCATTCAGCTCCCACTTATAAGTAAGAACACATGTATTTGGTTTTCTGTTCTCGCATTAGTTTGTTGATAATGGTCTCCAGCTCCATCCATGTCCCTGCAAATGACATGGTCTCATTTATGTGCCACATTTTTTTAATCCAGTTTATCACTGATGGCCATTTAAGTTGATTCCATGAGTTTGCTATTGTGAACAGTGCTGCAATGAACATACATGTACATGTATCTTTATAATAGAGTGGTTTATATTCTTTTTTTTTTTTTTGAGATGGAGTTAAACTCTTATTGCCCAGGCTGGGGTGCAATGGCATGATCTCAGCTCACTGCAACCTCTGTCTTCTGAGTTCAAGCGATTCTCCTGTCTCAGCCTCCCAAGTAGCTGGGATTACATATGCCAACCACTACGCCCAGCTGATTTTTGTATTTTTAATAGAGACAGGGTTTCACCATGTTGGCCAGGCTAGTCTTGAACTCCTGACGTCAGGTGATCCGCCTGCCTTGGCCTCCCAAAGTGCTGGGATTACAGGCATGAGCCACTGATCCCTGCCAGAATGGTTTATATTGTTTTACGTATATGTCCAATAATGAGATTGCTGGGTTGAATGGTATTTTTGCCTCTAGATCTTTGAGGAATTGCCACACTGTCTTCCACAATGGTTGAACTAATTTACACTCACAACAACAATGTATAACCATTCCTTTTTCTCCACAACCTCGCCAGCATCTGTTTTTTGATTTTCTAGTAATAGCCACTCTGACTGGTGTGAAATGGTATCTCATTGTGGTTTTGATTTGCATTTATCTAATGATCAGTGATGGTGAGCTTTTTTTCATATGATTGTTGGCCACATGTATGTCTTCTTTTAAAACGTGCCTGTTTGTGTCCTTTGCCTACTTTTAATTGGGTTTGTATTTTTTCTTATAATTGAGTTTACGTTCTTTATAGATGCTGGATGTTAGACTTTTGCCAGATGCATTCTTTGCAAAATTTTTCTCCCACTCTGTAGGCTGTTTACTCTGTTGATAGTTTCTTTTGCTGTGCAGAAGCTCTTTAGAAGTGTAATTAGATCCCGTTCATCAATTTTTGCTTTTGTTGCAATTGCTTTGGTGTCTTGGTCATAAAATCTTTGTCCATGCCTATATCCTGAATGGTATTGCCTAGGTTTTCTTCTAGGGTTTTTGTAGTTTGAGGTTTTACATTTAAGTCTTTAATCCATATTGAGTTAATTTTTATATAAGATGTAAGGAAGAGGTCCAACTTCAGTTTTCTGCATATAGCTAGCCAGTTTTCCCAGCACCATTTATGAAATAGGGAATCCTTTTCCCATTGCTTTTGTCTGGTTTGTTGAAGATCAAATAGTTGTAGGTGTGTGGTCTTATTTCTGAGTTCTCTATTTTGTTCCATTGGTCTATGTGTCTGTTGTTGTACCAGTACCATGATGTTTTAACCAAAACCACTGTAACCACTGTAACGTTTTAGTATAGTTTGAAGTCGGGTAGCATGATTGTTTAGAATTGTCTTGGCTATTTGTGCTCTTTTTTGTTTCCATATGAATCCTAAAATAGTTTTTTCTAATTCTGTGAAGAATATCTGTGGTAGTTTAGTGGGAATAGCATTGAATCTATACATTACTTTGGGCAGTATGGCCATTTTAACGATACTGATTCTTTCTATCCATAAGCACAGAATGTTTTTCCATTTGTTTGTGTCCTTCTGATTTCTTTGAGCAGTGGTTTGTAGTTATCCTTGAAGAGGTCCTTCACTTTCCTTGTTATCTGTATTCCTAAGTATTTTATTCTTTTTGTAGCAATTGTGAATGGGAGTTCATTCATGATTCGGCTCTCTGCTTGCCTGTTGTTGTATAGGAAAGCTAGTGATTTTTGCCTATTGACTTTTGTACCCTGAGACTTTGCTGAAGTTGCTTATCAGCTTAAGAAGCTTTCGGGCTGAGACTATGGGGTTTTCTAGATATAGGATCATGTTATCTGCAAACAAAGATAATTTGACTTCCTCTCTTCCTATTTGAATACCCTTTATTTCTTTCTCTTGCCTGATTTTCCTGGCCAGAACTTCCAATACTATGTTAAATAGGAGTGGTGAGAGAGGGCATTCTTGTCTTGTGCTTGTTTTCAAGGGGAATGCTTCCAACTTTTGCCCATTCAGTATGATATTGGCTGTGGGTTTGGCATACATGGCTCTTACTATTTTTAGGAATATTTCTTCAATATCTAGTTTATTGGGAGTTTTTAAAATGAAGGGATGTTAAATTTTATCAAAGGCCTTTTCTGTATCTATTGAGATAATCATATGGTTTTTGTCTTTAGTTCTGCTTATGTAATGAATCACATTTATTGGTTTGTGTATGTTGAACCAACCTTGCATCCTGGGGATGAAACCAACTTGGTCATGTGGATAAGCTTTCGGATGTGCTGCTGGATTCAATTTGCCAGTATTTTATTGACATTTTTTGCATCGGTGTTTGTCAGGGATATTGGCCTGAAGTTTCCTTTCTTTTTTGTATCTCTGCTAGGTTTTGGTAGCAGGCTGATGCTGGTCTCATAGAATGAGTTATGGAAGAGTTCCTGTTTTTCAGTTTTTTGGAACAGTTTCAGTAGAAATAGTATTAGCTCTTCTTTGTACCTCTGGTAGAATTCAGCTGTACCTGTCTCTGGTCTTGGGCTTTTTTTGGTTGGTAGGCTATTGATTACAGCCTCAATTTCAGAATTAATTATTGGTCTATTCAGGGATTTAATTTCTTCCTAGTTCAATCTTGGGAGGGTGTATGCAGTATTTTCTAGTTTATATACATAGATGTGTTTGTAATATTCTCTGATGGTTGTTCATATTTCTGTGGGATCAGTGCTGATATCCTTATCATTTTGATTGCATTTATTTGAATCTTCTCTCTTCTTTATTAGTCTAGCTAGCAGTCTATCTATTTTATTATTATTTTTTAAAAAAGCAGCTCCTGGATTTGTTGATTTTTTAAAGGGTTTTTTGTGTCTCTATCTCTTTCAGTTCAGCTCTGATGTTGACTATTTCTTGTCTTCTGCTAGCTTTGGGCTTTGTTTGCTCTTGGTTCTCTAGTTCTTTTCATTTTGATGTTAGGTTGTTAACTTGAGATCTTTCTAACTTCTTGATGTTGGCATTTAGTCCTATAAGTTTCCCTCTTAATACTGCTTTAGCTGCATCCCAGAGATTCTGGTATGTTGTATCTTTGTTCTCATTAGTTTCAAAAAAAACTTCTTGATTTCTGCTTCTATTTCATTATTTAACCCCAAAGTGACTCAGGAGCAGGTTGTTCAGTTTCCATGTAGTTGTATGGTTTTGAGTGAATTTCTTAATCTTGAGTTCTAATTTGATTGTGCTGTGGTCTGAGAGTGTTATGATTTCAGTTCTTTCGCAATTGTTGAGGAGTGTTTTACTTCTTATTATGCGATCAATTTTAGAGTAAGTGCCATGTGGCAGTGCGAGGAATGTATATTCTGTTGTTTTTGGGTGGAGAGGTTCTGTAGATATTGATTAGGTCCACTTGATCCAGAGCTGAGTTCAGGTCCTGAATATCTTTGTTAATTTTCTGCCTTGATGATCTGCCTAATATTGTCAGTGGGATGTTAAAGTCTCCCACTATTATTATGTGGGAGTTGAAGTCTCTTAGACAGTCTCTAAGAACTTGCTTTATGAGTCTGGGTGCTCCTCTACTGGGTGCATATGTATTTTGGATAGTTAGCTCTTCTTGTTGAATGGAACCCTTTACCATTATGTAATGCCCTTCTTTGTCTTTTTTGATCTTTGTTGGTTTAAAGTCTGTTTTGTCAGAAACCAGGACTGAAACCTCTGCTTTTTTGTTTTCCATTTGCTTGGTAGGTTTTCCCTCATCCCTTTATTTTGAGCCTATGGGTGTCTTTGCATGTGAGATGGGTCTCTTGAAGATGGCATACCAATGGGTCTTGGTTCTTTCTCCAGATTGCCATTCTGTGTCTTTTAACTGTGGCAGTTAGCTCATTTACATTTAAGGTTAGTGTTGTTTTATGTGGATTTCAAGAGAGAAGTGGGCTGGCCTGACTGAAAAGTAGCGGCAGCAGCAGCAGCAGCAGGGTTTAAAGAGGCAGTACACTCTGAAAGATGAGGCAGATTGGGCTGCTTGAGAGAGTGAGCCAGGAGCAGTTAGTGCTGGGGGACTCTTTATGAGAATCTTACATGATTATTTATGAAGGGGCATGAGGGGGTATCACTTGTAATCATGTTTTAGGTGGTTTCCTTGGACCTGCATGTTTTGTGATTGTACATGGTAGTACACATGTTGTATGTCTCATTTGTATTTAAAATCTCCACCCAGGGTTTGTTTTTTACTATGATTATCAGTAAAAGGCTACTTACTCTAGGGTGAGTTACTGGGGGAGTGAGTGTACTCATGAGCAAGAAAAGTCTCTACCATGGTTATCTCTGGCTAGGGCCTGATAATTTCCCTTCAGATCCAGAGGAGCCCAAACACAAGGTCACAAGTAGTTAGTGTAGCCATTGTCTTTTTCGTTGACTGTCAGTTGAGCAGCACTGACTGTCAGTGGGAGGTGTCTCCAAGACTCTTCCTCAGGGCTTCTCCTGTCTGTTTATTTCTGGCTGTGTGCCTTCTCTAACAATGTTACAAATTCAAAATGCAAGATAGACCAATAGATTTTAGTATAACAGAGAAGTGTATTGTTATGGTTTCAGATTATATATTGTAATTAATATTTAAGGAACTTCTATTTGTTGAGTCTTGGTGTACAATTATCTGGAAAGGCTTTTAGAATACTCTGCCCTTTTCCAACTATATGGATTTTATTCATATAGGCTAGATTTATAGGCTAGATTTTATTCATATGCTTTAACATTAAACAACAGTTTATAACTGATTGAATGCAGAAGCAAGTATGAGAATCCAGCTGTTTTTTATGAAGCCACATGTTAAAGACGTTTTTGAAAATGTGAAACAAATGCCACTGCTTTCACTCAATATATTTGTTTTGGAAAATAAAGTTATTTCTCATAAAAATATGTTATTACTTTGCTGTAAGTAAATTATTATTTAAAATGACTCAATAAACATATAATTTCAAAACATCCTTGTGTTCATTTCTAAATTACATATTAATACATATAATCTACATAAACAAAAGATTTTTAAAGTTCTCAATAGTTATTAAGAGTACAAAAGGGTCCTGAAACCATACAGTTTGGGACAACTGAGATGGAGAGAGATGAAACTTAACTGGGTTATCAGGAAAGGCTTGTCTGTGGAGGTGACATTTGAGTTGAGAATTGAATTATGAGAAAGAAGCAAGGTAAAGATTTAGGAGAAGAGCATTCCAGGCAATGAGTGGAGGTGGGGAGCAGGCAGTGAAAAAACTCTGAGGAGAGAAAGAGTTTTGAGTGTTTCCAGGAATAAAGAAGCCAGTAGGACATCAGGTGAGAGTGTTGGGCCAGGATCAGGTCATCAGGGTCTTATAAATCACAATAAGACTGAATATGTAATGGGATTCTATTTGAGAGTTATAGGTAGGGTTGCAATAAGATCTGACTTTTGTCTTTAAAAGATCACGTTTTCTTTTTTTACCATATAAAAACTAGACTGTAGGTGTTGAGAGTAGAAGACATGTTTAAGTGTTAAAAAGCAGTTGCAGGCTGGGTGCCGTGGCTCACACTTGTAATCCTAGTACTTTGAGTGGCTGAAACAAGTGTATTGCTTGAGTCCACTAGCTCAAGACATGCCTGGGCAACATGGCAAAACCTCATCTCTACAAAAAATACAAAAACTAGCCAGTCCAAGGAGACTGCCTAAAACATGATTAAAAGTGACTATGGTGGCCCACACCTGTAGTCCCAGCTACTTGGGAGACTTAAGCAAAGATCATACCACCTCACTCCAGCTTGGGTGACAGAGTGGTTGCAGTAGCTAGAAAAGAGGTAATGGGAACCTGTACTGTTTTAACAATGGAGATCAGATTTAGAATACACTTTTTTGAAGGTAGAAATGACATAATTAAATGTAGCATGTGAGGGAAAATTATAAGGTAGAATTTGGTCAGAACAACTGGATGGATGTTGGTGTCATTCATTGAAGACAGAGAGGTACAGTTTTAGCAAGAGACAAGAAGGGGGAATCAAGAACTGTTTTGTACTAGGAAGTACAGATTTCATAAGTACTATTATTTTCTACATTTAAAAAATTAGGATGCTGTGGTTGAAAGAGGTTATAAAACTTGCCAAAAGTCACAGGTCTATAAATGGTAGAGGCAGGATTTGACCCTAGGCAGTCCAATTTTAGAGGCTGCTCTCTTAGACACTAAGATAAAAAAAGATACTTTGGTTGTGGGACGGTGACCTCAAATGATCTTTAATGAGTGATAAAATATAAATCAGATCTTCCCTTCCTTCCCCAGCTCATTAAATTTCTCCCTGACTTTACACTGGCACAGAGAAGAAAATTCAGACTTGCAAGGTTTGGCTCCTGCTTGTCTTTCCAACCTCACCTCCTACCACTCATCCTCTTGCAGTGTTTCAACACAATGGCCTCTCTTCTGTTCCTGGAACATGCAAGCCCCTTCCTGGTGTGGGGACTATGCACATTGCTGTTCCCTCTGCCTGAAATGCTCTTTCCCCAGCAGTTTGCCTGGATGGCTCATTCTCACCTTTTAGATCTCAGGTCAAAGTCAGCTTTTCAGAGAGACCTTCATTGACCACTTATTCTCAAAGAGCTCTCCCAGGCAAAACCTATCTTAACACCTTGTTTATTTCCTTATAAATATTTTTATAATATGAAATTATCTTGTTTACTTATTTCTTCACTTTATACCACAGGGTTTTTACCGCCAGACTGTGGGTTCTGCAAGGGGAAGCTCAGTGTTCTTCTTTCACCGCTGCACTGTTAGGGCCCAAAATAATATCGAGAACAGGCTATGCATTTGACAGACATTTGAGTGTTGAATGAATAAATGAAGTACTTTACAACTGGTGGGTAAAGAAACATATTTATAGGGTGTCAAAGAAATAGAGGGAATGATTAACTCTACTTATTTATTAACCTGAAACAGGACCAATGCTGTTGGAATGAGGGGTGGCCTAGGAAGTCTTCCAGCCCAATGTTTTCTGCCCTACACAAACTGCTTGAAGTTCTTCATTTTGATGTGTTAACACATCCTGAATTACCACAGCATAAGACTGTTTACCAAACATTAACAACAGTTTCTCTTTTTTCCATTTGCTCTTAAAAGACAGATACTCCTGGGAGAGTAAACAAAATGACAGTCACATTTTAGTGGAAATCAGTCCAATCAGCTCCTTTTCTAATAATCTGGATCCTGGAGTGCAGTCACTGGACATTCAGAGGATGGCCCAGGCACCAGGCAGCTGAAATGAAGGGGAGTATAGAAGTGAGTGAAGGGCAGAGACAAGGACATAAGACAATTCCAAAGGCAAGCTCCTTTTTTCTCAGTTTTGGTCAGGACTGAACTTGGTAGTCGAATGACGTTTCAACCCCATTCAGACTGGCTGCAACTTAGTTCATGAAATGTCAAAGTCAGTTATTTAAACCACCCCACATGAATTCAGCTGTAAAGACACTTTACTCCCAGAGATTTAACTGATGCAACCTTTGCAGGAGAATCTTATGAATTATTGAAATGGTAGAAGCAGCAGCAAGCAGTTACCTAATTTGCCTTTGATGATGAATGGCTGGGATTTAGAGATTAATCTCTTTCTTTCAGACTTATTTTCTGTTGAATGAAGATGTAGACACTATCATTTGAGTTGGAGTAGAGTGGAAAATACCTTTCCAAAGTTTACTAGCTTTCCAGCTGTGAATGTAATAAACAGCTTTTTGCAAATCAACGTTTGTTTTTATTCTTATAGTTTTAGCAATTGTTTTCTATTCTGGGGGATAGAAGTGGAGGTGTTGACTTGGGAATAAATTACCTCTGTGGTCTGTAGTTTAAGGCATTAAGATGTAGGCATTTTCTGTGAAATGAAAAAAAATCATGACTGTTTGGGGGCATCTATTACTTATGCTATTTTATGTTACCTACCAAAAGAAAACTTAATTCCTTAAACTTAGAGCAATATTTTCTTCTTTTAAATAAATTATCCTTTATTAGAATTTAACATGCAGCAATATGAAATAAAGCCTTTTCTTTATCAAGGACCAAAGATGAATATTTCTATCTTCAGAATATTTTAAAATCTTAATCAGGCTAATGGAATTATTACAAATTCTGAGTAGTTTAAAATTATAATAAGAATCTTAAAATTTTAAGGTATAGCCCAGGATACTGTCTTACAACTGACTAATCTAAATTCAGAACTTTCTTCTCTGTTGTTTCTTTCATCTCTGAGGCCTACAACAGAACTGGCATATAATAGTTGTTTTATAAATATATGAGGAATGGATATGGCTGAATGAATTTTAAAAGGTCTGTTTAATGATATTGAAGTATGGTTGTCTTAATAGTGTGCACTTTAATAGAATTATCATAGAGAAATCAAAGTCAATCCCTTAAGTCCTTTTGATTAGTCTTTCCCCAGTGAGTTTGGAAGACAATAATTATTAGTATAATGTCCAAAAATTAAGCAACATAAAAAACCAATAAAGAAATTGAAATCAAGTGTTAAGTCTTATGGTAACATATGTTCCTAAAGAAGTAGTTATGATGTAATTCTTACCAGCAGTAGGAATTTTCATGAGTAAGAAACTAACTAGTATGAAAGCAGTTACGTTCTATCGATTGCAGGGTTTGTAGTATGAGCAATTCATCATTGCTACATTCTCTACATTTGTATTCCTATCACACAGCCATACACCCAACACCATGTTTCCTTAGCTATTTTTTGATTCCTGAACCAGGAAGCATGCAAGTAGAATGACTATTTCTAAATATAAAAGGAGTATCATGATTTCAACTTTATTAAGAGCAAGTGAGCAAATGTGTTGAAAACAGTGGCAGTAAATCAAGACCTTATGAGCTTTTGAGCTCAGAGCTTGGTCTTTCTTACTAGCCAGAGGGGACTTGGAAATATTTTATACTATGCTTTTATAGTATTATTGACAGTGATAGACTCAGTCTATATGCTAAGTCCGTCTCTCCCTCTCTCTTGTGCTTGATACCTAGAGATGTTTCTAAAGTCTGTTCCAGAGACATTGCAATACTTCCATTGGAGGTTAGTTGAACAGTAATAAATCATTGAATCCCTCAAGCCAAGTATACTCCTTTGGCTGTAATCTACACAAGGGCCATGGCTAATATTTCATCCTGCTTTGTAGTCCTTTGTGGTTTCTCTGTAGTTGCACTTCTAAAGACCAAAAGCATTTGGAGTCTTAGATCTTCAGAGACACCTCATGTACCTTAACATTTCCTTTGATTTGGAAGCAGAGAAAATTTTAAATGGAAGTTACTGAACAAGAGAACTATGGGGCAGATAGGTGTCATCTTAGGAAAGATAATTAACTTTGATCTCAAGAGTAATGTACTAAGTGGGGATAATAAAGCTTTCATTGAATTTTAGCATTGCCTTGTTAAAACTGGCTTTATTGCATTTTTGTACTTTTCTTAAAAAATAAAAGATGGCTATGTAACCAAAATACATAAGTCTGAAATGCATAAGGCTGAACATATTCAGCATGGCTTAATGTGAATAACGAGAAAGTGTTCTGCATTTTGGCATGATATGATCCTGCATATAATTTGTTTATTTTTCGCATCTTTTTCCTGTGAGACAGAATTCTATGATTTATAATTCTTTGACTCACAAGTCTGGAAATTCTGTTTACGCTTTTGAATTTAAATTCAACAATATCAAAGTGCCAATGTGGTCTAATGATTAATAGGCAAGGCAGAGATTTGGGAGAATTTAACTGCAGATCCTGAATGTATGGTTTTATTTTCTTTCTTACAATTCTTCCACCCTCAACTTATGTCTTCCAATTATAAAGTTGATAAATACTTAATAAGGAGAACTTGGAAACTATAGGAAACTAAAAAGAAAGAAACAGCCTCTTTTCAGAGATATCCAGTATCAGTCAAGAGTTTGAAGTTTCTTTTCAGTTTAAAAGTTGAAAGTTTTAAAAACATAATTTGTAAATATATCTTTAAGTATTTAAAATCATTTTTTTACCATTTAAGACCCTTAGAAATATGATTTTCTGCACCATAAATAATGGATATAGTGAGGATTCGTAACAAATATTTGTGTTGTTCTTAGAACTTTAGTTTTATTGGATAAGGATCAGTTTTGCTCTTTGATAAATCTTTAATGACATATCATATTTAGCATCATGATTACATTTAAATAATTAAAAATTTACCTCCAGAAACTCAATATCTTTTTGCTCAAATATGCAACTTACTTACTTTTGTCAGTTGGTATATTGTGAGACTCTAAAAGACAGGTTGACAAATTTCCTTGAAAGGTTTGATGCCAGGCTGTCTCACATGCTTGGACACATTTTGAGAATCTTCATTCTGGAGTCAGTCTTGAAACTCTTTGAAGGGGTTTGGGTACCTTAAAGTAACACTGATGTGTTTTACATAGAATTGAGTTGCTGCTAAAATATCAGGCTTAGAATTTGATCTTATTTATTTTATTCTTCCTCCAATATGAAACTCAGAAGAACCTATTTCCTCATTAGGTCAATTTGGGAAAATGTCCTAGTGAGCTTAATAATTCCTTCTGGATTGGCTTAAGCGAGTCTTTTGAAAAAGATTTTATTTCATTAATGTGCTTAAAAGTAGTAAAAACATAGTGAATTTCAATACAAATGATGTGTGTGCAAAATACTTTTTAAAAAACAACTTAACTCATGTAAGAAAAATAAACAAAACAAAAGAAAAACTTAATAAATCCAAAGAGACTCCCTCTGAACTTAAGGGGTAACTTGTCAGTGTGTGACAGATGCTTTCTTTGTCTGATACATTACTTTGGGTAATTATTTAAGTGTATGTTACTGTGAATCGTTGGTATAGCAGTAACTCAGTTTTGAAATTATTTTCAATTTTTTTGCTTGTCTCTACACACAATTTGGGTAAATACATATATTGCCACCATTAGTTTATATTAGTAATTTTTATTTAAATTTTGAAAGGGAGACCAAAAGATCCTCATGCCGTTTACTTTCCAGAATGCTAGAGAAAGCTTCAGATTATAACAAGATAACTCACTCCCAAAACTGAGAGCTAATTTTATGGAACTAACATTAACTAGAAGTGTTGTTTCAGTAATTTCAGTTCAATGTCAATGACATTGGCTAGCTTAAAGATTAAAATCAAGGTTAATTTTAAAAGTTACTAGGTAGGTAGACTTAAAATTTTAAAAGAAATATTTTCTATTAAAAGTAAGAATAGTTATTATGGAACATTTGAAAATAACAGATCATAGAAAAAAGAAAATAAGGGCAGGCACGGTGGCTCACGCCTGTAATCCCAGCACTTTGGGAGGCCGAGGCGGGTGGATCACAAGGTCAGGAGTTCAAGACCAGCCTGGCCAGGATGGTGAAACCCCGTCTCTACTAAAAATACAAAAATTAGCCTGGCATGGTGGTGGGTGCCTGTAATCCCAGCTCCTCGGGAGACTGAGGTAGAGTATTGCTTGAACCCGGGAGGCGGAGGTTGCAGTGAGCCAAGATCATGCCACTACACTCCAGCCTGGGCGAAAGAGTGAGACTCCGTCTCAAAAGAAAAAAAAAAAGAAAATAATCTCACAATTACCTGATATAATCCTTATTTATACTTCTAGATACTCAAATACTATTCATATGTGGAGTCGTAACATGTGTAACTATTGTTGAACTCTCAATGTATCATCAGAAAACCTGTTAATATAGTAAAGCTTAACTAGAACTCCTTTTGGTAAGAAAGTCACCACTTTGACAGAGACTTTGAAGTGGCTCAAAATGGAGAAATTAGAGAAGGGTATTTAAAGAGTTTTTAGACCTGAGATGAGATATATATTTTGTCATTTAGCATTTATAACTATTAGAATTAGATATTTTTGTATTGAGTTTTTTATGTTTACGAACACATATATTATTATTGCTCTTATCTATTTTTGGTACTTTACACAGACAAATTAGAAAGTAATTTTTAGTGAAAATTTTATATTTACCTCTATTTAAACCAGTTTTTCCTAATGATAAGTCTGCCAGATGTTTAAATAATTTTTTTTCAATCTGATTGTCACTGGATTGTGAATAAACTTCACTATTCTTACTACATTCTTAGGGGCAATCTCAATATGGCAGCTTGATTAACAAGTAAATGAATTGTGAACACTTACCTCTCAAAAGGGAAGGTCAAAGAAATTTAATCCTGGTATCAGCTATATTATGCTTATATGAATAAAAGGCAACCTCAGAAATGATGTTGATAAACCCTACCCCTAAGCACTTTTTCTTTCCTTAGCTACATCGTGGTAATAATTCTCCCTGTTTGTAGGCTGACTACAGTGCACTAGGAAATCAGATATATTTTGCAGTTGTGTTAAAATACTTTGTTTTTTGTTTATGTGTATATAAAGACTATGTACTAACTAAGCAAACTACACCTCATAAACAGTAGCAATAAAAAATGTTCAACATTTACAGGTTTTAAGAAACAAGTTCATTTCAAAATGACAATTCTGGTGAGATGCAAAATAATGTAGAAATACATTGCAGGGTTATAAATGTTTGTCTGTAGGAAAGAGCTTTGTTTTATTTTATTTCACTGTCAACAGAATGTCGGCACACTTGCAATACTTGGGCTCTCTGTTTTTATAATTAAAAAGACAGAACATTTTAATAGTTCTCATAACTTTGACTAGTTTACTCAATACTTTTGATTGAAGCATTCTTATTCTAACTGATTGTTGATATGGTTGGCTCTCTGTCCCCACCAGAATCTAATCTTGAATTGTAATCCCCACGTGTTGAGGGAGGGACCTGGTGAGAGGTGATTGGATCATGGAGGTGGTTTCCCCCATGCTGTTCTCATGATAATGAATGAGTTCTCATGAGATCTGTTGATTTAAGTGTGGCACTCCCTTGCGCACACTCTTTCTCTCTCCTACTGCCTTGTGAAGAAGGTGCTTACTTCTTTTGTGCCTTCTGCCATGACTGTAAGTTTCCTGAGGCCTCCCCAGCCATGCAGAACTGTGAGTCAATTAAACCCCTTTTCTTTATAAAGCACTCAGTGTCACGAAGTTCTTTATAGCAGTCTGAAAATGGACTAATACAGAAAATTGCTACCAAGAGTAGGGTATTGCTATAAAGATACCTAAAAATGTGGATATGACTTTGGAACTGGGTAACAGGCAGAGGATGGAACAGTTTGTAGGGCTTGGAAGAAGACAGAAAGATATGGGAAAGTTTGAAACTTCCTAGAGACTTGTTGAATGGTTTTGACCAAAATGCTAATAGTGATATGGACAATGAAGTCCAGGGTGAGGTGGTCTCAGATGGACATAAGGAACTTATTGGGAACTGGAGCAAAGGTCACTCTTGCTATGCTTTAGTAAAGAGACTGGTGGCATTTTGCCTCTGCCCTAGAGTTCTGTGGAACTTTGAACTTGAGAGAGGTGATTTAGGGTATTTGGCAGAAGAAATTTCTAAGCAGCAAAGCATTCAAGAGGTGACTTGTTTTTTCCTGGAAGTGTATAGTCATATGTGTTCACAAAGAGATGATTTGAAATGGAAACTTATGTTTAAAAGGGAAGAAGAACATGAAAGTTTGAAAAACTTGTTGCCTGACCATGTGGTTGAAAAGAAAAACCCATTTTCTGGAGAGAAATTCAAGCCAGCTGCAGAAATTTGCACAAGTAACAAGGAGCTGAATGTTAATAGCCAAGAAAATGTAGAATATACCTCCAGAGCATTTCAGGGATCTTCATGGCAGCTCCTCCGATCACAGGCCTGGAGGCCTAGCAGGAAAGAATGGTTTTTTTGGTGGATCCCAGAGCCTTACCACTTTGTGCAGCCTTGGGACATTGCTCCTTGCATCTCAGCCACTCCAGCTCTAGCCATGGCTAAAAGGAGCCAAGGTACAGCTCAGGCTGTTGCTCCAGAGGGTGCCAGTCCCAAGTATTGGTGGTTTCCATGTGGTGTTGGGTCTGTGGGTATGCAGAAGAGAAGAGTTGAAGATTGGGAACCTCCACCTAGATTTCAGAGGATGTATGGACATGCCTAGATGTCCAGGCAGAAGTCTGCGGCAGGGATGGGGCCTTCATGGTGACCCTTGACTTGGGCAATGCAAAGGAAAATATGGGGTTGGAAGGTTGGAACCCACCCAAAGAGTCCCCACACTGGGGCACTGCCTAATGGATCTGTGAGAAAAGGACCACTGTCATTCAGACCCCCGAATTGGTAGATCCACTGACATCTTACACCATGCACCTGGAAAAGCCACAGGTACTCAACGCCAGCCTGTGAAAGCTGTGGGGGGTGTACCCTGCAGAACCACAGAAGCAGAGCTGCCCAAGACCATGGGAGCCCACCCCTTGCATCAACATGCCCTGTTGTGAGACATGGTGTCAAAGGACATCATTTTGGAGCTTTAAGATTTAACGACTGTCCCGCTGGGTTTCAGACTTGCACGGGGCCTGTAGCCCCTTGATTTTGGTGAATTTCTTCTTTTGAAATGGGAACATTTACTCAATGCCTGTACTTTCATTGTATCTTGGAAGTAACTAACTTGTTTTGGATTTTACAGGCTCTCAGGTGGGAGGAACTTACCTTGTCTCAGATGAGACTTTGGACTTGGACTTTTGGGTTAATGCTGGAATGAGTTAAGACTTTGGGGGACTGTTGGGAAAGCATGACTGTGTTTTGAAATGTGAGAAGGACATGAGATTTTGGAGGGGCCAAAGGGGTTATGATATGGTTTGGTGCTGTGTTCCCACCCAGATCTCATCTTGAATTGTAATCCCCACATGTTGAGGGAGGGACCTGGTGGGAGGTGATTGGATCATGGGAGCAGTTTCCCCCATGCTGTTCTTGTGATAGTGAGTGACTTCTCATGAGATCTGATGGTTTAGAAGTGTGGCACTTCCTTGCCCATTCTCTTTCTCTCACCTGTTGCCTTTTGAAGAAGATGCCTGCTTCTCCTTTGTCTTCTGCCATGCTTGTTAGTTTCTTGAGGCCTCCCCAGCCATGTGGAACTTTGAGTCAATTAAACTTCTTTTCTTTATAAATTACCCAGTCTCAGGTAGTTCTTTATAGCACTCTGAAAATGGGCTAACAGAATTGTATATTTAAGGATGTCAAGCAAACCAAAGGAAAAATAAGTGTCAATTGAATCGTAGTTTGTAGACACACTACATCAGTTCTTGGGATAAGTGAGTTTTAATTTTTTAAAGTCAGTTTTATAAAGGTAGACTAGATGATTTTAAGATGGGCCTTGCAAAGTGGAAACATTAATTAGGCAAGTTTTATAACATAATAGCTTTGGATTGATTAACAGAGCATGGCATAAGTCTTGAATGGAGATTTGATAAGTAAACTGTATTTGATAAGTGAGTGGTCTGCTCAGGTGAGGAGAGTGTTGCCTCAGAAATCAATTTTCAGGGATTTCCATGGCAGGAAAATTACTTGTTGGTTTACAGTCTTAATTTTCCTGGGCAAATAACTGAGTCATGTTGATCATGTAGTCTTACTTCTTAGTCCTAAGGTCATCTTAATATAGGTGGTCACAGTTCTCACTGTTTTATAGAAACTTTTTCTTACTTAACATCTATATCATGAAAGTTAATACAAAAAGGCATGAATTCCAGACAGGCATAATCACCTCTCCTTGGACAGCATCTTAAAGTATACACAAAGAAGACAGGGTTAAGTGGGAAAAAATTTATATTTTTATCTAAGCAAATGCCTGGTAAGTTGTGCATAGGATTTATCCTTCGGATTTAAATGGAGCTTCTCTTTCCAGCCTTAAGTTCCATATTAACCCCAGTTAGCTGCCAAGCCTGAAACAATAACTCAGTCAGGTGCTTGAGTGGGCAAAGTAGAGGGAGTATACTGGCCAGATACCAAGTGGGCCTGGCTCCATTTATAAATCTAGCAGCTTGGAATAAAAGTAGGAGATATAAAAAAAATTCAAGTATGATGGCCTTTCATATACCCAAGAAGCATCCAGGAATCTGATTAAACTAATTAGCAAGTCCTAAGGGCATGAGTGGGGAGAGATAATCAAGATGGAAAGTGAATAGAAGAGTAATCTTTCCTTTACTCCCTGGGTGAAAGCCTACCCTCCTCCAAGAGCACAGAAGATTCTACTATGTCATTCAAAATTTAACAAAAACATATTTTCAAGTCGTTTAAACTGTATACATTTGTTGAACTTTAGGATGAGCATCCTTTTTATTTATGTTATTTTGTATACCCTTAATATTTCTTTAGCTTTAATTTCTAATGGTATAATTAGTGGGTAAAAGGAATGCATATTTTTGGGGGCTCTTGATCCGTAATGCTACACTGTCCTAAGCTATATGTATTTACCTTTTGTTTTCCATCTTTGATAGCTGTGGGTGTCCATCACCTGAGTATGACACATTTAAGTATAGTCATCCTGCTCTACTATCAAACATTGAATTTATTCCTTCTATTTTACTGTATGTTTGTACCCTCTAACCCATTTCTCTGCATCCTTCTTCCTTTCCCCCATGCACCTTCCCCAGTCTCTGTTATCTATTTATCCACTCTCTACCTCCATGGATTCAAATTTTTTAGCTCTTACATATAGGTGAGAACTTGCAATACTTATGTTTTTGTGCCTGGCTTATTTCACTTAAGACAATGACCTCCCGTTCCATCCATATTGCTGCAAATGACATGTTTTCATTCTTTTTTATGGTTGAATAGTATTCCATTGCATATATATACATCACATTTTCTTTATTCATTCTTTTGTTGAAGGACACTTACGTAGATTCCATATTTTTGCTATTGTGAATAGTGCTATTAGGTTGGTGTGAAAGTAATGGTGTTTTTTTTTTTTTACATTTACAATTACATTTGCACCAACCTAATACAATAAACATGTGAGTTCAGGTGTCTCTTTGAAATATTTTTTTCCTTTAGGTAGATAGCCAGTAGTGGGATTGCTGAATCAAATGGTAATTCTATTTTTAGTTTTTTGAGAAATCTCCATCCTTTTTTCAGTAGTGGCTGTACTAGTTTACATTCCTAACAACAGTTAGGAATTTCTCTGCATCCTTACCAACATCTGTTAATTTTTTGTCTTTAAATAATAGCCATTTTAACTGGGGTAAGATGATATTTCATTGTGGTTTTGTCTTGCACATCTCTGATGATTAGTAATGTTGAGCATTTTTTCATATACCTGTTGGTCATTTATATGTCTTATTTTAAGAAATGCCTACTCATGTACTTTGCCCACTTTTAAATGGGACTACTTGTTTTGTTCCTGCTGAGTTGTGTTCCTTGTATATTCTGGATATTAGTCACCTATCAGATGAATAGTTTGCAAATATTTTCTCCCATTCAACAGGTTGTCTCTTTACTCTGTTGATTATTTTGTTTGCTCTGCACAAGCTTTTAGGTCTAATTGTCTCATTTGTTTATTTTTGCTGTTGTTGTGTATGCTTTTGAGATCTCAGTGATAAATTCTTTGCCTAGACTAATGTGCAAGAGTTTTTCTTAGATTTTCTTCCAGTATTTTTATAGTTTAGGGCCTTATAATTAAGTCTTTAATTTATTTGGGATTGATTTTTGTATGTGGTGTGAGACAGCGGTCTAGTTTCATTCTTCTGCATGTAGCTGTCCAATTTTCTCAGCATCATTTATTAAAGAAGGCATCTTTTCCCTAATGTAACTTCATGTCAACTTTGTGGAAGATCAGTTGGCTGTAAATATGTGGCTGTATTTCTGGGTTCTCTATTCTGTTCCATTGGTTCACATGCCTATTTTCATATCAATACCATGCTGCTTTGTTTACTATAGACTTTTAAGATATTTTTAAGTCAGATAATGTGATACCTAAAGCTTTGTTCTTTTTGCTCATAATTGCTTTGGCTATTTGGACTCTTTTTGGTTCTGTATGAATTTTAGGATTGTTTGTTCTAATTCTGTGAAGAACGATGTTGCTATTTTGGTGAAATTACATTGAATCTGTAGACGGCTTTGGGCAGCAGTATGGTTTTTTGTTGTTGTTGTTTTGTTGTTGTTGTTGTTTTTCTAGATGGAGTTTTGCTCTTATTGCCCAGGCTGGAGTGCAATGGTGTGGTTTTGGCTCACTGCAACTTCTGCCTCCCGGGATCAAGCTATTCTCCTGCATCAGCCTCCCGAGTACCTGGGATTATAGGCATGTGCCACCACACCCAGCTAACTTTTGTATTATTAGTAGAGACAGGGTTTCACCATATTGGCCAGGCTGGTCTCGAACTCTTGATCTCAGGTGATCCGCTCACCTCGGCCTCCCAAAGTGTTGGGATTATAGGCGTGAACCACCGCACCTGGCCCAGTATGATCATTTTAACAATATTAATTCTTCCAATGTATTAGTATGGGAAGTTTTTCCACTTGTTTGTATCATCGATCATTTCTCTCATTAGTATTTTGAGGTTTTCCTTGTAGAGGTACTTCACCTCCTTGGTTAAATTTATTTCTAGGTATTTTTTGGTAGGAATTGAAAGTCAAATTGCCTTCTTGATTTCCGTCTTGGCTGTATCATTATTGGCGTATAGAAATGCTACTGATTTGTACATTTATTTTGTATTCTGAAACATCATTGAATTCATTGATCAAATCTAAGAGTTTTTTGGTAGAGTCTTCACACTTTTCTAGGTATAAGATCATATCATTAGCAAAGAGGGACAATTTAACTTCCTTTTTTCCATTTTGGATTCCTTTTATTTCTTTATCTTTCCTGATTGCTCTGGGTGGGACTTCCAGTACTATGTTAAATGAGTGTGGTGAAAGTGAGTATCCTTGCCTTGTTCCAGTTCTTAGAGAAAAAGCTTTCAACTTTTTGCCAGCTAGAATGATGTTAGCTGTGGGTTTGTCATATGTGGCCTTTATTATTTCCAGATATATTCCTTCTGTGTCTGGTTTGTTGAGAGTTGTTATGATGAAGGGATGTTGAATTTTATAAAATGTTTTTTCTGCCTCAATTGAGATGATCATATGGTTTCTGCTTTTCATTCTGATGATGTGATGTATCACATTTATTGATTTGCATTTGTTGAAACATTCTTGCATCCTTGGGATAAATCTCACCTGATTGTGGTATGCTATCTTTTTGATGTGCTGTTGGATTTGGGTTACCATTATTTTGTTGAGGATATTTACATATATGTTCATCAGGTATGTTGGTCTTTAGTTTTCTTGTGTGTGGGTATGTGTGTATGTGTCTTTGTCTGGTTTTGGTATCAGAGTAATGCTGACCTCAAAGAATAAAATAGGAAAAAATCTTTCTCTTCCATTTTTTTTTAAGAATAGTTTCAGGAAGATTGATATTAGTTCTTCTTTGTATGTATGTTTGGTAGAATTTGGCTGTGAGTCTATCCAGTCCTGAATTTTTCTTTGTTGGGAGACTTTTTATTATTGCTTAAATCTCACTACTCATTGTTGATCTGCAGGTTTTCTATTTCTGTGTGATTAGTTTTTTGGTTAATCTTAAGAGGTTTGCATATTCATTCATTCATTATATATTCACCTTTCCTCAAGGTTTTCCAGTTTGTCAGCATATAGTTGTTTGTAATAGTCTCTAATGGTCTTTTGTATTCTACGATATAAGTTATAATGTCTACTTTTTCATTTCTGAATTTTTTTATTTGGGTCTTCTCTCTTCTTGGTTATTTTAGCTAGAAGTTTGTCAATTTTCTTTATGTCTTTGAAGAACCAATTTTTCATTTTGCTGATCTTTTGTGTGTTTTAGTTTCTATTTCATCTAGTTCTGCTGTGATCTTAATTATTTCTTGTTTTTCTACTAATTTGGGGTTTGGTTTGATCTTACTTTTCTAGTTTCATGAGGTTCATTGTTAAGTTGTAGTTTGTAATCTTTTTACTTTTTTGACATAGGCATTTATTGCTATAAACTTTCCTGTTAGCACTGCTTTTACTGTGTTCCACAGGTTTTGTTATGCTGTGTTTCCATTTTCATTTATTTCAAGGAATTTTTTGATATTCATGTTAACTTCCTTATTGACACAATGGCAATTCAGGAACATGTTGTTTAATTTTCATGTATTTGTATGCTTTCCAGAGTTTGTCTTGGTGTTGATTTCTAGTTTTATTCCATTATGGTATGAGAAGATAATTGATATAATTTGATTTTTCAAAATTTCTTGAAACTTATTTTGTGGCCTAACATACGGTCTATCCTGGAGAATGTTGCATATGCTGATGAAAAGAATGTATATTCTGTGGTTGTTGGATAGAATGTTCTGTAATGTCTGCTAGATCCATTTGGTCTAATGTATAATTTAAGTCTAGTGTTTTTTTGTTGATTTTCTGTCTGGATAATCTGTCTAATGCTGAGTGGGGTGTTGAAATCCTCCACTATTGTTTTATTGTCATCTCTTTCTTTAGATCTAGTAATGTTTGCTTTATGAATCTAGGTGCTTCAGTGTTGGGTGTACATGCATTTAGAATTGTTATATTCTCTTGCTGGAATGATCCCTTTATCATTATATAGTGACCTTTTTTTGTGTGTTTTTACTATTTATGACTTACAGTCTGTTTTATCTGATATAATTATAGCTACTCCTGCTTGCTTTTGGTATTCATTTGCATGGAATATCTTTTTCTATACCTTTACTTTCAGTCTATTTGTGACTTTGTTGGTAAGGTCAGTTTCTTTTAAGTAGTATATACCTGGATTATGTTTTTAAATTCATTCAGCCATTCTGTATCTTTTAAGAAGAGAATTTAATCCATTTACATTCAAGGTTATTATTGATATATGAGGCTTTGTTTCTGGTATATTGTAATTATTTTCTGGTTGTTTTATCTATTTCTTGTTCCTTTCTTTTTCTCTCATAGTTTGTCATTGTGAATGGTGAATTTCTGTAGTGGTACTATTTAAGTCCTTTTTCTTTCTTCTTTGCATGATTGCTTTACCAGTGAGTTTTATACTTTCATACGTTTCATAATGGTAAATGTCATCCTACCCTTTTACTTCCAGATTTAGACTCCTTTGAGTATTTATTGTAGTACTGGCCTAGTGGTAACAAATTCCCTCAGCCCTTCTCTGTCTAGGAATGACTTTACTTCCCTTTTTTTTTAATGAAGGATAATTTTGCTAGATATAATATTCTTGGGTGACAGTTTTTTCTTTTAGCACTTTGAATATATTATTTCATTCTTTCCTGGCCTGTACAATTTCTGTGAGAAATCTGCTGTTAGTTTAATGAGGTGTTCTTTGTAGGTGACTGGATGCTTTTCTCTTGCTGTTTTTAGGATTTCCTCTTTAACTTTGTCTTTAGACAATCTGATTACAATGTGTTGTGGAGGAGACCTTTATGCATTACATCTGCCTGGGAATCGTTGAGCCTCCCGTATGTGAATGTCTAAATCTCTTGCTGGACTTGGAAAGTTTTCATCTATTATTTTGTTAAATAGGTTTTACAATTATTTATTTATTTATTCCTTTGCCCTCAGGGATACCAATAATTTGTTAATTCAGTCACTTTATGTTTTTCCAAATGTCTAAAAGGCTTTGCTTATTTTTTAAAAAATTCTCTTTTCTTTGTTTTTGTCTGACTGGATTATTTCAAAATTTCTGTCTTCAAGTTCTGAGATTATTCTTCTGCCTAATCTAGTCCGTTGCAGCTTTCAAATGTCTTTTGTATTTTCTTCAATGAATTGTTCAGTTCCACAATTTCTATTTGGTTCTTTAAAAAAAAATCTGTGTTTTTGGTATATATATCATTCATATTCTGAATTTTCTGATATCTTTGTATCGTTTGTTAGAATTTTATTGTATTGCAATGAATTTCTTTAAAATCAATATTTTGAATTCTTTATCTGGGATTTTGAAAATTTCTCTTTAAGTTTTATTGCTGGAGATTTATTCTGTTCCTTTGGAGGTGTCCCATTTCCTTGCTTTTTCATGTTTCCTATGTCCTTATGTTGATATGTTTGCATCTGGTGTAATAATTGCTTCTTCCTCTTTTGGAATTTACTTTCATAGGGAAGGATATTTTCCTAAAGATCTATCTTTGGTTTTGGCTGGATAGGGTACTTGGCTTTGATTCTGGGTGCATGCAATATTGTAGCCTCTGTATGATTTTGTTGGCTATATATAGCATTAGTGGTATCTGTGCTTTCCTTAGTGGATTAGAGTGCAGTTTTTAGTGGAGGCTCTGGTGAGTTTGTGCTCAGGACTGGGATCCCAGGTGCACCATTCTTTAGGCCACAGTAATGGCAGCAGTGGACTGAGTATGCCTATATTTGTGACTCATGGTGGTATACCCTGGCACCTGTGTTGGTGGTTATTAGCAGGTTGATTCTTGGACCTCCAGGTGGCTTGCTCAGATGCCAGTAGTGGCAGCTGTCGACTGGAGGGTAGGTAGGTTCTTGGGCACATGGGCAGATGGTGTGTTATAGCTAAAGAGAGCAGGAATGTCAGATGATTCTTGGGTCCCAAGCAGTGTGCATTGGTGTTGGCAGTGCCTGTGATGGCTGGGCAGGCCAGTCTCCAGACCCACAGGTGGTGCTTGCAGGTAGGTGCTAGCTACGATGGTTAACAGGTGAGAGTTTAGGCACAAACTTAGGCCTTTGAGAGGAGTAATTAGGTGCCCAAGATGGTGGATTGGGTTGGGAAATCCCCAGGACTCTGAGCTATGTGCTCTGTCTCAGAGTTGCGGGGCAAAGCTGGGCTAGGTGGGATTGTGCTTAGGCCCCGCAATGCTAAGAGTGGGCATCAACTGTGAAGGGCAGGTGTGGGGCAATCCTCAGGTCATAGACAGAGTGTTTGGAGGGGAAGTAGCAGCTGTGCTAAGGACCTGCCACCAGAGAGGGTGGGTCCTTCCTCAGTGGTTACAGTCTGGGCTGGTGCGTGGGAAATGCATGTACCCTTCATGACCCAGTCTTGGTGGTGCTCACCACCTTCCCTAGCTACAAGAACAGACGCCCAGCTCATGACCAAGTCTCATTGGCAGCTCATGCTCTGCTCATGTCCCCGTCTGAGGTCTTGGCAAGGTAGTGCTCACTTTTTGAGATCAGCTGTTGCTGCCTAGGCCTTACTCACTTCCTAGCTCTGGCTGTCAGACTGCTTCTGGCTCACTCCCCTGTCCCAGCAGTGACAGCCTGAGTTTCTGAGGTACCCAGTCCTGGTGCTGCTGGATCCCAGGACAGTGTGCAGTTTGCTGAAGGCTAGGTTTGAAAATAGCACCTTTCTGTAGCTGCTTAGGTCTCAGAAAGGGTGTGGGACCCAGCATGAGCACCCTCTATGGAGCAGGTACATCCCACAGTCTCCCAGCAGCTCCCTAGGTTAGTTTCAGGGGTGAGGAGGGATGAAGGATTCTCCCATGGCCAGGACAGCATAATTCTAAGTGGAGATGTGGGCTCTTGCAAGTCTCTCACTCACCCTTTCTCTGTGCTGGGAAGTCACTACTGGCTCTCTGTCAATCCTGACCAGGGAGGCTTCCTCTCCTGCTTCCTTTTCTCTGCTTTTGGTGTCCTCTGTTCATTTCTCTGTTCAATTCCAGTGTTCTCTCTCGGAAATGTACTTGAAGTATGACTGTCTATACACTACCTGGTTCTTCTAAGTGGAGGAGGCCAGCATGAAATGCTTCTATTCAGCCATCTTGAAAGCCACTGTAAACAGAATATATTTTAAAGCTTATTTTTCGTTATGATTCTTCAAATTGCCTGTTGAGGTGCTGTGGCATTTTTATGGAGGTAACAGTAGTCATGTTTATTTTTATTTGTTGTAAAAGCTCTTTATATGTAAATTATATTAATCCTTTATCACATATATGTTGTAAACATTTTCCCAGTTTGCAATTTTCCTTTAAATTTTGCTTATGATATATTTTGAGGTACTAAACTATTACATATTTATGTTCTCAGATGGATCGGTCTCTCCTTTTGGGTTATGCTTTTACTAGTATAGTTAGAAAGTATTTCTCACCACAAGATTACATGCTTACTTTAAAAGATATATTTTATTTTTTAAAAATGGAAATATAGTATAAGTAATGTTAGATTGCTTTTTTTCTCATTTAGAATTATATTATTAGTATTTTCTGGCATTAAATTTTCTTTAATGACTAAGCTTCTATGTCAATTAAATTACATCATATTGCCATATTATCACTTATGTTATTATGTTCTTACTCTTGGGTACTGAAGTTCCTTCCAATTTTTCATATTGTAAATAATACTGTTGTGAACATTCTTTCCCATAAATCTTGTTTGGAATTTCTTACTATTTCTTTAGGATAAACTTCAAGGTTGGGATTGTCCATTTGGGAGCATAGGCATTTTAAAAAATTTATTTTGTTTTACTTAAAAATATTTAATTGTTGTAGCATACACATAACGTACAATTTTCCATCTTAAACGTTTTTTTAGTGTAAAGTTCAGTTATACCCCAAATTACATTCACATTGTTGTGCAGTCAGTCTCCAGAACTCTTTTCATCTGGCAAAACTGAAACTCTGTCCTCATCAAACAACTCTCCATTCCCCACTCCTTTTGGGCCCTGGCAACCACCATTCCATGTTCTGTCTCTCTGAATTTGACTACTCTGGGTGCCTCATATAAGTAGAATCATACAGTTTTTGTTTTTTGTTTGAGACTGGCTTATTTTACTTAGAATAATCTCTTCAAGTTTTATCCGTGTTGTAGTATGTATCAGAATTTCCTTTCTTTTTAAATATATTATTCCTTTGCATGTATATGTCACATTTTGTTTATCCATTCATTTGCTGATGAACAAAAGTTTTACCGTTAATTTTAAAGAGGACATTGAATAGAAAATGTCAGTATAAATACCTTTTTAATAGTATAGGTTTAAATCAATAAAAAACAAAGTATACAGTACGTATGACACAATTGCCAGTAAATAATTCAGATTGTTTTTATTTGCTCATTATTTTAGATTAAGGCATATATTATCTCCTTGTTGTGTAATGCATTTTGACTTAGTGTTTACCATGGCGCCAATGAATGTAGTTGCTGCAACCTGTGGATGGACTACTAAAACCCAAAGGGCTAAAGATAAAAATTGCAACAATGGGAAAAGAGCAGGCAAAAATTTGAGGCATTAGATGTAGTTATTACAATTTCTATAACATGGAGGAAAGGTAGGTTCGAGTCATATATTTGACTGCCTCTGTGTGCTTTGGTTCAAGTGCAGCTGTGGAGGTCTTGGGTCATGGAAAGTAAAAGTTTTCCAAATACATACTGATATTACATCAAGGAAAGCCTTTTCAAAAATGGGATCCAGAATTCCTAACAGGGAGGGCACGTGCAAGGACTGGTGATAGGTTAAGGGAAAGCATCATTGAAGAAAACCAGTCTGAGTGTGCTTTTTAACAATCAAAGCTGAATTAGCTGAAACTGAAAAGTGGGGAGGGGCAGCAATGGGGGAGGAGATAAAAGTTTTGGGACAACTGAGAGACTGCACATTTTAAACAGAAGAAAATAGTCAATGCCTTTTAAACCAACGTTCTTTAAATATTTGTTTTAACATTTATTTTTTGAAGCAGAGTATAAATATTTTTTATTACTAACAGAAGTAACAATAATTCCGGGCATTATTGTTATAGGCTCTTTATGGTATTTACTCATTTAATTCTCATGTCAAGTCAATGAGACAGGTAGCATTATCATTCTCATTTTATTGATGAAGAAATTGAGGGCATGGAGTGGTTAAATGACTTGCCTAGGTCGATTAGCAAGTGGGAGAAGGGAGAGAAGGATTTAGACCAAAGCAATTGGATTCCCTATTTTCTTTATAAATTATGCATAATTAAAAATCATATTTTATATACTAAGTAAATATTGTATAGCTCTTTATTTTTAATGTATATGCCTGTTTTCCTTTCATCTGCTTCTTTGAGACCTCCACATAAAGAAACTTTACACAAGAAAGTACTGAAGAAAGAAAATTTGCTCTTCGATTTATAGGAAGGACACCTGTGTCATTTTAGCACTCTTTGTAGACTGGAATCCTGGGTTGTTGCTTGAATGCTTTAATCCAGCTATAGATTGTAAATTTGAAAAAGGAAAATAGAGAACAAATCGGGAGAATCTCTGTACATATAGCTGAAAGGAATTAGCTATTTTGAGCTTTTTAAAAGCTTTTATTTCAGGTTTGGGGGTACATGTAAAGGTTTCTACATATGTAAACCCGTGTCATGGGGGTTTATTGTACATACTATTTTATCGCCCAGGTATTAAGCCCAATACCCAATAGTTTTCTTTTCTGCTTGTCTCTCTGCTCCCACCCAACCCCTCAAGTAGACTCCAGTGTCTGTTGTTTCCTTCTTTGTGTTCATAAGTTCTTATCATTTAGCTCCTGCTTATAAGTGAATCATATGGTATTTGGTTTTCTGTTCCTGTGTCAGTTTGCTAAGAATAATAGCCTCCGTGAGCTGGGTTTTAAAGGACTCCATTCAGGATTTTTTTTAACTTCTTCTTATTCTTGCCACTTTCCATTCATGTCTGGTAGAAAAAGAAGTTTGGGGAACATTATCCATGACAGTTGCTAATTATTTCAATAAAATAATACTCAGTGCTCTAACTTGTTAGCTTTGATGAAAACTAAGTATGTCTATTTAACTGTCAGAGAGGCAGAAATTTAATTAACTCTGATGCTATATTGAGTGGAGTGTAAATTACTTACCTAAGTGCAGAAGTAGAATTTATGAGGGAATGCATGTACATCACTTTAATCTACTGTCTTAAAACTCTTTTTAAATTTTCTGTAACCCTATGACAGATTATAAAACTCTCATTTTCTACTTTAATTTCTCTTTTCTTTTTCTCAATCATAGTAAATTCCAATTTTCAATTATGACATTTGATGCTCTTGACAACTGCTTGTAAGCTTCTTCTATATGATAGATTCACTGGTGGAGAACTAGGTTTTTTGTTTTTTTGTTTTTTAAATTTTGAATGATTTATTCAAGAGTAGGTATTCATCACTGTCACTTAGTGAGATTTACCCTTTGTATGCTCAGTGTCTATTCAGTGCTAAGCTTTTGGATGATGGCATTATTGCATTGTCATACTATTCTGATGGTTTTCAGATTTCCTCATTTAAGAAAAGAAAGATGACCCATAATCTTACTGCTCAGTTATGTACTGTTAACATTTGCCATTTAAAAAATTCTCTTTCTCTGTCTCTCTCTCCTTCCCCCACATATACATATATCCCGACAAGAAATAATTTGATATTGTTTAACATGCTGTATAATATGTAAAATAAACATAATATTTGTATAATTATGTAATGTATAGTTATAAACCTGACTTTTTTCATTTAGTATTATGTTGTGGCCACTTTCCTGTCACTCCCAAATTATAAATATTTTCTAATAGTTGAGAAATATATTTCACTCATATATTTGAATATAACCTCTTATTTTTGTATATTTTAGTTGTTTCTAACATTTTTTAGATTGTGATTATTCGATAATAAACATACTTGTTTATAAACTTTGCTGCATTTCTGTTTACATTCTTGGTTTAGATACCTATAAATGGAATTGCAGGGACAAAAGTTCTAAACATAATGAGGATATATATATATATATATATATATATATATATATATATATATAAAACAAAACTACACTACCAATTTAACTCTCACCTATATTGGCCTATTTTCAGTTCCTTAAGTGGTTCATGCTATTATTATTGTTATTTTGCAACATTTGACCTGAGTTATTTTACTTAATATGCAACAACAACTTAAAAAGGAGGTACTTTTTACAAATAATGAGAGTCTTGATTGTGCCCAAGATCATAGACTACATAAGTTAAAAAACCAGGCTTTTACACAGTTGACCTGAGCTTGGCCTCTCTGACTCCAAAGTTCATGCTGTTTCATCTAATGAAATGATTTTGAACTCAGGTATCACATATTGTCAAATTTTTTCTTTTTTTTTTTTTTTTTAAGTGGCAAAGCTCTATTTGAACATTAAAGATTTTTTCATAGGTCTTTTTTACACTTTTAAGTTTAAACAATTTTATCAAAATTATTTTGCCAGTGTTACTTCTCTCAGAAGCAGGAACCAAGATGGGATTCAATAAGCAAGAGATTTCTTCAGGGAGATTCCTGTGAAGCATAAAGGGGAAGGAACAGGAGTAGACAGGGAAAGCATTCAGAATGTGATATAGATTGGACACCTGCAAAAGGAAAGAAGGAAGAAAAGATTGGGTAGGAAGAGCCTCAGAGCTAAGCGCAGTTCTTATGACGTTTCAGCTAGGCCAGTGGGAATCCCTGAGTCAAAACTGCCCATTAGAGGAGTTGTGTTTTAGGCAGGATTGGCTGGCACTAGAACCCCACTAGGCTCCTGGGAGCAGCAGCTAGTGCTGTCAGTCAACTACACTTTTCATAGCAGGTTCTCTTAAAAGAGATCTCAGTGGTATACCTCCATGACTGCCATGCTATTGCATGCACACAGTTTAAAAATAAAATGGTACTACAATCTTACAATGAAAAAAGCTGTCCTATGCCTATTCCTACCCTTATCTAATTCTTTTCCCCATAGTCAAGCACTTTTAAGTCCTTTAGCTAATTCTTCTGGGATTTACATATTTTTAAATGACATATGCCGCTATTTCTAGATTTTGTTCACTGTACATTTAGCCTCTGTTATCCTATTATGGAAGATAAAGTTTTAACTCATTTACATATTCCCCAACCACCCCTTTTCTACAACAAGTTTTCCTCCTTGATTTTCTTACCATACATACATAAGCTTTGGTCATTTATTCAGTGTTTATATTATTATAGCTTTGTAAATATTATTAACAACTGAGCCAAGTAGTGTACTATGGTTACATTTTTTTCTTAAAAAACTTAATTCTCCCTGGAATTAATTATCTTTTTTTTGAGACAGAGTCTGTCTTTGTCACCCAGGCTGGAGTGCAGTGGTGCAATCTTGGCTCACTGCAAGCTCTGTCTCCTGGGTTCAAGCAATTCTCATGCTTCAGGCTCCCTAGTTGCTGGGACTACAGGCGTGCACCACCACACCTGGCTAATTTTTTAATTTTTTAATAGAGACAGAGTTTTGTCATGTTGGCCTGGCTGGTCTCGAACTCCTGACTTCAAGTGATCTGCCTGCCTTGGCTTCCAAAAGTGCTGGGATTACAGGGGTGAGCCACCGCAACTAGCCAAGTTGATTATCCTTTTTTGTGATGTGTTTTATTACTTACTCATCCTGAAGCTTTTTACTACAAAGTCTCTGTACATGATTGTCTTCAAGAAGCCTTCCAGGCTTCTTTTTTTCTTTTCTTTTTTTTTTTGAGACGGAGTCTTGCTCTGTTGCCCAGGTGGGAGTGCAGTGGTGTGATCTTGGCTCACTGCAACCTCTGCCTCCCAAGTTCAAGTGATTCTTCTGCCTCAGCCTCCTGAGTAGCTGGGATTACAGGCGCACACCACCACATCAGGCTAATTTTTGTATTTTTAGTAGAGACGGGGTTTCACCGTGTTGGTCAGGCTGGTCTGGAACTCCTGACCTCGTGGTCCACCCGCCTCTGCCTCCCAAAGTGCTGGGATTACAGGCATGAGCCACTGCACATGGCCTCTTTTTTAAAAAATTAAATTAAATTAAATGTTATTTTTTATTATACTTTAAGTTCTGGGATACATGTGCAGAACGTGCAGGTTTGTTACATAGGTATACATGTGCCATAGTAGTTTGCTGCAGCCATCAAACCATCATCTACATTAGGTATTTCTCCTAAAACTATCCCTCCCGTAGTTCCCCACCCCCCAACAGGCCCCAGTGTGTGATGTTCCCCTCCCTGTGTCCCTGTGTTCTCATTGTTCCACTCCCACTTATGAGTGAGAACATGCAGTGTTTGTTTTTTCTGTTCCTGTGGTAGTTTGCTGAGAATGATGGTTTCCAGCTTCATCCATGTCCCTGCAAAGGACATGAACTCATTCTTTTTGATGGCTTAATAGTATTCCATGGTGTATATTTGCCACATTTTCTTAATCCAGTCTATCATTGATGGGCATTTGGGTTGGTTCCAAGTCTTCGCTATTGTGAGTAGTGCTGCAATAAACATATGTGTGCATGTGTTTTTATAGTAGAATGATTTATAATGCTTTGGGTATATACCCAGTAATGGGATTGCTGGGTCAAATGGTATTTCTAGTTCTAGATCCTTGAGGAATCACCACACTGTCTTCCACAATGGTTGAACTAATTTACACTCCCACCAACAGTGTAAAAGCGTTCCTATCTCTCCACATCCTCTCCAGCATCTGTTGTTTCCTGACTTTTTAATGATCGCCATTCTAACTGGCGTGAGATGGTATCTCATTGTGGTTTTGATTTGCATTTCTCTAATGACCAGTGATGAGGAGCTTTATTTCATATGTTTGTTGGCTGCATAATTGTCTTCTTTTGATAAGTGTCTGTTCGTATCCTTCACCCACTTTTTGATGGAGTTGTTTGTTCTTTTTCTTACAAATTTGTTTAAGTTCTTTGTAGATTCTGGATATTAGACCTTTGTCAGATGGATAGACTGCAAAAATTTTCTCCCATTCTGTAGGTTGCCTGTTCACTCTGCTGATAGTTTCTTTTACTGTGCAGAAGCTCTTTAGTTTAATTAGATCCCATTTGTCAATTTTGGCATTTGTTGCCATTGCTTTTGGTGTTTTAGTCATGAAGTCTTTGCCCATGCCTGTGTTCTGAATGGCATTGCTTAGGTTTTCTGCTAGGGTTTTTATGGTTTTAGGTCTTACGTTTAAGTCTTTAACCCATCTTGAGTTAATTTTTGTATAGGGTGTTAGGAAGGGGTCCAGTTTCAGTTTTCTGCATATGGCTAGCCAGTTTTCCGAACACCATTTATTAAATCAAGAATCCTTTCTCCATTGCTTGTTTTGGTCAGGTTTGTCAAAGATCAGATGGTTGTAGATGTGTGGTGTTATTTCTGAGGGCTCTGTTCTGTTCCATTGGTCTATATATCTGTTTTGGTACCAGTATTGGTACCAAATAATGGTTCCTTCAGGAACCACTATTTCAGTTGCAAATTATATATGTATTAAATTAATGGTTGAAAATACAACGTGAGCCAGAATCTTTTCTGCTTTTGGTTGCCATAATATTTTTAGCACTTAGTATTAGCCTGGCAAACAACAAGAAAAGCTTACTAGTTACTACTATGTGCCACTGATTGTTGTAAGTATATCAGGTATATTAACTTACTTAATTCTTAAAACAAACTTATGAAGTAGGTAACGTTACTATCCCTACTGTACAAATATGAAACTTGAAGCACAGAGAAGTTATGTAACTTGAGTCGTGGATATGCAGCTAGTAAGTAGCAGAGCTAAGATTGGAACCCATTCTATCACCCACTAATAGTATTTATTTGAGAAGGTGGAATGAATGAATTGCAAAAAGTTCTTTAGGACTCTTTTAGATGAAAACAGTAACGTAGTGGGCTGCTCTTGGTCCCCTGTAGGTAGAATATTCATGAGTACATGCTGCATTATTATGTCATTTTTAAGTAAACTGAAAGAAAGGCAGCATTGAAAGCATTAAATCAAGCACTTAATTCACTTACGGCTATGTAAAAAAAAAAAAAACTGTGCCCATTCAGACTCAACCTTCTAAATCTCCCAAAAGTTAATTGCCAAAGCTCTCCAAGGAAAATGAAGTGCCTTTGTTTAGCAGACGAGCTAGTTGGGTGGTTTTCCTACTTTCCCTTACTTTTTTGATGCTTTATGGTGGTTTATGCAACAAGTACCTTGTTGAATATTCTAATCTGTTACCTAATCTGTTGAGATATAGCATTTGTGTAAAACAAATCAGATCGGAAAAATTCTAGCTTTCCATTTTGGGCTCTGACTTACTCATTTCTCATGCTTTCAATAATTCAGTTCACTAAGAATGAATTTAAAAACATAGCATGCCCGACTGTTTTTCTGTCTACGATCTTAATATTTCTCTTTCCTTGGCATACCAAGTTTCAACCTTTAATGCACAACAAAAACCTTACCAATTCCTCATACCCCTATTCTTAGTAAATTTGTAAAAGGGCTTTTGTTTTCTTAGAAATGTTTAAAGATAAATGTTAGAGTAAAGCATTCTTTCTGTGTAACATGTCCAGATTTGTTTCCCACTTCAATTAGCTCCGGAGATTGTTTTAGTGGATATTGCTTTATCTTATTAAGAACTTTAGCTAGCATCTAAAATTGTATTGGCAGGATTAATTGCACAGAAATTGCATCCATGGGTTTGTTATAGATAATTTCAACTTGATGTTACTTCTCTAATATTTTACTTTTTGAAATGGAATCAGGTATGCTTTCCCAAAAATGATGGTACAGTGTTTCACTAGATTTGAAAGTTTCATTTGATATTTGCATTTTTACAAGACAGACTGTGGTATAAATGTAACAGTGAAAGACATTAAAAATTACTGTGTTCTACTAGAGAAATACAGTTGTTGCAAATCAGAATGGAAGTTAATCTGAAATTGAAATGGTAATTTCCTAATTTCCTACATCCTTTTTTTTTAAACAGTATTCTGAGTTACTTTTTGTCAGAATACTTGTGCTGTACTTAGGTAAGCTTAAGTAGAAAAGATTTAGTAAGAGGCTTAACATTATATAAAAGGGGGAAATATGTGACCTCCTTATTGGTGTAATTTGAAGGATACTAAAATTAATGTAATTGTAAAATTTAGGAAAGTTATGGGCATGGGGTAACCTTTATGAATGATCAGACATGGATAAGATGTTATGCTGGTTTAGGCAGCCAAGGAATGGTTTGATGATCATTTTGTAGTGATGGGGTGGGAATGGAGGTAGAATAATATCAAAGATAAAATAGGACCTGCTTTATAATTTTGCACAAGTGTTTGACTTGTCCATTTGCTTTCACTAAGAACCAGAAAATAAGGAGTAACATCCTAGATTCTACTGAGGACCAAAGCCAATCAGAAGAGGCAGCTTTAAACATTGAGATGTTTATGAAAGGCACTTCATATCCTGAGTGCCTTTCACACAGTAGATACTATACTGAATGAATGAATGAAATGGTATGTAGAAAGAAGAGACTAGGAGAAGAAGGTGAATGCAGAAAATTATTTTGTTTTAGAGGGCAGTGGCCATAATCATTTTGTCTGTTTTTTAGATTACCTCCCTTTCTACCTTGCTACATACTAGGAAAAATGGCTACCTATGATAGTCAGGTTAAACCTTGAAATAGGCTTATATTTGAACAGAACTGAATGAAGTGAGGAACGTGGCACAGTAGATATCTGGTGAGAGCATTCCAGAGGGAAATGAAGAGGTAGCTGCTGCAAACTTGGTCCCCATAGTACCTCAGTATCTGTTTGCCAGCAAGCTGCCTTGAGCTTCTAGGACCTTACCAATATATCCCAACTTTCTGTCTTCTTGGAAAAACTCCAGTGATGTTCCTCTTCGTTGCTTACCTGTTAAGAATAGTATCTCTCATTTACTCAGTTCCAACCAAGTCCCCAGATGCGGGTTATTTAATTTAATTCTCACAACAACTATGCAAAATAGGCTTTGCTAGCTCCATTTTGAAAATGAGAAAAATGAGTGCCCAAGAGTTCACATAATTTGGTAGCAGTGGCAGATCTTGGCATTGAATGGAGGCTTTATAATTATGAAGCTCATTTTTTTTTCATTTTACATGGTTTCTGAATATTAATTTGGCTTATCTATGTCCTACAACCTTGCTTTCAGGTAAGAGCATGTGTATCTAATACCCAAAATGGATATTTTTTTAATTTAAATGTTTTATTTTGAGATAATTGTAGATTCACATGTAATTGCAAGGAAAAATACAGAGGAGATCTTGTGTATCCTTTATCCTACTTTTCATAATGATAACATCTTGAAAAACTATGGTACAATTAGGAAGAGAAGAATTGAGGCAAGTCCTAACCATTGCACACAACTATAACATAATACAAGGATTTAACATTGACACAATTCATTGATCTCGTTCCAATTTCCTTTGTTTTACCTGTACTTGTGTGTGTGTATGTGTGTGTGCATGCACATGTGTATATGTGTTTAGTTCTGTGCAATTTTATCACATGTACAGGTTTGTGTATCTATCAGCACAGTCAAGATACAGAACAGTCCCATCACATAAAAATCCTTCATGTTGCTTTTTTACAACTACACTCATTTCTCCCTGCCTCCAAATGCCTTGCATTCTTAACACCTGGCAATCACTAATCTGTTCTCCATTTCTATAATTTTGTTATTTCAAAAATATTATATACATGGGATCATACAGTATATATCTTTGGGATTGCCTTCCCCCTCCCCATTCATCATAATTCTGTAGAGATTCATTCAAGATGCATCTGTCAATACTCCAGTCCTTTTTATTGCTGAGTACCATTCCATGTTTTGGGTGTACTACAGTTTGATTAACCATTGAATGGGTTGATATTTTACGCCTCTTAAGAAATATGTGCATTTTAATAATGGCTACCAGCAGTCAATGTCCTAATTCAAAAGTAGAGAATTTAATGTTGAGAACATAAGTTGATAAAGACTAGAGGATTTTAGGGAAAGGTATGATCTTAAGTTTCTTTTTGGTTACACCATGTAAGTATATGATAGTAGGAAACCTACACTTCCATTTTATGCTTGATCTCACTGACGGTGTTTCAGATGATGCTGCCATGGTATTTCCTGTAACTGGATGAGATACAGTCCTTTGCAGGAGAAAAAATGCTTTCATCCCATGTACATTGTCTTGAATTTTAAGAGGTGTTGCTATGTAAGCAAGCGTGGTTCAGTTTTACAAAAGAAACAAAGACAGACAGTCACGAGAAATGTCATGTTTATCTTTTATATCTTATGGATGAATCTCAAATAGTTTTTCTCTTGGCTGCTTATTCTCGACTCTAACCAAGTGTCACCACTTATCTTCTGCTGTAAACCTCACGTAGGTCAAATTTGTGAATTGCCTCCTGTTGAACCAGGAAGCTTATAAGGTTTTTTTTTCTTGATGCAAGTGGTTGGTTTTATTAAAACAAAAAAAGGATATATTCTTTATGTATTGCTTGGCCTCAATTTGCTTTACAGGTTTTCAATTACTGATCCTCTTACTATGTTTGATTGTAGGTATGTAAGTTGCCTCACTGGTTTCCTCTTGTACGGCCTATAGTGACCTTGAGACCTACCCACATTTAACTCAATTCTCCTTTTTGTTATTGTGTATCCACCGCATCAAAGCCCATTTAAATTCACTGGCCAGTGAGGGTTTAAAACTAAAATCTGTGTAGTACTGTGATGTATTTGACTGAGGAATATGCACCTTTTCTTTTAAACTATGAGCCTGAGTTTTTATGAAGAGAAGGGTGAATAGCACTTCAATTTCTATATTAATTCAATAAGTATTTATTGAGCACTTATGTTATGTAAGTCACCATGCCAAATGTTGTGATGGCCATGGAGATGAGTTGGCCTTCAAGGAACATGTTCTAACAGCAAACATAAGACAGGGTTATCTTATCTAATGCAAGATACTGATAAGGCTAATGGAAACCTGAAAGGATCATGAAGATTTCTTGACCTTAAGTTTCTGTCTTGTAGTATTAGTCTAATGACTGTGTCACCTGCTATAGTTTGCAGAATGCGTTCACAGCTTACATAGATATTCTTATTTAATATTTATGATTCTTCTTTATAGATTAAGACAGTGAAGCTTGGACATGTGGAGACAGAGTTCAAAGAAAAACCCAAGGCTTTGAATGTGGCATTTATGAGACTTTACCAAGAGGCTTTACATGAATATGTTTTGTTTTAGCAAGGATCTTAGGTTTTAAAATTTTACTTAAGGTTGCATAGACTATCTTGCAACTGAATGATATAGAGGTAATGAATTCACAAGTCAATTAAAATTGTTTCATTTTCCTTTAAAATAATAACCCTCAAAATAAATACTTTTTTCCTCCTATAAAATATGTGAATTAACTCTCTCTCCATGGATGTAATTTTGAATTATGTTGATTAGAGGGTAAATCAGGAGAACTGCATATGAGAATATGAATGTTTAAATAATTATCATTAATTTAAGTGTCCTTAAGGCGCTTTAGCTGCTCAAGTGAGCATTTGCTTAATTTAAATTGAATTAAAAATGATCTATGGGGGAAACAGTTTCTAAAGCACAACTAGAGTTTCATGAAAATGAGAGGAATCAGAGATGTGTTACAAAGATCTAACATTGCAAGGATGGAATTTTGAGACACACTGATGTAGATATTCCTAAATGTTATATTTGTGCAAAATTACAATGTCAAATAGTGCTTCACAGGGCAGAAAACTTAATGCTGAAGGTTTCTTTCCAGTGGCGCAGAGCCCTATGGAAGGTTCATTTCTTGCTTTCAAATTTAGGAGCATCTAGGAAATTCCTTGAAGGATAATTTTATGTAGAATGTATTAAAATATTCCAATCTTTTTTCACCTTCTGGGAGGCTGACCAGAACTCATAAGGGAAGGACAACACATAAGGGCTCATAAGTAACATTAAATAGGTGAACTTTCCTTGTTTTAGATATGTATTTTTAGGGAATTGCATAAGCAAACCAGTATATATAGTATGGCTGTTGGTTCACTGATGGGAATCACTTGGGCATGGTTTGAATCTTAAAATCATCCTGTCTGGCTTGGCACCTCTATTTCAATGGGAAAAGCACTGCTAGAAGTGAGAGTAGAAAGTGATGAGAGGGACAGCAGCCCTAGAAAAGAGCTAGGGGAAATGAACAGTACTGTCACAAATGTGGGGAGGCTCTTGTGTACTTGCTCACTGCCATCATTGTACTTTGAATACTGATAAAAGAAGGAGCACAAGACTGCCCTTCTTTGTTTACCAAGTAGGTGAGGTCAGGCAGCTAAGGCAAAACAAAACAAAACAAACAAAACAAAACAAAACAAACAAAACAAAACAAAACCAAAAAACACACAAAAACTGAAAAATCCAGCTAAAGACCTTAAGACATGGCCCCAGGAAGTTTAAAAAACTTTAAGAGGGCTTAATCTTCCAGAGTGTATAAGATTGGCAAAGGGGTTCAAGTCAAACTTATCTAGATCTCAGGTGGCAGGGAAAAGAGCTAACATAGCTGGGCTGAGACTATTTTTAGAAAGGCCTGGCTGCAGGGTTGGCCTTTGGCTGGCATCTTGGTACTTAGATTTTGGGCATGTTTCCCACCATTCTCTGACTTATAAGAGTAGTTTATTGTGCCTAAACTATTTGTGCAAACAATGTGGCTTACGTTAAGCACCTGCCTTCATTCTGAGAATCTAGAATTTAGGTATGTCCTAGGCAGAGGTTCTTATATGGCCAGCTCCCAGTAAAACCTTGGGCACTAAGTCTCTAATGAGATGTCCTAGGAGGCAACATTTTACAAGTGTCATAGTTCAATGCTGAAGCAATTTAAGTTGCCCTATATGACTCTACAGGGACAAGATGTTTAGAAATGTGTACTTGGTTTTCCTCAGACTCTGTCCCATGTATTTTTTCCCTTTACTGATTTTGCTTGTACCCTTTGGCTGTAGTATATCATAACTGTGAGTTCTGTGAGTCTGCCTAGCACATCACCAAATCTGGGGATGGACTTGGGGACTCCAGGCACAGAACCATAACTGGAATAGACTTACAGGTGAAATAAAAGTTGTAATGTGGGATATGGTACATTCTGGAACTTAAACTAGGGATGTTTGAAATAACTCTTTACTAGCATTTTAACTCTTGACAACTGTATCCAGAAATTAGCACATGTGGACTGAGGTCCTTCTAACATAAGAACAATAAAATCAGATTAAGGGAAGTGGAGCCCATATAATCTTCCCCTGCTCTCAATATAAATGGAGTCTTGTGAATTTAATCTACTAGAAGAGTAGTTAATAATCTGTTAATGGAAAATCCCTAAATGGACCTTTTGGTAGAAAACTCCTAGTTCTAGCAGTGCAGGCACAAATAAAGGGAGAGAGCCCCACTGACAGCATGACAAGAATTTTATGGCCTGGTGTTAAGCATCCATAGTTAATATGATAAATTTTTCTTAGTTAAATGCAAACCAAGTTCCTTTCGCCTTTCTTCTTTGCTGAACATTTTTAAATGTTAGAGTTGGACAGCAAACTCTGTTAGAAATCCAAGGAAAAATGCCCTTACATCTAAAAGAAAGTGCTAACTGAATTGTAAATGCATACAATTTAGTGTTAGGACATAGTCTGGCTTGTACAATGTGTCCAAGTGGGACAAAGCCTCCATTTGGGGAAATAAATCCCTTTGCTTAAAAAAGTTGCAACAAAAAAATTTCAATCTTTTCAAAGACTATTTAAAAGAATATTTGACTTTTGTTTTGTCTATTCATTCTCAAACTGAAGTAGGAAAATATGCCTTTGAAACTGTTTATTTTTTATATGCAGTTTATTTATATAGCCCTTTTTGGTGTTTTGACACTCAAAAGGTTTATGAAAGCATGGATAGCTGCTACTCTGCTACATTTAGAACTCTATGAAAACTAACAGTGAAGGTAATGATTTCTTACATGAACAAACAAAACTGGATTTATACACTGCCCTGTTACCAGAGGTAGGACCTAAATTAAGGGGGAATCTTGAAGTTGTGTGGTTCCAGTTCTGCCTTGTTCTTACTATCGACTACTGGTTGGTGTCTTCACATACTGATAAGGTAACTGGCATGTTGCTCAAAAAGCAAATGCATTTGGAATATGTGATAGAGCTGATTAGTTTGGATATTTTAGATTAAGATGAATTATTTGGAGAGAGGTGAGGGTGTTACTTTCCCTTTTTATGTAGAGATAGGTCTTTGAATTAGATCAAATAGGATGATCATATAACTTGTCATGCAACAGGACACTTTTGAGAGTCAAAGGGAAAGCTATTGATAATTACATTGGGATAAAATGTATAATGTATAATGTATAAACTGGGATTATTCCTGAGAGAACTGAGACATGTGGTCATCTCAACACTGAACACTTATTTTCTACTCTTTTTCCTTTCATGGGTATTATGGGTATTTGTGAGATTGTGAAGTATTTTAAATGTGGGAGAAAATAATCAGCAAACCTGTGTTAGTTGATACTAAAACATGGCCTCAAAATTCTTTGTTACTTAACCCATTGAGAGGTGGGGTATTATTTTCTCTATGACACCACCCCTTGAATCTGAGTGGGCCTATGGCTTCTTTGAACAATAGAGTATGATGGAGGTGATGCTGTGTGATTTACAAGGCTGAGTCAATAGATGATGTAGCTTTTGCCTTGTTTCTGGGGCACTCCTGTTTGGAGCCCTGAGCTGCCACATAGGAAATCTAATGACCCTGGGACCATCATGCCATGAAGAAGCAAAGCCACAGATATTACAGGTCACATGCTGGTGTTCTGGTCAGCAGTCCTAGTCTTCAAGTCATCTCAGAGTAGATGTATGTGAGTGAACAAGCCTTTAGATGACCCCAATATGTAGCCTTTAAGTCTTCCCAGTTGAGAGCAGTGTCACTGTGGAGCAAAGATGAGCCATCCCTGCATGACCCTTTCTAAATTTTCTGACCCACCAAATCCATGAGCATAATAAAATGGTTTTTTTTAAGCCATTAAGTTTTAGGGAAATTTGTTATACAGTAATAGTAATGGGAATACTGAGCTTTCTATTTTTGCATTTATCTGTTTCAAGGTACTCCTGGACTTTCTGTAGTACCCTTGGCTCTGAGCAGAAAAATCTCACTGTTCTACAAACACACTGTTGGTCCTCTCTGAGGTGGATCCCTATGTCTTGAGTCACTCTCTCCACATATTAGCTCTCTTGAGGCACATTTATTTTCTTGAAATTTATTGTGGACTCTGATACATGCTGACTTTCCTCTCCGAATCATGATATTATCCACTATAATATCAATAGTGTATCAATAGAGCTTTAGTCTATGCTATTTGTATTGCTCACTGTTGTTTTATATGTTTCTTTTCTCCTCAGCTTGGTGATAATACAAGTTCTTGAAGATAGGAGGCATGCTGTGTATTTTATATTGTGTAGCAATAATATAGTGGTAAACACAGGGGAGAGATTATTTTCCTGGTACTTCCTGAGACCATATTTATATTTTCAATATTTCACTTTGATCACAAAGTGTGGTAGATATCTGATATTGGCATTTAAAAGCCATTATCAAGGATAATTTTGAATTGTAAAGAAAGAGCAGAAGAGATTATTTTAGATGTGCTTGTGCAAGGTAAGCTAATGAGATACTGGGAAACAAAAGCACAAAATGAATAGCTTTATTTGTGGGATAAACAAGGCTCTCAGAATGTGCCAATAAAAAATCTTTATTATTAGGTGGATTTAGATTCTTTTAAAGCTTTTGATCATGTTTTATGTCTAATAAAGTTTCTTCAGGGAAAAGTAAAACCTAAAATCTTTCCCATAAATTAGTTGATGCTTTTATTTTTCCTAAATCCATGATCATGTTCAAATAAGGAAAGCTTTAAGGGAGATTCCTTAGCAATGGATAAAAAGAAATTCTCAAAGAATTAGAAATATGCTAAGGAGATGCAGAAGAATGTTTTAAGGTTAATTGCCTAGGTGGATTTTCAGGTTACACGAAGATAGGGTACAGGTTACATGAAGACAGGGTAGTCCTGATAAAATGTGATACTCCTGCAGTATCTTCTGGGCTGACAATAATACCATTTATTTCCTCTTCATCATCCTTACTCAATCCTGAAATCTACAGTAGAAGATTGGGGTAAAAGTTTCTAAGTTCTCCATTTCATCTTTTGGGAGTAGCATAAAGTAGCAAGGAAGATTTGAATATGGAAAAATATGTGAAACTGTAGATAAATGTTGTCAGAGAACATTCAAATAAACAAACAGTGAAGACACCATTATACAGAACTAATCATCTGAGAGTGCTCTCTTGCTTAGTAGTTTTAAGAAAGAGTAAAACCCTCCAATGTAAGTTTTAATTTGCTCTAGATTTTTGATTATACATGATGATCCTTCAGTTTCTGCTTCTCAAGATTTTATTCTATCGCAGAAGTTGCCTTCTTCCAGGTCTCCAGGTCAACATAATATTTTTGATCCTATAAAAAATTTTCACATTCTACTATTTTGAGGCTGTGATAAAGGGTTCGAGAGGTTTTAGTAATTAATCACTTTTTTAAAGGACCTTTGACTTTACCAGTTCTGTGGCTCCTAATTAACCTTACCTTTGAGCACTAGAAGTAATGGTTGACCCAGAAGGTGTTCTCTTTTTAGACCCCACACAGGAAGACTGTTCAAGATGTCTGTGCCACAACTGTTCTTGGAATAAGTTCAGGAACCTAATGATATATGCTGATGGGCTCAGAAACCAATTTTAATCAGGTGATTTAGAAAACTTTTCAAAGATATCAGTCAGTGAATGCCTACAGGGCAATCGATAATGGATGCATAGCTTAATTCTAAAGTGTAGGGACATGAGCAGAGAGAGGTTGGCACAACATGCTCTGTGGCTTCTACATCTGAGGACTTGGTTGCTCAAAGGTAAAGTGAATTGGGTCTGTTGATTCTTTTTTATAATTAAACATCCCTTGGTTTATGAAAGAAACAGCGGAGATACAACAATGTGTCTTTGAGAATCACATACATTTCAAAAGTATGCAGCTCCAAGTCATTAGAAAAAGGGTGGATTCTGGAGCACACATATATGTTCTAGTTGGTAGTGTCAGTGGTGGTCATCCTCTGCTTCTTTGTTGGCTGGGTATCTATGAACATAGGGAAAGGCAGGTGGCAGCATCTTTCTATGTTCTGAATGAAATTTTAGAGAGTTCTATGTCATGCATTCTACTTGAAATGAGAGGTTCACAGTGAGCAAAGATTAAGAAAGGAAGAAGAAAAACTTGTCATAGTTTCCCATGGGCCAGGAAACATTTGTATCAAGGAAGGACAATAATAAAATTTACAAGTTAGCTTTTTGCTTACTGTTAATAAAAAAAGCTACTTTTAATAAGGTTGATTAGGCATTTGGGGAATGAAGTATAAGCAGAAGCACAATTCACTAATTTGTTAATTATTTTCTTTGTTGTGGACCTCAATTAGTTTAGTGTTTAACAGTGATAAAGCATAGTCAGAAAGAAATGAACCTTGTTAAAGGAAACTGCTTAATGGCTATTTTTCACTCTGAGCCCCAGAAACTCTCCACACTCCCTATTTGTACAAGTACTATGTACTCTTTATGTAATTTTTTTAAATACAAAGAAAACAAAAATCCTTACATTGCCACTCTAGATAGAACTACTCAATGTTTTTTCTCATTCATAATTTTTACATTATTGAGATACTACTGAATATATAAAATTTTCCTGCTTTTAATATAAGCATTTTCCAGGTTTATTGCAAATTCTTCATGAACATGTTTAATGCTTACGTAATCTGTTGGTTCCTGATTTAATGCCCACAACCTACTTTGAGCAGAGTTGACCCTTCTGGGTATTAGCAAGCAATGGAGTAAGCATTCTAAATGGCAGGCTGCTGCAATTGATCCAATCCCAAGCCAATTTACCCAGGCCATCAGGAAAATGAGCTTTGTGTTTTTCCAGCTAAAAGTCTCTTTCTGGTAATGATGCAGAAGAGTATAATACATTTTATGAATGCACAAAACTCCTTTTGTTTATACAGGTTATCACCAAATTCAGCAATAGGAACAACGGGTCTACCATACCTAAGACATTCCCAAGCATCCAGCTGCAGTGAAATTCCTGAAATATAAAACCCAAATTTATTCTCTTTGTCATTTAGAACCTTTTACTTGACTAATTCAATGGGCCCCTCTCAGAACTTTCCTTAAGATGAAACTAACTAGGACATTTTGCTTTATTTCTAGTTAACAATTACCACATTTATATATGGAATTTTATCAAAATATAGAAGGCATAAAAGAAGGAACCAATCTTAGGACAACAGAAAAAGGTACATTTTCAACTCCATTTTTGCTTACATCTTACCCTACTAGGTTAAACTCCCACAGAGGTCTTGGCTGACCTCACTTCTATAATTTTAACACTGTAAATTTTCTGTTGAGTTTTTCTTGTTTCATCTGATTTTGTATAGGGTTACACTTATTACTCTATTCTACCCTGAATTTACTGACTGATGACTTCTTTTGTTTGTAACAATACTTAATAACAACTTATCCTCCAGTATTGATATCTCTGATCAATACCATCTAACACATTACCTAATATATTCCAGTGTATGAAGATACTATAATTTTCTAGCATTATGTAATATGAGCATCCTTGAATTTTTTGTTGTTGTTGTTGTGTGTTGGCATTCATTCTTAGGATATATTTCCTGAAATAAAATTACCAGATGAAAATTTGTCAGAGCTGGGTGAAGTGGCACATGCCTGTAATCCCATTTATTCAGGAGGCTGAGGTGGAACAATTGCTTGAGCTTAGTTTGAGACCAGCCTGGGAAACATAACAAGACCCCCAAGACCCCATCTCAAAAAAATTTTTTTAAATGAACATTTTAAAGTTCTTAATGTGTATTTCCAAAGTGCTTTCCACTGTAGCAGCATATGGTATACATATGAAGCAATTACTGGTAGTGATGTCAAGATTGTGACTATGCTTGTTAGGAAGCATCTATTAGATATAAATGTACTTTAACATATATTTATGATTATCTGTCTGAGATATTTTTATTTGAAACTTTATGATGAAACAAGAAAGACTGCCCTTACCAGCATACAAATGAGTGATAGTACATTTACTCTGTAATTAATTTAAGCACATATTAAATATAAAAACCATGAATACTATAAATATTGTTGTAATATCCATTTCCAGTTGTTACTGTCTAAGGAATCAGGAAACATCCTTTGTTTATTATGCCAAGAGAATGGTTGCTCTTTCAGTGTGAGCTCTCTCTAAAATTTCCCTGTCCAAAGACCAAAATACTCTTTTGCATGTTCCATCCTCTTTCCTAACTCCCTCTCAGCACTTGGTCCTTTTATTATTGAAGGATTCTTCTTACTATTTGCAAGAATTTCTTGTTTTTGTTATTTCTAAATACCAAAAAATTTCTTAAAGTCATAGATGTTTGTTGACACATTAGATAAGAAGTGTTGCTTTTGCCATTATGTTTTTGGTAGCATGCTTTACTCATTCCTTGGGAATTGCTTCTTCCTGCTCTCTCTCTGTGTCTTATTCATTTTCTTATTGCCCGGTAACTCACCTGCTCACATTCTGAATGGTTATCTCTAGCTACTGTTTTAAATATTGCATTTATTTAAATGCTAGCCAATAACTCCCAAATTTTCAACTCCTTTCCAGGTCTCCCCCAACTCCAGATTTGCCAGGCTCTCTCCCCACTTCATATTTGTATATCCAGCTGCTTAATTGATGTTTTCACTGAGATGTTGAATGAGCATCTTAAACTTCATATATGTAAAACTGAACTTCTAACCTCCCTATTCTTAATTCTGTTTTTTATTATTATTATATTTTAAGTTCTAGGGTACATGTGCACAACGTGCAGGTTTGTTACATATGTATACATGTGCCATGTTGGTGTTATCCACCCATTAACTTGTCATTTACATTACATATAGCTCCTAATGCTATCCCTCCCCCCTCCCCTCACCCCACGACAGGCCCCAGTGTATGATGTTCCCCACCCTGTGTCCAAGTGTCTTCATTGTTCAATTCCCACCTATGAGTGAGAACATGCAGTGTTTGGTTTTCTGTCCTTGCGATAGTTTGCTGAGAATGATGGTTTGCAGCTTCATCCATGTCCCTACAAAGGACATGAACTCATCCTTTTCTATGGCAGCATAGTATTCCATGGTGTATATGTGCCACATTTCCTTAATCCAGTCTATCATTGATGAACATTTGGGTTGGTTCCAAGTCTTTGCTATTATGAATACTGCTGCAATAAACATACATGTGCACGTGTCTTTATAGCAGCATGAATTATAATCCTTTGGGTATATACCCAGTAATGGGATGGCTGGGTCAAATGGTATTTCTAGTTCTAGATCCTTGAGTAATCGCCACACTGTCTTCCACAACGGTTGAACTAGTTTACAGTCCCACCAACAGTATAAAAGTGTTCCTATTTCTCCACATCCTCTCCAGCACCTGTTGTTTCCTGACTTTTTAATGATCGCCATTCTAACTGGTGTGAGATGGTATCTAATTGTGGTTTTGATTTGCATTTCTCTGATGGCCAGTGATGATGAGCATTTTTTCATGTGTCTTTTGGCTGTATAAATGTCTTCTTTTGAGAAGTGTCTGTTCATATCCTTTGACCACTTTTTTATGGGGTTGTTTGATTTTTTCTTGTAAATTTGTTTAAGTTCTTTGTAGATTCTGGATATTAGCCCTTTGTCAGATGGGTAGATTGCAAAAATTTTCTCCCATTCTGTAGGTTGCCTGTTCACTCTGATGGTAGTTTCTTTTGCTGTGTGGAAGCTTTTTAGTTTAATTAGATCCCATTTGTCAATTTTGGCTTTTGTTACCATTGCTTTTGGTGTTTTAGACATGAAGTCCTTGCCCATGCCTATGTCCTGCATGGTATTGCCTAGGTTTTCTTCTAGGATTTTTATGGTTTTAGGTCTGATATTTAAGTCTTTAATCCATCTTGAATTAATTTTTGTATAAGGTGTAAGGAAGGGATCCAGTTTCAGCTTTCTAAATATAGCTAGCCAGTTTTCCCAGCACCATTTATTAAATAGGGAATCCTTTCTCCATTTCTTGTTTTTGTCAGATTTGTCAAAGATCAGATGGTTGTAGATGTATGGTATTATTTCTGAGGGCTCTGTTCTGTTCCATTGGTCTATCTCTGTTTTGGTGCCAGTACCATGCTGTTTTGGTTACTGTACCTTTGTAGTATAGTTTGAAGTCAGGTAGCGTGATGCCTCCAGCTTTGTTCTTTTGGCTTAGGATTGTCGTGACAATGCGTGCTCTTTTTTTGGTTCCATATGAATTTTAAAGTAGTTTTTTCCAATTCTGTGAAGAAAGTCATTGGTAGCTTGATGGGGATGGCATTGAATCTATAAATTACCTTGGGCAGTGTGGCCATTTTCACGATATTGATTCTTCCTACCCATGAGCATGGAATGTTCTTCCATTTGTTTGTGTCCACTTTTATTTCATTGAGCAGTGGTTTGTAATTCTCCTTGAAGAGGTCCTTCACATCCCTTGTAAATTGGATTCCGAGATATTTTATTCTCTTTGAAGCAATTGTGAATGGGAGTTCACTCATGATTTGGCTCTCTGTTTGTCTGTTATTGGTGTATAAGAATGCTTGTGATTTTTGCACATTGATTTTGTATCCTGAGACTTTGCTGAAGTTGCTTATCAGCTTAAGGAGATTTTGAGCTGAGATGATGCAGTTTTCTAAATATACAATCATGTCATCTGCAAACAGGGACAATTTGACTTCCTGTTTTCCTAATTAAATACCCTTTATTTCTTTCTCCTGCCTGATTGCCCTGGCCAGAACTTCCAACACTATGTTGAATAGGAGTGGTGAGAGAGGGCATCCCTATCTTGTGCCAGTTTTCAAAGGGAATGCTTCCAGTTTTGGCCCATTCGGTATGGTATTGGCTATGGGTTTGTCATAGATAGCTCTTATTATTTTGAGATACGTCCCATCAATACCTAGTTTATTGAGAGTTTTTAGCACGAGGGGCTGCTGAATTTTGTCGAAGGCCTTTTCTGCTGCTGAATTTTGTCGAAGGCCTTTTCTGCAACTATTGAGATAATCATGTAGTTTTTGTCTTTGGTTCTGTTTATATGCTGGATTACGTTTATTGATTTGCATATTTTGAACCAGCCTTGCATCCCAAGGATGAAGCCCACTTGATCATGGTGGATAAGTTTTTTGATGTTCTGCTGGATTCGGTTTGCCAGTATTTTATTGAGGATTTTTGCATCAATGTTCATCAGGGATATTGGTCTAAAATTCTCTTTTTTGGTTGTGTCTCTGCCAGGCTTTGGTATCAGGATGATGCTGGCCTCATAAAATGAGTTAGGGAGGATTCCCTCTTTTTCTTTTTTTTTTTTTCTTTCTTTTTTTTTTTTTTTTATTATACTCTAAGTTTTAGGGTACATGTGCACATTGTGCAGGTTAGTTACATATGTATACATGTGCCATGCTGGTGCGCTGCACCCACTAATGTGTCATCTAGCATTAGGTATATCTCCCAATGCTATCCCTCCCCCCTCCCCCGACCCCACCACAGTCCCCAGAGTGTGATATTCCCCTTCCTGTGTCCATGTGATCTCATTGTTCAATTCCCACCTATGAGTGAGAATATGCGGTGTTTGGTTTTTTGTTCTTGCGATAGTTTACTGAGAATGATGGTTTCCAATTTCATCCATGTCCCTACAAAGGATATGAACTCATCATTTTTTATGGCTGCATAGTATTCCATGGTGTATATGTGCCACATTTTCTTAATCCAGTCTATCATTGTTGGACATTTGGGTTGGTTCCAAGTCTTTGCTATTGTGAATAGTGCCACAATAAACATACATGTGCATGTGTTTTTATAGCAGCATGATTTATACTCATTTGGGTATATACCCAGTAATGGGATGGCTGGGTCAAATGGTATTTCTAGTTCTAGATCCCTGAGGAATCGCCACACTGACTTCCACAATGGTTGAACTAGTTTACAGTCCCACCAACAGTGTAAAAGTGTTCCTATTTCTCCGCATCCTCTCCAGCACCTGTTGTTTCCTGACTTTTTAATGATTGCCATTCTAACTGGTGTGAGATGATATCTCATAGTGGTTTTGATTTGCATTTCTCTGATGGCCAGTGATGATGAGCATTTTTTCATGTGTTTTTTGGCTGCATAAATGTCTTCTTTTGAGAAGTGTCTGTTCATGTCCTTCGCCCACTTTTTGATGGGGTTGTTTGTTTTTTTCTTGTAAATTTGTTTGAGTTCATTGTAGATTCTGGATATTAGCCCTTTGTCAGATGAGTAGGTTGCGAAAATGTTCTCCCATGTTGTAGGTTGCCTGTTCACTCTGATGGTAGTTTCTTTTGCTGTGCAGAAGCTCTTTAGTTTAATTAGATCCCATTTGTCAATTTTGTCTTTTGTTGCCATTGCTTTTGGTGTTTTGGACATGAAGTCCTTGCCCCGCCTATGTCCTGAATGGTAATGCCTAGGTTTTCTTCTAGGGTTTTTATGGTTTCAGGTTTAACGTTTAAATCTTTAATCCATCTTGAATTGATTTTTGTATAAGGTGTAAGGAAGGGATCCAGTTTCAGCTTTCTACATATGGCTAGCCAGTTTTCCCAGCACCATTTATTAAATAGGGAATCCTTTCCCCATTGCTTGTTTTTCTCAGGTTTGTCAAAGATCAGATAGTTGTAGATATGCGGCATTATTTCTGAGGGCTCTGTTCTGTTCCATTGATCTATATCTCTGTTTTGGTACCAGTACCATGCTGTTTTGGTTACTGTAGCCTTGTAGTATAGTTTGAAGTCAGGTAGTGTGATGCCTCCAGCTTTGTTCTTTTGGCTTAGGATTGACTTGGCAATGCGGGCTCTTTTTTGGTTCCATATGAACTTTAAAGTAGTTTTTTCCAATTCTGTGAAGAAAGTCATTGGTAGCTTGATGGGGATGGCATTGAATCTGTAAATTACCTTGGGCAGTATGGCCATTTTCACGATATTGATTCTTCCTACCCATGAGCATGGAATGTTCTTCCATTTGTTTGTGTCCTCTATTATTTCCTTGAGCAGTGGTTTGTAGTTCTCCTTGAAGAGGTCCTTCACATCCCTTGTAAGTTGGATTCCTAGGTATTTTATTCTCTTTGAAGCAATTGTGAATGGGAGTTCACCCATGATTTGGCTCTCTGTTTGTCTGTTGTTGGTGTATAAGAATGCTTGTGATTTTTGTACATTGATTTTGTATCCTGAGACTTTGCTGAAGTTGCTTATCAGCTTAAGGAGATTTTGGGCTGAGACAATGGGGTTTTCTAGATAAACAATCATGTCGTCTGCAAACAGGGACAATTTGACTTCCTCTTTTCCTAATTGAATACCCTTTATTTCCTTCTCCTGCCTGATTGCCCTGGCCAGAACTTCCAACACTATGTTGAATAGGAGCGGTGAGTGAGGGCATCCCTGTCTTGTGCCAGTTTTCAAAGGGAATGCTTCCAGTTTTTGCCCATTCAGTATGATATTGGCTGTGGGTTTGTCATAGATAGCTCTTATTATTTTGAAATACGTCCCATCAATACCTAATTTATTGAGAGTTTTTAGCATGAAGCGTTGTTGAATTTTGTCAAAGGCTTTTTCTGCATCTATTGAGATAATCATGTGGTTTTTGTCTTTGGCTCTGTTTATATGCTGGATTACATTTATTGATTTTCGTATATTGAACCAGCCTTGCATCCCAGGGATGAAGCCCACTTGATCATGGTGGGTAAGCTTTTTGATGTGCTGCTGGATTCGGTTTGCCAGTATTTTATTGAGGATTTTTGCATCAATGTTCATCAAGGATATTGGTCTAAAATTCTCTTTTTTGGTTGTGTCTCTGCCCGGCTTTGGTATCAGAATGATGCTGGCCTCATAAAATGAGTTAGGGAGGATTCCCTCTTTTTCTATTGATTGGAATAGTTTTAGAAGGAATGGTACCAGTTCCTCCTTGTACCTCTGGTAGAATTCGGCTGTGAATCCATCTGGTCCTGGACTCTTTTTGGTTGGTAAACTATTGATTATTGACACAATTTCAGAGCCTGTTATTGGTCTATTCAGAGATTCAACTTCTTCCTGGTTTAGTCTTGGGAGAGTGTATGTGTCGAGGAATGTATCCATTTCTTCTAGATTTTCTAGTTTATTTGCGTAGAGGTGTTTGTAGTATTCTCTGATGGTAGTTTGTATTTCTGTGGGATCGGTGGTGATATCCCCTTTATCATTTTTTATTGTGTCTATTTGATTCTTCTCTCTTTTTTTCTTTATTAGTCTTGCTAGCGGTCTATCAATTTTGTTGATCCTTTCAAAAAACCAGCTCCTGGATTCATTGATTTTTTGAAGGGTTTTTTGTGTCTCTATTTCCTTCAGTTCTGCTCTGATTTTAGTTATTTCTTGCCTTCTGCTAGCTTTTGAATGTGTTTGCTCTTGCTTTTCTAGTTCTTTTAATTGTGATGTTAGGGTGTCAATTTTGGATCTTTCCTGCTTTCTCTTGTAGGCATTTAGTGCTATAAATTTCCCTCTACACACTGCTTTGAATGCGTCCCAGAGATTCTGGTATGTGGTGTCTTTGTTCTCGTTGGTTTCAAAGAACATCTTTACTTCTGCCTTCATTTCGTTATGTACCCAGTAGTCATTCAGGAGCAGGTTGTTCAGTTTCCATGTAGTTGAGCGGCTTTGAGTGAGATTCTTAATCCGGAGTTCTAGTTTGATTGCACTGTGGTCTGAGAGATAGTTTGTTATAATTTCTGTTCTTTTACACTTGCTGAGGAGAGCTTTACTTCCAACTATGTGGTCAATTTTGGAATAGGTGTGGTGTGGTGCTGAAAAAAATGTATATTCTGTTGATTTGGGGTGGAGAGTTCTGTAGATGTCTATTAGGTCTGCTTGGTGCAGAGCTGAGTTCAATTCCTGGGTATCCTTGTTGACTTTCTGTCTCGTTGATCTGTCTAATGTTGACAGTGGGGTGTTAAAGTCTCCCATTATTAATGTGTGGGAGTCTAAGTCTCTTTGTAGGTCACTGAGGACTTGCTTTATGAATCTGGGTGCTCCTGTATTGGGTGCATAAATATTTAGGATAGTTAGGTCCTCTTGTTGAATTGATCCCTTTACCATTATGTAATGGCCTTCTTTGTCTCTTTTGATCTTTGTTGGTTTAAAGTCTGTTTTATCAGAGACTAGGATTGCAACCCCTGCCTTTTTTTGTTTTCCATTGGCTTGGTAGATCTTCCTCCATCCTTTTATTTTGAGCCTATGTGTGTCTCTGCACATGAGATGGGTTTCCTGAATACAGCACACTGATGGGTCTTGACTCTTTATCCAACTTGCCAGTCTGTGTCTTTTAATTGCAGAATTTATTCCATTTATATTTAAAGTTAATATTGTTATGTGTGAATTTGATCCTGTCATTATGATGTTAGCTGGTGATTTTGCTCATTAGTTGATGCAGTTTCTTCCTAGTCTCGATGGTCTTTACATTTAAGCATGATTTTGCAGTGGCTGGTACCGGTTGTTCCTTTCCATGTTTATCGCTTCCTTCAGGAGCTCTTGTAAGGCAGGCCTGGTGGTGACAAAATCTCTCAGCATTTGCTTGTCTATAAAGTATTTTATTTCTCCTTCACTTATGAAGCTTAGTTTGGCTGGATATGAAATTCTGGGTTGAAAATTCTTTTCTTTAAGAATGTTGAATATTGGCCCCCACTCTCTTCTGGCTTGTAGGGTTTCTGCCGAGAGATCCGCTGTTAGTCTGATGGGCTTTCCTTTGAGGGTAACCCGACCTTTCTCTCTGGCTGCCCTTAACATTTTTTCCTTCATTTCAACTTTGGTGAATCTGACAATTATGTGTCTTGGAGTTGCTCTTCTCAAGGAGTATCTTTGTGGCGTTCTCTGTATTTCCTGAATCTGAACGTTGGCCTGCCTTGCTAGATTGGGGAAGTTCTCCTGGATAATATCCTGCAGAGTGTTTTCCAACTTGGTTTCATTCTCCACATCACTTTCAGGTACACCAATCAGACGTAGATTTGCTCTTTTCACATAGTCCCATATTTCTTGGAGGCTTTGCTCATTTCTTTTTATTCTTTTTTCTCTAAACTTCCCTTCTCGCTTCATTTCATTCATTTCATCTTCCATTGCTGATACCCTTTCTTCCAGTTGATCGCATCGGCTCCTGAGGCTTCTGCATTCTTCACGTAGTTCTCGAGCCTTGGTTTTCAGCTCCATCAGCTCCTTTAAGCACTTCTCTGTATTGGTTATTCTAGTTATACATTCTTCTAAATTTTTTTCAAAGTTTTCAACTTCTTTGCCTTTGGTTTGAATGTCCTCCCGTAGCTCAGAGTAATTTGATCGTCTGAAGCCTTCTTCTCTCAGCTCGTCAAAATCATTCTCCATCCAGCTTTGTTCTGTTGCTGGTGAGGAACTGCGTTCCTTTGGAGGAGGAGAGGTGCTGTGCGTTTTAGAGTTTCCAGTTTTTCTGTTCTGTTTTTTCCCCATCTTTGTGGTTTTATCTACTTTTGGTCTTTGATGATGGTGATGTACAGATGGGTTTTCGGTGTAGATGTCCTTTCTGGTTGTTAGTTTTCCTTCTAACAGACAGCACCCTCAGCTGCAGGTCTGTTGGAATACCCTGCCGTGTGAGGTGTCAGTGTGCCCCTGCTGGGGGGTGCCTCCCAGTTAGGCTGCTCGGGGGTCAGGGGTCAGGGACCCACTTGAGGAGGCAGTCTGCCAGTTCTCAGATCTCCAGCTGCGTGCTGGGAGAACCACTACTCTCTTCAAAGCTGTCAGACAGGGACACTTAAGTCTGCAGAGGTTACTGCTGTCTTTTTGTTTGTCTGTGCCCTGCCCCCAGAGGTGGAGCCTACAGAGGCAGGCAGGCCTCCTTGAGCTGTGGTGGGCTCCACCCAGTTCGAGCTTCCTGGCTGCTTTGTTTACCTAAGCAAGCCTGGGCAATGGCGGGCGCCCCTCCCCCAGCCTCGTTGCCGCCTTGCAGTTTGATCTCAGACTGCTGTGCTAGCAATCAGCGAGATTCCGTGGGCGTAGGACCCTCTGAGCCAGGTGTGGGATATAGTCTCGTGGTGCGCCGTTTCTTAAGCTGGTCTGAAAAGCGCAATATTCGGGTGGGAGTGACCTAATTTTCCAGGTGCTGTCTGCCACCCCTTTCTTTGACTCGGAAAGGGAACTCCCTGACCCCTTGCACTTCCCAGGTGAGGCAATGCCTCGCCCTGCTTCGGCTCGCACACGGTGCGCACACACACTGGCCTGCGCCCACTGTCTGGCACTCCCTAGTGAGATGAACCCGGTACCTCAGATGGAAATGCAGAAATCACCCATCTTCTGCGTCGCTCACGCTGGGAGCTGTAGACCGGAGCTGTTCCTATTCGGCCATCTTGGCTCCTCCCTCTCGGATTCCCTCTTTTTCTATTGATTGGAATAGTTTCAGGAGGAATGGTACCAGCTCCTCTTTGCACCTCTGGTAGAATTCGGCTGTGAATCCATCTGGTCCTGGACTTTTTTTGGTTGTTAGGCTCTTAATTATTGCCTCAATTTCAGAGCCCGTTATTGGTCTATCCAGTTCTTCCTGGTTTAGTCTTGGTAGGGTGTATGTGTCCAGGAATCCATCCATTTCTTGTAGATTTTCTAGTTTATTTGCGTAGAGGTGTTTATGGTATTCTCTGATGGTAGTTTGTATCTCTGTGGGATCAGTGGTGATATCCCCTTTATCATTTTTTATTGCATCTATTTGATTCTTTTCTCTTTTCTTCTTTATTAGTCTTGCTAGTGCTTTATCAATTTTGTTGATCTTTTCAAAAAAACAGCTCCTGGATTCAATGATTTTTTTGAAGGGTTTTTTTGTGTCTCTATTTCCTTCCTTTCTGCTCTGATCTTAGTTATTTCTTGCCTTCTGCTAGCTTTTGAATGTGTTTTCTCTTGCTTCTCTAGTTCTTTTAATTGTGATGTTAGGGTGTCAATTTTAGATCTTTCCTGCTTTCTCTTGTGGGCATTTAGTGCTATAAATTTCCCTCTACACACTGCTTTAAATGTGTCCCAGAGATTCTGGTATGTTGTGTCTTTGTTCTCACTGGTTTCAAAGAACATCTTTATTTCTATGTTCATTTTGTTATGTACCCAGTAGTCATTCAGGAGCAGGTTGTTCATTTTCCATGTATTTGAGCAGTTTTGACTGATTTCTTAATCCTGAGTTCTAGTTTGATTGCACTGTGGTCTGAGAGACAGTTTGTTATAATTTCTGTTCTTTTACATTTGCTGAGGAATGCTTTACTTCCAACTATGTGGTCAATTTTGGAATAAGTGCGATGTGGTGCCGAGAAGAATATATATTCTGTTGATCTGGGGTGGAGAGTTCTGGAGCTGTGTATTAGGTCTGCTTGGTGCAGAGTTGAGTTCATTCCTCGATGTCCTTGTTAACTTTCCATCTCATGGATCTGTCTAATGTTGCCAGTGGCGTGTTAAAGTCTCCCATTATTATTGTGTGGGAGTCTAAGTCTCTTTGTAGGTCTCTAAGGACTTGCTTTATGAATCTTGGTGCTCCTGTATTGGGTGAATATATATTTAGGATAGTTAGCTCTTCTTGTTGAATTGATCCCTTTACCATTATGTGATGGCTCTCTTTGTTCTTTTGATCTTTGTTGGTTTAAAGTCTGTTTATCAGAGATGAGGATTGCAACCCCTGCTTTTATTTGTTTTCCATTTTCTTGGTAGATCTTCCTCCATCCCTTTATTTTGAGCCTATGTGTGACTCTGCATGTGAGATGGGTCTCCTGAATACAGCACACTGATGGGTCCTGACTCTTTATCCAATTTTCCAGTCTGTGTCTTTTATTTGGAGCATTTATCCCATTTACATTTAAGGTTAATATTGTTATGTGTGAATTTGATCCTGTCATTATGATGTTAGCTGGTTATTTTGCTCGTTAGTTGATGCAGTTTCTTCCTAGCATTGATGGTCTTTACAATTTGGCATGTTGTTGCAGTGGCTGGTACTGGTTGTTCCTTTACATGTTTAGTGCTTCTTTCAGGAGCTCTGGTAAGGCTGGCCTGGTGATGACAAAATCTCTCAGCATTTGCTTGTCTGTAAAGGATTTTATTTCTCTTTTACTTGTGAAGCTAGTTTGGCTGGATATGAAATTCTGGGTTGAAAATTCTTTTCTTTAAGAATGTTGCATATTGGCCCCCACTCTCTTCTGGCTTGTAGAGTTTCTGCTGAGAGATCTGCTGCTAGTCTGATGGGCTTCCCTTTGTGGGTAACCTGACCTTTCTCTCTGGCTGCCCTTAACATTTTTTCCTTCATTTCAACTTTGGTGAGTCTGACAATTATGTGTCTTGGGGTTGCTCTTCTCAAGGAGTATCTTTGTCACATTCTCTGTATTTGCTGAATTTGAATGTTAGCCTGCCTTGCTAGGTTGGGGATGTTCTCCTGGATAATATCCTGTAGAGTGTATTCCAACTTGGTTGCATTCTCCCCGTCACTTTCAGGTACACCAATCAGACGTAGATTTGGTCTTTTCACATAGTCCCATATTTGTTGGAGGCTTTGTTGATTTCTTTTTACTCTTTTTTTCTCTAAACTTCTTGCTTCATTTCATTCATTTGATCTTCCATCGCTGATACCCTTTCTTCCATTTGATCTAATTGGCTACTGAAGCTTGTGCATGTGTCGCGTAGTTCTCATGCCATGGTTTTCAGCTCCATCAGGTCATTTAAGATCTTCTCTACACTGTTTATTCTAGTTAGCCATTTGTCTAATGTTTTATCAAGGTTTTTAGCTTCTTTGCAATGGGTTCAAACATCTTGCTTTAGCTTGGAGAAGTTTGTTATTACCGATCTTCTGAAACCTTCTTCTCTCAACTCATCAAAGTCATTCTCCATCCAGCTTTGTTCTGTTGCTGGTGAGGGGCTGCATTCCTTTGGAGGAGAAGAGGCACTCTGATTTTTAGAATTTTCAGCTTTTCTCATCTGGTTTCTCCCCATCTTTGTGGTTTTATCTACTGTTGGTCTTTGATGATGGTAACATATGATGGGGTTTTGGTGTGGATGTCCTTTCTGTTTGTTAATTTTCCTTCTAACAGTCAGGACCCTCAGCTGCAGGTCTGTTGGAGTTTGCTGAAGGTCCACTCCTGACCCTGTTTGCCTGGGCATCACTGTAGGACCACAAATATTGCAGAACAGCAAATGTTGCTGCCTGATCGTTCCTCTGGAAGCTTCATCTCAGAGGGGGACCTGTCCGTATGAGGTGTCAGTTGGCCCCTACTGGGAGGTGCCTCCCAGTTAGGCTACTCAGGGGTCAGGGACCCACTTGAGGAGGCAGTTTGTCCGTGCTGGGAGAACCACTACTCTCTTCAAAGCTGTCAGACAGGGATGTTTAAGTCTGCAGAAGTTTCTGCTGCCTTTTATTCAGCTGTGCCGTGCCCACAGAGGTGGAGTCTACAGAGGCAGGCAGGCCTCCTTGAGCTGTGGTGGGCTCCACCCAGTTCGAGCTTCCTGGCTGCTTTGTTTACCTACTCAAGCCTGAGCAATGATGGGCACCCCTTCCCCAGCCTCGCTGCCACCTTGCAGTTCTATCTCAGACCACTGTGCTAACAATGAGTGAGGCTCCATGGGTGTGGGACCCTCTGAGCCAGGCATGGGATATAATCTCCTGGTGTGCCGTTTGCTAAGACCATTGGAAAAGCCCAGTATTAGGGTGGGAGTGACCCGAATTTCCAGGTGCTGTCTGTCACAGCTTCCCTTGGCTAGGAAAGGGAATTCCCCGACCCCTTCTGCTTCCTGGGCGAGGCACTACCTCACCCTGCTTCAGCTCACGGTCCATGGACTGCACCCACTGTCCCACACCCACTGTCCAACAAGCCCCAGTGAGATGAGCCCAGTACCTTAGTTGGAAATGCAGAAATCACCCGTCTTCTGCATCACTCACTCTGGGAGCTGTAGACTGAGCTGTTCCTATTTGGCTATGTTGGAATGTCCCCCTCCTAATTCTTACAGCAAAGATACTGAAACATGATTTGTCAGCAGTTTTGTTTGTTTATTTGTTTTGCTTAGTTGATGGCAACTCATTCCTTCTAGATTGTTCAGGCCAAAAGCTTGAACTGATCTTTGACTTCTGTCTTCCATGTTTTACTTTTAGTCTACTCACAAATCTTGTTAGTTTACCTTTAAGATGTAATAAAAATCTAACATTCCTTACTACCTCTACTGCTAACAAACCATTTTGAAGCACAATTAATTTTTACTAATGAATTATTGCTATCATTTCCTAACAGGTCTTCTTGCTTATATCCTTGACTTAGTGTACTGGGTTGAATTGTGTTCCCCCCCCAAAAAATTCATATCCACCTGGAACCTCAGAATGTGACCTTATTTGGAAATAGGGTCTTTGCCGAGATAATTAATTAAGATGAGGTCTTACTGGATTAAAATGGGTTAGAATCCAATGGCTGGTGTCCTTATAAGATAAGTAAGCAGAGACACACAGAGAGTGAGAAAGCTGTGGGAGAATGGAGGTGAAAAGAACCTCTATCTATTATAAGCAAAGGACTGCCAAGGACTGCCATTAGCACTATAAGCTGGAAGAGTCAAGGATGAATCTTCTTGAGTTTGCAGAGAGAGTGTCCCTACCAACACTGATTTTGTACTTCTAGTCTCCAGAACTATGAGAGAATGAATTTCTATTGTTTAAGTCACCCAGTTTGTGGTACTTTATTATGAAAGCCCTAGGAGATTAATACACTCACTATGTCTGATTTTCGTAGAGCAGCCAGATGGCAGAAGTGTTATCTCTCTCATTCCTTTACAGTCATTGCACAAATGTCATCTTCTTAATGAGGCCCAGCCTGACCACCATATTTAAAATCATAACCTGCTCCCTGCTCTGACCCCACTCCTGGTCTTTTTTTAAAAGTTATTTTATTTATTTATTTATTTATTTATTTATTTATTTATTTATTTATTTTTTGAGACCGAGTCTCGCACTGTCACCCTGGCTGGAGTGCAATGGTGCAATCTCAGCTCACTGCAAGCTCCGCCTCCTGGGTTCACACCATTCTCCTGCCTCAGCCTCCTGAGTAGCTGGGACTACAGGCGCCCACCACCACGCCTGGCTAATTTTTTGTATTTTTAGTAGAGACAGGGTTTCATCATGTTAGCCAGGATGGTCTTGATCTCCTGACCTTGTGATACAACCGTCTTGGCCTCCCAAAGTGCTGGGATTACAGGAGTGAGCCACTGCACCAGGCCAAAAGTTATTTATTTTTAATTTCTGTGGGTACATAGTAGGTGTGTATATTTATAGAGTAAATGACATGTTTTGGTACAGGCATGAAATGTGTACTAATCACATCATGGAGCATGATAATGTGCAATAATCGCATCATGGAGCATGAAGTATCCATCCCTCAAATATTTATCTTTTGTGTTAAAAAAAAATCCAATTATACTCTTTTAGTTATTTAAAAATGTTCAGTTAAATTATTATTGACTATAGTCACCCTGTTGTATTATCAAACAGTAGATCTTATTCATCCTTTCTAACTATTTTTTTTGTACCCATTAACCATCCCCACCTTCGCCTGATTCAACTGCCCACTACCCTTCCCAGCCTCTGGTAACCATCCTTCTGCTTCAACTATCTCTGTGAGTTCAATTATTTTGATTTTTAAATCACACATGTAAGTGAGAACATGTGATTTTTGTCTTTGTGTGCCTGGCTTATTTCGGTTAATATAACAATCTCTAGTTCCATCCATGTTGTTGCAAATGACAGAATCTCATTCATTTTTATGGCTGAATAGTACTCAATTTTGTATATGTACCGTATTTTCTTTATCCAGTAACATGTTGATGGGCACTTAGGTTGCTTCCAGATCTTGGCTGTTGTGAACAGTGCTGGAACAAACATGAGAATGGAGATATCTCTTTGATATACTTACTGATTTCCTTTATGTTGGGTATATACCCAGCAGTGGGATTACTGGATCATATGGTCACACTATTTTTAGTTTTTTGAGAAACCTCCAAATTGCTCTCCATAGTGGTTGTACTAATTTACATTCCGCCAACAGCATACACATCCTCACATCCCGTCAGCCTTTGTTCTCCACATCCTCACCAGCCTTTGTTATTGCCTGTCATTGGATATAAGCCATTTTAACTGGGGTGAGACAATATCTCATTGTGATTTTGATTTGCAGTTCTCTGATGATCAATGATGTTGATGTTGATGTTGATCATATGCCTGTTTGCCATTTGTATGTCTTCTTTTAAGAAATATCTAGTCAGGTATTTTGGCCATTTTTTAATCAGAGTTCTTGTAATTGAGTTCTTTCCTATAGAGTTGTTTGAGTTCTTTATAGGTATTGAATATAAATCCCTTGTTAGATTGGTAGTTTGCAAATATTGTCCCCCATTCTGTGGGTTATCTCTTCACTTTGTTGATTGTTTTCCGTGCTGTGCAGAAGCTTTTTAACTTCATGTAATCCCATTTGTTTATTTTTGCTTTGGTTGCCTGTGCTTATGGGGTATTACCCAAGATATTTTTGCCCAGACCAATGTCCTGGAGATTTCCACTAACGTTTTCTTGTAGTAGTTTTATAGTTTGAGGTCTTAGCTTTAAATCTGTAGTCCATTTATATTTAATTGTTGTATATGGTGAGAGATGAGGGTCTAGTTCCATTCTTCTACATATAGATATCCAGTTTTCCCAGCACCATTTATTGAGAGACAACCTTTTCTCCAGTGTATGTTCTTGGCACGTTTGTTGAAAATGAATTTACTAAACAACAGATGTTGGTGAGGTTGCGGAGAAATAGGAATGCTTTTACACTGTTGGTGGGAATGTAAATTAGTTCAACCATTGTGGAAGGCGGTGTGGTGATTCCTCAGTGATCTAGAACCAGAAATACCATTTGACCCAGCAATCCCACTACTAGGTATATACCCAAAGGAATATAAATCATTCCATCACAAAGATACATGCACTCGGATATTCATTGCAGCACTATTTACAATAGCAAAGACATGGGATCAACCCGAATGCCTATCAGTGATAGACTGGATAAAGAAAATGTGGTATATATACACCACACTGTGGAATACTATGCCGCCATAAAAATTAACAAGATCATGTCTTTTGCAGGGACATGGATGGAGCTGGAAGCCATTATCCTCAACAAACTGATGCAAGAAAAAAAAAACCCCAAACACCACATGTTCTCACTTATAAGTGGGAGCTGATCACATGGGCACAGGGAGGGAAACTACACACACCAGGGCCTGTTGGGGCTGGGGTGGGAGGAGGGAAGGCATTAGGAAAAATAGCTAATGCATGTTGGGCGTATTACCTAGGTGGTTGGTTGATAGGTGCAGCAAACCTCCATGGCACACGTTTACCTATGTAACAAACCTGCACATCCTGCATATGTACCCCAGAACTTAAAAGAAAAAGAAAATGAATTTACTATAGGTATATGGATCTGTTTCTGAGCTCTCTATTCTGTTCCATTGGTCTTTGTGTCTGTTTTTATGCCAGAACCAAGGTCTTTTATTTAATATAGCTCTGTAGTATAATTTGAAGTTAGGTAATGTGATTCCCCCAGTTTTATTCTTTTGCTCTGGATAGCTTTGGCTATTCTGGGTCTTTTGTGATTCCATATAAATTTTAGGATTTTTTTCCCCTATTTCTGTGAAGAACGTCCTTGGTATTTTGACAGGGATTGAATTAAATCTGTAGATTGCATTGGGTAGTATGGAGATTTTAACAATATCGATTCTCCCAATCCATGAACATGGAATATATTTTCATTTTTTGATATCCTCTTCCATTTCTTTTATCAGTGTTTTTTAGTTTTCCCTATAGATATCATTCACTTCTTTGGTTAATTCCTAAGTATTTAATTTTATTTGTGGCATTTTAAATGAGATTACTTTTAGGATTTCTTTTTCAGATTGTTTGCTGTTGCCATATAGAAATGCTACTGATTTTTATATGTTCATTTTGTATCCTGCAACTTTCCTGAATTTGTTTTTTAATTCTCATAAACTGATACTCATGTCAGTTTTCTGGTGGAGTCTTCAGGTTTTTCCAAATATAAGATCATATCATCTGCAAATAAGGATAATTTGATTTCTTTCTTTCCAATTTGGATGCACTTTATTATTTCTTTGTCTGATTGCTCTAGCTAGGACTTCCACTACTATGTTGAATAACAGTGGTAAAAGTGAAAATCCCTTACAAAGTCAACCTAGAAAAATCACTAGCATTTCTATACACCAACAACAGTGAATCCGAGAGCCAAATCAAGAATGCGATCCTATTTATAGTTTCCACAAAAAGAATAAAATACCTAGGAATACAGCTAATCAGGGAGGTGAAAGATCTTTACCATGAGAACTATAGAACACTACTCAAAGAAATCAGAGATGACACAAACAAATAGAAAAACATTACATGCTCAAGGATAGGAAGAATCAATATTGTTAAAATGGCCATACTGCCCAAAGGAATTTATAGATTCAATTCTGTTTTTAGCAAACTACCTATGACATTCTTCACACTACTAGAAAAAAAAACGATTTTAAAATTTATATGAAACCAAAAAGAGCCCAAATAGCCAAGATAATCCTAAGCAAAGAGAACAAAGCTGGAGGCATTCCTTCTCCATGTTATTCTGAATTTCTTTGAGTTTCCTCAAAACAGCTATTTGGAATTCTCTGTCTGAAAAGTCACATATCTCTGTGTTGCCAAAATTAGTCCCTATTGCCTTCTTTGGTGAGGTCATGTTTTCCTGGGTTGTCTTAATGCTTGTAGATGTTTGTCTGTGTCTGGAAATTGAAGAGTTAAGTATTTATTGTAGTCATCACTGTCTGGGCTTGTTTGTGCCTGTCCTTCTTGGGAAGACTTTCCCAGATATTCAGAAGGACTTGTGTGTTGTAATCTAAGCTGTATCTACTTTAAGGGTCACCCCAAACCTGGTAAACCTGTGGTTCTTGCAGATGCATAGAGGTACCACCTTGATGGTCTTGGACAAGATCTGGGTGAATTCTCAGAATTAACAGGCAGAGACTCTTGTTCTCTTCCCTTACTTTCTCCCAAACAAATGGAGTTTCTTTCTTTGCTCTGAGCTACCTGAAGCTGGGGGTGTAGTGTCACAAGCAACCTTTTGACCACCACCATGGTGACTGTGCTAGGTTAGACCTGAAGCCAGCACAGCATTGGGTCTTGCCCAAGGATTGCTCAAACCAACTCCCTGGCTGCTGCCTATGTTTGCTCAAGGGTATGAGATTTTACAATCAGCAGGTGACAAAGCCAGCCAGGCTTGTGTCCTTTCCTTCAGGGTCACACGTTCACCCAGGCCCTGGGTGAGTCCAGAGGTACTCTCCGGGAGACAAGGAGTACCGTAAAAAACCTTAGAAGTCTATCTGGTGTTCTGCTCTACTGTGGCTGAGCTGGCAGTCAAACCACCAGGTGCAGTCCTTCCCACTCTTCCCTCCCCTTTCCAAAGACTGAGGAACCTCAGCCTGTGGCCACCACTTCCACAGGCCCATAGGGAATACTGCCAGACTACCACTGATGTTCCTTTAAGGCCCAAGAGCTCTTTAGTCTGCTTTGGGTGAATGTTGCCTGGCTTGGGACGCACCGTTCAGGGCAGCGGGTACTCCTCTGGCCCAGGGCAGGTCCAGCAATGTCTTCCAAGGGCAAAGTCTTATAATTGGAGAACACAAGAATCCACTTGGTGCTCTACCGCCCTATGGCCAAGCTGGAACCTAAGGTTCAAGAAAAAGTCCCCTTTATTTTTCCCTCCAATTTTATTAAGCAGAAGGGGTCTTTTCCCATAGCCACCACAGCTGGGAATGTGTTGAGTCTCACCTGAAGCCAGTAAATCTCAGAATCTCACTCAAGTCCCTCAACATAATACCTGGGTATTGCTGCTGGTTATTCAGGGCCCAAGGGCTCTTCAGTTAGCAGGCAATGAATGGTGCCAAGACTCAGTCCTTCCGTTTAAGGTAGCAGGTTTCTTTCTGGCCCAGGGTGTGTCTAGGAGTGTTATCTAGCAGTTTGGGCATGGAGAGGAGGCCTCATGACTCTGACTGGTACCCTATTCTGCTGTGGCTGAGCTGGTATTCAGGATGCAAGACAAAGTCCTCCCCACTATTCCCACTCCTCTCCTCAAGCAGAAGGAATGGATCTCTTTTGGAGACATGAGCTGTTCAGCCTGGAATTAGGGGAGGGGTGATGCCAACATTCCCTTAGCCTCTCTGGCTGATGTCTCAGTATGTCACGTGTCCTCCTGTCCTCTGGCTCTTGGCCCAGTTTATCACTAGGACTCGCCTAGGTGTTGCAGCCTAGACTGCCTTTCAAGTTTATTTAGAGTGCCAGAACACATTAGCCCATCGTGGTGAGGCTTGTGAGAACTGAAGTACTGTCCACTGGGATTAACAGTTTCCCCCCCAGGTAGGGCTCCCTCCACCGGTGAGCATAAGCTGAGTTTGGTTCACTTTTCATTTCTGTTTTAACAGGTCAGCACTGAGTTCAATGCCTCAAATTGCTGTGCTTTCCCTGCCTCAGTGCACAGAAACCTCTCTGGACCACTCTGGCACTTCTGTCAGGGGATGAGAAAAGGGTGGTGTCAGTGATTCAGGACTGTTTTTCTACCTTTTCAGTGTCTGTTTCGGCAATATGAAGTTAAAATCAGGTACTGTGAGTGTTCCCTGGTTTTTGACTCTTATGAAGGTGCTTTGTGTGTATGTGTGTGTGTAGATAGTTGTTAAATTGGTGTCCTTGCAGGAGGGATGATTGGCAGACCCTTCTATTTCACCATCTTGTTCCACCTCCCCACTCCTGATCTTTATCTTCTCCTGTTTATTTTTCATACCAAAATTATCTTCTAATATACCAAATAATTTACTTACTTTTAAGTATTATGTATTTCCCCTCACCCCTCACTAGCATTATAAATGTAGCAACATTTGTATGTCTTGTTTAATAGAACAGTGTGTGGCCTGTAGGAAGTCTTCAAATATTTTCTAATGGATTCATTCATTTATTCCAAAATATTTTACTGCATACAATGTGTTATGCAGTGCTCTTACTATATTTTCATGTGCTGCGTTTTCTGTAGTGCTATATAGTTCATGGAAGTATTTTAAATTCTTTTAATAGCTATTGTTCAGGGTTATTTGTATTTTGTGAGTTGTTAGATATAATGTACCTAGGACAATCTTGGTACATACTAAGTGATATATAAACGTTAATTTTACTTTTGGAGGGAAAAGGAATTGCTTCCTATAATAAATACATTCTAGGCTGGAAAGAAATGTAAATACTGTTATTTCTTGGCTTTCTTGAATACAGCAGCTCAGAGGTGTTCTTTTAAAATAATTTCACATGCACCATTTTATGGGATATAGTAGAATATATGTAATGCAACCATGCTATTTTATATGATAAAAAAGGGCTTTATGTGAGACAAATGGGAGTGGGTTGGTGGGAGAGTAAATACACTTAGTGGATTCATTTGATTTTCAAGTAAGTGCATTTTTAGATTTTGGTATATTTTAAATTTCTTTCTGAAGGACCAGCATTAGTATATTTATCCTACAACATTGTATTTACAAATAGAGAGTACATTCTTTTAAAAATTACAGAGATTTGATATTCACTTGAAAATTCAGTGTGGCCTATACTAATCCAAATAAAATAAGGAATATGATAAATGGAATTGCAAATAAAAATCCTTTCTTAACTCTCTGCTGAGATTTGAATAAACTCTAGGACAGAATATAAGCTGATACAAAAATAAGACTGTAAGTGAATGTATATATGTAAGTGTGTAAGCATATATATATTTCTATTTTCTTTTCTATATGTCTATGGATATACCTGGTTCTTCAATCTATTTACATATTATTGCTTAGGTATTTCCTTAGTCTTCTGTTTCTACTTGACCAGTGTGTTGTTTTTTTCAAAAGCAATTTTTATTTTCTCATATTTTTTTTTATCTGGTACATTTTGACTTTCTCTACTTTTTTCCTTATGTTTTATGTATATCAAGCTCGATTTATTTTTACCCATTTAATTTGCCACAAGTGGATTTTTAAAGTTTCATTATTTGTACTTGCAATTCTTAATAACACTGTGTGTGTGTGTGTGTGTGCGTGCGTGTGAGTGTGTGTGTGTGTGTGAACAATAAAGCTTTTTAATCACCTGGGTACAGGTGGGCTAAGTCCGAAAAGAGAGTCAGCAAAGGGAGATGGGGTGCAGCTGTTTTATAGGATTTGGGTAGGTAAAGGAAAAAGGGGGGTTGTTCTATGGGGGGCAGGAATGGGGGTCACAAGGTGCTCAGCAGGGGAGCTTTTGAGCCAGGATGAGCCAGGAGAAGGAATTTCACAAGATAATGTCATCAGTTAAGGCAGGAACAGGCCATTTTCACTTCTTTTGTGGTGGAATGTCATCAGCTAAGGCAAGAACTGGCCATCTGGATGTGTACATGCAGGTCACAGGGGATATGATGACTTAGCTTGGGCTCAGAGGCCTGACATTCCTGTCTTCTTATGTTAATAAGAAAAATAAAATGAAATAGTGGTAAGGTGTTGGGACGGCAAAAATTTTTGGGGGTGATATGGAGAGATAATGGGCGATGTTTCTCAGGGCTGCTTCGAGCGGGATAGGGGTGGCATGGGAACCTAGAGTGGGAGAGAATAAGCTGAAGGAAGATTTTGTGGTAAACATTTGTCATTTAGAATTATTGGTGATGGCCTGGATACGGTTTTGTATGAATTGAAAAACGGAATAAGAGAAGGAGAATAACAGGTATTAAAGGTCTAAGAATTGGGGAGGACCTAGGACATTTAATTAGAGAGTGCCTAAGGAGATTCAGCATAGTCCTGCCAGCAAAGATTATTTATTTACTTTAAGAGTTAAGAGTGGCAGTTTGGGGATAGCACCAGGAGATATCAGCTGTGATGGCTTGGAGAAACAGTGTAAACTGGCAGTGTAAACAAGAGCAGGGCAAGTATGAGTAGTTGAGAACAGTGAATAGGAGTATGACTAGACAAGATAGTAGGGATGACAAGTTTTTTGGGGCACGGTCCAATTTGGTCTGGTGTCTGGAATGAAACTGGGGCCTAATAAAAAGGAGCGTCCATACAGGAGCTCAAATAGGCTGTACCCTGTAGTATTCCGAGAACAGGTCTGACTTCTGGGAAGGGGAAGTGGTAAAAGTATTGTCCAGTCCTTTTTAAGTTGGTGGCTGAGCTTGGTGAGGTGTGTTTTTAAAAGACCATTTGTCTGTTCTACCTTTCCTGAAGACTGAGGACTTTAAGGGATATAAAGGTTTCACTGAATACCAAGAGCCTGAAAAAATGCTTGGCTGATTTGACTAATAAAGGCCAGTCTACTATCAGACTGTATAGAGGTGGGAAGGCCAAACTGAGGAATTATGTCTGACAGAAGGGAAGAAATGACCGTGGTGGCCTTCTCAGACCCTGTAGGAAAGGCCTCTACCTATCCAGTGAAAGTGTTTACCCAGACCAAGAGGTATTAGTTTTCTGACTTGGGGCATGTGAGTAAAGTCAATTTGCCAGTCCGGGGCAGGGGCAAATCCCTGAGCCTGATGTGCAGGAAAGGGAGGGGTAGTAGAATAGCACATGGAACACTGATAAGTGATTTCTTTGAGGATATATTTCTAGGATGGAAAGGAAATGAGCGGTTCTACGAGACGGGCTAGTGGCTTGTAACCTACATGGAAGAGGTTATGAAATGACGACAGAATAGAATGGGCCTGTGAGGCTGGAAGGAGATATTTTCCTTGGTCTAAGAACTATTTCACTTGTATGGGAAGAGATTGATAGGTGGCAGTTTCAGCGGGGGAGTAGGTGAGAGTGACCGATGTGAAGGAGAAAAACTGGCTGTGAGGGACAGAATTTGGAAAGCTAGCTGCTTGTCTAGCCACCTTATCAGCATAAGCGTTGCTTAGAGCAATGGGATCTGACGCCTTTTGATGGCCTTTGTAGTGAATGACTCCAGCTTCCTTTGGAAGTAAAGTGGCCTTGAGCAGAGTTTTTATTAAAGAGGCATTAATAATGGAGGACCTTTGCATAGTGAGGAAACCTCTTTCAGCCTATGTAACAGCATGTTGGTGCAAAATATGAAAGACATATTTACAGTCAGTATAAATATTGACACGTAGTGTTTTTGCAAGAGTGAGGGCTTCAGTTAAGGCAACTAGTTCGGCTTGCTGAGAGGTAGTGGAGGTGGGCAGAGCAGTGGCCTCAATGATAGATGTGGAAGATAATATAGCATAGCCTGCCTTTGCTGGTGAGTGGTGATTAGGCCTGGTGGAACTGCCATCAATAAACTAAATGTGTTCAGGGTGAGGAACAGGAAATAAGGAAATATGGGGAAATGGGGTGAATGTCAGGTGGATCAGAGAGATACAGTCATGAGGGTCAGGTGTGGTATCCAGAATAATGTGGGAGGCCAGATTGAAGTCCATGCCAGGAACAATGGTAATTGTGGAAGACTCAACGAAGAGTGAATATAGCTGAAGGAGCCGGGAAGCAGAAAGTATATGCGTCAGGTATGAGGAAGAAAATAGATATTGGAAGTTATAAGAACTGTAGAGAGTGAGTTGAGCATAGTTTGTGATTTTTAGGGCCTCTAAAAGTATTAAAGCAGTGGCAGCCACTGCATGCAGACATGAGGGCTAGGCTAAAACAGTAAGGTCAAGTTGTTTGGACAGAAACGCTGCAGGGTGCGGTCCTGGCTCTTGTGTAAGAATTCTGACCGCAGTAACCATGCCTAGGAAGGAAAGAAGTTGTTGTTTTGTGGAAGGGATTGAGGTTTGGGAGATTATTCGGACACAATCAGCAGGGAGAGCACATGTGTTTTTACGAGAATTATGCTGAGATAGGTAACAGATGAGGAAGAAATTTGGGCTTGACTGAAGTAATGGGGGCTGTCTGTGAAGCTTTGCAGCAGTACAGCCTAGGTAATTTGCTGAGCCTGATGGGTGTCAGGGTCAGTCCAAGTGAAAGCAAAGAGAGGCTGGGATGAAGGGTGCAAAGGAATAGTAAAGAAAGCATGTTTGAGTTCTAGAACAGAATAATGGATTGTGGAGGGAGGTATTGAGGATATGAGAGTATATGGGTTTGGCACCACGGGGTGCATAGGCAAAACAGTTTGGTTGATAAGGCACAGATCCTGAACTAACCTGTAAGGCTTGTTTGGTTCTAGGACAGGTAAAATGGGGGAATTGTAAGGAGAGTTTATAGGCTTTAAAAGGCCATGCTGTAGCAGGCGAGTGATAACAGGCTTTAATCCTTTTAAAGCGTGCTGTGGGATGGGATATTGGCATTGAGTGGGGTAAGGGTGATTAGGTTTTAATGAGATGGTAAGGGGTGCATGATCGGTCACCAAGGAGGGAGTAGAGGTATCCTATACTTGTGGGTTAAGGTGGGGGGATGCAAGAGGAGGACATAAAGGAGGCTTTGGATTGGGAAGAAGGGTGGCAATGAGATGTGGCTGTAGTCCAGGAATAGTCAGGGAAGCAGATAATTTAGTTAAAGTGTCTCAGCCTAATAAGGGAACTGGGCAGGTGGGGATAACTAAAAAGGAGTGCTTAAAAGAGTATTGTCTAAGTTGGCACCAGAGTTGGAGAGTTTTAAGAGGTTTAGAAGCCTGGCTGTCAATACCCACAACAGTTACGGAGGCAAGGGAAACAGGCCCTTGAAAAGAAGGTAATGTGGAGTGGGTAGCCTCCGTATTGATTAAGAAGGGGATGGACTTGCCCTCCACTGTGAGAGTTACCTAAAGCTCGGCGTCCGTGATGGTCTAGGGGCTTCTGAGGCGATTGGGCAGTGTCAGTCTTCAGCCGCTAAGCCGAGAAGATCTGGGAAGGAGTCAGTCAGAGAGCCTTGGGCCAGAGTTCCAGGGGCTCTGGGAGTGGCTGCCAGGTGAGTTGGACAGTCTGATTTCCAGTGGGGTCCCGCCCAGATGGGACGAGGCTTGGGAGGAATCCTGGGTTGCGGGCATTCCTTGGCCTGGTGGCCAGATTTCTGGCACTTGTAGCAAGCTTCTGGGGAAGGCAGGCCTGGAGGAATGCCTGGCCACTGCGGTTTAGGCGTTTGGAAGTTCGTGTGCTGGAGATGTGGCTGGGGTTTGTCTCACAGTGGAGGCAAGGAATTGCAACTCAGAAATATGTTGCTACTTGGCTGCCTCTACTCTATTATTGTACATCTTGAAGGCGAGGTTAATTAAGTCCTGTTGTGGGGTTTGAGGGCCGGAATTTAATTTTTGGAGTTTTATTTAATGTCGGGGGCAGATTGGGTAATAAAATGTATATTGAGAATAAGACGGCCTTTTGATCTTTTAGGGTCTAGGGCTGTAAAGCATCTCAGGGTTGCTGCCAAACGAGCCATGAACTGGGCTGGGTTTTTCATATTTGATGAAAAAGAGCCTAAATGCTAACTGATTTGGGAGAGGTCAGATAAAGAAAAAGGAGCATTAACCTTGACTATGCCTTTAGCTCCAGCCACCTTTTTAAGAGGAAATTGCTGGGCAGGTGGGGGAGGGCTGGTCACGGAACGAAACTGTAAGCGGGACCAGGTGTGAGGAGGGGAGGTGATAAAAAGATTATAGGGTGGAGGAGCAGAGGCTGAGGAAGAATTGGGACCTAGCTCGGCCTGGCGAGGAGCAGCCTGGGGAGGAGGGGAGAGGTCAGATGGGTCTGTAGAAAAGGAAGATTAGACTCAGCGACGCTTGGGGTTGGGACTGAGGGGACAGGCGGGAGGGAAAGAAGGAAGATTTGGGACAAGTTGCATTGGGCACAGAGACTAGGGAGGGACCGATGTGTAAAAGAATGCCTGGACGTCAGGCACGTCAGACCGTTTGCGCATTTTACGACAAGAATTATTTTGATCTTGTAGGATGGAAACATTGTAAGTGCCATTTTTTATTTATTATTTTTTCTATTTCTCTCACCATTTTTCATCTCCACCAAAGTAAAAGTTTTTTCATTTTGTTTCACTTTTGCAATGATCTTTTGTTTGACTGGTATACCATTTCCCCTCTTCCTCTTCCAGCAAACCTCTACTTGTCCTTCTTGACTCAGCTCAGGTAAATGCCATCTTCCCTGGTAGGTCCCAGCTGACCACCCACACCCTTCCCAGATAGGAATAGGTGGTCCTTTTCTGCACTTCTGCACCAACCAGTGCATATGCCTATAATCACATTTATTTTTTATCTGTTTGTCTTTTATTTAACATCCTTCACAGTGGGATTCTTTTGTTCACCTCTGATTTATAATATCCCCACGCATCTCCTGGAACAAAGTAGATAACTCCATACTTTTATTTTAAAGATCGTTGATAAGAAATTTTGTATTTTAAAAAAGTTTATAGGTGGGAAAATACTTTCTTTTGTAGATACTTAAATTCAAATTGTTTAGAAGTGTTTGAAATAGTCCTGAAATCTTAAACAATGCTAAGCATTACAAAACAAACATTTGGCCAAAGTATATTTTTTACAGATATCAAAGTAATGATTCTAAGACATTAACAAGAAGTTTTTGTATGCCATTAAGGCACTGTGTCATGTGGTTTTCCTAAATGTATTCTCATTTTCGTTCTTACAACAACCTTGCCAATATAATTATCACGTTTATAGAAATAGGTACTGAGTGAAAAATAATGTCCCTCTTTACCTCTTTAGAAACTAATAGTGATCTTCTGTGACTTATCTGTTTCTCTTTGGTATTTATATTCTTAGTGAATGCCACCTGTCTTCACCAGGTTGTTTCAGTTAGGAACTAAGGTGCCATTAGTGACTGACAGTCTTCTCTCTCCCCACCTGTAGCCCATCACAAATTCCCATTGACATACCTACCTCACAACAGAATCCATCCACTTGTCTCTATTAATGTGGCTGTGCAATTAGTCCAGGCTGCTTTCATTGCTTACCTGGGTGCCTGCCACAGTTTCCTAATGGGCCTCCTTGCCTCCAGCCTACCTGCAATTCAATTTGATTTCTATCATTTCTCTTGCAATGAGAGGAATCTTCGTGTAATTGTGTCACTGTCCCTCTAAAAATATGTTCATGACTCTCGTATGTTCTCAGGATAAAATAAAAATTCCTTCATTATCTGGATCTAATCACTGTTCTGCAGTTCACTCAGTCCTCCAGTCAGATAGGATGTTCTGTTCTCCTGAGCTCTCTTGCTCTCCTCCCTCCTCCTTTCTTTCTAGGACTGCATGTGTTTTATGTGGCTGTGGAACATTTTGCCTGCCTGCCTTCCTTTTGTTATCTCATGTTTCTGATACCTGCTTATCGTCTTAGCCCTTATTCTAGAGATTCTGCTCCTTTAAGACACTTTCCTGCTCAATGCTTATTTTGCCTGCAACACCATCACCTTCATTCAAATGAGATGTGCTTCCTCTGTGCTTCTTTGGCATCCTGCACTTTATCTTTAATAACATTTACCACAGCAAATTGCTTCTGCCTATTTATTTCTCTGTGTCCCAAGGGCTGCGCCAGTGCCTCGTGCATTGTTATATTACAATCACTTAATGCTGTGCTTAGTACACCTTAGGAGGAATGCAAATAAAGATTTGCTAGATGAATGAACGAACTTTCAATCCCATCTGAAAAAAAGAAATTGCCGTATTGCTGAAACATTTTTGTTTGAGTATATCTTCAGACAAAATTCAAATGTTAATGTCAAATATTATTATAAAATTATTAAAACTAATATGTTTGTTTCTATTTTTCTTTAAAAGGAGTTGTTAGCTTTGTGTTGCTCCAATGGACTTAATAGTTGGGCATTTCAGGGACAAAAACTTTAGTGTAATGTATCAAGGAACATATAAAGAATACTAGCCTTAATTATACAGAGTCTAGGTCAATTTCTTAGATTGAGGTAGAGAGGAGTAACTCCATGGAATTTTTATAAATTAAAAGTTAAAAAGGTTATCTGAAACACATATGGGACACAGTGACTGCAAGACTCAGATTTGCTTAGAAACGTGGGAAGAGTAGAATAAGCTAAAAAATAATTATAAATCTGGCAGTCATAAGAGAAACAAAGAAATATGGAAAGAAAAGGAAGGATGACATGTCCCTTAGCTGAAGGAAGAGAGGAATTCTTTTGGGGAGAAGGATTAAGATATATGTCCATGTACATAGGTTCATAGGGTAAAGAAAATATATCACCCTTAGACCCAGAGTTTACAAGGATCATGAAAAAATAAAGGAATATCTTTTGAAAGTTGCAGATAGGGAGTCAATACAAGAGCATTTAGGGAGTCTTCTTTTGATGACCAGAAAGACTTTGCTAGTCATTATAGAAAATTTGGACAGGCTTGAGATGGCTAAGCTGGAAATTTCAGCACCAACCTTGGACATTATTTGATGAGTTTCAGGGTGACTGCAGTAACTGCAGGTAGGGAAGCACATATTTTTAAGTCTCTTGGGGGAAACATTGCCATGAAATTATAAAATTTTCAACTCTATGAGAATGCACATTAATTATGAAGCATATTAAAAGTGAGTCGGGCAAGACCAGTATAGACAAGTAAAGCATTGGGTTACAAATTATACTAATGGAAGGCTATTTACTGTGTGGAGTCATCCTGCTTAGGAAGTTGAAGGAGGGTAGAATGTATTTGAACAATACATTGTAGCTCATAGCATACCTTACACTTTATGATTTCATATCTCTCACTGTTGTGGAGGACTCCATAAGGCAGAATATGGAGTTAAAAAGAGCAAATTTGAGAGCTAGAAATAATGAAAAGGATATTAAATCAGTATCAACGAGAAATGAATATTATTATTATTACTTCTTGGGATAGAGAGGGAACAGGTATAACTTAAGGATCATGTGAAATTGTTGAAACTTGCTTAAAAGGAATAGAACTGTAGAAAAAGGTGTGAGGCTGGAGATCCATTCCATTATTACAGGAAACAAGATGGTAGAAAGAGGAGTTTCTGTTCCCAAATCTGGGAGTGTTCTTTGTGAGGGTGGAATGGAATCTCTGTGACAGGGGACTAGATGAAGGACTCTTGAGAAGCTGATGTTCAGGAATGGTCACAGGTCCCAGTAAACTCACTTTAATATCTGATGTCTGTGGTGTTGAAAAGGTGTTTGGGGTCAATGTTTTCTTGCTCCACCATCATGAACTGACTCCAGTACACCAGGGGCAGGGAAAGCAGGCGCTTGATCACCTTGAGTTGACACTTGATGTCCTGTAACATTGTCACTGGGTCTGGACTGGGCACAGCATGGGCCACTACTGTAGGGCCAAAGACTTTAACCAGATTGGCAACATCCATTTTAGTATGTGAAATCTGAGCCACACTCTGCACCAACCTAGGACAACAAGGCAACTCTTTTGCTTCTCCAATGCTCAAGTGAAGTCACATCTGCCTATTACTTCCCAGCATTGACTGACTATAAGAAAGAACATACCTGTACTCTCTGCTCTGCAGCCTCCTGTACTCATTACTACTTTTAGCGTTCTCCAGGCTTTTAATCAACTTTAATTGTGCATGAGGGTTTTAATAAAACTACATATATCTCCCCTTCCTTCTCCTTGAGTCACATAATATCAGTACCTTGTGCTGGTCATTGTTGGGAACTTTTAGATGAGAGATCTTTCCAGGAGTAGAAGGGTTAGTATGGAATTGGTTGTGATTCTTTTTGGGGAAGGGGGTTATTATCCCTTTGGCTTAAAGCCAAATGCTGCTCATGGAATGAATGGTCTTTCTCTAGTTTCATTTAGAACTAATTTCCATGAGACAGTGACAGAAACGGTACCTATCTGATAAGATTGGCTTATCTCACGGTGGAAAGTGGGAGGGCAGGGCAAAGAAAGGATTAGACCAGAGGATTTAGGATGCCTCCTTCTAAGAACCGGAAGTTCTCATTCCCCATTATGAACTGAGCTATAACATGGAACTTTCATAAAAATGGGATACATTGAGGACAGAACTAGTGATGGGAGTGTGTGTAGCTTTAATTTGGATGATTAGGTCTTAATAGTGTTGAGTGGCACAACCTTGTAAATGTGAAAGTACAACTTGTATTTATCTCTAATGTGCTGCTGGCTGAACTTTGGGTTCATTTGGGATCAAAGCCAGTTTTTCTTTTAAAATTGAATTCATTCTGATGCTTGACTCCCATACCCCCAACCTTGTCCAGTGGAGCCAAACTTCTAAAGGTCAATATGTCGTCCTTTGGCATCCCAATTAACAATAAAGAGTAGGCTATAAGAGAAAATTGTCAATATTTTGTGTGGTAAGAAAAGCCATAGTCATTTTTTCTTTGAACTTTGGATGCTGAAAATTTCCCATGGAACATAGACACATCTAGATAGATGTGAGCTTTTTCGTCTGTTAAAATTTTTCTTAATGTCTGTAAAAATGACTTTCTTTTATAGAATGTTTGACTTCTTGTTGACACTTATCTGTAAAACACCTATTTGGGATAATATTTGGAAAAAAGTAAATAGCTCTTTCAAGATGAAAAAAAGGAGTTTCTATTTCTAATGAACTAGTACAGGTTAAAAAATGTTGATAAGTTAAAAACTGAACTAATGAAAAACTTTGGGGACAAAAATATATCAGATGTCAGACACAGACAGTCTTATGGGGTCATAAGATTTAAAAACATAGAAATTTGAGATGATTATCTAGTGGTACAAATGTGGGAACCAGGGATAACATTCTGCTTTGAATGAGAATTAGTAAGCTCAAGGATTTCTAGACCAGGAAGTAATAACACCTGCCTTTTTGATATAGGAGTCTTTCTAAGGCTATGACACAGAGAAAAACACGTGACTTAGACTGTGGGAAATGCAAGACATGAAATTTGCTTGGAGGAAAGTGGAAGGTACTCTATTTGTAACAGAGAGTGGAAGCCACTAGTGTGCCAAGAAACTTATAACTTACAAATTAAGTTGTCCATATATGAAGTAGACATCAAAGGATAAAATAAAGCCTTGGTGTAAATCCTGAATCCTATCGTCACCATTGTGAATTTCTACAAAATTTAAATAAGATACAAATGTTTAGATTTTATTCCTCCAGAGAAGAGGAAAGATGGCAGGAGGATTTTCTCCCTTTGGATGTGGAGCACCAGTGTCACAATTACTTTCTTGAGAGGATACTTCTCCCAATTGCATTTACATCACAGGTCATGGGCATTAAATACTGACAAGAATTCACCAGCTTTCTGGCAAGACTGAAAGAAGAAAATGATTTTTTCTTTTATGTTCTGTTTTATTTTTCTACACTTCAGTAACAACTATTCCCCAATAACACAAGGTGTCTGCTGTCTGATTTATTTGAGCAGCAAAGCAACATGGGTCTCTTTGTAATATATGCTTTGTTCTAATAGTATTATTTTTGGAGATAGATGTGTTAGCAGTAAGATACTGAATTTTCTTAGATTAGGCTTTAATGTTATGGAAAAAAGCAAGGGAATGCTAGATTAATATACTTGCTTCTTGGAGTATAGGGAAAATTTAAAAACTGGTAGGAAAAATAAGTACAATCTTGTGATTTAGGATTCTAAAAGCAAATCGTTGCTATGAGGGATAAAAGGTTCAAAAAATATATTTTTGCTTTAAATTCCTGAAAAAATATAAAGAAAGGGAAAAAGAGAAGACCTATGGAAGTTATTATAACTGTACTAGATAATCTTTGATACAAATCTAATACATACACGTGTGCACATGGAAGAAAAGGCTTATGAATAAAGAGGAAACATAAAAGTTGTTTTTTTTTTAGAGTAGCTAGAGCTCAGAATAAACTAAAGTTCACAGAATTGCTAAAGAAATATTAAACTTCTAAGTTCTATTTTGAAGAGCATGGGGCAAGACAACACTTCTTTTTTTTAATTATACTTTAAGTTTTAGGGTACATGTGCACAACGTGCAGGTTTGTTACGTATGTATATATGTGCCATGTTGGTGTGCTGCACCCATTAACTCGTCATTTACATTAGGTATATCTCCTAATGCTATCCCTCCCCCCTCCTCCCACCCCTTCTGCCGAACATTATGTAATACTCATAGATGAGTTAGAATAGAGTGATTCAATTCTAATTGAACTTTCGTTTTACATGAAGAGGAGAAATCTTAAAATTGGAAAGGGCAGATCATAGTGTGTCATGCAGAAACTGAAATCTCAGGAAGGTGAGGAAATAGGGAGCATACACTTTCTTTCAGTAAGTTCGGGTCTGTAGGCCCCGAGGAAGTACATCCTAGAGATCTGAAAGGATTTTAAGATCATGACTCACCCCAATTACCAATTCTCTGTTGTTCTTCATTTTGTGAGAAATAAAATGGGAAACAAATTATGAATAAATGTTTTCCTGGCTTTCTAAAAGGTGAACACTGGATTTTGTAATCTATGATAGGTGAGCTTGACATGGATGGTTATCATGATAAAATAGATATTAAAATAATTAGTTTGAACAGTTAGAAGGAAGTGATGAACAGTCATGAGTTTTCCAAGAACAATTTATTTTACAAATTTGTTCAGTTTTTTGTTCATTTATTCTCAGCACATGGTTACTGAATATCAGACTGTCCCAGGCATTGTTTTGGATGCTGTTGGGAGAGAAGGGAAGAGACAAGTGGGTAAACACAATAAACAGATAAAATAATGAGTCAGGAAGATAATCACATATTATGGTACATATTATGAAGAAAATAAGCTGGGTAGAGAATACATTCACTTGGTGAGAGGATAAGATAGGGTGTTTAGATAATGACTTTTTTTTTTTTTTTTTTTTTTTTGAGACAGAGTCTTGCTCTGTTGCCCAGGCTGGAGTGCAGTGGCGCAATCTCGGCTCACTGCAACATTTGCCTCCTGGGTTCAAGCGATTCTCCTGCCTCAGCCTCCCGAGTAGCTGGGACTACAGGTGAGCACCACCATGCCTGGGTAATTTTTGTATTTTTAGTAGAGACAGGTTTTCACCATGTTGGCCAGGTTGGTCCTGAACCTTTTTTTTTTTTTTTTTTTTTGAGGTGGAGTCTTGCTCTGTTGTCCAGGCTGAAGTGCAATGGTGCATCTTGGCTCACTGCAGCCTCTGCCTCTCGGGTTCAAGCGATCTGCCCACCTTGGTCTCCCAAAGTGCTGGGATTAGAGGTGTGAGCCACCACACCTGACCCAGGAAATCACTTTCTAAGGAGATAAATTTGAGCTGATCTAAGAGAATGAGAAGGAGCAAACCATGCAATGACAAAGGGAATTTGAATTTTATTCCAAGAGGTGTGGGAAGCCATGAATGTTTCCAGTAGGAGAGTGATATGACATGATTTATATAACATTTTGTATAGAATAAATTCCAAGGTAGGTCTGGGGAAGAATGGAGGCAGGAAAACTAGATAGAAGGTCATTATAAAGACTTATGTGAGAAGTGATGGTGGTTTAGACTAAGGTAATGGCAGTGTAGAGAAAAAAGTGATGACTTAAACATATATATTGGAGATAGAACAAAGAAGTTCAGATGATTGATAGGAGATAAAGAAATCAAGGGTAGCTCTTAGTCTTTTGGCCTGAGGAACTAGTTGAACAATGATGCCATTTCCCATGATGGAGGAAGACAGGTAGAATCAGGTTTGTTGGGTACAGGAGGCAAGAGAGGACTCAAGAGTTGGATAATGTTTAAGTTAGAGTAGCCCATTAAACATTTAGGTAGAGATATCAAGTGGGCAGTTGTATATAGGAGTCTGAAACTCAGGAGAAAGTTCAAGACTAAAGATGTATATTTGGAGTACAAATGGAACATATATTTGGGAGCATATAAGATGTGTTTAAGGAAATGGCACTCAATGAGGACACCCATGAGTGTGAGAAATTAGACAAGAGAGCTCAGGATGTATCCAGTTTTTAGAAGTTGGGGAATGAGGACACTAAAAAGGTACAGCTGGAAAGGAACAGGCAAATCAGGAAAGGTGGAGGCATGGAAGCTAAGAGAAGGGTGTTTATCAAGAGGAAGGCATAGTCAGTTGTCAATGGCTGCTGATATACTGAGTAAGAATACAGGGAAAAATCCATCATTGTTTCCACTTAGGCTGTGGATCTCATCTCCTTTTGCTGTTCAGGGCCCTCTCTTATGCATTATGAGTTTCTGTCAGAATCCTAATCATTCAAACATGCCATAATATCAGCCACCAACAAGAAGAAAGAATATCCCTGAAATGCTTGTTCTTCTCAGCTACTTCCATTTATCACTGATTCTTTTTATAGCATATTTTATTAGAATTAATTGCACAATTGGTCCTTCATTCCCATTATTCTATTGAACTGGCTATTATTATGGTCAAATGACTTACACTTCGGCATATAGATTGAAGAATTCTGTCTTTATTTAAAGTGAAACTCGCAACAATGTTCAATGTACTTTCTTAAAACATTTCTCTTTGCTTTCTTAATACCATGTTATCCAGGTTTTTCTCCTATCTCATTGGTTTTTACTCTTTTTATCTTTTGCTGGTATCTTCTCCTCTTTCTCATCTCTAAATTTGGAGTGCTTAAGGGATAAATCCTGGGCGTTTGTCCTTAAATATCACCTATAATACTAAATATGTATCTTTAACCCTAACTTTTTTGCTAAACTCCAGAATCAATTTTCTTTAACATTTAAACCTAGATTTCCAACCGTTATCTCAAAATTATCATGTCCAAAACAGAGCACTTAACTTACTGGCTTTCCAAATCTGCATAAAAACTTGTCTTCATTGGGCTTTCCCATTTCAATTAAAATCTCCACCATTCATCTCTTTGATTAAGCCAAAAATTTTAGAGTTATTTCCAATTCATCAGTAAGGTATGTTGGCTCTTCTTCAAAATATTCCCTGAATTTTATCATTTACAAATTATTTCTATTTTATAAATTTGTACAAGCTAAGCTTATGTTCTCATATGCCTAGACCATATCTTCCTGTTTTATCATTTTTGCTCTTGTATCACTATTCTCTATTTCTCTCAAAGTAACCAGGTTGGACTTCTAAAAGGAAAAATCAGATCATGTAACTTTCTTGGTCTAACACTAGGACAATCATATGTTCTGTTTGCTCTCTACAGTCCCAGTTTATCACTTTTATCCTGGTGTAATTATCAATAGTGTTCTTTTCACTCTTAAAATAATCATGTTTTAGACAATAAGATATATGGTCACCCTACTTAAAACCATCTAATGACTGTGCGTTACAAATAGGATAAAACCCGCCCTTCTTACTATGGCCCATAAGATCATATATGTCCTTGCATGCCTTTCTGTGCTCTCCTCTTACAGTTTCCTGTGTGGTTCACTACATTTACATTTCTTCTATTAATAACATTTGTTTTTTTTTCCTAGCTGTTTTCCCTGCCTGAGATGTTCTTCCTCCAGATCATCAGGTGGACAACTCCTTCTCATCATTTTGGGCTCAGGTCTAGTTTTTCCTCCTCAAAGAGAATTTCTGTGATCATTTAATCTAAGTTAGTGTCTTCCATTTACTTTCTATCCCCACACTGTTTTTTTAATACTTTTAAGTTCTGGGGTGCATGTGCAGGGCGTGCAGTTTTGTTACATAGGTATACACGTGCCATGGTGGTTTGCCGTACCCATCAACCCGTCATCACCTACATTAGGTATTTCTCCTAATGCTATCCCTCCCCTAGACGCCCACCCCCTGACAGGCCCCAGTGTGTGATATTCCCCTCCCTATGTCCATGCCCCACACTGTTTTTGTTTTATATTTTTTCTCATAGTACTTACCATTGCACAAAATTATTTACTTACACTTAAAGTCTGTCTCGCCTCTAAGAATGTATGTTCCATGAAGTCAGTGGCTTTCCTTTGTTCACTGCTGTATTCCCAGTTCTTAGAATAGTTCTTAGAATATTGCGTACTTGGTAGGTGCGCAGTACATTTTTAAATAAATGAATGAACGCAGAAGTTATTAGAGACCCTGATAAAAGTAGTTCAAATGGCGTAAGGGGGAAAACTTTTCACTGTAAAGTGAATAAGAGGCAAGGAATTGAAAGCATTGAGTTTAGACAATTCTTTCTACAAGTATCGTAAGTCCCAGTTATATATGCAAGTCACAATGTTAGGAGATTTGGGGACTAAAAACAGTTGATAACATGGTTCTTATGCTCAGGATTTTTTGTTAGGAATTAGAGGATCAATAGACATAAGTACAGGGTAAGTCACTGTACTTATTATTCTTAATAAGTACTTAATACAGGTATATTATTCTTAATAAGTACTTAATACAGGTAAGTCACTGTATTATTCTCTTTTCACTATTAATATGCTTATGAGATTGATAAAGAATGCCTAACAATAGGTGTACTGTACCTTTATATTATTAGGGCACTTGACAAAGTATCTTATGATCTTTGTGCCAATAAAATAGCAAAATGTAGGCTGAATGAGAAGGCAAGATTAAGAGGCAGCTGAAAGCTTGTCCTCAGAAGATTGGTTAGCCAGAGTGGTGTCAATTTAAATCCAGCTCTTAAGTAGAGCAGGCTTTGGAAATATATACCTGAATTTATCTTAGTGAATAATTGTATCCTGCAAAGTGAGAGTAACCAGCAATATTTTGGGATACAGAGAGTTTATGCACTATGCTTTTCTCCCAGAAAGCACAGGAAAAATCCCCAAACCTAAGAGTTATATTTACAGGCTTTTAAAAGTCATCCTCTGCTATCATGGATCTAACTCTTAAATTTTTCACTGACAGAACACCTACTATAAATAACTGGGAGATAAACTCTGATTATAGCTTCCATTTAATTAACATCCACTCCTAACAGAACTTATTATTTGCTCATGAAACTGAAATTTACTATGGTATAGAAAAACTAATGTCTCATATGTATTTCGGCCCAAAGGAGAAGAAATGTGGAAGTGGGAAGTTAATGAAGAAAATGGATGTGCATCAAGGTAGAAAGAAAATGCTCACTTTTGTAAATAGGGTTTTACTTTACGGCCATGGTTCTTAACCAGGAGAAATTGTGCTTTCCAGGGGACATTTGACAATATGTGGAGATATTTTTGATTGTCATGACAGGTGATGGATTTCTACTGTCATCTAGTAGGTAGAGCTGGGGATGCTGTTAACCCTTCTGCAGTGCACAAGATAGCTCCCCAAAACAAACAGCTATCTGATCCAAAATGTTAATAGTACCAAGGTAGAGAAACGCTTCTTTAGAAAGAGCCTCTTACATTTTGGTGTGCATCAGAATCACCTGGAGAGTTTGTTAAAACATATTCCTATGTGGGGGTCTAGAGTCAGAATTAGAGTTTCTGATTCAGGATGTCTGGATGGGACCTGAAAATATAACACATCCTAGAAACACTGATGTTGCTGCTCTGAAGATCACACCACTGCTCTAGGGCCAGTATTTTTATTGTATTTATTTATTTATTTATTTATTTTGAGATGGAGTTTCGCTCTTGTTTCCTAGGCTGGAGTGCAATGGCACGATCATGGCTCACTGCAACTCTGCCTCCCAGGTTCAAGCAATTCTCCTGCCTCAGCCTCCCGAGTAGCTGGGATTACAGGCATGCGCCACCACATCCGGCTAATTTTTGTATTTTTAGTAGAGACAGGATTTCACCATGTTGGACAGGCTGGTCTTGAACTGCTGACCTCAGGTGATCCACCTGCCTTGGCCTCCTGAAGTGCTGGGATTACAGGCGTGAGCCACTATGCCTGGTGAGCCAGTATTTTTAAAAGCAATTTTTAAAACTGCTGAAATAAAAAATAAAAATTGAAAATAAAAACTACCAATGTTTTCATGATACAGAACAGTTTCATCACTACAAAAAATTTTCCTGAGTAATGCATTTGTAGTCACATCTTCCTTCTACCCCTAATCTCTGGCTAATCACTGATTTATTTATGATCACTATCTGTCTTCCTGAGAATATTAAGTAAATGGAAGCATGCAGTATGTAACCTTTTGAGAAATCTTTGGTTTCTTCCACTTAGGCTTATGCCTTTGCGATTCAGTCAAGTTATTCTGTGAATCAGTATTTTTTTAAATTGCAGAATAGTATTCCATTGTATGGATACATCACAGGTGTTTTGTTTGTTTCTTTGTTTAATCCAGTCACCTGTGATGGGCTTTTGGTTTGCTCCCAGATTTTTGTGGTTATAAATAGAATTGCTATAAGCATTCCAGTGGTACAGGTTTTTGTGTGAACATAAGTTTTCATTTCTCTAAGGTAAATACTCAAGATAAGTATTGTTGGGCACATGATAAATGTTTATTTATTAGAAACCGTAAAACTGTTTCAAGAGTGGCTATACCATGTAACGTCCCCAAAAGCTATGTATGAGAATTCCAATTGCTTTGGATCCATCTCGGCACTTGGTATTGTCAGTAATTTTTATTTTAGCCATTCTAATACATAAGTAATGATATCTTAGCATGGTTTAATTTTCATTTTCCAAATGGCTAATGATGTTGAACATTTTTTCATGTGTTTATTTGCCATCTCTGTGTCCTTTTCCATGACATGCCTGTTCAAGTTTTTTTTTTGCCCATTTTAAAGACTGGATTATTTGTTTTCTTACAGTTGAGCTGTGAGAATTTTTAATATATGTTCTGAAATATACATACATATATATATATATCCTTTGTTGGATATGATTTGCAAATATATTCTCTAGTCTTTTGCTTGTCTTTTCATTACCTTAATTGTGTCTTTTGCAGATAAAAATTTTTACTTTTTTTTCTATGAATTGTGGTTTTGGTATGATGTCTAAGAGCTCGCTAGTTGTTTTCTATTTGTTCCAACTGTTCCTTTTCTTTACCCTCCTTCGCTATCTACTCATGGATTATTTGAGTACTGTTTATGCTTCCATTTTATCTCCATTATTGACTTACTAGTTATACCTCTATTCTTAATTTTTAGTTGGATGCCCTAGAGTTTAAAATATACATTGTTAATTTATCACATTTTAAGTTTATCATAGACTAATATACAATTTCATGAGGAGTATAAAAATCTTAGAACTGTATACTTCCCATTTGTTTCTCTCATTCTTTGTACTATAGTTGTCATGTATTTTATTTTACATGTTCTAAGTTCAGAATATATTGTCTAAAGCAAAAATACTATTATCCATTAAAGTGATTGAGAATAAGAAAAAAGTATCTTTTAAAATTATCCTTTATTTTTGCTAATTTGAGAACTCTTAATTTCTTTTAGTAGCTTCAAGTTTCAATCATTTCTTTTATAAAAAGAATTAATATTCTGAAAAATAAAGGAGGAGGGAATACGTCCAAACTCGTTCTACAAGGCCAGTATTACCCTGATACCAAAACCAGACAAAGACACATCAGAAAAACAAAACTATAGGCCAATATTCCTTATGAATATTGATGTAAAATTCTCAACCAAATACTAGTAAACTGAATTCAACAGCACATTAAAAAGATTATTCATCATGGCCACATCAGATTTGTCCCAGGGATGCAAGGATGGTTCAACATTCACAGATAAATTAATGTAATACATTATATCAACAGAATGAAGGACAAAAACCATATGATCATTTTATTTGCTGCTGAGAAAGCATTTGATGAAATTCAATATCCCTTCATGATAAAAAAAAAATCCTTAAAAAAACTGGATGTAGAAGGAACATACCTCAACACAATAAAAGCCATATATGACAGACCCAGAGCTAGTATTATATTGAATGAAGAAAAACTGAAAGCCTTTCCTCTAAGATTAGGACCACAACAAGGATGCCCACTTTCACCGCTGTTATTTGACATAGTACTGGAAGTTCTAGCTAGAGCAATCAGACAAGAGAAGGAAATAAAGGGCATCCAAATAGGAATGAAAAAAGTCAAATTATCCTTGCTTTCAGGTGGTATGGTCTTACATTTGGAAAAATCTAAAGACTCCACCAAAAAATCTACTAGAACTGATAAAAAAATCAGTAGTTGCAGGATACAAAATCAACATACGAGAAACAATAACATGTCCATACTCCAACAGTGAACAATCTGAAAAAAAATCAAGAAAGTAATCCCATTTACAATAGCATAAAATAAAATAAAATAAAATACCCAAGAATAAACTTACCCAAAGAAGTGAAAGATCTCTATAATGAAAACTATAAAACATCGATGCAAGAAATTGAAGAGGGCACAAAATAAAATGGAAAGATATTCCATGTTCATGGATTGGAGAAATCAATATTGTTAAAATGTCCATACCATCTAAAGCAATCTACAAATTTAATGCAATGCATATGAAAATAGCAATGACATTCTTCACAAAAATAGAAAAATTAATCCTAAAATGTATGCAGAACCACAAAAGCTCCAGAATAGCCAAAGGTAATCTTGAGCAAAAGGAATAAAACTAGAAGAATTACATTACCTGACTTTAAATTATACTACAGAGCTATAGTAACCAAAATGGCACTATACTGGCATAAAAACAGACACATAGATCAGTTGAACAAAATAGAGAACTCAGAGATAAATTCATAGACCTACAGTGAACTCATTTTTGATAAAAAGGCCAAGAATACACATTGGGGAAAGGACAGTCTCTTAAATAAATGGTGCTGGAGAAGCTGGATATCCATATGAGAAGAATAAAACTAGACTGCTATTGCTCACCATATACAAAAATCAAATCAAAATGTGTTAAAGACCTAAATCTAAGACCTCAAGCTATGAAATGTCTAAGTAAAAACATTGAGGAAACTCTCCAGGAAATTGGATGGGGCAAAGATTTCTTGAGTAATACCCCACAAACACAAGCAACCAAAGCAAAAATTGACAAATGGAGTCACATCAAGCTAAAAAGCTTCTGCACAGCAACATAAATAATTAACAAAGTAAAGAGACAACCTGAAGAATTGGAGAAAATATTTGAGAACTACCCATCTGACAAGAGATTAATAACCAGAATATATAAGAAGCACAAACCAACTCTATAGGAAAAAATCTAATAATTCAATTAAAAAATGGACAGAGGATATGAATAGACATTTCTCAAAAGAAGACATGCAAATGGCAAACAGGTATATAAAAAGCTGTACAAAATCATTGAGCATCAGAGAAATGTAAATCAAAACTACAATGAGATATCCTCTTACCCCAGTTAAAATGGCTTATATTCAAAGACAGACAATAAAAAATGCTGGAGAGGATGTGGAGCAAAGGCAGCCCTCATACACTGTTGGTAGGAATGTAAATTAGTACAGCCACTATGGAGAACAGTTTGGAGGTTCCTAAAAAATAAACTAAAAATAGAGCTACCATACAGTCCAGCAATCCCACTCCTAGGTATATACCCAAAAGAAAGGAAATCAGTATATCGAAAAGATAGCTGCATTACCATGTTTATTGCAGCATTATTCACAATAGCTAAGATTTGGAAGCAACCTAAGTGTCTATAAACAGATGAATGAATAAAGAAAATGTGGTACTTACAAACAATGTAATATTTTTCAGCCACAAAATAGAATGAGATTCTGTCATTGGCAACAGCATAGAAGTAACTGGAGATCATTATGTAAAGTGAAATAAGCCAGGCACAGAAATACAAACATTGCATGTTCTCACTTATTTGTGGGAGCTAAAAATTAAAACAATTGAACTCATGGAGATAGAGAATGGGAGGACAGCTACCAGAGGCTGGGAAGGGTAGTGGGGGGAAGGAGGAATTTGGGATGTTTAAGGGGTTCAAAAAAAGTTAGAAAGAGTGAATAAGACCTAGTATTTGATAGCGTAACAGGGTGACTATAGTAAAAAATAATTTAACTGTACATTTTAAAATAATTAAAAGAGTATATTTGGGTTGTTTCTAACACAAAGGATAAATGCTTGAGATGATGAAGATCCATTGTACCCTGATGTGATTATTACACATTGTATGCCTGTATCAAAATATCTCATGTATCCCATAAATATATACACCTACTATGTACCCACAAAATTTTTTTTGTTATACTTTAAGTTTTAGGGTACATGTGCACAACGTGCAGGTTTGTTACATATGTATACATGTGCCATGTTGGAAACCATCATTCTCAGCAAACTATCGCAAGGACAAAAAAACAAACACTGCATGTTCTCACTCATAGGTGGGAATTGAACAATGAGAACACATGGACACAGGAAGGGGAACATCACACACCGGGGCCTGTGGTGGGGTGGGGAGAGGGGGGAGGGATAGCATTAGCAGATATGCCTAATGTTAAATGACGAGTTAATGGGTGCAGCACACCAACATGTACCCACAAAATTCAAAAATTTAAAAAGTGCACAAAGGACGTGAACAGACGTTTTTCAAAAGAAGACATACAAATGGTCAAGTATATAAACAATGCTCAACATCACTAATCATCAAAGAACTATAAATTAAAACCATTATAAGATATCATCTTATACCAGTCAGGGTGGCTTTTATTAAAAAGATAAAAAATAACATTTTGGCAAGGATGTGTAGAAAAGGGATCACTTATACACTGTTGATGGGAATGTAAATTAGTATAACCTCTATGGAAAATAGTGTATTGATTACTCAATGAACTGAAAATAGGACTACCATTTGATCTGGCAATTCCAGTGCTTGGTTTCAACCCAAAGGAAAAGAAATCATTATATCTTTTTGATACCTGGCCTTTCTTGTTATTGCAGCACTATTCACTATGACAAAGAAAGGGAATCAACCGAAGTGTCCATCAATGGATGAATGTATAAAGAAAATGTGGTAGATATATACAATGAAATACTATTTAGACATAAAAATGAAATCATGTCTTTTGCAGAGACATGGATGAAACTGAAGACCATTATCTTAAGTGAAACAACTCAGACAAATATCATGTGGAAACTCACTGGGCTGATGAATGCAGTCTTCCTGATGTGAATGGGATTGAAGAGCTTGTCAAAAAACATAAAGCCAACTTCACCCTTGTCACTGAACTGAGACTTTTCAACCAAACCTGTTACACAGAAAAGAAAATACCGAAAGAATATTCATCAATCTGTAAATAGTGATTATCTGTGGGGTATGTGTGGAAAATTATAGGAGACTTAAATATTCTACATGATAGATTTTTATAATAGTTTATTTTTATAATTAGTGTGTTATGTTTGTAATTATAAATCAACAACAGCAAAATATAATTTAAAGGCTCAGAGTTTTAATAAAATATTTAGAATTGGATAAATTCATCTATGTGGCTTTAAAAGTAAAGTTTAAGATCTCTGTTGGTTATTTGGCCCTCTGGTTCTAATCTTTCCATTTTGGTAATATGTCCTGTAAAGATTAATCTCTTTCATTTTCACAACACATATTTGTTAAGCACTTACACTATTCCAGACACTGTTCCAGGTATTGAGATTGCAAGAGATGATTCTTGACATGCTAGAATAGTGCTTCAATATGGGAGATAGGAAAAAAAGAATTAAAATGTCGTGCATAATTATGTTAGGGGAATCTTGGGAATAGTACTTAGGAAAATCTTGCAGACAATTCTTGGGAAAACTACCCACTATTGCCCAGGGTGTCAAGCATAGCTTTCTAGCAGAAAGGTTTTTTTTTCTTTTGGTTTTTTTTTTTTTTTTTTGAGACAGAGTCTCCCTCTCTTGCCCAGGCTAGAGTGCAGTGGCGCGATCTCGGCTCACTGCAAGCTCCGCCTCCCGGGTTCACTCCATTCTCCTGCCTCAGCCTCCCAAGTAGCTGGAACTACAGGCGCCCACCACCATGCCCAGCTAATTTTTTGTATTTTTAGTAGAGATGGGGTTTCACCGTCTTAGCCAGGATGGTCTCGATCTCCTGACCTTGTGATCGGCCTGCCTCGGCCTCCCAGAGTGCTGGGATTACAGGCGTGAGCCACTGCGCCTGGCCCAGAAAGGTTTTTTAAGCCGAGGCCTAAAGGATGAAGATAGTTTAGCAAGGTGAAAGGTGGATATGAACAGGGAGAAGAGTGTTTTGAGGCAGAGAGAACAGTATGTATACAATCCCAAAGGAGAATGCAGCAACTTCAGAGAGTTGAAGACAACTCAGAATTGCTGAAATATAGATTGTGGAGTAGCAAAGTGGTGAGACAAGGAAAGGTCAGTGACAGCCTGATGGGCCTTATAAAGCATAAGTTATTTGATTATTTGATAATCATGTTTTTGTATTAAAAGTCACTATTGGTATTGATTAGTAAATAGATTGGATTGGGGCAAGATTAGAGTTAGCATACCAATTAGCATACCAATTCAGTCAAGAGATGGTGGTGGTTTAAATAAAGATAAAACAGTGGAAATGGAAAACATTAGATGAATTTGGAAGGTCATTTTAAATTTATCGTAGCTACATTAGGGTGATGAAAGACAACAAGGTAGGAAAGATGGCACCCTCAGTTTCTGGGCTAGGCAACTGCAAGGAAAGTGGTCTGAGTCACTGAGACCGAGGTAACCTGAAGCTGCAGCAGGTTTTTGAGGAGATGATTTCATGTGGGACATTCTGTATGTGAAGTGCAAATAGCCCAGTGAAATGTAGATGTATATGGCAAAGGGGTCTGAGCCCAAGAGCTAGATGTGGGTAGAGTTGTGAATATAGGAAGAGTAAGTACATATGTAGCAATTGAAGTCACAGAAGGGAGCTCTGGACAGATGTCTCAGGAAATACAGGAAATACTGACATCCAGGAGAGATACGGAGGCTGAGGAGCCAGGAAAGCGGATGGAGATGGAATGGGCAGATAGCAGAGGAGCAACAAGGAGAAAGATCTGTGAAGAAAAATGCCCAAGGAGGCACAGAACATGGAGAGAGTCTTCAGATCGACATGCATATCTAATTGCTATGCAGGAGAGAGGAAAAGAAGCATTTAAAAAGGGAAAAACATAGTAATCTGAAGTATTAGCTACTTGAATCATGTGAAATTGCCAATATTTTACCATATTTGACCAAATAACCAGTAATTTCACATTATTCAAGTTAATACATTATATTAGAGACCATCACATTTGGTAAGGCTTTTTATTGCTTTGTTAAACTCTTGTTTTATTCTAGATTAAAAAACAAAAAAACTATGCTTCATGATCAAAAGAATTTGAAACTCACTGTACTAGACTGTCCTCATTCTCTTGCTGAGTCACAACACCGTGTTCTAGAGCACACACCTACCTATGTGTTGGGGGACAAAGCCTAAGGACACAGTCTAAGGCTGGACAATAATCTAGACTTCAACTTCATTGGAGTTTTTTACATTTATTTATCCTAAGACTTATACATTGTATTTTCTTTTTCTTTATTCTCTCCTTCTCTTCCTTATTACCTTCTCCTTTCTCTTCTCCTCATCCCGTTTCTCCCCCTTCTACACATTGTTCCTTTGCTCTTTGACTTAACTTTAAATAAATGAAATCATCACAACGTGCTATGGAGTGATTTTTTTTTCTTGATTAGTGAAATTGTCAGGCATCTTACTTAAATTATTTCATTTTTACTTACTTCTATTTGTTTTTGTTGCTTCCTATGCTTGGACACTTTGGGAAATATTTCTGAGTTCATGATTTGTAAAAATGTTTTAGAATACTTGGGAAAATTGAGATGCTACTGTATCATATATTTGTTTATTACTTTAATTAACTTTTACTTTGGGACGGTGAGAAGTGTTTTCATTTGTAGATGAGGAAACTAAAGTACAAAAAGATGACATGAATCTGCTTCACTTTTTGCTAAGTGAGAAATGTGGCAGTGTCTCTTTTGTATTAAAAAGACTCCCCCGTACTAATGATGGTGAATGGTATTAAGTTGAATATGCATTTGACTCCTTCTGGAAAAGCTTTTAAGACTGTCTCTTTGGATTCAGATACCAATGATTCCACTCAACCTCTATTCTTCTTAGTCTCTTAATCATTTCACCTTGATTTTATACCACATATTCTCTTCACTTCAAAACCAAAATATCCCAATGAACTGCCTAGCAATTTGAGGGTTTTATTTATTTGTTTATTTATTAGCCAGGATAAATTTTCTCCATTCATCAGGCCTTTGCATATCTTATCATGAAGTCTTTACATTATGAAATAGAATGCTCAAGCAGATGCTTTTAGAAAGCTGCTTGCCTCAGACTGTGTGCTTTTATATCTCTTTAACAACTAGACATGAATTGCTGTCACCAGGCATTAAGGCAGCTACAATATTGCCTGTCATTAATAGTCTCTGTTACTCTGCCGTCATAATTGGTGACCTTAGCTTGGCCCTCTGCTATGAATGAGAATTTCTGTTAAGAGGGAATATTAATGAAACAAAGTTAAATTCCTCAGCAGTTTTCAATTGGAATTGAAGTCTCCATTTAATTCTTGAAAGAGAATGGCTTTGAATCTATAAATATTGCTATTATGACTTCAAAATGATAGGCAAGATGCATGAAAATCATTATGCACAGAAGCCTTTCTTTTTGAGGATGTTGATATAGGTATTTTGTTCACTTTATAAAGTTCTTTGAAGATTAAAACATTTATTCTGAAGTACTGGTATAAATATAAAGGATAATTTACCCAAAGTAGGTATCAGCTAAAGAATTACTTAGTGAAAGGCACAAGGAGAAGTGCATTCTAAATCACTAGGTACTCCGCTAATTTTAAATTAAAAACTAGGCCAGATCATTATTTCTTTACATGCACAAACACTGAAGCATAGAGCATATTCTATGCTGTTTTTGAATGTAGGATTTTATGTTTTACTAAATGTCCCAGAGACACCATGTGCATATATTATCAACTTATATTTTTATAGTGGAAATGAACTAAGGGTTGAGTGACATGTTAATTGAACTGGGTCGTGCATCAGGACAATCATATAAATGACTGCCATGCTGATAGAAATATGACTGGCTTTGGAGACTTCATAGTTGTGATTTATTTATTTATTTATTTATTTATTTATTTATTTATTTTTTGAGATGGAGTCTCACTCTTGTCACAAGGCTGGAGTGCAGTGGCATGATCTTGGCTCACTGCAACCTCCACCTCCCTGGTTCAAGCAATTCTCCTGCCTCAGCCTCCCGAGTAGCTGAGACTACAGGCGCACGCCACCACACCCAGCTAATTTTTATATTTTTAGTAGAGACAGCGTTTCACCATGTTGGCCAGGATGATCTCGATCTGTTGACCTCGTGATGCGCCTGCCTCAGCCTCCCAAAGTGCTGGGATTACAGGCATGAGCCACCGCATAGTTGTGATATTTTAAAAGTACTCTGTAACCATTTTTAGGGCCATATATAAATGTAGAATTTAAAATTTTACCTTTTACTCATATTATACTGTCTTGTGGGACACCTGACATCATCATTGAATCTAAAAACTGGATAAAATCTTCTCAATGATATATTCTAATCACTTCATTTTTAAAAATGAGAACCTTATTTTGAAATTTTAGCTAATTTCTAGCTATTCAATTTAATGATAATAATTTAATTTATTGCTTCAAATAGAAGTTTTGCTTTTGATATTATTTCCTTGCATTAAATCTGTCTACTGCTGTATTTCCTAGGTTTGAAGGACATTACTTTTTCACTTATCTTCTTTTTAAGGATATTCACTAGGCTAGCAAAGGTTAGTAGCAAGAGGTATTATGCAACTCATCTGGCATTTTGAGTCTCATTTAGTACCTCAATATGACTTTATTACTTCTGAACACTGCTATGGAATGGAATATTCTTAGAGCTTTTTGAAATGGCATTAGGGCTCTCTGTCTCTCTGAATATTTATACATAGCTCCATGAGATGATAGATAAAAAATTGGCTGGTATTACTATGCCAGTTCAAATGATAGAAAGATGACAAGATTAAATATTTATGTGCACTTAAGGAATTTGTACAAAATAACACAGATAACACCTATTCCTAAAATAGGATCCTAGTTTTCACCTAGTAGAGATGTTGCGCCTATGAGCTATAATCCTAAAATCTTGTATTAAGGCTGGATCTGACCAGAGGATCCAAAAGCTTCCCTTCTCACTGCATTGCCTTCCTTCTGGTTTTTTTTTTTTTTTTTTTTTTAAGTGGAGAGCTTATTTGTGAGTTGAATAAAATTTTCCTTCATAGTTGTGGGATAAAGCAATAGGCTTAAATGTGAGATAGTGGGGAACAGAGGATTTTAAAATGAAGAGAAATTGGCTAGAAGATTTGATTTGGCTATCTAACATAATTCATTCTCTTAGAAGTTGACTGGGATAAAGTTTCAGAAACAGTTATCTAGGTCAATTAGTTAGATATTTGTATTTACTTTTCCGGCAAGAAAACTCTCATTCCCAACCCCAGTTAAGAGGATGGTGGCTTCAGAAGAATACAACATAAACATTAATTCTACAAGATAAAAACTTAAAAGACATGTCAAGCTACATAATTATCAGAGCAGCTCAAATAATTTGGCAATCATCTTGTAACCATAGGACTATTTTCCTCCCCTCAATCTGGCAGGTGTAAGGAGAGCCAAGGAAAAAATTAAAGAAACCTTAGCAAGGTTATTTGATGTCTGACCTTCTTGCTCAGACTCTATGACACCCCCTTAGAAACTGGATTATCATGGGGATTTCTTTTCTGGATAGATAGTCTAGGTAGCTGTAGTTCAGTCTGAATGTGAAAACTCAATGTTTAATCTCCTGTTAAGATAAGAGTCAAGTTAGGCAGTTTCAGTAAAACATTTCATTTGGTTTCAAGGTATAAGCACTTTTGATATAAACTTTGCTCTGTGAAAAAGATGCACATTAATAACTAACAAGATTATTGTAAGCTTAAAAAATTTGGAATATTCAGACATAAACCAAACTGAAATTTATTTTTTGATTATCTGTGAAAGTTGGAATAAACAAATTAATAATATAAATAAAGATGTAGGGAATTTTTTATTATATATTTTAAGATGTACACATGTAGTTTTGATATACATAGTGAAATAATGCTATTGTTGAGCAAACGAATCAATCTATCACCTTCTATAGTTACCTTTTATGTGTGTGGTAAGAGCATCTAAAATCTACTCTCTTAGCAAATTTTCAGTATATAATAGAATATTATTAACTATAGTCCTCATGCTGTCCCTTAAATCCCTAGACTTATTTGTCCTACATAATTGAAAATTTGTATCTTTGACCTGTTTATCCCTATTTCCTCCTTTTCTATACCATAATAACCACCATTCTACTCTGTTTTTATGTGTCCAGCTTTTTAAAATTTCTACACATAAGTGAGATCATGCAGTAGTTTTCTTTCTGTATGTGGCTTATTTCACTTAGCATAATGTCCTCTAGGCTCATCCATGTTGTTACATATGGCAGTATCTTCTTTTTAAAAGCTGAATAACAGTTCATATATCTCAACTTCTTTATCAGTTTTTCTATTTCATTGGTGGACACTTAGCTTGTTTCCATATCTTAGCTACTTTGAGTAACACTGCAAGAAAGATGGGAGTGCAGATATCTCTATGGCATGCTGATTTCATTTTCTTGGGTATACACCCAGCAGAGGGATTGTAGGGTCATATGATAGTTCTATTTTTAGTTTTTTGCAGACAGTCCATACTGTTTTCTACAATGGTCATAATAATTTACATTCTCACCAATAGTACACAAGGGTTCCACTTTCTCCACACCCTTGCTGACACTTATCTTGTCTTTTTAGTGATACCCATTCTAACAGGTGTGAGGTAATACATCGCTGTGGTTTTTATTTACATTTCCCTGATGATTAGTGATGTTGAGCACTTTTTATAAACCTGTGGGCTATTTGTGTGTCTTCCTTGGAGATATGTCTATTTGGGTCCTTAGCCCATTTTTAAATAGAATTAATTGTTTTTTGCTGTTGTGTGAATTCTTTATATAATTTGAATATTCACCCCTTATTAGATATATGGTTTGCAAATATTTTCTCACAATCTGAAAGCTGCCTTTTCATTCTGTTGTTTCCTTTGCTTTTCAGTTTGATATAATCTCACTTGTTTATTTTTGTTATGATTGCCTGGAATTTTGGTGTGATTTCCAAAAAATCATTGCCAAGGCCAATATCAAGGAGCTTTTTCCATTATGCTTTCTTCTGGGAGTTTTAGGGCTTCAGGTCTTATGTTTAGGTCTTTAATCTGTTTTTGAGTTGATTTTTGTGTATAGCATAAGATAAGGTCCAGTTTCATTCTTTTGCATGTGGAAATCCAGTTTCTCCAGTACCATTTACTGAAGAGGCTGTCCTTTCCCCATTGTGTCTTCTTGGTGGCCTTGTCAAAAATTAGTTGACTGTATATGCTTGGGTTCATTTCTGAACTCTATCCTATTCTATTGATCTATGTATTTGTTTTTAAGCCAGCACCATAATGTTTTGATTACTATAGATTTGTAATATGATTTGAAATTAGGAAGTGCGATACCTCCAAATTTGTTTTTCTTAAGATTGTTCTGGATACTTGGGGTCTTTTATGGTTCCATACAAGTTTTAGGATTTTTTTCTATTTCTGTGAAAAGGTTATTGAAATTTTGATGGGGTATAGGGATTGCATTGAATCTATAGATTGCTTCAGGTAATATGAGCATTTTGACAAAATTAATTCTTCCAATCTATACACATGAGATAGCTTTCCATTTATTTGTTTCTTCTTCAATTTCTTTTATTAGTGTATTATAGTTTTCATTACACAGATCTTTCACTTCCTTGCTTAAACTTATTTCCTAAATTCTTTAATCTTTTTGATGCTATTGTAATTAGGATTGTTTTCTTGATTGCTTTCTCGGGTAGAATAATACTGGTGTAAAGAAATGTAAAAATTTTTTTGGTGTTAATTTTGTGTCCTGCTACTCTACTGAATTCATTTATTCCAAAAGTTTTGCTGTGGGTGGCATCTTTGGGCTTTTCTATGTATAGGATCATATCACCTGCAAATAGGGATAAGCTTACTCCTTTCTGATTTGGATTTATATTATTTCTTTTTCTTGTCTAATTGTTCTTGCTAGTTCTTCCAGTACTATATTGAATAGAAGTGGCAAGAGGGACATTCTTGCCTTGTACTGGGTCTTAGAGTAAAAGCTTTCAGTTTTTCCCATTCATTATGATATTACATGTAAGCTTCTTATTAATGACCTTTATTAGGTTGAAGCACTTTTCTTCTATACCTATTTTGTTGAGGGTTTCTATCATAAAGGTTTGTTGAACTTTGTCAAATGCTTTTTATGCATCTATTCAGATGATCGTGTGGTTTTTGTCTTTCTTTTTGTTAAAGTGGTATATCACATTGATTGATTTGCATATGTTAAACCAACCTTGCATCCCATGGATAAGTCTCATTTGATCATGTATATAATCTTTTTGATGTGTTGTTGAATTTAGTTGGCTAGTATTTTATTGAGGATTTTTGCGTCAATGTTCATTAGAGATATTGGCCTGAAGGTTTTTTTCTTGTGGTATCTTTGCCTGGCTTTGGTTTTAGGGTGATGCTGCCTTCATAAAATGAATTTGGAAATATACCCTCTACTTCTATTTTTTGAAGAGATTAAGAAGTATTGGTATGAATTCTTCCTTGAATTTTGGTAGAATTCAGCTGTGAAGCCATCTGGCCCTGGGCTTTTCTTTGTTGAAAGGCTTTTGATTACTACTTCATCTCTATTTGTTATTGGTCTGTTCAGGCTTTCTGTTTCTCCTTGATTTAGTCTAGATGAGTTGTATGCTTCTAGGAATTTATCTATTTCCTATAGGTTACCCAATTTGTTGGACTATAATTGTTCATAATAGTCCCTTATGATCCTTTTTATTTCTGAGGCATCTGTTGTAATGTCTCCTCTCTCATTTCTGATTTTACTTATTTGAGTCTTCTCTCTTTTTTCTTTCTTTTAGTCTACCTAATGGTTTGTTGATTTAGTGTGTATATATATATATACTTTTTTTTAAAAAAACTCACTTTTGAATTTTTTCTGTAGTCTTTGTTTTCTCTATTTGTTTTTTCTCTGATTATAATTATTTCCTTCCTTTTGCTTACTTTGAGTTTAATGTTTTGTTTGCTTTTTAGTTCCTTGAGGTATACAATTAGTTTGTTTCTTTGAGATGTTTTTCTTTTTAGATGTAAGCATTTATTGGTATAAATCTTTCTCTAATAACTGCCTTTGCTGCATCCCCAAAATTTTGGAAAGTTGCGTTTTTGTTTTGGTTTGATTACAGATATTTTAAAAATTCCCCAGTTGATTTTCTAATTGACCCAATGGTTGTTTGAATGTCTTACTTAATTTTCATATATTTGTCAATTTTCTTGCTGTTACAATTTCTAGTTTCATTCCATTGTGATTGGAAAAGATACTTGGTATAATTTTATTATCTTAGATTTTTAAGACTATTCCATGTCCTCTGATCCAGGAGGCCTTAGGTAACTCTCCTGCAGCCTCTGTTGCCCTGTGACCTGCAGGTACTGGAAGATCCATAGGGAGAATGATAGGACACCTGGAAGCTGGGAAATGGTACAGGGAGATTCATACTATGAAGTCAGGACACCTCAGAATCTGGGAAATGTTTCTAGTTTAAGAGTGATTTGATTGACTGTTTCCAAAATGGCCAACTAGATGCAGCCAGGAAGTGCTGCTCCTATAGAGAGAGAACACAATTTCAACTACACCAACATAATTTGAACAGATCTTTGGAGAGATAACACTGAATGTGGATGGAAAAAAATATGCAGCTGTTAAGGCTGAAGAGGGAGGAAGTTGGGAATCCCAGGTGGAGTGCCTGAATGCTATGGCCCGTCCCCTGTCCTGAATGAAACCTGGGAGAAGGGGTGAGTGAAGGGACTGAGGGTCTGCTCATTCCCATCATTGACCTCTGGGGTTCTAGCTGCAAGGGACACCACACCCACACTGACTTGTGAGCTGGCAGGGGCATCTCCCTGGAGATTAGACAGAGATGAAGCTGTAGTAGGCACAGAGCCAGGAATATTGGAACATGGGTCAGCTCTGGTAAAGCCTGGACATACGTGCCCAACGCCAGGGCTACCAGCCTCCCTCAGAGAGGCTATGGCTCCAGCTAACTGCTGGGGACAAAGCAGAGCCTGCTTCCCTGCAGGATTGGAGCACATCTGTCCTGCAGGCCCGATGACGGCCCGCCAGCCCTTCCCAGGGCTCCTGCCTCGCTGTGGGGTAGAAGCATGTACACAGCGCAGCCTCCTGCCCAGCCTTGGTGCTTTGCACCACCTGAGTGCATTCCCGCAGCATGGGAGCCCTTCAGATCCCACACTGCACCTGAAACTCAACCCAGTGCATCTGGAGGAAGGAGCCCAAGTGGGTCCTGTAGCCTCAGAACTGCAGCCTGTGGTTCAGGAGTGCCAACCTGGGATCTGCACTTGGCAGTTGAATGGGGGAGGAGACTACACTTTCAGAAATCTGAGATGGCTGAGTCACACAGGTTTGCAAACTGATATGGGACCTAGCCATGCCTCCCTCCACAGAGTTGGTATGGTAAGGGTGTGGTGTATTTCCCTACCAGACCTCTGCCCAAGGGAGACCAGCGACCCCAAAGACATAAGAACAACAGTAGCAACATGACGGGCATAGTGCCAGTGATTGGAGGTGGCCGCCTTAAGTCCCAGAGTAGACCTGGCGAGGGTGTCATCTGTCTCCCCTTCAAACCGCATGACACAGCTACAAACACCAGAGGAGCCAAATGGCTGAATAGGAGCCTATTGTCCATTGCTCTCAAGCACCATCTACTGGATTGCCGCCCAAACTACAACACACACAAAAAAATCACTTTACTAATTCTCCTTCCTACAAAACCAAGAACATAAATTCTACCACAAAGACCCTGTACAGAGTCTTAATTCCCTGAAAACGTCCACAAATGAAGCCAACAGACTATACGCAATTTACACCACAATTAAAAGAATACCAGCCCTCCAAATGAGAAATAATCAGCATAAGAACTTTAGCAATGGCAGGGTGCAGTGGCTCACGCCTGTAATCCCAACACTTTGGGAGGCCAAGGCGGGTGGATCACCTGAGGTCAGGAATTCGAGGCCCAGCCTGGCCAACATGGTGAAACCCCATCTCTACCAAAAATACAAAAAATTAGCCGGCTTTGTGACAGGTGCCTGTAATCCCAGCTACTCAGGAGGCTGAGGCAGGAGCATCACTTGAACCCGGGAGTCGGAGGTTGCAGTGAGCCGAGATCGCGTTATTGCACTCCAGCCCGGGTGACAAGAGTGAAACTCCGTCTCAAAAAAAAAAAAAAAATACCCAATTGAACTTCCTGAGTGGAAAAATTTCAGAATACAATCAGAAGTATCAGCAGAATAGACCAAGCTGAGGAAAGAATCTCAGAGCTCAAAGACCGGTTCTTTGAATCAACTCAGACAAAAATTAAGAAAAATGAATAAAACCTCCAGAAATTTGAAATTATGTAAAGAGACCAAATCTACAACTCATTGGCATTCCTGAGGCAGAAGGAGAGATAATAAGCAACTTGGAAAATATATTTGAGAATATAGTCCATGAAAATTTTCATAATCTTGTAAGAGAGTTCAACATGCAAATCCAAGAAATACAGAGAACCAGAATCTCTGAGATGGAGCCAAAGCAGTGTTAAGAGAAACATTTATAGCCCTAAATGCCTTCATAAAGACATTAGAAACATGTGAAATTAACAATCTAACTTTTCACCTAAAGGAACTATGGAAAAAAAAGAACAAACCAACTCCAAAGCTAGCAGAAGAAAAGAAATAACTAAAATTAGAGAAGACCTTAATGAAATTGAGATGCAAAAATCCATACAAAAGATCAGTGAAACCAAGAGTTGGTTCTTTGAAAAAATAATTCAAATTGATAGAACCCTATTTAGATTAACAAAGAAAAAGAAAGAGTAAATCCAAATAAGCACAATGAGAAATGACAAAGATGATATTACAACTGATCCCACAGAAATACGGAAGATCCTCAGAGACTACTGTGAACAAGTTTATGCACACGTATCAATAATAGAAAATCTAGAAGAAATGGATAAATTCCTGGAAGTGCACAGTCTCCCAAAATGGAATCAGGAAGGGATTGAAATCCGAATAGACCATTATCTATTTTTGAAATTCAATTAGCAACAAAGAACGTACCAACCAAAAAAAGCCCTGGGCCAGATGGATGGATTCATAGTTAAATTCTACCACACCTACAAAGAACTGATACCCATCCTGCTGAAACTGTTCAAAAAATTAAAAGTGAGCAGTTCCCTCATAACTCATTCTATGAAGCCAGCATCAGCTTGATACCAAAGTCTGGCAAAGACACAATGAAGAAAGAAAACTTCAGACCCGTTTTCCTCATGAACATAAATGCAAAAATCCTTAGCAAATCAAATCCAGCAGCACATCAAAAAGTTAATACACCATGATCAAGCAGGCTTTATTCCTGGAATGCAAGGCTGGGTCAACATCACCACATAAAGAGCAAAAATCATATGATCATATCAGCAGATGTAGAAAAAGCCTTTGATAAAATCCAACATTCTTCCATGATAAAAACCCTCAACAGACTAGACATCAAAGGAACATACCTCAAAATAATAAGAGCTATCTATGACAAATCCAGAGCCAACCAGCGTCATACTGAATGGGCAAAAGCTTGAACTATTTTCCTTGAGAACTGGAACAAGACAAGAATGCCCACTTTCACCATTTGTATTCAACACAGCACTGAAAATTTTAGCCAGAGCGATCAGGCAAGAAAAATAAATGAAAGGCATCCAAATAGGAATAGAGGAAGTTAAAAGATCTATATTCACAGATGATAGAATTCTATACCTAGAAAACCGCATAGATTCAGTCAAGAGGCTCCAAGAAGATTTAATGGCTCCTAAATGATTATTTAATCATTTAAATACATGATTTCAATAGCGTTTTGGGATACAAAATCAATGTACAAAATTCAGTAGCATGTCTATACGCTACAAACATCTAAGCTGAGAGTGAATCAAGAACCCAATCCCACTCACAACTGTTACTAAGAAAATCAAATTCCTAGGAATACAACTAACCTAGAAGGTGAAAGAGCTGTACAAGGACAACTACAAAACACTGTTGAAAGAAATCAGAGATGATGAAAATAAATGAAAAAACATCCCATGCTCATTGATTGGAAGAATTTATATTGTAAAAATTGTCATACTCCCCAAAGCAATTTACAGATTCAGTGTTATTCTTGCCAATCTACCAATGTCATTCTTCACAGAATTAAAAAAAAAGCTATTGTAAAATTCATATAGAACCAAAAAATAGCCAGAACAGCCAAAGCAATCCTAAGCAAAAGGAACAAAGCTGGAGGCATCACACTACCTGATTTTAAACCATACCATAAAGCTACAGAAACCAAAACAGCTTGGTGCAGGTACAAAAACAGACACATACCAATGGAACAGAATAGAAAACTCAGAAATAAAGCCACACACCTACAACAATCTGATCTTTAACACAGTTGATAAAACCAAGCAAGGGGAAAAGGAATCCCTATTCAACAAATGGTACTGGGATAACTGGCTAGCCATATTTAGAATTTTGAAGCTGTACCCCTACATTTCAACATATACAAAAATTAACTCAAATGGATTAATGTTGTAAGTGTAAGACCTCAAGCTATAAAAATCCTAGAAGAAAATTTAGGAAATACTCTTCTTGATGTTAGCCTTGGCAAGGAATTTTTGACTAAGTCCCCAAAAGCAATTGCAACAAAGCCAAAAGTAGACAAGTAGAACCTAATTAAACATTGCTTCTGCACAGCAAAAGAAACAGATGATCTACAGAATGAGAGAAGATATTTGCAAACTGTGAATCTGACAAAGGCCTAGTATCCAGAATCTATAAGGAACTTAAACAAATCAAGAAGCGAAAAACAAATAACCCCATTAAAAAGTGAGCAAAGGATATAAAGAGACGCTTCTCAAAAGAAGACATACATGTGGCCAACAAACATATGAAAAAATGCTCAGCATCAGTAATCATTAGAGAAATGCAAATCAAAACCACAATGAGATGCCATCTCACACTAGTCAGGAAGGCTACTATTAAAAAGTCAGAAAAATAACAGATCCTAGAGAGGTTGTGGAGAAAGGGGAACACTTACACACGGTTAATGGGAATATGAATTAGTTATTTCACTGTGGAAAGCAGTCTGAAGATTCCTCAAAGAACTTAAAACAGAGTCACCATTTGACCCAACAATCCCGTTACTGGGTATATATCTAAAAGAAAATAAATTATTGTACTAAAAAGACACATGCACTCATATGCTTATTTCTACACTATTCACAATAGTGAGGACATGAAATCAACCCAGGCTCCTATCAATGGTAGATTGGATAAAGGAAATGTGGTAGATATATACTATGGACTACTATGTAGCCATAACAAAGAATGAAGTCATGTCCTTTTCAGCAACGTAGATAGAGCTGGGGGCCATGAATCATAAACAAATTAATGCAGAAACAGAAAACCAAATGCTACATGTTCTTACTTGTAAGTAGGAGTGAAGCATTCAGCACACATGGACATAAATATGAGAAAAATAGACACTATGCACTACTAGAGGGTGGGTTTAAAAACTACCTATTGGGCATTTTGCTCACCACCAGAATGTTGGGATTTGTCCGCCAAACCTCAGCATTATGCAATAGTCTGACATAACAATTCTGCACATGTAACCCCTGTATTTAAAATAAAAGTTGAAATAAAAAATTGATTAAGGTTTGTGTTGTGTTCTAGCATGTGATATATCCTGGAGAATTTTCCATGTGTGCTGGAGAAGAATGTTTACTGTTTTGCTTTTTGTGAAAAGTTCTGTATATGTCTGTTAGATATATTTAGTCTACAGTGTTAAGTCTGCTGTTTTTTAAATTGATGTTGTCTGGATGTTCTGTCTATTATTGAAAGTGGGGTACTGGAGTAGCCAACTATCATTGTATTGCTGTCAATTTCTCCTTTCAGATTTGTTAATATTTGTTTTATATACTTAAGTGCTCTGATGTTGGCTGCACATATATTTATAATCACCATGTCTTCCTATTGAATTGACCCTTTTATCAGTATGTAATCATTATATAATTATCATTATATCTTCTTTGTCTCTACAGACAGTTTTTGACTTAAAGTCTACTTTGTCTGATATAAATACAGCCACTCTTGCTTCCTTTTCATTACCATTTGCATGGAATATCTTTTTCCCTCCTTCCACTTTCAGCCCATGTGTGTCCTTGAATCTAAAGTGTGTTTCTTAGAGAAATTATTAATGAACACAGTGAAATAACTAATTTTTTCCAAACTTTTAAGCATAAGTTATATATCAATAATTTTTAGAATTAGAAATCAGTTTCAACTTTTTATTAAAAGATCTGGATGTGGTACCATTTATATTTTTACTGGATATTAATAAGCTTTCAAGTACTTAACATATTTTTAAAAATAAATTTTAGTAATTCTTATTGTTTTTTCAGTCTGAATTATGAGGTTGTGGTAAGTTATGTAATTACACTTGAGATATATTGACTGTTTTAAATGAACAAATAACTTCCTATAATCCTTTGTTGGTAGCAGAGAGATAGATAGGACATATATAGAAATACCGTAGACGTAAGTAAATGAAGGATAATGTGACATGAAGGTGTCCAAATGCATCCCAGCTGCCAACGTGTTGATCCCTGTAATACATTACTACTTTAGGTTAAAATACAAAATACCTCTGATAATCCTAACTATATCAAGCTACTCTTAGCCAATGATGTTAACTAGAATGAATGTCTTAATACATGTGTTTGTTTACTCTCATATTGCCATCAAAATGGGGAGAGGATAGGACCTAGAGAGAGGCATTCAGGTAATAAGAAAGGCACTAATCTCTAGAGAAGTAGGAAAAAGAACAGGTGAATACAAGGTTCACCAAGGGAGGACATTGAAAGTAAAGTTTTGCATTTTGGCTAAAAGTTTGTGTGTGTTGATTAGGTGGGGGATGTGGTAGAAGGTGGAATAAAGATACTCTACAAGGTTTTGTTATCAGGGTGATGCTGTCCTCGTACAGTGAGTTAGGGAGGAGTCCCTCCTTTTTAATTTTTTGGAACAGTTTCAGTAGAAATGGTACCAGCTCATCATTGTACATCTGGTAGAATTCAACTCTGAATCCATCTGGTCCTGGACTTTTTTTGGTTGGTAAGCTATTGATACTCCCTCGATTTCAGAACTTGTTATTGGTTTATTCAGGGATGGCATTCAATTTCTACCTGGTTCAGTCTTGGGAGGGTGTGTGTGTCCAGTAATTTATCCATTTCTTCTAGATTTTTTATTTAAGTGAATAGAAGTGTTCATAATACTCTCTGATGTTTATTTGTATTTCTGGGGGTCAGTGCTGATATCCCCCTTGTCACTTCCAATTGTGTTTATTTGAATCTTCTCTCTTTTCTTCTTTATTAGTCTAGCTAGCAGTCTATTTTATTATTTTTTTCCAAAAAAATCAGCTCCTGGATTTGTTGATTTTTTGAAGGGCTTTTTATGTCTCTGTCTCCTTCATTTCAGTTCTGATATTGGTTATTTCTTGTCTCCAGCTAGCTTTGGGATTTGTTTACTCTTGGTTCTCTAGTTCCTTTAGTTGTGATGTTAGGTTGCTAACTTGAGATCTTTCTAGCTTTTCGATGTAGGCATTTAGTGCTATAAATTCCTCTCTTAGCACTGCCTTAGCTGCATCCCAGAGATTCTGGTATGTTATATCTTTGTTCTCATTAGTTTCAAAGAACTTACTGATTTCTTCCTAATTTCATTTTTTACCCCAAAGTCATTCAAGAGCAGGTTGTTCAATTTCCATGTAGTTGTATGGTTTTGAGCGACTTTCTTAATCTTGATTTCTAATTTGATTGCACTGAGGTCTGAGAGACTGTTATGATTTCAGTTCTTTTGCATTTGCTGAGGAGTGTTTTACTTCTGATTATGTGATTAATTTTAGAGTTGGTGCCATGTGGCAATGAGAAGAATGTATATTCTGTTTTTTTGGGTGGAGAGTTCTGTAGATATATATTTTATTAGTCCATTCTCAAACTGCTGTAAACATGCTACCTGAGACTGAGTAATTTATAAACAAAGGAGATTTAATTGACTCACAGTTCTGTGTGGCTGGGGAGGCCTCAGGAAACTTACAATCATGGAAGAAAGCGAAGTGGAAGGAAGGACATTCTTCACATGGCAACAGGAGAGAGAAGAGCGAGCAAAGAAGAAACTCACCAAACACTTATAAAACTATCAGATCTCACGAAAACTCACTATCATGAGAACAGCGTGGGAGAAACCACTCCCATGATCCAACAAACTCCCACCAGGTTCTTTCCTCAACACCTGGGGATTATAATTCAAGATGAGATTTGGGTGGAGACACAAAGCCAAACCATATCATCTATCAAGTCCACTTGATCCAGAGCTGAGTTCGGGTCCTAAATTTCTTTGTTTATTGTCAGTGGGGTGTTAAAGTCTTCCACTATTATTTTGTGGTAGTCTATTTCTCTTGGAAGGTTTCTAAGAACTTGCTTTATGAATCTGCTTGCTCCCGTATTGGGTGCATATATATTTAGGATAGTTACCTTTTTTTTTTGTTGAATTGAACCCTTTACTATTACATAATACCTTTCTTTGTCTTTTTTGATCTTTGTTGGTTTAAAGTCTGTTTGTCAAAAACTAGGACTGCAACCCCTGCTTTTTGCTGTTTTCCTTTTGCTCTGGAAATATTCTTCCATCCCTTTATTTTGAGCCTAAGTGTGTCCTATCATGTGAGATGGGTCTCTAGAAGACAGCATATCATTGGGTGTTGGTTCTTTATTCAGCTTTCAGTTCTGTGTCTTTTAATTGGGACATTTAGCTCATTTACATTTAAGGTTAATATTGTTATGTGTGGATTTGATCCTGTCATCGTGATGCTAATTGATTATTTTGCAGACTGGCTTATGTGGTTGCTTCATAGCATCACATGTCTGTGTACCTCAATGTGTTTTTGTAGTGGCTGGTAAAGGTTTTTCCTTTCCATAGTTAGTGCTTCCTTCAGGAGCTCTTATAAGGCAGGACTGATGGTAACAACTTCCCTCTGCATTTGCTTGTCTGAAAGGGATCTTATTTCTCCTTCATTTATGAGGCTTAGTTTGGCCAGATATAAAATTCTGGGCTGGAAATTCTTTTCTTTAAGAATGTTTATTATTTGCCCTCAATCTCTTCTGGCTTGTAGGGTTTTCACTGAAAGGGCCACAGTGAGTCTGATGGGCTTCCCTTTTTAGGTGTCCTGGCTTTTCTCTCAGACTGTCCCTAATATTTTTTCTTCTATTTTGACCTTAGAGAATCTGATGATTATGTGTGTTGGGGATGATCTCATGGAGTATCTTACTGGGGTTCTCTGTATTTCCTAAATTTGAATGTTAGCCTGTCTAGCTAGGTTGAGGAGGTTCTCCTGGATGATGTACTGAAAATATGTTTTCCAAATTTGTTCCATTTTCCCCATCTCTTTCATGTACCCTAATCAATTGTAGATTCAATTTGTTTTACATAATTCCATATTTCTTGTAGGCTTTGTTTATTCCTTTTCATTCTTTTCTCTCCATTCTTGTCTTCCTGTCTTATTTCAGAAATATGGTCTTCAAGCTCTGATATTCTTTCCTCTGCTTGGTCTATTCTGCTATTAATATTTGTGATTACATTGTGAAGTTCTTGTAGTGTGTTTCTCAGCTCTATCAGGTAGATTATGTTCCTCTCTCTACTGGCTATTTTGATTGTTAGCTCCTGCATTGTTTTGTCATGTTTCTTAGCTTCTTTGCATTGGGTTACAATATGGTCCTTTAGCTCAGCAAAGTTTTTCCTTATCCACATTCTGATGCCTACTTCTGCCTTTTTAGCCATCTCAGCCTCAACCCATTTCTGAACCCTTGCTGGAGAGGTGTTGTGGTCATTTAGAGGAAAGGGACCACTCTGGCTTTTCAAGTTTTCAGCATTTTGCCTGATCCTTTCTCATATTTTTGGCTTATCTACCTTCGATCTTTGAGGTTGCTGACCTTTGGGTGAGGTTTTTGTGTTTGTCGTTGTTGTTTGTTTGTTTTTGTTTTAATACTCTTCTGTGGGGCTGCTATGGTTTTCTGAGAGTCCCCTCCAGACCCTAGTCACCTCAGTTTTTCCATTACCTGGAGGTATCATTAGTGAAGGATGTGAAACAGCAAAGTTGGCAGCCTGCCCCTTCTGCTGGAAGCTCTGTCCCATAGGGGTATTGACCTATTGCTGGCCTGAACATGCCTGTAGGAGGTGGCTGGAGATCCCAGTTGGAAGGTCTCATCCAGTCAGGAGGAACAGGATTAGGACCTGCTTAAAGGAGCAGTCTGGCTGCATTTTGGTAGAGCAGCTGTGCAGTGTTGAGGATCCCTTCAGCTTCTGATCAGTTTGGGCTCTCCAAGGCCACATGATGGACTGGCTGAGATGCTGAAACAGCAAAGGAGGTGGCCTGCCCTGCACTCCCAGGCACTCTGTCCCAAGGAGAAATTAGATCTCTGTTAGCTGTAGAACATGGGTTGGGGTGGCTGGGGGCCTTAGCTGGGAGGACTCAGGAGGAATGGATCTGGGTAGCATTTATAGAAGCAGTCTGGCCACACCTTGACAAACAGCTGATGAACCACCTCTGCCCCGGGTTGGCTTGGACTTCCAAAGCCTGCAGGCTGAAACGGCAGAGCTGCCAAAGATGGCCACTAGCTTCTCCCCTCAGGCGCTTGGTACCAGGGAGAAATCAGAACTGTGTCTGTAGAATACAGGTGGGGATAGCTGGAGGTTATCCCAGCTGGGAGGACCCACCCCATAAGGAAGAGTGGATTGGGGTCCCATTTAAAGAAGAAGTCTGGCCATGCCTTGACAAAGCAGCTGTGCTGTGCTGGGTGACCACTTCTGCCCTGGTTGGCTTGGACTCTCCAAAGCCCACAGGCTAGAACAGCTGAGTGGTCCAAACAACCAAGGTTGTGGCCTACCCCTCTCCCTGGACACTCCATTCACAGAGAGATCAGAGCTCCATCTGTAGAATATGGGCAGGTGGGGTAGCTGAAGGCCGTGGCTGGGAGGCCCCACTCAGTGAGAAGGAATGGATCAGGGATCCACTCAAAGAAGCAGTTTAGCCACGTTCTAGCAAAGCAGCTGTGCTGTGCTGGGGGGACCCTTTCTCATCTGGACCATTTGGACTCTCCAAAGCCCACAGGCTGGAATGGCTGAGTTGGCAAAACAGCAGAGATGGCGGCCTGCCTCTACCCCCAGGCACTCTGTCCCATCTCAGGCAGGCCTCACCCTGTTGCCGGTGGCTGGCTGGAATTCCAAGCCAGTGGGTCTTATCATGTGAGTTGTGGTAGAAGTGGGGCCTGCAGACTGATGCTGCTTGGCCTCCTGGATTCAGTCTCTTTCCTAGGGGCATATATGGACCTCCCACTTTGCCAGGGATCCTGGGGCTGGAGTATGTAAAGCCCCTGGCTCTCTGTGCATACATGAGCAGCTGATTTGCTGAGACTCCACACAGCTCTGTGTGTTAGACCCAAGGCCCTGGTGGCATGGACTCATGAGGGTATCTCCTGATCTGAGGGTTGCGAAGATCCATGGGAGAATTGTGGCTTCCCAGGCTTGCACATTCTCTCACAGCTTCCATTCACTGGGAGTGGGGGTCCTTTGGCTCTGTATCACTCCCTGGTGGGCTGTCACCTCCCCCTGTTTTTCTTCATTCTCCATGGGTTGAGCTGTTTTCCTGGTCAGTCCCAATGTGAATACCTGGATATCTCAGTTGAAGGTGCTGTATTCACTCGCCTCTTCTGTTTCTCTCTGTGAGAGCCACACACCACTGCTTCCACTTGGCCATTTTGACCCCCTCCAAATTATGACTTTCAAATCTACCAGTGTTGTATTGTTGCCATCAAGGATATTTTTCTTTTAAGTGACTGCTTAATACTAATTCCACGTCATGTAGTGATTTCTGAAATTGTGATAAAGATACAAAACATCTGCTGCCTTTTGCAGAAAATTGTGCCTCAGGGGCAAACCAGGTTTAGATGTAATCGAAGTTCGTCCTTTGGATCCTTATTTTGCCACAGACCCACTGTGTGACTTGAATTAAACCCATTCTTTGTATTCATAATTTACTGAAGAAGCAGACTAATTTGGTCCCACTTGACAAACAAGGTTGTTATTTGTGAGTGATTTCTATTATCTAATACAAATTTAGCACACAGAGAAATTAATGAAATAAAACATTTATTTAAGTCATAAAAAGTGAAATAAAGAATTGAGAAAATTATCTGCAATAATTCAGACCTAGAGTAACTTTCACCTAAATTTTGAAATAATGGAGAAAAATATTATGTGAACTTTTTGTTTTGCTTACATTTTCTGTTCAATTGCTTTATCTGCTGTGTGTATAAGGAAACCTTCCACTCATCCATCTTCTATTCTACAAATGTTTATTGAACACCTTGTCTGGCTAAGAACTGGAAATATGTGGTGAGATGAATAATACCATCCCTCCAGAAACTTGTTGTATTGCAGAACTCTTAGTCTCTTAGTAACTGGTTTTATTACTTTGTAAAATATAAATATAATACAGATAAATTTAAGCAGTTTTAAGGCCCACGCTTGAGATGTTAGCCGTCAAGAACAAAACCAGATCAATTGCCAAATATTCTGAAAAGCAATAAAATATTCACTTGAGTCTCTTGAAGCATGCCAAGTGGGATTGAAATAATAAATCTCAGCTAAATCTCCCACTCCCACCACTTCTCACACGAATGAACTCCGTCCCTTAAATCTCTGAGCTCCCTCTCTCTGAATGCCCTAAAAATTTCTTCAGCTCTTGATTTCTCCCTTCTATATCTCCATATTCTTTTTCCCAGTAACTCTGACTTGTCAGAGTTCCTCAGTTCTTCCCTTGCTCACTCCATTGACTTGGGCCAAAAAAAGACATGTCATAGAGATAGAATCTTCCTTTAGTAAGGGACACACACATCCTTTTTCTCCCATACCATCACCTCCCCACATACTTTGTTTTCTGTAGCATGAAACTTACGAAAGAGTATTTGAGTTAGATTTCTAGGATATCTGAAAATCTGAGAAAAATATATTGTCAAATCTAAAACATAAATTAGTTTATTGTTCCAGTCACTTAATATTAATGAATTGAATATAATAATTTTCTTTTGGTTTAGACCTTCATAACCTTGGCCCAAAGCAGTATGCCTAGGCTAAACCATTTTGCAGTTGTGGAACAGCCAAGTAGGCTATGATATATGTATTATGATTGTTTCATAAACAAATTTATTTTAAAATAACTTTTAAATTTTTAATTACTATGAGTACGTAATAGGTGTATATACGCATGGGGTACATGTATTCTGATAAAGGCATATCATGTATAATAATCACATCATGGTAATTGGGGTATATATCATCTCAAGCATTTACCATTTCTTTGTATTAGGGACATTCCAATTCAACTCTTTTAGTTATTAAAAAACGTACAATAATTATTGTTCACTATAGTCACCTTGTTATGCTATCAAACACTAAATCTTATTCATTCTATTTAACTATATTTTTGGACCCATTAACCATCCCCACTTTTTTTTCTCCTGCCTCCCTCTACTCTTCCTAGCCACTGGTAAGCATCATTCTAGTCTCTATCTGCGTGAGATCAATTGTTTTAATTTTTATCTTTCACATATGAGTGAGAACATGAGAAATTTGTCTTTCTTTGCCTCATTTATTTTACTTAACATAATGTTCTCCAGTTCTACCATGTTGTTGCAAATGACAGGACTGTATTTTATTTAATGGCTGAATAGTATTCCATAGTGTATACGTACTACAGTTTCTTTACCCATTCATCTGTTGATGTACACATAGCTTGATTCCAAATCTTGGCTATTGTGAATAGTGCTACAAAAAACATGGGGGTGCAGATATCGCTTTGACATACTTGTTTCCTTTTTTCTCTCTTTCTTTCTTTCTCCCTCTCTCTCTTTCTTTCTTCTCTCTCTCTTTTTTTTTTTTTGACAGTCTTGTCTGTCACCCAGGTTGGAGTGCAGTGGCACATCTCGGCTCACTGCAACCTCTGTCTCCTGGGTTCAAGCGATTCTCCTGCCTCAGCCTCCCAAGTAGCTGGGATTACAGGCACCTGCCACCATGCCCGGCTAATGTTTTTATATTTTAGTAGAGGTGAGGTTTCACTATGTTTGTCAGGCTGGTCTCGAACTCCTGACCTCAGGTGATCTGCCTGTCTCGGCCTCCCAAAGTGGTGGGATTTCAGGCATGCACCACCATGGCTGGCCTCCTTTCTTTTTAATTTTCTTTTTAGTATGTACTTAGCAGTGAGCTTGCTGGAAATGTTAATACTGTTCACAGTTTTTTTGAGGAACCTCTTTATTGTTCTCCATAGTAGCTGTACTTTTCCATTTCCACCAACAGTGTACAAGGGTTCCCCTTTCTTCACATCCTTTTCAGCATTCATTATTGGCTGTCTTTTGGATGAAAGTGATTTTAACTGGGATAAAATAATCTCTTATTTTAGTTCTGATCTGCATTTCTGAAGACTGATCATTGATCATTGATGATCAATGATGTTGAGCATTTAAAAAAATATACCTGGTTGTGAGTGAATAAACTGTGGTATATGTATATATGATGGCATACTACTCAGCCACAAGATGGAATGAATTAATGGCATTTGCAGCAACCTGGATGGGGTTGGAGACTATTATTCGAAGTGAAGTAACTCAGGAATGGAGAACCAAACATCATATGTTCTCACTCATAACTGGGAGCTAAGGTATAAGAATGATACAAGTGGGTGATATAATGATATAATGATCATAATTATAATGATATAAGTGGATGCAAAGGCATAAGAATGACATAATGAACTTTGGGGATTCGGGGTAAAAGGGTGAAACGGGGATGAGGGATAAAAGACTACAAATAGGGTTGAGTGTATATTGCTCAGGAGATGGGTGCACCAAAATCTCACAAATCACCGCTAAAGAACTTACTCATCTAACCAAATACCATCTGTTCCCCAAAAACCTATGGAAATTAAAAATTAAAAAAAAACTGGTTGCCATTTATATGTCTTCTTTTAAGAAATTTCTATTTATATCTTAGCCCATTTTAAAATCAGATTATTAGTTTTTTCCTATAGAGTTGTTTGAGCTCTTTATGTATTCTGGTTATTAATCCCTTGTCAGATGAGTAGTTTGCAAATATTTTCTCTCATTCTGTGTTGTCTCTTCACTTTGCTGATATTTGTCCTTTGCTGTGCAGAAGCTTTTTAGCTTGATGTGATCTCATTTGTCCATTTTTGCTTTGGTTGCCTGTGCTTCTGAGGTTTTACTCAAGAACTTTTTGCCCAGTCAAATGTCCTAGATAAATTTCCCAATGTTTTATTCTAGTAGTTTCATAGTTTCAGGGCTTATATTTCTCTTTAATCTATTTCAATTTGATTTTGGTATATGGCAAGACATAGGTGTCTAGTTTCATTATTCTCATATGGATAGCCAGTGTTCCAAGGACCATTGATAGAAGACACTGTTTTACCCCAATATATGTTCTTGGCACTTTTGTTGAAAATGAGCACACTGTAAATGTGTGGATTTATTTCTAGGCTCTCTATTCTGTTCCATTTGTCTATCACAAAATGCCAGTACCATGCTGTTTTGACTACTATGGCTCTGTAGTATAATTTGAAGTCAGGTACTGTGATTCATCCAATTTTATACTTTTTGCTCAGAATGGCTCTGGCTATTCTGGGCTTTTTGTGGTTTCATATAAATTTTAGTTTTATTTTATCTATTTCTGTTAGGAATTTCATTGGTATTTTGATAGAGATTGCAGTGAATCTATAGATTGCTTTGGGAAGTATGGATATTTTAACAATATTAATTTTTCTAATCTATGAACATGGAATATCTTTGCATATTTTTGTGTATTCTTTAATTTCTTTATTCAAGTTTTATAGTTTTCATTGTAGAGATTTTTCACTTCCTTGGTTAAGTTTATTCTTAAGAATTTGATTTTATTTGTAGCTAATGCAAATGGCATTACTTTTTGGATTTCTTTTTTTAATAGTTCACTGTTGCCATATAGAAATGCTACTGATTTTTGTATGTTGATTTTGTATTCTCCAACTTTACCAGATTTGTTTATCACTTCTAATAGTTTTTTGGTGGTCTTTAGGTTTTTCTAGATAAAGATCCTGTCAGCTGAAAACAAGGATAATTTCACTTCTTCTATTTCAATTTGGATGTCTTTTTTTTCTTTCTCCTCTCCAATTGCTATAGCTAGGACTTTCAGTACAATGCTGAATAACAATGGTGATAGAGGGCATCCTTGTCTTGTTTCAGATCTTAGAAAAAAGGCTTTTAGTTTTTCCCCATTCAGTATGTGGGTCTGTCATATATGGCTTTTATTGTGTTGAGGTATGTTTCTTTTATAACAGGTTTTTTTGACAGTTTTTATCATGAAGGATTGTTGGATTTTATCAAATGCTTTTTCAGCATTAGTTAAGATAATCATATGGTTTTTGTCCTTCATACTGTTGATGTGAAGTACCACATTTGTTGATTTGTCTATGTTGAACCATTTTTGCATTCCTGGAATAAATCCCACTTGGTTATGATGACTGGTCCTTTTACTGTGTTGATGAATTTGGTTTACTAGTATTTTGTTGAGAATATTTGCATCTATGTTCATCAGGGATACTGATCTATAGTTTTCTTTTTTTTTTAAATGTGTCTTTGTCTGGTTTTGGTATCAGGGTAATACTAGCCTCGGTGAATAAGTTTGGAATGATTACCTCTTCTTCAGTATTTTGGAATAGTTTGAGTAGAATTTGTATTAGTCTTTCCAATAAATGTTTGGCAAAACATGTATTATGACTTCAATCTCATTACTTGTTATTAGCCTGTTCAGGTATTGGATTTCTTTATGGTTCAATCTTAGTCTATGTACATATACATAGACATATGCAACATATATGTATGTGTCTCCTTTTTCATCTTTGATTTTATTTATTTGGGTCTTCTTTTTTTCTAAGACTGGCTAAAGTGTTTTATTTTGTTTATCTTTTTTAAAATCAACTTTTTGTTTCATTGATCTTTTGTATTTTTTTAATATCATTTATTTCTGCTCTCATCTTTGTTACAATTTCTTTTTTTCTACTAATTTTGAGTTTGCTTTGCTTTGTTTTTTTTTTTATTTCTTCAAGATACATTGTTAGGTTGTTTATTTGATGTTTCCTACTTTTTAATGTAGGTGTTTATTGATATAAACTGTCCTCTTACTACGCTTCTGCTGTATCTTATAGGTTTTGGTATGCTGCATTTCTATTTTCATTTGTTCCAAGAAATTTTTAAATTTTCTTCTTAATTTCTTCATCGACCCACTGGTCATTCAAGAGCATATTGTTTAATTTCCATGTGTTTGTATAGTTTCCATAATTCCTGATATGGTTTGGCTCTGTGTCCCCATCCAAATCTCATCTTGAATTGTAATCCCCATGTGTCAAGGGGAGAGACCTGTAATCCCCACATGTCAAGGGAGGGACCTGGTGGGAAGCGATTGGATCATGGGGGCAGTTTCCCCTATGCTGTTGTTGTGGTAGTGAGTGAGTTCTCACAAGATCTGATTGGTTTTATAAGTGTGTGACAGTTCCTTCTTCACTCGCTCACACTCTCTCTCCTGCTGCCTTTGAAGAAGATGCCTGCTTTCCCTTTTGTCATGATTGTGTTTCCAAATTTATAAAGAAAATTTGTCACTAGGAATTGACAAAACTGTAAGTCAATTAAATATCCTTTCTTTATAAATTACCCAGTCCTGGATAGTGTCTTTATAGCAGTGTGAGAATGAACTAATACAGTAAATTGGCACTGAGGTAGTGGGCACTGCTATGAAGATACTTGAAAATGTTAAGAAAATGTGGCACATATACACCATGGAATACTATGCAGCCATAAAAAATGATGAGTTCATGTCCTTTGTAGGGACATGGATGAAGCTGGAAACTATCATTCTCAGCAAACTATCGCAAGGACAAAAAACCAAACACCGCATGTTCTCACTCATAGGTGGGAATTGAACAATGAGAACACATGGACACAGGCAGGGGAACATCACACACCGGGGACTGTTGTGGGGTGGGGGGAGGGATAGCATTAGGAGATATACCTAATGCTAAATGATGAGTTAATGGGTGCAACACACCAACATGGCACATGTATACATATGTAACAAACCTGCACGTTGTGCACATGTACCCTAAAACTTAAAGTATAATAATAATAATAATAATAATAATAAAAGAAAATGTGGAAGTGACTTTGGAACTGGGTAACAGGCAGAGGTTGGAACAGTTTGGATGGCTCAGAAGAAGACAGGAAGATGTGGGAAAGTTTGGAGCTTCTTAAAGACCTGTTGAATGGTTTTGACCAAAATGCTGATAGTGATACGAACAATGAAGTCCAGGCTGAGTGGTCTCAGATGGAGATGAAGAATTTCTTGGAAACCAGAGTGAAAGTCACTTATGCTATGCTTTAGTAGAGTGACTTGTGGCATTTTGCCCCTGCCCTAGAAATCTGTGGAACTTTGAACAACTTGAGTGAGATGATTTAGGGTATCTGGAGGAAGACATTTCTAAGTAGCAAAGTATTCAAGACGTGACCTGGATTATTCTGAAAGTATTCAGTTGTACATATTCACAGAGAAAGAGTTTGAAATTGGAACTTATGTTTAAAAGGGAAACAGAACATAAAAGTTTGGAAAATTTGCAGCCTGATGATGAGATAGAAAAGAAAAACCTATATTCTGGGGAGAAATTTAAGCCAGCTGCAGAAATTTGCATAAGTAATGAGAAATTGAATGTTAATTACCAAGACAATGGGGAAAATGTCTTCAGGCCATCAGAGACCTGGAGGCATAGGAGGAAAAAACTGACCTGGAGGTATAGGAGGAAAAAACTGTTTCATAATCCAGGCCTAGGCCCTTGATGCTTAGTGCAGCCTTGGGGCTTGGTGCCCTTCATCCCAGCTGTGGCTGAAACGGGCCAAGGTACTGCTCTGGCCGTTGCTTCAGAGGGTGCTCTCTCTCTCTCTCTCCTGCTGCCTTTGAAGAAGATGCCTGCTTTCCCTTTTGTCATGATTGTGTTTCCTAATTTATAAAGAAATTCAACCTTTTGTTGAACTGACTGCTTTATCATTATATAATAAGCTTCTCTGTCTCAGTTTTCTTTGTGAAATCTATTTTGTCTCATAAACATAGATAACCCTGCTCTTTTTTGGTTTCTGTTGGCATGAAATATCTTTTTTTATTTCTTTATTTCAATCTGTGTGTCTTGGTAGGCAAACTATGTTTCTTGTAGGCTATAGATTGTTGGGTCTTTTATTAAAAAAATTATCCAGCCACTCTATGTCCTTTGATTGGTTAGTTTAGTCCATTTACATTCAGTGTTGTTATTGATAAGTAAGGAATTACTCCTCTCATTTTGTTATTTGTTTTCTGGTTATTTTATGGTCTTCTCCTCCTTTTTGTCTTTCTTTTAGTGAATATGATTTTCTCAGGTGGTATATTTTGATATCTCAAACTTATAGGACATGTCCTATAAGAAATGCTAAAGAGAGTTTATCAGTCTGAAAGAAAATTATGTTAATGAGCAATAAGAAATTACCTGAAGGTGCAAAGCTCACTGGTAATCGGAATTATGGAGACAAAAATAGAATATTCTAGCACTTTGAATATGTCATGCCATTCTTTCCTGGACCATAAGTTTTCTGCTGAGAAGTCTGCTGCCAGATATATTGAAGCTCATTTGTATGTTATTTGTTTCTTTCTCTTGCTACTTTAGGATCCTTTCTTTTTTTTTTTTATTTTGAATGTTTTACATCTTTTTTTATTTTTTTAATTATTATTATTATACTTTAAGTTTTAGGGTACATGTGCACAATGTGCAGGTTAGTTACATATGTATACATGTGCCATGCTGGTGTGCTGCACCCATTAAGTCGTCATTTAGCATTAGGCATATCGCCTAAAGCTATCCCTCGTCCCTCCCCCCACCCCACAACAGTCCCCAGAGTGTGATGTTCCCCTTCCTGTGTCCATGTGTTCTCATTCTTCAGTTCCCACCTATGAGTGAGGATATGCGGTGTTTGGTTTTTTGTTCTTGCGATAGTTTACTGAGAATGATGATTTCCAATTTCATCCATGTCTCTACAAAGGACATGAACTCATCATTTTTTATGGCTGCATAGTATTCCATGGTGTATATGTGCCACATTTTCTTAATCCAGTCTATCGTTGTTGGACATTTGGGTTGGTTCCAAGTCTTTGCTATTGTGAATAGTGCCGCAGTAAACATACGTGTGCATGTGTCTTTATAGCAGCATGATTTATAGTCCTTTGGGTATATACCCAGTAATGGGATGGCTGGGTCAAATGGTATTTCTAGTTCTAGATCCCTGAAGAATCGCCACACTGACTTCCACAATGGTTGAACTAGTTTAGAGTCCCACCAACAGTGTAAAAGTGTTCCTATTTCTCCACATCCTCTCCAGCACCTGTTGTTTCCTGACTTTTTAATGATTGCCATTCTAACTGGTGTGAGATGGTATCTCATTGTGGTTTTGATTTGCATTTCTCTGATGGCCAGTGATGATGAGCATTTTTTCATGTGTCTGTTGGCTGCATAAATGTCTTTTACCACTTTTTGAGAAGTGTCTGTTCATGTCCTTCACCCACTTTTTGATGGGGTTGTTTGTTTTTTTCTTGTAAATTTGTTTGAGTTCATTGTAGATTCTGGATATTAGTCCTTTATCAGATGAGTAGGTTGCGAAAATGTTCTCCCATTCTGTAGGTTGCCTGTTCACTTTGATGGTAGTTTCTTTTGCTGTGCAGAAGTTCTTTAGTTTAATTAGATCCCATTTTTCAATTTTGGCTTTTGTTGCCATTGCTTTTGGTGTTTTAGACATGAAGTCCTTGCCCATGCCTATGTCCTGAATGGTAATGCCTAGGTTTTCTTCTAGGGTTTTTATGGTTTTAGGTCTAACATGTAAGTCTTTAATCCATCTTGAATTAATTTTTGTATAAGGTGTAAGGAAGGGATCCAGTTTCAGCTTTCTACATATGGCTAGCCAGTTTTCCCAGCACCATTTATTAAATAGGGAATCCTTTCCCCATTGCTTATTTTTCTCAGGTTTGTCAAAGATCAGATAGTTGTAGATATGCAGCGTTATTTCTGAGGGCTCTGTTCTGTTCCATTGATCTATATCTCTGTTTTGGTACCAGTACCGTGCTGTTTTGGTTACTGTAGCCTTGTAGTATAGTTTGAAGTCAGGTAGTGTGATGCCTCCAGCTTTGTTCTTTTGGCTTAGGATTGACTTGGCGATGCGGGCTCTTTTTTGGTTCCATATGAACTTTAAAGTAGCTTTTTCCAATTCTGTGAAGAAAGGCATTGGTAGCTTGATGGGGATGGCATTGAATCTATAAATTACCTTGGGCAGTATGGCCATTTTCACAATATTGATTCTTCCTACCCATGAGCATGGAATGTTCTTCCATTTCTTTGTATCCTCTCTTATTTCATTGAGCAGTGGTTTGTAATTCTCCTTGAAGAGGTCCTTCACATCCCTTGTAAGTTGGATTCCTAAGTATTTTATTCTCTTTGAAGCAATTGTGAATGGGAGTTCACTCATGATTTGGCTCTCTGTTTGTCTGTTATTGCTGTATAAGAATGCTTGTGATTTTTGCACATTGATTTTGTATCCTGAGACTTTGCCGAAGTTGCTTATCAGCTTAAGGAGATTTTGGGCTGAGACAATGGGGTTTTCTAGATATACAATCATGTCATCTGCAAACAGGGACAATTTGACTTCCTCTTTTCCTAATTGAATACCCTTTATTTCCTTCTCCTGCCTGATTGCCCTGGCCAGAACTTCCAACACTATGTTGAATAGGAGTGGTGAGAGAGGGCATCCCTGTCTTGTGCCAGTTTTCAAAGGGAATGCTTCCAGTTTTTGCCCATTCAGTATGATATTGGCTATGGGTTTGTCATAGATAGCTCTTATTATTTTGAGATACGTCCCATGAATACCTAATTTATTGAGAGTTTTTAGCATGAAGGGTTGTTGAATTTTGTCAAAGGCCTTTTCTGCATCTATTGAGATAATCATGTGGTTTTTGTCTTTGGTTCTGTTTATATGCTGGATTACATTTATTGATTTGCATTTGTTGAACCAGCCTTGCATCCCAGGGATGAAGCTGAGTTGATCATGCTGGATAAGCTTTTTGATGTTCTGCTGGATTCAGTTTGCCAGTATTTTACTGAGGATTTTTGCATCAATGTTCATCAAGGATATTGGTCTAAAATTCTCTTTTTTCGTTGTGTCTCTGCCTGGCTTTGGTATCAGGATGATGCTGGCCTCATAAAATGAGTTAGGGAGGATTCCCTCTTTTTCTATTGATTGGAATAGTTTCAGAAGGAATGGTACCAGTTCCTCCTTGTACCTCTGGTAGAATTCGGCTGTGAATCCATCTGGTCCTGGACTCTTTTTGGTTGGTAAGCTATTGATTATTGCCTCAATTTCAGATCCTGTTATTGGTCTATTCAGAGATTCAACTTCTTCCTGGTTTAGTGTTGGGAGGGTGTATGTGTCGAGGAATTTATCCGTTTCTTCTAGATTTTCTAGTTTATTTGCGTAGAGGTGTTTGTAGTATTCTCTGATGGTAGTTTGTATTTCTATGGGATCAGTGGTGATATCCCCTTTATCATTTTGTATTGCGTCTATTTGATTCTTTTCTCTTTTCTTCTTTATTAGTCTTGCTAGCAGTCTATGAATTTTGTTGATCCTTTCAAAAAACCAGCTCCTGGATTCATTAATTTTTTGAAGGGTTTTTTGTGTCTCTATTTCCTTCAGTTCTGCTCTGATTTTAGTTATTTCTTGCCTTCTGCTAGCTTTTGAACGTGTTTGCTCTTGCTTTTCTAGTTCTTTTAATTGTGATGTTAGGCTGTCAATTTTGGATCTTTCCTGCTTTCTCTTGTGGGCATTTAGTGCTATAAATTTCCCTCTACACACTGCTTTAAATGTGTCCCAGAGATTCTGGTATGTTGTGTCTTTGTTCTCATTGGTTTCAAAGAACATCTTCATTTCTGCCTTCATTTCTTTATGTACCCAGTAGTCATTCAGGAGCAGGTTGTTCAGTTTCCATGTAGTTGAGCGGTTTTGAGTGATTTTCTGAATCCTAAGTTCTAGTTTGATTGCACTGTGGTCTGAGAGACAGTTTGTTATAATTTCTGTTCTTTTACATTTGCTGAGGAGAGCTTTACTTCCAAGTATGTGGTCAGTTTTGGAATAGGTATGGTGTGGTGCTGAAAAAAATGTATGTTCTTTTGATTTAGGATGGAGAGTTCTGTAGATGTCTATTAGGTGTGCTTGGTGCAGAGCTGAGTTCAATTCCTGAGTATCCTTGTTAATTTTCTGTCTCGTTGATCTGTCTAATGTTGACAGTGGGGTGTTAAAGTCTCCCATTATTATTGTGTGGGAGTCTAAGTCTCTTTGTAGGTCACTCAGGACTTGCTTTGTGAATCTGGGTGCTCCTGTATTGGGTGCATATATATTTAGGATAGTTAGCTCTTCTTGTTGAATTGATCCCTTTACCATTATGTAATGGCCTTCTTTGTCTCTTTTTATCTTTGTTGGTTTAAAGTCTGTTTTATCAGAGACTAGGATTGCAACCCCCACCTTTTTTTGCTTTCCATTTGCTTGGTAGATCTTCCTCCATCCTTTTATTTTGAGCCTATGTGTGTCTCTGCACATGAGATGTGTTTCCTGAATACAGCACACTGATGGGTCTTGACTCTTTATCCAATTTGCCAGTCTGTGTCTTTTAATTGGAGCATTGAACCCATTTACATTTAAAGTTAATATTGTTATGTGTGAATTTGATCCTGTCATTATGATGTTAGCTGGTTATTTTGCTCGTTAGGTGATGCAGTTTCTTCCTAGCCTCGATGGTCTTTACAATTTGGCATGATTTTTCAGTGGCTGGTACCACTTGTTCCTTTCCACGTTTAGTGCTTCCTTCAGGACCTCTTTTAGGGCAGGCCTGGTGATGACAAAATCTCTCAGCATTTGCTTGTCTGTAAAGTATTTTATTTCTCCTCCACTTACAAAGCTTAGTTTGGCTGGATATGAAATTCTGGGTTGAAAATTATTTTCTTTAAGAATGTTGAATATTGGCCCCCACTCTCTTCTTGCTTGTAGAGTTTCTGCCGAGAGATCCACTGTTAGTCTGATGGGCTTCCCTTTGTGGGTAACCCGACCTTTCTCTCTGGCTGCCCTTAACATTTTTTCCTTCATTTCAACTTTGGTGAATCTGACAATTATGTGTCTTGGGGTTGCTCTTCTCGAGGAGTATCTTTGTGGCATTCTGTGTATTTCCTGAATCTGAATGTTGGCCTGCCTTGCTAGATTGGGGAAGTTCTCCTGGATAATATCCTGCAGCGTGTTTTCCAACTTGGTTGCATTCTCCCCATCACTTTCAGGTACACCAATCAGATGTAGATTTGGTCTTTTCACATAGTCCCATATTTCTTGGAGGCTTTGTTCTTTTCTTTTTATTCTTTTTTCTCTAAACTTCCTTTCTCACTTCATTTCATTCATTTCACCTGCCATCACTGATACCCTTTCTTCCAGTTGATCACATCGGCTCCTGAGGCTTCTGCATTCTTCACGTAGTTCTCGAGCCTTGGCTTTCAGCTCCATCATCTCCTTTAAGCACTTCTCTGTATTGGTTATTCTAGTTATACATTCGTCTAAATTTTTTTCAAAGTTTTCAAATTCTTTGCCTTTGGTTTGAGTTTCCTCCTGTAGCTCAGAGTAATTTGATCGTCTGAAGCCTTCTTCTCTCAACTCGTCAAAGTCATTCTCCATCCAGCTTTGTTCTGTTGCTGATGAGGAGCTGCTTTCCTTTGGAGGAGGAGAGGCGCTCTGCTTTTTAGAGTTTCCAGTTTTTCCGCTCTGTTTTTTCCCCATCTTTGTGGTTTTATCTACTTTTGGTCTCTGATGATGGTGATGTACAGATGGGTTTTTGGTGTGGATGTCCTTTCTGTTTGTTAGTTTTCCTTCTAACAGACAGGACCCTCAGCTGCAGGTCTGTTGGAGTTTGCTAGAGGTCCACTCCAGACCCTGTTTGCCTGGGTACCAGCAGTGGTGGCTGCAGAACAGCGGATTTTCGTGAACCGCGAATGCTGCTGTCTGATCCTTCCACTGGAAGTTTTATCTCAGAGGAGTACCCGGCCAGCCGTGTGAGGTGTCAGTCTGCCCCTACTGGTGGGTGCCTCCCAGTTAGGCTGCTCGGGGGTCAGGGGTCAGGGACCCACTTGAGGAGGCAGTCTGCCCATTGTCAGATCTCCAGCTGCGTGCTGGGAGAACCACTGCTCTCTTCAAAGCTGTCAGACAGGGACATTAAAGTCTGCAGAGTTTACTGCTGTCTTTTTGTTTGTCTGTGCCCTGCCCCCAGAGGTGGAGCCTACAGAGGCAGGCAGGCCTCCTTGAGCTGTGGTGGGCTCCACCCAGTTCGAGCTGCCGGGCTGCTTTGTTTACCTAAGCAAGCCTGGGCAATGGCAGGCGCCCCTCCCCCAGCCTCGCTGCCACCTTGCAGTTTGATCTCAGACTGCTGTGCTAGGAATCAGCGAGACTCCTTGGGTGTAGGATCCTCAGAGCCATGTGTGGGATATAATCTCCTTCTGCGCCGTTTTTTAAGCCCATCGGAAAAGCGCAGTATTAGGTTGGGAGTGACCTAATTTTCCAGGTGCTGTCTGCCACCCCTTTCTTTGATTAGGAAAGGGAACTTCCTGACCCCTTGCGCTTCCCGAGTGAGGCAATGCCTCACCCTGCTTCAGCTCGCGCACAGTGTGCTGCACCCCCTGTCCTGCGCCCACTGTCTGGCACTCCCTAGTGAGATGAACCCGGTACCTCATATGGAAATGCAGAAATCACCCGTCTTCTGCGTCGCTCATGCAGGGAGCTGTAGACCGGAGCTGTTTCTATTCGGCCGTCTTGGCTCCAGCCAGGATCCTTTCTTATCCATGACTTTTGAGAGTTTGATTAGTAAATGCCTTGAAATAGTCTTCTTTGGGTTAAAATTGCTTGGTGTTCCATGACCTTCTTGTAGCTGGATATCTTTCTCTTAAGTTGGGAGAATTTTCTGTTATTATTTATTTGAATACATTTCTACCCTGATCTGTCTCTCTAGTTTCTCTTTCAGGCCAATAACTATTGGATTTTCCTTTTGAAGTTATTTTTTAAATCCTGGAAATGTGTTTAATTCTTTTTTATTCTTTTCTCTTTTGTTTCCTCTGGCTGTGTATTTTCAAATAGACTGCCTGCAAGATCACTAATTCTTTCCTTTGCTTGACCATTTCTGCTAATGAGAGACCCTGATGCATTTTTAATGTATCAATTGAGTTTTCCAGCTCCAGAATTTCTGCTTGAATTTTTTTTGTTATTTCAATCTCCGTTAAATTCCTCTGATAGGATTCTAAATTCCTTCTCTTTGTTTTCTTGAAGCTCATTGAGCTTTCTCAGAATGGCTAGTTTGAATTCTCTGTCTGAAAGGTCACATATCTCTGTCTCTCCATGATTGGTTGTTGGTGCCTTATTTAGTTCATTTGGTGAGGTCATGTTTTCCTGGATTTTTTTATGCTTTTGGATAATTGTCAATGTCTGGGTATTAAAGAATTAGGTATTTAATCTTTGAAGTCTGGACTTCATCCTTCTTAAGAATGCTTTCCAGAAATTCAAAGGGAATTTTGTGTTGTGATCTAAGTCTTTGGTCACTGCAGGTCTATCTGCAGTATGAAGTGCTCCAAGGCCAGGAATACTGTGGCTCTTGCAGACTCTTACACCTTGGGTTGCTTCGATACCATTGAGGAGAATTCCCCACATTACCTGGCAGTCTTTCATTCTTTTCATTCGCATTCCCCCAAAGAGAAAGAGTCTCTCTCTCCATGCTGGAGTGCCTGAAGTTGGGGGATAGGTGACCCAAGCACCCTCATGGCCACTATAGCTGGGACTGCAGTGGGTCACACCTGAAGCCTGCACATTTCTGGGTCCTGTCCAAGGCCCATGGTGACTACTGCCTAGATACTGCTGATTTTATTCAAAGCCTAAGAGCTCTTTAGTAAGCCAGTAGTAAATCCTGCCAGTAATGGATCCTTTCCTTCCATGCAGGACGTTCCCTTCTGGCCCAGGGTAAGTCTAGAAATGCTGTCCAGGAGCTAGGGCTTGGAATTGGGGGCTTCAGGAATCTGCTTGGTGCTTTAATGTGGCTGACCTGGTACCCAAGTTGCAAGACAAAGTTCTCTTTACTCTTCCCTCTCCTTTCTACAAGTGAAAGGAGTCTCTCCTGAGCTGCACTTCCTGGAGATGAGGTAGAGGTGATCCAAGCACTTCCTTGGCTAACACAACTGGTGTCTCGCTGGATTGCATGCATTCCAATTCCACTGGCTGTGAATCTAGTGCAGCAACTGGACTTTCCCAAGATTGCAGTCCTTGTAGCCACACTACCTTTCAAATATATTCAAGACCTCAGAGCTCTTTAGTTAGTTGGTGTTGTAGCTAGCCAGAACTTGGATTCCTGCTGCTGTGACAGAGAATTCCTTTTAGCTGGTGCTAGTTTAAATGCTCCCTCTGTGGGCACTGACAGAATTCTTCCCTGTGTTGTGTTCTGCTGTGACAGGGCTATGCTGAGTTCCAGTGCAAAGTCCCAGAATCTGTTCACTCTACTTCCCCTGTACACACAGATTCTCTTTTCATGCAGTGTGGTGCTGCTGGGAGATGTAGAAAAAGTGGTATAGTTAATGCAAGATTAATGCAAGACTTTCCTTCCTAACCTCTTCAGTGCCTCTTTCCTTGATATAATGTTAAAACCAGGCAATGTGATAACTCATCTGATTTTTGGTTCTTATGAAGGTGTTGTGTGGATGTTTGTTCAATATGGTGTTCCTGTTGGGGGACAGCTGTTGGAGGGTTCTATTCAGCCATCTTGCTTCACCCCCCCAGCTAAAAAAAATTAAGTAAGATATCTTCTTTCCACACTGGAAACATGGTCTGGTGTATGTCAGTGGCTGTTAGTCTTTTAAATCCAAAATGTTTAAAAAATACTCAACTGTTTATGTTTGGAAAAACTGCTGCTTTGTGCAGTAGCTTGAGTATGTGCCATAAAAATTTGATCTCTAGTGCTACTATACCTATAAGATGTTATGGCGGCATTGCAATTATAATAGTTCTGTTGATATCATAATTGCTCTGAAGAGCCATTACAATGTAAATATGCAAGTGCTTCTGACAAGCTGTGCTGTTAAATTAAGCTACCTCAAACAAACTAAATATAATAGTGTGGATATAACAAGCTGCTGAAGAAGTGGTGTTGAAGACACTGCCTTCCTTCTTTGCTAAATGAGTAGGGAATAAGGAAGCAAATTGTTTGTATTTTAGTTTAAGAATTAAAGTAGAACCACAAACCTACAAGGGCCTAAATAGTCATTTAGCTCATCCCTTTTACTTTTGAGAAAAGAGGAAGAGGCACAGGTAGGTTAAATAACTTACTTGAGGTTTCACAGCTAATGGCCTAACCAGAACTAGAATTTGAGGCTTGACTTCTGTTCAGAATTTCTTTCACTAGATAATTCCCATTCAGCAACAAAGTGACTTCAAGTAAATATAGTTGTTCTAAAATACATGTTGTTTCTCCATTTTGGGGAAAGTCTTATTCCCTGTCCTCTTATAAAATCTTAATCATTTTATCAGTCTGTTTTTACTCTGCTGTAAAGAAATACCTCAAACTAGGTAATTTATTAAAAAAAAGAAGTTTAATTGGCTCAGGATTCTGCAGACTGTACAGGAAGCATGGCTAGTGAGGCTACAGGAAACTTACAATCATGGTGGAAGGTGAAGAGGAAGGGGGCATGTCTTACATGGTAAGAGCAAGAGGAGGAAAGAGTGGGGAGAGTGGGGAGAGGTGCCACACACTTTTGAACAACCAGATCTTGTGAGAACTCACTATCATGAGAACAGCAAGGGGGAAATCTGCCCCCATCATCAAACCACCTCCCACCAGGCCCCTCCTCCAACATTGGGGATTCAGTTTGACATGAGATTTGGGTTAGGACACAAATCCAAACCATATCAATCACCATGTACCTTGTTCTTCAAATGAGGGTGAAATGTTAACTAGTTTTTTGTTTCACTGGCAAAACTAACCCAAATTAACAGTAGAATGCTCTTCTCATATAAATAAAAAGATTTTGGTGGGATAGAAGAAAATGCCTTCTGAAACAGTATTGGACTATCCCTTTTCCAGGAGGGTAATCAGGTGACTGCCTGGGAACATGTTCTTTCTGGCCATTGTAGGATAGGGACAAGGAAAGCTTGGGGCAGTGGATTAGTGAGGTCAGCAGAGGCCTGCTAGCCTGGATATTTAACTAATCATGGTATTTGGGAGTGGCCTGCTTGTTGGTCCTAGATCAACTGCATAATGAAAGAACTAAAGAGTTTGAAATGTTAAATTTTATTTTGTAGAGCATTACACATTTTAGTGAAACATTTCCATTGGAAACTGTTGATATAGGCTTCATTTCTCATGTTTCCTTTCCATAAAATTAAGTGTGGGTAAGAGTAAGCAACTCCAGGAGAAGGCAGAACATCTTAATTTAGTGATTTATTAATTAAATATATATATTTTGAAAGGGGGTCGTGCTTTGTTTCCCAGGCTGGAGTGCAGTGGCATGATTGCAGCTCACTGCAGCCTCAAACTCCTGGCTCAAGCATTCCTCCAGTGTCAGCCTTCTAGGTAGCTGGGATTACAGGCAATTTGGTGATTCTTCATTAGTGATTTTAACTAGTGATTCCTTAGAGATAGCTGTTAAGCAACCATTGACAATTATTTGAAAAGTTACGGTTATGTGTACTTTGTAGGAGAATCCTGGAGCACCTTGAGAGGGCAAAACCACAGCTGGCTTCCTTCACAAAGTGGCACTTGAGCTAACCTCAAACTGAGAAAGTAGTAGGAAATAAAGAGGCACAGAACAGAGGAAGACCTTTCCAGCAAAGGGCAAAGATCTCAAAGTATAAAGGAATATGGCTTATTTAAGAAACAGAAAAGGTTATTATAGCTGGGAAGCAGAAAAAAGAACAGGAATGGCCAGAAAAGAGGCTCATGAGAGTGATCATCAGATGATGCTTAGTAATCAGATATTTAATAAACTATAGATGTATATGTATTTGAGGCAGTTTGATTTTTAAAGAATATAGTGGAATGACATTTTAAATTAAAGGTTTTGTACTTCTAAATATTTCACTGAAGAGAGATTAACTGAGAGAATATTAGGAAAGAATATATTGATGTGTGAAGTTAATAATAGGCTTGATAAATTAGTTAATTAGTTGATATTTTATGAATGAGTATATTTCAAAATCAAGAAAGATCAATTATTTTATTTACAAGCAAATGTAACACATGCCTAACTTATAATGGAGTGCATTAAATAATGAAACAGATTGATTTTAGTTATCACCGTCCTTTCCCCAAGATGAGACATACTTGATTTTTTCTTTTCTAATAATTCATTATTATTGAATTAGCTTTGTTTATTCATTCAACATTTTCCTCATTTTTCTTACTCTTGGTTGATTATATTCTGAAAGATTGCAACTTGTCAGTTTGAAAATAATTTTAAAAGTTATTTAACTCTAAATTGGTTGATTCATGTCTCAAACTTCAGAGTAGTTTGCCATAGGTGCTGCTGGGAAATATATACTAACTGGCTATTGAAGTAATGATAGGAGATGATCAAGCAACCAAAGGGAGTAAAACTTGTGACTGAAACTTTTAAATACAATTTTCTGATGAAAAGTCAGCCATTAAAAATAGTTTAGCTCTATTTTTAATGACATAAATTTACTAATGCATTTTATTTGCAAACTTAATAATATTAAATAAAAATCCCTGTATTGCCCAGCCTTAAATAGTAATAATATGGTTACTTTTAACTGGTTTTTATTATACTCTTTTTTGAAAAACTGGTAGTCATATGATAACACATCCCATTACCAGTGTAGGAGTCAAATTGAATATTTGTTATTTTTTATACTTCCCAGATAAATTTATTATTTAGGTATTCACATGTTTCTAATATGGGGTCATGTCTCAAACAGGTGCAGATGCAGATGGACTTTGTAGTGAGCATCAATCGACGGCCAGGTGCTGTATTGGGCACTACAGCACAGTCAGGAGCTTATCAAGACAGGAATGATATTTATGCTCATGAGACTTACAGTCTGGGTGGAGAGAAAGACATTTTAACTAATTATTTAAAATACAGTATCAAGTTTACAAGAACACATGAAGAAAGGGAACTAGCTTTATTTGGTGTGGTCCTGAGCGGGTGAGGGCACCCAGAAAAATCTTTCTTCTGTAAACTACATTTAAGCAGAAAGCTGCAGATAATTACAAAAGAAAAATGGGCTAAGTGGGAGGAGCCCTTGAGGAAAGGCCTTGAAGTGGAGGGAAGTGGGATCAGGTCAAGGGACTAAAAATTCTAGGCAGAGGCCAGTGAGTGAGAGCCACCAAAAGTCAAGTATTGCCACCTTCACCACTCTACCTGCAGAGATTCTTTCTCTTCAGATATTAAATTTGTTGTTAAGATTTTTTTAGGTTCTTTTTACTTAACAGATTGAGAAAAATAAAAAAAAATGTTATTTTCACTGCCTTTTCTTCTCTTATGCCAAACATTGAAGATCATGAAAATTTGCTTGCTTCCAAAGAATCATGAAAAACTGGGATTTAAATTGGACTGTTTCACAAGAATGAAATGTAAAAAGCTTTCCAGGAAAAGATGAAAATAGAAGAAATTATACAAGGAGGAGTGGGAATTATCTTTTTTGTATTTTTTTTAACTGAAGTCAGGGAAGACATCACAAAATATGAACCAGGATTTTCAAAGCTTGAACATTTAGGTATAGATTCTAATTTGCCCACAGACTTAAATTTGCAGAAAAAACAGGCAGGCTAAATGGTGTTTGTCTCAGGCCAAATCTGCCACATTGTACCTACAGAGTCTAGTCTACTTTTGGGCAGGACTATTTTAAAATATGTCAGAAAGTAGAATATGTTCTTTTTTAAAAAACTGAAAAACATTTCATGCTGTATAAACTTCAATTTATTGTCAAAGAATTGTGATTAAATTTCCATTATGCTTCCTGCTGTATTACTTTTACAAACTGCTTCTCACAGGCTAGGCAGAGACAGAGGCAATATAGCTTACAAGTTAGAAAAAGACTCTGACCATAGATTGCTGGGGGTCCTATCCTGGCTCCTCCAATTACTGGCTGTGTGCCCTTGGACAAGCTTCTTGAATCCTTTTTGTTTAAAAGGGATAAATATTATACCTACTTCATGGAGTCAGTGATGAGGATTAAATGAGATAATATGTAATGCATAGAGGAGTGCCTGGCATATAGTAAGCAAAAAGTAAACATTAACTGCAAAAAGACCTTAGACTTCCTGTGTCTGCTCAGGTGCATGCACTAGTACAGTGTAAGTCTGGTACAATAAACCAGGGAGGAGAAAGAGGTCTCTCTTACAGCCTTGAGAGGTGACATAAATTTAATAGTGGTCAGATGAAAGGCTGGTAGTGCTGCTATTGTTTTATTTTCTGTAGAAACTATAGTTAATGGCCCCCCACCTTAAAATATTTTATGAAATAAAAACATTCAGATTATGCCTTGCTAATTTTACAAACTCAAGTTCAGTGAATCAGGGAATGTGAAGCTTTGTTCAGGATTGATATGTAGAGGAGGCTTATACTTGTTCCTGTCTTACTACAGGATATGAGTGTTGATCCCACAAGAGGCTGTGATTTCTTTGAATTTAGGCTTAGATAAAATAACAAAAGGTGAGATTTGTTGATCCTACCTATACTCAATCCCTCATCTTTCTCATTTCCTTTTTAAAAAATCTCTAAAATATTTAAAAATAAAACCATGATATACTAGTTATCATCTGCTCCCTATTTACTGTCCTCCTTTTATTCCTTCTTCAAACCTTTCCTGTTGTCCTTGCTCCTCGACTGCCTTCTTAGATCCTATACTTTCTCATCATCTTAATCTGTGTCCTCCTTTCTCTGAATCCTGCCTATCTTTTCTTCATATTGAAGAGAGAAATGGGAAATGTTAGCTTGGGCCAGAAGTAAGGAGAGAGAAGGAAAAGAGCAAAATGTAGCAAAAAGGGAGAGGTGGTCCTAAGAGACACATTAAATATATCTGGCTTATGCACTGAATCCTCAACTCCGGCTTTTGCTGTGCATTTCTTGGACATAAACATGTTTAATCTTCTATTTGTTTGAGATGATTTGTGTATTATAATTCACTATTTCTAATTAGGCTGATTTTTGTTTCTCTCTTTTTTTTCTTTTTCTTTTCATCAAGAACATAGAAGAAAAGGGACAGAATGAGATCAGAAAAAAAGGAGGTAAAATCTCTGGAAGAGCCTCTCCCCTGTTTGTCTTTATTTTATAATTTTATATTTATTTAGCTGATAAATTACTGTTGCACTCCCAGAGTTCAGATTTGCTCCATCACAGGACCATTTATTTTTCATGTAGGGAGACCATTTACCTGACCTGCTTCCCCTGGTTCGCAGTGGTCCTAGTGAGCTGCTGTCTGACTCTGGCTGTTTAGACCTTTGCCACCACACCCCATCCCAGCCTGGCAGTGAAGATCCATCTCACGATGCTCTGACTCAATGTCTGGCATCCTCCTGAGCGGCAGGCCCGCAGCTCACTTCACTGAACCTTTTTGTGCTAAGACCTCTCCTGAGCCCTGTTGAAAAATGTCAGACAAATTCATGGACTATGTGTATTAGCATGTTATCAGAGAGGACTAAAATCTAAGTTACCATGCTCGCCTGTTGCTAAGCAGTGTCCTCAAGGCGGCCTTAAGCCCCTACTGGGTCTCAGAGGAAGAGCAGTTCATAGAAAGTTTTCACATCCTGGTAGCCACACAGGTAGCTCTCTATGGGCACTAACTTCCTCTGCCAGTCTTTGTTTTTGCTTTCCGCTCTATCTATCAGGAACACCTTTCTTGTCCTGGTCTAATTGTCAGTACCTAGCCTACACATCTTTCCTGACACTGTGCTGGGTCAGTTATACGTGATTTATGTGGCAGAGAACCATGCACACTCTTCTATCACAGGGCTTTAAACATTTGGGTCTGATTTTGTACAGACTGAACTGTCTACTCCTATGTTCCCACCATTCTTGAAACTCCTTCAGAGAAGGCCCATGCTCTCTTTATTTTGAATTACTAGCACTTTGCACATCACTTGGAACCTTGTAGGTAATCAACCCAGTATTAACATGTTGCAAGAACATGCTGTCTATGGTGGGAAGACTAGTAGAGAAAATTTTGGGGCAGGTGACAGAGGTTTTGAGGGGAGGCAAAGAACCACGTGTGGACTATGTAGTAGTATCCCAGATGGTGTTGTTGAAGATGCTGTTTCCAGGATCTGTTCCTAAGCTCAGATAATTATTCTTTGAAGGCATTATTTTGTACATATCTGCAATTAAATAACCTGAATGATCGTGTCTTTATTTTTATATGTGTGGCATAAGAGACAATGTGATTGATTTCCTGAGAATAGGCATTTTTAATCTTACATTTCTATTTTTTAAAATTTCTTCGCTGAAATATCAATTTTGGGTTAAACAGTTTTGGCTTTTATGTGTAAGCTAATATATCTTCTCAAAGTTTCAATCTTGACTTTTCATCATTTTCTCTCATTATTTTAGCTTGCTTGTAGCATTGTGGGTGAAGAAGGTCCATGTAGAGAGGTCATTTCTTTGTCCTCTTGCCCCAGGTGGGACAGCTGTGTCATCCAGACAGTTGGCCAGAATCTTGTAGAGGGACATGATGAAAGCTTGTCAATCTGTTCGTCAGTCTGTGTTTTGAAGCAAATGACTAGTTTAGAAATCCTTATAGTAAAAGTCAGTTCAAATACTAACCCCTTGTTGCTTTATCTCAGTTCTATACTGCACAGAAATGATTTTAAACACTGGCGATTATAAATTGGTGCAAGAAAGAAAATGTAATCACTTATAATGTACATTCTAAATGGTGTGCACATGTATGTTACTATTTCTCTTTGAAATATTATAGTTTCTCCCATTCAGTCCAAGTAGGAAAATAAACTAGGAATAAACAGATCTATGGATTCTCTCTACCATATATTATATAGATATTTGAGGCACATGGTTGATTAAAAATGCTACTAACAATATCTATATTGTTTTGAGAAAAAGTAAACCAAAAATAAAAAATAACTTATACCAGTATTGCATGTTAAGAAAAATTAAGATCTAACATATCCACTCACCTAGTTTCTAATATTCATCTTGTCTGTAGTTTGATCTTGGATAAGAGTCACTTTTTCAATGTTAAATCCAGACAACTCTTTGCTCTTTGCATCTTTAAAATGTTTTATCAAGCATATGTTAGTAACATTTCTGTTAATTGTCTCTGAATATACTGAAAAACTTATGTGAACGTAGAATTGTTACTTAAGTAGGATTGGAGGCCTGCAGAGCAGATTGTAAATTTTGCAATTGCATTTTAGAGCCGGCTCAACCTAGCTTATAATTATTTTCTTGGCTTTTATTCATGTAATGGACATGGGTGGTTTCTGTGAGCACCAGATTGAAATGAATATTGAAGTTTGTATTTCTTTACTTGAGAAGAGTGACTTTTCCAGTTAGGCCCAAAACACAGCCCTCCTTATGGACAAAAATAATCAGAACATTCTTCAAAAAGTATATTTCAGCCCTTCATCATATTAACAATGGAATGAAGGTTGAGAACTGCTCCCTAAAAAAGTGATTCTTAGGGTTTTGATGTGAATTTTTCACATATAGAAATATGGCATAATTGCTTTTCCATCCTCCTCCCCTCCTCTGTCCTATATTCCTCCTTTCTTTCCCTGCGTTTGGTGAGGTTAAGCAACTCTGATGAAAATGTAAAAAGTAAAATTTAAACTTTATTTTCCTTAGTTTACATTAATTTATTTTCTAAGTAACTGTATGGTATATAAATTCCAGTGTAAGAACCAATTTGTATCCCATAAAATCAGTGTGATTTGTACACATACTTCCAACATACATATTTAAAATGTTTATTTATTTATTTTTTAAAAAGACTATTTTTAGAGGAGTTTTAAGTTCACATCAACATTGAGGAGAAAGCACAGAGAGTTCCTACATACCTCTGCCTCCACGCTTGCACAATCCCCTTCACTATCAACATCTCACACCAGAATAAATTATCACCCAAAATCCATTGTTTACATTGGTTCACTCTTGATGTTGTAATTCTATAGGTTGTTTTTTTTTTTTTTTTTTTTTTTTTTTGAGATGAAGTCTCACTCTGTCGCCCAGGCTGGAGTGCAATGGCATGATCTTGGCTCGCTGCAGCCTCCACCTCCCAGGTTCAAGCAATTTTCCTGCTTCAGCCTCCCGAGTAGCTGGGACTACAGGCAAGTGCTGCCAAGCCTGGCTAATTTTTGTATTTTTAGTAGAGATAGGGCCCATGTTGGCCAGGATGGTCTTGATCTCCTGACCTCATGATCTGCCCGCCTTGGCCTCCCAAAGTGCTGGAATTACAGGTGTGAGCCACCGTATAGGTTTTGACAAATGTATAATGACATGCATTCAGCATTATAATGTCATATTAGAATAATTTCACTGCTCTGCAAATCCCCTGAAATATTTATTTTTAATAAGTCTTTAGTATTCCATGGTGTGTGTGTGTTAGCCATAACCCTGTTCTTTGACATGGATCATTTTCAACATTTAAAAAAATTTATAACTTTAAAAAAAATGTTGAAAATGATCCATATGTCAAAGAATAGGGATGTAGCTAACACTCATTGGAGAAGTTGATTTTTTCTTTGTTTTTGGATAATATCTTTAAGTCACAGTGTGCAAAGAAGAATTGGATTGGTGCATAGAAGAAATGTTATAATACTTGTTTCTTTCATCCAATAAGCAATTGCTGAACACCATCTGTGCCTAGTCACTAAGGTTATAGATGTAAATGAAGTATAATTCTTGCTTGCAGTTCTTAGTATGATTAATGAGGGTAGGGGAATATACATGTAAGATAGAAAACAAATACTTGATGCAAAATGCCAAGTGCCATAACAGATGTGAAAAATATCTGTTCTTTTGGTTCCTAGAGGAGGTGTGATAGCAAAGAAATATAACATAGTAAAATAAAAGACAAAAAAAATGTAAGACAAAGGAAAATGTCTTTTCAGGTGGGTCTTGTGGTGGTTAATTTTCTGTGTCAATTTAACTGGACTAAGGGATGCCCAGATAGGTGGTAAAATATTATTGCTGGGTGTGTCTGTGAAGGTGTTTCTAGAAGAGATTAGCGTTTGAATCAGTAGATGAAGTAAAGGTCACCCTCAGCAACGTGGGTGGGTATCATCTAATCTACTGAGGCCCCAGATAGAACAAAAAAGTGGAGGAAGAGTAAATTTGTTCTCTTTCTTCTGGAGATGAGACATCCATTTTCTCCTACTCTTGGACATCAGAACGCCAGGTTCTCAGGTCTTCAGACTCTTGGACTTGACAACAGTGACCCATCAGTTTCTCGTGGCCTTGGACTGAGAGTTATATCGTTGGCTTTCCTGGTTCTCAGGCCTTTGGACTTGGAATCAGACTAAATTATACCATCTTCTTCCCTGGTTCTCCAGTTTGCAGACAGCATATTGTGGGACTTCTTGGCTTCCATAGTTGCATGAGCAAATTTCTTTAATAACTTTCCTCCTATATATCTCTATTTATCTTATTGGTTCTGTTTCTCTGGACAACCCTGACATACATGGAGGAACAGTGAAAAGTTTGGGAACTGTGGGGAATGAGACTGGATTCATAGGCTGTGAGAGATCCTGTGTCATTAAAGAAACTTGAGCTTTAGCCTGTGGACAATAGAGGGTCAGCAGGGTTTACCAGAACTCCTTGTGACAATCTGGGGGCAAACAGGCAAATGGTGTGAATGACAACAGCAAATACTATGTAACCCAGTGGTTCTCAAACTTTGATGTGATTCAGAGTCACTTGGAGAGCTAATCCAGACATAAAAATGAGGCTTACTGAGGTAGAATAGGGCACATACCTCTGGATTTTGCCAAGTCAATTTCCAGGTAATTCTAATAGATGACAAGGTTTGAGAACCACTAATGCATATGTGACAGCCATTGTATGACTCACTTTCGGCAGCAAAGAAACTTCATTTCACACAAAATTAGAACAAGACAATTTAAGTATTTAACAAAGTCACTAAAATAACACCAAAGTAGAATACCATTTATAACTTCATGCATCCTGCTTTCCCCAACTCTCTTTTTATGTACTTAAATGAGTTGTAATATAGACTCTCTATGCATTGATTTCTTTACTTTTACCTTCCTCATGGCCTTGTTATAGTGAGTAAAAAGTTAATATACATAAATTTTTAGAATTGTATCTGGCACATAGTAAGGTTTAAAATATCTCAAATTTGTTTCCTCTAAACTCCTACCCTCCCTGCTCTTTCTCCCACTAGTTTTCTTAGCTCTTGAATTTTTCATGGTTCATCTCTCACTTTCTTAACTGATTCTCGTTTTTGTTTTGTTTTCCTGCCAGCTGCTATATGTGCTATATGTTCTCAGCATAAATCTTACAAGCCCCTCTGGCCTCTCTTAGGCTTCTAGATTTGATAGTTAGCCCGCTTTAACACCACAAAAGGCTTAAGACTTTTTCCCTTAAAATGGAGATTCTAAGAAGATTTTTGTTGTTGTTTGTGTGGTTTTTTTTCTTTTCTTTTTTTTTTTTTTTTTTGAGATAGGGTCTCACTCTGTCACCCAGGCTGGCTGGAGTACATACAGTGGTTCAATCACAGCTCATTGCAACCTCAAATTCCCGGGTTCAAGTAATCCTCCCATCTTACCTACTGAGTAACTAGGAATACATGTGTGTGCCATCACGTCTGGCTAATTTTTAAATTGTTTTTGTGGAGATGGGGGTCTCACCAGCCCAGGCTGGTCTTGAACTCCTGGCTTCAAGGGATCTTCCTGCCTCAGCTTTCCAAAGTGCTGGGATAAAGGCATAAGCCGCCAACACCTGGCCCAAAGAAGGTTTTAATTGAATCATTTTTCTTTTGACTAAAATTATATCAAAAGAATCTTTGATAATAAATACTTCACTCAATTAGATTCCTTTATCTGATAGAGTTTCTGACGGCTCACATACTCCATGGTGGTCCTTAAAGCCCTACTCCCATCATGTAGTTCAATTTTAATGTCTCTTTGACATGAACCCATGCCCATGTTGACACTGTTTGGTCAATAATGATGATGATAATAATTATAACTATTAATATTTATTGCATGCATATTATATGTAAAACAATAAGACTTTTACATGCATTAAACATGCAGAAAACACCACACTGTCCTAACCCCCTTTTAAATATTATTTATTTAATCCTTACAACTGTTCAGTGACATAGGTCCTACTGTGACCCAGTTTGGGAAAGAAGTCAGGTAACTTACAAGCTTACCCAGCAAGTGAGCAAAGGACCTGAGTCTAGATCTGAGCTCCCACCCAACCAATGCTGACTGCCTCTCACACTTCCTATAACTATCCTGCTTTCTGCTAAGTGTATTCATAATAATTGAAAGTATAGTATGTTTCATATAATTCTCAAACCACCCTATTCAGTAGGTATATTGTCATCCCTATTTTATAGGTGAGGAAAAATGAGTCTTGGAGAGACTGATTTGACCAGCTTTGTAAAACTAGTAAGTGGCAGAACCCACATTAAAACACAGGTATTAATAATATGATCTTAGCTCCTGGTATATTTAACAGTATGATAAATGAATCTCTTCCTTTTCTTCAGAGCTAAACTTCTCAAATCATTTCAGCTCCATCTGCTTTACTGGATTCTCAGCCTCTGCATCTCTCCTGAATGTTGACATTTCCTCAGACACGTGTCCGAAGCTCCCTTCTATGACTTCAGTAGCTATCTATGTAGCTATTCTTCCTCTACAGCTCTACCCACATCTTGCTCTTGTGCTCAGACCCATATACCATATACATCTACATTTCACTGGGCTATTTGCACCTCACATACAGGATGTCCCACATAAAATCATCTCCCCAAAAACCTGCTGCAGCTTCAGTTTACCTCTATCTCAGTGATTCATACCACTTTCCTCACAGTTGCCTAATCCAGAAGTTGGGGGATCATCTTTAAGACTTTGTTCTCTTTTATCACCCAAATCCACTTGTTATAAACCTCAAATTTATACTTCCAAATCCACCTAATGTTCTCCATTTCTGCTCTACTATCTTGTGCCACCACCGTCTCTTGACTGAGTTACTGTAATAGCCTTCTAACTAGCATCCTAACTCTAATCTTGTCCCAATCTATTTATTTATTAATACCAACAGAGACTTTTAATATATGAAAAAATAATTATCAAATAATCAAATAACTTATGGTTTATAGGGCCCACCATCATGATGCTGTCACTGACCTTTTCTTATCACTCACCACTTTCCCACCCCATATTCTATATTTCAGCAATACTGAGTTGCCTTCAGTTCCTGGAAGTCATTGCATCCTCTTTCTTTGGAAAAGATAACATATTGTTCTCCTTGCCTCAAAATACTCTTTTCCCTATTCATCTCTCCTCACCTTTCACCTTGCTAAATTATCCTTATCCTTTAGAGCTCTGCTTAGAAAACCCTTCTCCTGCAAGATTATGCTTGACACCCTGAACAATTGTGGGTATTTTTCTATGTATTTTCTGCCAGATGTTCCTAGGTATGCTTCCCAAGAGTCCCCAACATAATTACATGTCGCCTCTATTTCTTCTGTAGACTGAATGTCTGTATTGCCCCCAAATTCATGTGTTGAAACCAAATCTCCATTGTGATGGTATTAGTAGGTGGGGACTTTGGGAAATAACTAAGTAATAAGGTACAGCCCTCAATATGGGATTGGTGCTCTTACAAAAGGAACTTCAGAGAGCTTTATTGTTCCTCCACTATGTGAGGACACAAGAAGAATACAGCCTTCTATGACACTGGATTGATGTTTGGCCCTCACCAGACACTTGATCTGCCAGCAACTTTAAACTTGGACTTCCTAGCCTCTGGAACTCTGAGAAATAAATTTCTGTTGTTTATGATCTATCTAGCCCAAAGAGACAAAAGCATGTGTATTGATGTCTTTTCAACAGTTTTAGAAAAATTTTTAGAAAATTCTTGGTCATTGTCTTTTCAAATATTAATTCTACTCCATTGTCTTTGTTCTCTGCTCATGGTCCTACAATTAATTATAATGTATATTATAACTTGTTACAATGCCTTCTCTCTTATCCTCTCTTCTATATTTTTCATGCTTTTCCTCTCTCCTTCATTATGTTCAAGATATTCCAGTATATCTTCCAGTTAACTAATTCTCATTTCACCAGTGTCTGTTTTGTTTTAAAATGCATCCTCTATGTTCTTAATTTTAATTGTATTTCTCAGTGTTAAAATTGCTATTTAGTTTTGCTTCATAACTATGTCATTTTTATAGTTTCTCATTCTTTGCTTAAAAGTGAATCTTTTATTTATTTGATAAGCATAGTTATTTTAAAATCTATGCCTGGTAATTCTCATATCTATAGCCTTGGTGGCTTTGTTTTTATGGTCTGCCAATTCTATTCATTCTTGTTTATGTTGTCTTGGTATTTTCATTTGCCATTTTTTATTGTTTGTCAGACATCATATTGAAAAAACCCTTTGCAAAAAATTTAAGTCCTATCATGATGTTATTTTTCTTTAGAGATGACTGGTTCATTCTGCCAAAGCATGTGGGTACAGTAGCAATTTGGATATTTAGTAATTGTTTTTCTTGGGGCCATGCATAGAAATGAAAGTTGGACTGCAGTCTGTGCAAGGTTTATGTTACTTCTGATTCACTCTAATTTTCTTTTTCTTTCTTTCTTTCTTTTTTTTTTTTTTTTGGATCACTGAAACAAACATATTGGGGCTCCATCCCATTGTGGATTCTGGCTTCTAACTCCAGGTTTTCAAAAGTACTGCTTCCCTTCTCATCCATCTCTTCTGGAATTGGCAAATGCCCTCAGGGGTCAAGCAACCACCAATAACGGGTTTACTTTTCTGGGTATGTCTGTCATATATCATGGCTATAATTCTTCACTACAATGTTAGCTCTCTTATGCATTCATGTAGATAGTTTTAATGCATTTTATATTTTGAAGCTCTTCTAATTGACCTAAGAGAGTTGATCTGAACTCACTCATTTATCATTTCTGAATGTGGAAGTTCAATTTTGCTTTCTTTTATTTTCTACTTAAGTATGTTTTTAATAGTAAGATGATTCTTAAAGAAGTGTAGAGGATAGACTGGAGGAGGGGAAGAACATATAGTTAACACCAAATGGTTTCCAAAGCAGATATACCCATTGGCACTTCCACTAGCATTAAATGAAAGTTACAGTTCTTCCTTGCGTATTTCTTTAACCTTGTTTGCCTGGCTAAGAATCCCTGAAAACTATCTTGTGTGTAAAACAATGGATTCTGTCTTCGTTATAGGAGCTGAACTTCTGATGTGTGGATGGGAGGGGAGATGGCATATGGCCTGGTGAAATAGGTAAGTAGCTTTTTTGGCGGGGGTTCATGCAGGCTTCTGGCTTACATTAAGAGCTATAAAAATATTGCCTGGTTTTCTGGCACCAGTGCCTACTCAAAATGTATCATCGGAACTTATCTTCAGAACTTATTTAGAATATTATCCTGGGGATAAATGCTAGTATTACCCTCAAATATTCTGTTCTTCAATAATTACCTGGTAGGACCCCATGGCCCTCTCCTGTCTTCAGCTCCCCAGCCCATGTCTGTATCCTTCTCACAATTTCTATGGTTGGCTGGGAAAACGACCTCAATTGGAAGTTCCCTCTTGTCAGTTGTGTGTAGTCATGGGTTTTTAGTCATTGGATTTGCCCATTAATTTATTCTCATTTGTTATATATTTTCCAGGAATTCTTCATTGTTTTTTCTAGCATTCATTTGGTTACTTCCAGTGTTTTAAAATAAAATATTTGTCACAAACAAATGAAAAAACATTCCATGCTCATGGATGGGAAGAATCAATATCGTGAAAATGGCCATACTGCCCAAAGTAATTTATAGATTCAATGCTATTCCCATCAAGCTACCACTGACTTTCTTCACAGAATTAGAAAAAACTACTTTAAATTTCATATGGAATCAAAAAAGAGCCTGTATAACCAGGGCAATCCTAAGCAAAAAGAACAAAGTTGGAGGCATCACGCTACCTGACTTCAAACTATACTACAAGGTTACAGTAACCAAAACAACATGTTACTAGTACCAAAACAGACATATAGACCAATGGAACAGAACAGAGTCCTCAGAAATAACACCATGCATCTATAGCCATCTGATCTTTGACAAAACTGACAAAAACAAGCAATGGGGAAAGGATTCCCTATTTAATAAATGATGTCGGGAAAACTGGCTAGCCATATGCAGAAAGCTGAAACTGGACCCCTTCTTTACACCTTATACAAAAATTGACTCAACATGGATTAAAGACTTAAACATAAGACCTAAAACCATGAAAACCCTGGAAGAAAGCCTAGGCAATACCATTCAGGATACAGGCATGGGCAAAGACTTCATGACTAAAACACCAAAAGCAATTGCAACAAAAGCCAAAACTGACAAATGGGATCTAATTAAATGAAAGAGCTTCTGCACAGCAAAAGAAACTATCATCAGAGTGAACAGGCAACCTACAGAATGGGAGAAAATTTTTGTAATTTATCCATCTGACAAAGGTCTAATATCCAGAATCTACAGAGAACTTAAACAAATGTACAAGAAAAAACAAACAACCCCATCAAAAAGTGGGGCAAAGGATAAGAACAGACACTTATCAGAAGAAGACATTTATGCAGCCAACAAACATATGAAATAAAGCTCATCATCACTGCTCATTAGAGAAATGCAAATCAAAATTGCAATGAGATACCGTCTCACGCCAGTTAGAATGGCTATCATTAAAAAGCCAGGAAACAACAGATGCTGGAGAGGATGTTGAGAAATAGAAGTGCTTTTACACTGTTGATGGGAGTGTAAATTAGTTCAACCATTGTGGAAGACAGTGTGGCGATTCCTCAAGGATCTAGAACCAGAAATACCATTTGACCCAGCAATCCCATTACTGGGTATATACCCAAAGGGTTATAAATCATTCTACTATAAAGACATACACACACATAAGTTTATTGCAGCACTATTCACAATAGCAGACTTGGAACCAATCCAAATGCCCATCAGTGATACACTGGATAAAGAAAATGTGGCACATATACACCATGGAATACTATGCAGCCATAAAAATGATGAGTTCATGTCCTTTGCAGGGACATGGATGAAGCTGGAAACCATCATTCTCAGCAAACTAACACAGGAACAGAAAACCAAACACTGCATGTTCTCACTCATAAGTAGGAGTTGAACAATGAGAACACATGGACGCAGGGAGGGGAACGTCACACACGGGGGCCTGTTGGGGGGTGGGGGGCTAGGGGAGGGATAGTATTAGGAGAAATACCTAATGTAGATGACAGTTTGATGGCTGCAGCAAACCACCATGGCACATGAATACCTGTGTAACAAACCTGCACGTTCTGCACGTGTATCCCAGAACTTAAAGTATATATATATACTAAAGTATATATATATATACTAACAAATGTATATATATATATATTTGTTAATAGTCTTTCATTTTTAGGGAGAGGAGGTAAATTTTGTATACTTAGAAATCTTGATATAGAAATGCTCCATAAATTTTTAAAGTAATTATCATTGATATATTTCAAAATGGCTATTTTTGTAACTTCTGCTATTTATGCTGTCACCAAGCAAATAATGCACACCCCCAAGAGAATCTAAAAATAATAATTGCTTGTATGTACATTTCCAGTCCCCTGTCTGTTCTTCATTGTTTTATCTTGATAGTCTTAAATTTATCTGAAATTAAATGTTCAAATTTTATGTTAGTGAAGCTATGTTATTTAATAAATGTTTAATTAAATAATGTTTACCTTAGTTTTCCTCATTTTCAAATCTGTTTATCTTTTATTAATATTTTTCATCTTCTAACTCCCATGCTTTATTATTTTGACTATTACGTCTGTAAGAATCGTTCCAGGTTTTGAAATATTCTTCTACTTTTGAAGAGAAAACTCTGTTGCTTTTTACTCTCTTTGTAGTATCAATTCTATCCTTTTTACATTTTTATAAATTTTTTTTCAAGCTTTTAAAATTATAGTCTGAGGGAAAAGGAAAAACCCTTATTTTCTTATTATCTTATTATCTCTAATTATCTCTAATTTAAGTATTGATTCTTTTCCTTTTAGATTGCACTGGTAATGTGGTATCTAATTACTTTTTTTTTTTCAATTTAGAGACAAGGTTTCACCATGTCACCCAGGCTGGCGTCAAACTTCTGGACTCAAGCAATTTGCCCCCCTTGGTCTCCCAAAGTGCTGGGATTACAGGCGTGAGCTACTGCACCTGGCCAGCCTAGAATTTTAATTTGGGGGAAGGGTCCCAAGATCTGTGAGGATCTTGAGATGCAGAGATAACTTGTGCTCTTGGTGGAGTGATAAAGGAATTTAGTTCAGATGGTGAGAATAATAGGTAGTAATAGAAAAAGAATGCTTCAGAGGGAAACTAAATATGGGTTGGTTCAACATCCTCCTGTTAGAAGTGAAGATATTTTTAGGCTTAGCAAGGTTGAGAGACTTGTTCAAGGTTGAATAACTTATTCAAGGAAACTAAATTGATGACAGACTTAAAATGAGATACCATGTCTTTTGCATCCTAGAGTAATTTTTGTACATTTAAAACTACGCTTCTGCACAAAGTTTTAGTAGCAAGCATATCAAAGCATTTTTGTAACTGGTTTCTTGGCACCACTATTATCTGCTGCTGTAATTAGATTCCATTTCTTCTCCACTTGTCTTGAGCAGTCTGTACCTTTCCCTCATGTCCTTTGAAGTTTCTGCAAATAGTTAAAAACAATTTATTTTTTACTTAAACTAAGAGAGAAAGAGAGAGAAGGAAAATGAGCACCCATAAATGTTTAACTGTGTCCTTATTTAAAAAATTTTTAAAATATTTTTTAGGGCAAGGTAAATTTTTATCATCAATGTGTTAATATTTAGTTTTCTTAACCTCGAATTCTGTAAAATATTATATATATTTTATGATGAATTTCATTTTACTTATACTATAATTTGATGATTTAAAAATTTCCTATATTACAAATGGTGGCAGTATAAATGATTTTGTAAAAAAGTGGTTTTTAAAAACTTCTTCCTAGATGTAAAAGAAAAAAAATACCCCAAACCAAAAATAACCTTAATGTTATTGTGAATTTTTAATCTTCTGGTATGACTTACTTTATTCGGAAGTAACTTCTCATTAACGTTATTATTTCAATCTTATATGGGGATGCTTTTATTTTAGAAGAATTTGTTGTCTAGTTGGGTGAGTTATTTTTAAATATTTATTTTAGGTTTGGGGGTACATGTAAAGGTTTATTACATAGACAAACACGTTTCACAGAGGTTTTTTTTGTACATATTACATTACCCAGGTATTAAGCTCAGTACCCAGTAGTTACCTTTTCTGCTCCTCTCCCTCCTCCCATCCTCCCCTCTCAAGTAGACCCCAGTGTCTGTTGTTTCTTTCTTTGTGTTCATAAGTTCTTATCATTTAACTTCTACTTATATGTGAAAACATGCAGTATTTCATTTTCTGTTCCTGTGTTAGTTTGCTAAGGATGATGGCCCCCAGTTCCATCCATGTACCTGCAGGGATCATGCAAAAGACATGATCTTGTTCTTTTTTTTGGCTGCATAATATTCCATGGTATATATGTACTACATTTTCTTTATCCAGTCTGTCATTGATGGGCATTTAGGTTGATTCCATGTATTTGCTATTGTAAAGAGTGCTGCAATGAACATTCACATGCATGTGTCTTTATGGTAGAATGTTTTATATTCCTCTGGGTATATACCCAGTAATGGGGTTGCTAGGTTGAATGGTAGTTCAACTTTTAGCTCTTTGAGGAATCACCATACTGCTTTCCACAATGACTGAACTAATTTAAACTCCCAAAAACAGTGTATAAGGGCTCCCCTTTCTCTGCAGCCTTGCCAGCATCTGGTTTTTTTTTTTTTTTTTTGACTTTTTAATAATGGCCATTTTGGCTGGTGTGAGATGGTATCTCATTGTGATTTTGATTTGTGCTTCTCTAAGGGTCAGTGATATTGAGCTTTTTTCCATATGTCTTATGGCAACATGTATGTCTTTTTTTGAGATGTGTCTGTTCATGTCCTTTGCCCACTTTTTAATGGGGGTAGTTTGTTTTTCCTTTGTAAATTTAAGTTCTTTATAGATGCTAGATATTAGACCTTAGTCAGATGCATAGTACATTTTCTCCCATTCTGTAGTTTGTCTGTTTACTCTGCTGATAGGCTTTTTTTTTTTTTTTTTTTTTTGCTGTGCAGAAGTTCTTAAGTTTAATTAGATCCCATTGTCAATTTTTGCTTTTGTTGCAATTGCTTTTGGTGTCTTTGTCATGAAATCTTTGCTTTTTCCTATGTCCAGAATAGTACGGACAAATGAGTTCTAAAATAATTGTAGAAATATACACAATTTGTGTTCCTCTTAAACTTCTACATAGTATTTTTTAAAAAATAAGATTAATTTGAATATAAAAAAACAACCAATTAAGAGTATTCATTTATTGATGAAGGAAAAAACACTAACTTAATCTAATTGTATTAAGTACCATTACTTACCATCCTGGGATATGTGGGCATACAGAAAAGATATATGTAAGGCATAGATACAAGGATAAAAAAGTGACACACACACACTCACTAATGCACAAATACTGACATTTTCTGGCCTTCTCATTCATCAAGTCATAGCCTCATTGGCCTGTAAAATTTATAGTCATACTGGATTTTATACAGTTACTTTAAAACACTATATTATAATACAAATTCATGCCTTTTCCTGTAATGTTCCCTCTGTCTAGAACATCACTCCCCCTTTTCTCTCCTGATTTACCTACTTGATTGCTTACCTAGCTGTAAAGATTCAGTTGAAGGGTCACTTCCTTTATTGCAGTCCTTCCTAGTAACTCCTTCCCTTAATGCACCATTAAAAATAGTCCCTTTCTCTGTGATCCTTCTGTACTGTATACATACACCTTTTGTTAGAGCTGGGACCATTTGATTGCTCTAAAGATCTGCAACAGCAAAAAAGGAGTTGTGTGTCTGTGATCATTTATGGACTTCATTATGTATTAGGTAATTTTCTATATAGAAAAACACTTATTTGCCAAAATCTGTAGGGAAGAATATAAAATATTAACTGATCAACTGCCCCCCACAGTGGACCTTTGTTTTCTTCATTGTGAACTACTTGAGAAGAGGGAGTATGTCTCATTCATTTTTTAATTTTTTTCTCCTTAGAAAGGTATCTTATATATAGAGGAATTCAACAGATGTTTGCTGAATGAATGCATGAGCACTCAGAGATTGTGGTATATAGTGTAATTTTGTTGATTTCCTTGCTTAATGTGCTGTGTATTTCCCATTTGCCCCTCCAGGTCTATTCTCTGCCCTTACCTACTCTTCTGTCTGCCCTGGGGGCCTGACTTTTAAGGCTTACGTTAATGGGCTCTCTTGTCCTCTGGCTCCTGGTTGAGGTTTATCAATGGGGAATCCTGGAAGGAGATTGGAGAGAGGGAGGGTTTATTTCTGGCTCTTTTCTTGTGAGGTCACTTCAGGTTAGTTGTACTCCTCATTGAAGATCTTTGCTCCCCTCAAGGTAGTTTCTCTACAGGATTCCTTCCTTCTTGGATATAGTAACTACTCCCTTCCCTCATCCCTTTGGTCAACGCTTCTAAGTTACTATACTACACCATCTTTTGTGGTTTCTCTACACCTTAGTTATACCTTTGTAATTAGTCCCTTTAAAAAAATTTTTTTTTGAATTACCCTAGTTTGAATGTCCCATTTGTTTCTTTTTAGGATACTAACTGGTAAATCCAGCAATGATTCTGCCTTTTTTCTTTTATGAAATTCCTTTTTTACTTTCAAGAACAGACTGCCACCATGTGTAATTTATGGGGCTGATCCCATCCCACTACTCCAGGGATTGACACATGAATCAGACTCTGCCAGAGTATCCATAGCCCTAGATTGAGTTATTGGTTTATGGGTGGGCTCAGGATCAGAATCTTTCCTCCCCCTTGCTATTTTTGCTAGAATTACTGGAAAGGAGGCACTCTCTCCTGAAATAAGTAAGCCTGGATTGTCTGGAAGCCATCTTTGCCTTCATGCAGACAAAGTGTTCATAAAAATGAAGCCAATGTAAAGGAATACTAGAAGAGGAAGAAGACTTAGGTCAGTTTGAGTTCAGTCTCTGCACTTTGTAGCTGAAAGAATCTCAGTCAATAAATATTATCATTGCCATCCTCAAACTATTGTTGTGTGTTAGAAACTGGGCAAGGGAAAATGACTGTATCTGAAGGATGTGTTGTGCTAACTTATGACAAAAAGTCTAAAGAACAGAGGTCATTTTGTTTCTGCATATGTCTACATAACTATTAACTTGTGATTGTCAAAATATAAACAATAATGATTCTAATTCTGAATGCTTGTAAGTTTATCTGTATTAGGAAACTCATCTGTGTAAAATTTTCTTAATACCTTATGGACTCAATCTTTACCACTAGTCTTATATATTTTGGTTTTCCAGATAGTGTTCTATTTTTCCACCTGGAAAATATACGTAAGCTTTGTCTTTTCATTCCTCTATAGGCCATTATTTTTCAGTAAAGATAGATGGGTTTAGACTTAGTTTGAAAGAATCCATCATATTGACTTCACTTGTGATCTACGTTTTATTTTCACTTAAATCTCCAGAGCAGGAAACCTACCAGTTGCACTAACTCTTCTGTTAGTGAGAATTCTGGATGGCGCAGACAGCAAATTGCCAAATGCAAATAAAATATGCTGTTGAAAATGTTCTGTTTCTGGCTGCACCTCAGAATAATTCAAACTTGCTTGTTTCCTCAAGCAGGAGTTTAAAGTAAGTAGTTTAAAGGAAGTATTTGCTTAGACTTCAGCCAATTAAATATGCTGAGTCTTAGAATTCAAAAGTCATGGTTGTATTTTTATTCAAATGAGCCTAAACATTCAAACCATGTTTCTCTTTTCATAGGAAATAGAAAACAAAACATTGTGTTTATTTTTAAGGTTTTAGAATGAAGATGTTGTTTCTTGATCTATTTAGAAGCTAATAAAAGAGTTACAAACTTAAGTTTGTTAGTGTCAAGTTATTATTTCGGAAACTTTTTTTAAGTTTTTAAATTATTTTTAATTTATGTGGGTACATAGTTGGTATATATATTTATGGGGTAAATGAGATATTTTGATATGGGCATACAGTGCATAATAATAATAACAGGATAACTGGGATTATCCTGTTATAATAATAATAACAGGATAACTGGGATATCTGTTATCCCAGGAATTTATCATTTCTTTTATGAACATTCCAATTATACTCCTTTAGTTATTTAAAAATGTGTAATAAATTATTGTTGACTGTAGTCACCCTATTTTGTTGACTGTAGGTATCCTGTTATGCTAACAAATACTAGATGTTATTCATTCTATCTAACTATATTTTTGTACCCATTAACTATCCCCACTTCCTTCTTCCCCCAACTACCCTTCCCAGCCTCTGGTAATCATCATTCTTCTACTCTCTCCATGGATTCAATTGTTTCCATTTTTTTTTTTAGCTCCCACAAATAAGTAAAAACATGCAAAGTCTGTCTTTCTGTGCCTGGCTTATTTCACTTTACGTAATGACCTCCAATACCATCCACGTTGTTGCAAAAGCTATATATCTCCTTTCTTTATACATTCATCTGCTGATGCTTCCAAATTTGTCTATTGTGTATGGTGCTGCAATAAACATGGGGGAGCAGATATTTCTTCAGTATACTGATTTCCTTTCTTTTGGGTATATATCTGGCAGTGGGATTGCTGGATAAAATAGTAGCCCTATTTTTAGTTTTTTGAGGAACTTCTATACTGTTCTCCACAGTGGTTGTACCAATTTACATCTCCACCAACAGCGTATGAGGATTCTCTTTTCTCCACATACTCACCAGCATTTGTTATTGCCTGATTTTGGATAAAAGCCATTTTAACTGGCATGAGATGATAACCCATTGTAGTTTTGATTTGCATTTCTCTGATGATCAATGATGTTGAGCACCTTTCATATAGATACCTGTTCACCATTTGTTTGTCTCTTTTTGAGAAATATCTCTTCTGACCTTTTGCCCATTTTTAAATTGCATTATTAGATTTTTTTTTCCTATAGAGTTGTTTGAGCTTATATATTCTGGTTTTTGATCTCTCGTCAGTTGGATAGTGTCCAAGTATTTTCTGCCATTCTATGGCTTGTTTCTTCACTTTGTTTATTGTTTTTCTCACTGTACAGAAGCTTTTTAACTTGATGTGATCCCATTTGCCCATTTTTGTTTTGGTTGCCTGTACTTGTAAAGTATTACTCGAGAAATCTTCACCCAGTCCAATGTTTTGGAGAGTTTCTCCAGCGTTTTCTTTGAGTAGTTCATAGTTTGAGGTCTTAGATTTAAGTCTTTAACTTATTTTGATTTGATTTTTGTGTATGGTGAGTGATCGGGGTCTACTTTTATTCTTCTGCATATGGATATTCAATTTTCCCAGCACCAGGTATTGAATATACTATCTTTTCCCCAGTTTATATTCTTAGCAACTTTGTCAAAAATGAGTTCACTGTAAGTGAGTAGATTTGTTTCTGTGTTCTCTCTTCTGTTCCATTGGTCTATATTTTTTTATGCCAGTATCATGCTGTTTTGGTTACTGTAGCTCTGTAGCATAATTTGAAGTCAGGTAATGTGATTTATCCAGTTGTGTTCTTTTTGCTTAAGATAGTTTTGGCTATTCTGGGTCTTTTGTGGTTCTATATAAATTTTAGGATTATTTATTCTATTTCTGTGAAGAATGTTGGTATTTTGAAAGGGATTGCATTGAACCTGTAGATTGCTTTGGGTAGTATAGACATTTTAACAATATCAATTCTTTCAATCCATGAACATGGACTATCTTTCCTTTTTTTTTTGGTGTTATCTTCAATTTCTTTCACCAATGTTTTATATTTTCATTGTAGAGATCTTACCCATCTTTGGCTAAGTTAATTCCTAGGTATTTATTTGTAGCTGTTGTAAATGGGATTACTTTCTTGATTTCTTTCTCAGATTGCTATTGCCATGTAGATGTGTTTGTGAGTTTTGTATGTTGATTTTGTATCCTGCAACTTTATTGAATTCATCAGCTCCAACACATTTCTGGTGGAGTTGTTTGGTTTTTCCAAATACAAGATTATATCATCTACAAACAAAAATAATTTGACTTCTTCCTTTCCAGTTTGGATGTCATTTATTTATTTCTCTTGTCTGATTGCTCTAGCTAGGACTTCTGGTACTATGTTGAATAAAATTGGTGAAACTGGGCATCATTGTCTTATTCAAGATCTTAGAAGAAAGGCTTTCAGTTTTTCCCCATTCAATATGATACTACTGCTTTTATTGTGTTGAGGTATGTTCCTTATATATGCAGTTTTTTGAGTGTTGTTATTAAGTGGTGTTGAATTTTATCAAATGCTTCTTCAGCATCAATTGAAATAATCATATGCTTTTTCTCCTTCATTCTGTTTATATAATGGATCACACTGATTGATCTGCATATATTGAACCACCCTTTCATCCCAGGGATAAATCCCACTTGGTCATAATGAATGATTTTTTAAGGCATTGTTGAATTTGGCTTGCTAGTATTTTGTTGTCAATTTTCGCATCAATGTTCATCATGAGTACTGGCCTGTAGTTTCCTTTTTTCATGTGTCTTTGTCTAGTTTTGGTATCAGGATAATACTGGTCTCAGAATCAGTTTGGAGGTGTTCCCTGTCCTTGATTTTTTGGAATAGGTCGAGTAGTATTAGTATTAGTTCTTCTTTAAATGTTTGATAAAATTCAGCACTGAAGCCTTCAGGTCCTGAGTTTTTCTTTGCTGGGAAAATTTTTATTATGGCTTTGATCTTATTACTTGTTACTGGTCTGTTCAGATTTTAGATTTCTTCATGGTTCAGTCTTGATATGTTGTATGTGTCTAGAGATTTATCTATTTCTTCTAGTGCTTCCAACTAATTTGCTCTTAGTAGTCTCTAATGATTCTTTTAATTTCTGCAATATCAGTTGTAATGTCTCTTTATTCATCTCTAATTTTGTTTTTTTGGGTCTTTTCTCTTTTTTTCTTAGTTCCTCTGGCTACAGACTTGTCAACTTTGTTACTCATTTCAAAAAACCAACTTTTCATTTCATTGATTTTTTGTATTGTTTTCTAATTTTCATTTCATTTATTGCAGCTCTAATTTTTATTATTTATTTCCTTCTATTAATTTTGGGTTTGATTTACTTTTGCTTTTCTAATTCTTTAAGATATATCAATAGATTGTTTATTTGAAGTTTTTCTACTTTTTTAATGTAGTGCTTATTGCTATAAACTTCCCTTTTAGTACTGCTTTCTCTGTATCCCATAGGTTTTTATATGCTGTGTTTCTATTATCATTTGTTTGAAGAAAGTATTTAATTTCCTTCTTATTGTTTTTCATTGACCCACTGGTAACTCAAATGCACAATGTGCAATTTTTATGTGTTTGCATGGTTTCCAAGATTCCTTTTATTATGAATGTCAAGTTTTATTCCATTGTGATCAGAGAATTTGCTTGATATAATTTCTTTTTTTAAAATTTAATAGTTGTTTTGTTGCCTGAAATATAGTCTGTACATATATCCATATCCATATCATGAGAATGATACATGTGCTATAGAGAAGGATGTAAATTCTGCATTAATTGGATGAAATGTTCTGTAAATATCTCTTAGGTCCCTTTGGTCTACAGTACCAATTAACTCCATCATTTATTTGTGGATTTTCTGTCTGGATAATCTGTACAATGTGAAAAGCAGGCTGTTGAAGTCTCCAGATATAATTGTATTAGGTCTAGATCTCTCTTTAGCTCTAATAATATTCTCCTTATATATCTGGGTGCTCCAGTGTTGGGTGCATATATATTTACAGTTGTTATATCCTCATGTTGAGTTGACTGCTTTATCATTAAATAATGACCTTCTTTGTCTCTTTTTATAGTTTTTGTCTTGAAATCTATTTTTTCTCATATAAGTATAGGTATTCATGCTCTTTTTTGGTTTCCATTGGCATGAAACACTTTTTTATTCTTTTATTTTCAGACTACTTCTGTCTTCATAGGTGAAGTGTGTTTCTTGTAGGTAACAGATCATTGGGGGGTTGTGTGTGTGTGTGTGTGTTTTTTAAATCCATTCAACCACTCTTTTTATTGGAGAATGTAGTTCTTTTGCATTTAATGTTTTTATTGATAAGTAAGTACTTATTCCTTCTGTTTTGTTATTTGTTTTCTGGTTGTTTTGTGGTTTTCTCTTCCTTGTTTCCTGTCTTTTTAGTAGTGAAGATGATTTTCTCAGGTGGTATGTTTTCTTTTTTTTTTTTTTGAGAGGAGTCTTGCTCTCTCCCCCAGGCTGGAGTGCAGTGGCGCGATCTTGGCTCACTGCAAGCTCCGCCTCCCGGGTTCATGCCATTCTCCTGCCTCAGCCTCCCGAGTAGCTGGGACTACAGGTGCCTGCCACCACGCTCGGCGAATTTTTTGTATTTTCAGTATAGACGGGGTTTCACCGTGTTAGCCAGGATGGTCTCGATCTCCTGACCTTGTGATCCGCCCGCCTCGGCCTCCCAAAGTATCAGGTGGTATGTTTTAATTTATTGCTTTTATTTTTTCTATTGTAGGTCTTTTGATTGAATGCTACCATGAAACTTGCAAATAATGGCTTATAACACATTATTTTCAACTGATGGCAACTTGACACAATTATATAAACAAACTAACAGATAAGCAAAGAGGAAACTACTAAAATCTCTATGCTTTATCCACCTACTTTTAAAGTTTTTGTTGTCTTATTTATTTTATTCTATTTTCTTTTTCTTGAAAAGTTGTAGCTATTATTTTTGATCCATTCATCTTTTAGTCTTTTTACTCATGGTATGAGTACTTTACATATCATAATTACACTGTTATATTCTATGTTTTTCTTTTTGCTTACTATTACCAGTGAGTTTTGTACCTTCAGATAATATTTTATTACTCATCAACATCTTTTTCTTTTAGACTGAAGAACTCCCTTTAGCATTTCTTGTAGGGAAAGTCTCGTGTGGATGACATTACTCAGCTTTTATTAGTCTGGGAAGGTCTTTATTTTTCTGTCATGTTTGAATGATATTTTTGCTGCATGTACTATTCTAGGAGAAAAGTTTTTTCCTTTCAGCACTTTAAATATGTCATGCCACTCTTTCCTGGCCTCTAGGGTATCCACTGAGAAGTCTGCTGCCAGACATATTGGAGCTTCTTTTTATGTTGTTGTTTCTTTTCTCTTGCTAGTTTTAGGATTCTTTCTTTGTTCTTAAAGTTTGAGAGTTTGATTATTAAACGTCTGGATGTAGTCTTCTTTGGGTTAAATATTCTTGATGTTCTATAACCTTCTTGTACTTGAATATTGATATCTTTCTCTAGGTTTGGGAAGTTGTCTATTATTATCCCTTTGAGTAAACTGTCTACCCTGATCTTCCTCTCTAACTTCTTTTAAGGTGAACAAATCTTAGATTTTCTTTTATTGGAGCTGTTTTCTAGATCTTGCAGGCATGCTTCATTCATTTTTGTTTTTTCTCCTCTAATTGTGTATTTTCAAATAGCCTGTCTTCAAGCTCACTAATTCTTTTTTTCTACTTAATCAATTCTGCTATTAAGAAACTCTGATGCATTCTTCAGTATGTCAATTGCATATTTCCATTCTATAATTTCTGCTTGATTCTTTTTAGTTATTTTAATCTCTTTGTTAAATGTTTGTGATAGGATTCTAAATTGCTCCTTTGTGTTATCTTGGATTGCATTGAGCTTCCTCAAAATAGCTATTTTGAATTATCTGTCTAAAGGGTCGCATATTTCTGACTCTTTGGGATTGGTCAATGGTACCTCATTTAGTATGTTTGGTGAGCTCATGTTTTCCTGAATGTTTCTTAGGCTTGTAGATGTTCATCAGTGGCTTGGCATTGAAGAGTTAGGCATTTGTTGTAGTCTTTGCAGTCTGTGCTTGTTTGTACCCATGTTTCTTAAGTATTTCCTGGTATTCCAAGGGATGTGGGTGTTTTGATATAAGTCTTTGGTCATTGTAGCCATATCCACTTTAGGGGGCACCTCAAGCCAAGTAACACTGTGGCTCTTGCAGACTTGTAGAGGTACCATCATGGTGGTCTTGGGTAAGATCTGGGAGAATTTCCTGGATTTCTAGGCAGAGACTCTTGTTCTCTTCTCTTACATTCCCTGAAAGTAATAGTGTCTTCCCCTGTGCTGAGCTGCCTGGAGCTAGGGGAGAGGTGGCACAAGCACCCCTATGGCCACAACCACTGGGACTGCACTGGGCCAGTCCCAAAGCCAGTGCAGCACTGGGTCTCTCCCAAGGCCTGCAGTGAGCACTGCCTGGCTACCATGCATGTTTACTAAGGGCCTAATGGCTCTAAAATTAACTGGCAGCAAATCCAGTTACACTTGTTTCGTATTTTTCAGGGAAGTGATTTCCCCTCGCCCTGGGTGTGTCTAGATATTCCATCCAGGAGCCAGGGCCTGGGATTGGGTACCTTAGGAATCTACCTGGTGCTCTATTTTACTGCATCTGAGCTGGCACCTAGGCTGCAAGACAAAGTCCTTTCCACTCTTCCCTCCACTTTCCTCAGGCAGAGGAGTCTCTCTCCATGGCCATCCTCACCCCAAGCCCATGGCGAGTGCTGCTTAGCTACTGCCAATATTCAGTCAAGGCCCAAGAGCTCCTCAGTCAGTTTGTGGTTAATGCTGCCAGTCCTGAGTCTGTCCCTTCAGGACAGTGGGCTTCCCAAGGTAGGTCCAGAAATGCCATCTAGGAAACAAGGCCCAGAAGTGGGGAAACCAGGCTTGCTTGGTATTGTACCCCACTGTGGCTGAGCTGGTACCCAAGTTGCAAGACAGAGTCCCCTTTGTCTCTTCCCTCTCCATTCCTTAAGCAGAAGGCATCTGTCCTGATAGCCACCAGAGCTGAGAATGTGCTTGGTCATACCTAAAGGTCACGTGGTTCTGGGTGTCCTTTGATTTTGGTATGAGTGTAATGCTGGTCTCATAAAATGGGTTTGAAACAATTTCTTCTCCTTAAATTTTCTGAAATAGTTTGAAAAGAATTGGAATTAATTCTCCTTCAAAAGTTTGGTAGAATTCAGCAGTGAAGTTTTCTGGTCTTGAGCTTTTTGTTGTTGTTGTTGTTTTTTGATTGAAGACTTTTTATTACTGACTCAATCTTGTAACTTGTTATTGGCCTATTCAGATTTTCTATTATTCTTGGTTTACTCTTGGTAGGTTGTATGTATCCAGACATTTATCCATTTTTTCTAGACTTTCCAGTCTGTTGGCATATAGTTGTTCATAACAGCCTCTAAGGCACCTTTATATTTCTGTGGTATCAGTTGTGATGACGCCTTTTTCATTTCTGATTCTATTTATTTGGATCTTCTCTTTTCTTTTCTTAGCCTAGCAAATAGTTTGTTGAATTTGGTTATGTTTTCAAAAAAACAACTTTTCACTTCAGGAATTTTTTTGTATTTTTTTAGTTTTAATTTAATTTCTTTCTGCTCTAACCTTTATTATTTCTTTCCATCTACTAATTTTGTTTTAGTTTGCTCTTGCTTTTCTAGTTCCTTGAGGTGCGTTATTGGATTGTTTATTTGAAATCTTTCTAAGTTTTTGTTTTATATATTTATTGCTATAAACTTACCTCTTAATATTGGCTTTGCTGTGTCCCATAAGTTTTAGTATGTTCTGTATTTATTTTTATTTGTTTCAAGAAATTTTACAATTTTCTTCTTAATTTTTCATTGAGTCCTTGGTTGTACAGGAGCATGGTGCTTAATTTCCATGTATTTGTACAGCGTTTTGCATTCCTCTTGCTATTGATTTCCAGTTTTGCTCCATCGTTGCCTGAGAAGATATATTACATGATTTTGAGTAAAAAAATTTTTTTGAGAGTTTTTGTGGCCTAACATATGGTCAATCCTAGAGAATGTTCCATGAGCTAATAAAAAGAATGAGTACTCTGCAGCTGTTTGGTGAAATGTTTTGTAAATGTCTGTAGGGTCCATTTGCTCTATGATGCAGTTGAAATTAGATGCTTCTTTGTTAATTTTATGTCCAGATAATCTGTTAATGCTGAGAGAGTGGTGTTGTGGTACTTAACTATCATTGTATTGCCGCATATCTTTCCCCTTAGCTCTAATAATATTTGATTTATATATCTGCATGCTCCAGTGTTGGATGCATTTTTATTTACAATTATTATATTCCCTTGCTGAATTGATCCATTTATCATTATATAATGTCTTTCTTTCTCTCTGTGTACAGATTTTTACTTAACGTCTGTTTTATTTATTTAACTATAGCTAATCCTGCTTGCTTTTGGGTAGCATTTGCATGGAATTTTTTTCATCCCTTCACTATCAGTCTATGCGTATCTTTACAGGTGAAATGAATTTTTTTGTGGGCAGCATATAATTAGGATTAGTTTTTTTAATATACTTTATCGGTCTACATCTTTTAATTGAGGAATTTAATCTGTTTACATTGTAGTTTATTATTGATAGGTGAGGACTTACTTCTGTCATTTTGTTAATTGCTTTCTGGTTGTTTTATCTTTTGTTACTATCTTCCTCTTTTATTGTTTAATTTTGCAGTTTGATCATTTTCTGTTATGATAAAATTTGATGCCTTTCTTTTTCTTATTCATGTTTCTGCTCTACCAGTGAGTCTTATATCTTCACATGTTTTCATGATGGTAGTTACTGTCTTTTTCCTTCCAGATATAAAACTCCCTTGAGTATTTCTTGTAAGGGTTGTCTAGTGGTGATGTATTCTCTCTAATTTTTGCTTTTCTAGGAAAGACTTTATTTCATCTTCATTTCCAAGGGATAGTTTTGTTGGGTGCAATACTCTGTGTTGACGGTTTCTTTCCTTTACCAGTTTGAATATTTCATCTATTTTCTCCTGGCCTTTAGGGTTTCTGTTAACAAATCTGTTTTTAGTCTTATAGTAATTTCCTTGTATGTAACTTGCTGTTTTTAGAATTCTCTGTTTGTTTTTAGCTTTTGACAATTTGACTATAGTGGGGACACAAGGAGGACTTTTTTGGGTTGAATCTATTTGAAGACTAAGCTTCCTGGATCTGGATATCCATATTTCTTCTAAGACTCGGAAAGTTTGCAGCTATGATTTTATTATATACAATTTCTTCAACCTTCCCCATCTCTTCTCCTTCTGTAACTCCCATAATATGAATATTTGTTTTCTTAATAGTGTCCCATAATTTCTGTATATTTTCTTCATCCTTTTTTTCTTGTTTGCCTGTGTTATTTCAAATAAACTGTCTTCAAGTTCAGGTGTTCTTTCTTCTGCTTGGTCTGTTCTGTTATTGAATCTCTCAATTGTATTTTTTTATTTCATTAATTAAATTAAATTCCTCAGCTCCAAGATTTCTGTCTGATTTTTTTTCTTGATAGCTATCTCTGTTGAATTCCTCATTCATATCATCTATTGCATTCCTGATTTTATCGAATTATTTGCCTATATTCTTTTGTATCTCGCCAAGTTTTCTTAAGATTATTATTTGGAATTCCTTTTTTGGCATTTTTTATATTTCATTTTCTTTGGAGTCTGCTACTAGAGATTATTGTTTTCTTTTGGAGGTGTCATGTTTCCTTTCTTTTTCATGTTTATTGTATTTCTACATTAATATCTCCACATCTGGTAGAATAGTTGCCTCATCCAATTTTATGAAGTCATTTTTGTAGGGAAAAACTTATTTTTATTGATGTGTCCTAGGATCTTGATTGAGTGGGGTGTGTTGGCTTTGGTCCTGGTAGAACAGAGTAGTGTAGTCTCTATACCATTTCTTCTGCTGTAATCATGTTAGCAATGTTTGAAAGTGCCTCAGTGTCCTATGCTATAGAAGTGTGTAGTGGTGGTCATGTGCCTTTTTTGGGAATGGGCTAGGCAAGCTGTTTCTCAAACTGGGGTTGTGCATGTGCATGCTGGAGGCCAGATGCATTGTGAGTGTGTCAATCGGGGGTGATTTCGCCAGGCTGTTTCTCTGCTATGTGTGGGCACATGATGTCTTGGCACCTTGGGGGAAGGTCTTCTGGAAACAGGACTACTAGGCTTTTTCTCTAGCTGGGGTTCTTGGAAGGTTCACTAAGGGCAGGTCCTGGGGTTCCAGCTAGGGATGCAGACATGAGGCTGCTTGGCTAACTTAAGTTTGGATACCCTAGGCAGCTCCAGCGGCTATTTCTCTGGCTGGAAACATGGGTGCATAGCAGCTTAGCCAGTCCAGATTTGGCTTCCCCACTGTTCAGGACCAGAGTCACAGCCATTCCTGGGTTCAGGCTCTAAGAATTTGGAATTACGGTATTGCAGCCAGCCATGTAGGCTTCATGGAGTGACCTTGGAGCTCCAAGGGTGGAGAGGCACAGTGGCTACTGGCTCCCAGAGCAGGGTGCACTCTGGCAGTGTCTATCATGTTGCAACATATTTTGCCATGGGGGTGGTGGAGGGTACACAATTTGTACTCCTAATTTGGAGCAACACAGCTGTGTGAATTCCAGGAAACTCTCCAACCTGGGCTCAGGACTTATGAGGACAGTGGAATTCTCTTGTAGTAAGGACTACTGGTGTCTGCGGTGGTAGTGGGGTTGGTAGAGGGTCTTCTGCTTACCTTTTCTCCACAAAGGGAAGCCCTACCCAGCTCTGAACCAATTCTATTGGGAGAACTGGGTTGCCAGAGGCAGGGTGCCTCACTCCTCTCTTTGTGCTGCCATCCTGGGCCTGTGTATTCTGCAGCGATCTTGCCACTCCCTTGCTCTACTCTAGCACTCTCCCTCAGACACTTTAGTTGAATTTTAGTTGTTTATTTATTGCCTTTTTGTTTTGTGAGAGAGACAAATGCCAGGTGCCTGTAGTCAGCCGTCTTTTCAGTTCTTTTTATAGTAATGATTCTAACCTTGTGTTTATATTGCTCTCCTTCTGCTCACTCTCATCCCATTTCCAGATCCCTGGGGTCAGCCAATGATGATACTCTTGAAGAATTTCTGGGAAGGCATGCTGGCCCTGTCTACAATTCCCTTTTCCTGGCACTCTGTGTAAATAATCAGGGATGCACCTGTCTCATTACAGAAAAGCGTATAGAGAAATGATCAGTGTATGGGTTTTGGATTTTAAGAGCAAAATCTATTTTGCAGATTGGTCCTGCTAAGGACAGACCACAGAAAGCTCAAGGTAACATATTAATAAATTTGCTGCAAGAAATAACACATGGCAGTAATTTGCCTGAATGAGTCTTCTTATGCTTTTCCAAGATTTGGAATATTCTATCATCCCACAAAACTCAAAAGTCCAATTCACTTTGAGTCCATTATAGAAATCCAAATATGTAGGAAGGATGTGACATTTGTTTGGTTTCCTAAATCAATTCTTGGTTCTAAAAATAGCTTACATTTTTGTATTTCTGTGAGTTTGCCTTATATTAATCAGACTTCATTGTTCAAAGGGGGTTAAAGAGTAAACATTATGCAGTTGAAAAGTACAGAATGATCGCTTGAGCGCAGGAGTTCAAAACAAGCCTGGGCAAGGTAGTGAGTCCCTGTCTCTACAAATACAAGTAAAAAAATTAGTTGGGTGTGGTGGCACACACATACTTGTAGTCCCAGTTACTTGGAAGGCTGAGGTGGGAGAATTGCTTGAGCCCAGGAGGTTGAGGCTACAGTGAGCTATGATCATACCACTGCAATCTAACACTCCAGCCTGGGTGACAGAGCAAGACCCTGTCTCTCACACAAACACACACACACACACACACACACACACAAAGGAAAAAAAAAGGAAAGGAAAAAGAGGAATTTGAGTGATTATACTCTGTCACCAAATTTGTTGCACTAACATTTTTGGTAGTGGATTTGCAAGTATTAAAATTGCCAATACTATAAGTAGAGTTATTAGTGAAAGAAGTCCCAACTTCAATTCTGTTGGTTTAGTTTTTCCATGGTGAACTTTAGCAGTAGCTACTTTAGGCACTAAGCCTTTATACCATTTGGACTGGTCTTGTTCTTTACTGGCTGTGACCAAATATTTCCTATTATTGTACTTAGTGTGAATTGTTTAAGTCTGTTTTCATTGAGTCAGAAAGAGTGTTCCTAAAATGATACAGCATAACTTTGCTTCAGCCTGAGTTAATTTTTCTTCTCTACCATCAAAAAAATCATCACAAAATTTTGAGGAGCATTATGAAAACTCTTTATTAAGATAAAATTATTAAGATATGAATCGTAGATGACAAAATTCTTCAGATCACTTTGATTGGTATTGGTCATTCTAATGGAGGTAACTGGGGAAGGTAAGAAAAATTGGATAGTGGCTGGGAGCTGTGGCTCACTCTAGTAATCCTAAAACTTTGAGAGGCTGAGGCAGGTGGATTACTTGAGTCCATGCGTTTGAGACCAGCCTGGGCAACATGGTGAAACCCCATCTTTATAAAAAGTACAAAAAATTAGCTGGGTGTAGTGACACACACCTGTAGTCCCAGGTACTCAGGAGGCTGAGGTGGGAGGATCATGTGAGTCTGGGAGGTGGAGGTTGCAATGAGTCAAGATCACGCCAGTGTACTCCAGCCTGAGTGACAGAGGGAAATCTGGTCTCAAAAAAAAAAAAAAAAAAAAAAAAAAAGGATGATATATGCAAGGAATAAATGATGCTGAAAACATAATCTAGTTTGTGCATTTAAAAATTGTATTTCCTTTGAAATAGTGCCCAAGTGTTTTGAAGATACTTAACATGTGGCTATTTGATGTAGAGTTATTTCAAGTCAGCTGCTCATACTTCTAGTCTACATTGTTATATGGCTATCTCCAAAATTAGCCAAGTTCATTATATTTAAGATTATAGACTTTTCTGAAGCCCGTTTTTTTCTTGTTCCTTGTGTTTGCAGAATTGGTATATCCTCTCCAGATGAAATAATTCTTTCAGGAGCCAAAAAGCAAAAACCGAAAGAAAATTTTACATCTGAAGGAAAGAGCCCTCCTAATCATCAGGGAGACATGTAGCTATACCATTGCTATCATGCTCCTGTGAAACAGCAACATCTTATTTTTACTCTTTCAATGTCTTTATTTAGAAATGATGTCCCGTTGTGACATAGAATGAGCTAACATCAGAAATTCCTGTATTTTTAAAGTAAAGGTAAAAATGTCTATCTTGAAACTTTAGCAACATTTAAACAGTAACTTGAAGCTGTTTCAACCACTTAGTACACAGATCAACCATATCTCACAGCTCTGGCTGAAGAAAAAAAGAGCAAAAATTTCACCAGCTTAAATACTTTACTACTTGTATAATCTGTTTTGAACCAAAATATAGAAGAAATGCCTGGGCCTCTAAAAAGCTAATATTTTGCTATTATTATATTTTAATAAACTTCAGGGTAAAAATTATCCCAAACTGGGTCTTTTCAACCTTAATTTTCTACTGTTACTTTTAGTAAATTTTAGGGTCAAAGATTATTTAAAGTCATTATACTCCAAAAAAAAAAAAAATGGCTACTTCAAGTGTCTGGGGCCTTTTGTACAAAATCTAGAAGATGTTCTTCATATCTAATTAATCAATCACCAGAGTGGTTCAATCTGACTATAGGTGTTCTGGTCTGGGGATGCTGCTGTGCTTAGTCCCAGGAGATAGTTTTCAGTACTTTTTGTATCATTTTCCCCACCATAACAGGTCTCTGTTGAAAGTGGTTTCAACTTAATCCACAATGTTTTGGGCCAACTTTCATGAGACCTTCTTGAGTTTGTTTCGAACATACTGGATTTAAGCTGACTAGCGGGCGTATCCAAATGGAAATATCTAAATGACTGTATCAGACCAAGTTCTCTGAGAAGCAATCACTAAGACAGAATTTGAAGTGTAAGAGAATTATTAAGTCAATACCTGTGAAAGATAAAAGCGGAGGGAGCAGGAGCCCATAGGGAATCTTACAGATGCAGATGTGATACCTGTAAAAAGAGAAAGGGAAAAGAGGTGGATTGGTAGGAACAGCCTGACCATAGTGCTGTCTTGAACAAATTTTGGGAAGGCCAGTGAGAGCTCCAGAGAAAAGACTGTCCACCAGAGAAGTCCTGCATTGAGCATGAGTGTCCTGTCACTAGTATTCCCATTGTGTTTGGTCACTGGCAGGGAGCAATCAGGAGAGATGTCACTTCTGCATGAATGCTGTTGTGGTGGATCCTAAAGGTGAAGGTCATCAGCTACCTATATTCCTTGTAGCTGGTTCTTACTCGAATTGGAATCTGAGCCATACTCCTCCATGGCCTCCACAAAGGCATGTGGAACTTGGTTTAAAGTGGAACTTGGGAAAGTTGTTTTCTTAAGAGCTGGCAAAGCATTCATTTTAGGGAGTTGATATGGAAAACTAATTTAATAAGCCAATCGATGTAAAGAGAATCCCTGCAGAAGCCCAATCACTACAAACATACAAATGATAGCTAAGATTATCTGTGTGAAAAAACTCCTTTTATGGTGTACTTAATGAATATTTATTGAGAACTTATGGTATTTCAGATATTGTGAAGATAAAGCATAATCAAAACAGACTACAGTTTTTTCCCTCACAAGGTTTACATTCTAGACAGGAGAGAAAGTAAGCAAATATATAAACAAGTTATATAGACTGTCAGAAGTTAAGTATTCTGTAGAGAAATAAAGCAGGGAAAGTGGATGAGTAATTGGGAGGTGAAGGGTTGCTATTGTAAAAATGGTGTCTAGGCCAATAACACGTTCTGAAATTGAGGCAGTAATTAATAGCCTACCCAACAAAAAAGGCCCAGGACCAGACAGATTCACAGTTGAATTCTACCAGAGGTACAAAGAAGAGCTGGTACCATTCCTTCTGAAACTATTCCAAAAAATTGAAAAGGAGGGACTCCTCCCTAACTCATTCTATGAGGCCAGCATCATCCTGATACCAAAACCTGGCAGAGACAAAAAAAGAAAACTTCAGGCCAATATCTCTAATGAACATTGATGCAAAAATCCTCAATATAATACTGGCAAACCGAATGCAGCAGCACATCAAAAAGCTTATCTACCACGATCAAGTCAGCTTCATCCTTCGGATGCAAGGCTGGTTCAACATATACAAATCAATAAAAGTAATCCATCACATAAACAGAACCAATGACAAAACCACATGATTATCTCAACAGACGTAGAAAAGGCTTTTGAAAAAATTCAACATCCCTTCATGTTAAAAACTGTCAATAAACTAGGTATTGATGGAACATATCTCAAAATAATAAGAGCTATTTACGACAAACCCATAGCCAATATCACACTGAATAGACAAAAGCTGGAAGCATTCCCTTTGAAAACTGGCACAAGACAAGGATGCCCTCTCTTATCACTCCTGTTCAACAAAGTATTGGAAGTTCTGGCACAGGCAATCAGGCAAGGGAAGAAATGAAGCATATTCAAATAGGAAAAGAGGAAGTCAAACTGTCTCTGTTTGCAGATGGCATGATCCTATGTGTAGAAACCCCATCATCTCAGCCCAAAAACTCCTTAAGCTGATAAGCAACTTCAACAAAGTCTCAGAATACAAAATCAGTGTGCAAAAATCACAAGCATTCCAATACACCAACAATAGACAAGCAGAGAGCCAAATCCTGAATGAATTCCCATTCACAATTGCTACAAAGAGAGTAAAATACCTAGGGATACAGCTTACAAGGTGTGTGAAGGACCTCTTCAAGGAGAACTACAAACCACTATTCAAGGAAATAAGAGAGGACACAAACAAATGGAAAAACATTCCATGCTCATGGATAGGAAGAATTAATATCATGAAAATGGCCATACTACCCAAAGTAATTTATAGATTCAGTGCTATTCCCATCAAATTACCATTGATTTCTTCAAAAAATTAGAAAAAACGACTTTAAATTTCCAGTGGAACAAAAAATGAGCCCATATAGCCAAGACAAACCGAAGCAAAAAGAAGAAAGCTAAAGGCATCACTCTACCTGACTTCAAACTATACTACAAGGCTACAGTAACCAAAACAGCATGGTACTGATACCAAAACAGACATAGACCAATGGAACAGAACAGAGGCCTCAGAAATAACACCACACGTCTACAGCCATCTGATCTTCGACAAACCTGACACAAACAAGCAATGAGGAAAGGATTGCCTATTTAGTAAATGGTGCTGGGAAAACTGGCTAGCCATATGCAAAAAACTGAAACTAGACCCCTTCTTTACACCTTATACAAAAATTAACTTAAGATGGATCAAAGACTTAAAAGTAAAACCCTAAACCATAAAAAACTCTAGAAGAAAACCTAGGCAAACCATTCAGTACATAGGCATGGGCAAAGACTTCATGATGAAAACACCAAAACCAATTGCAACAAAAGCAAAAAATTGACAAGTGAGATCTAATTAAAACAAAGAGCTTCTGTACAGCAAAAGAACTATCATCAGAGTGAACAGGCAACCTACAGAATGGGAGAAATTTTTTGCAATCTACCCATGTGACAAATGTCTAATATCCAGAATCTACAAGGAATTTGCAAGAAAAAAACAAATAAAACAAATAACCCTGTGAAAAAGTGGGTGAAGGATATGAACAGACATTTCTCAAAAGAAGACATTTATGTGGCCAACAAACATGAAAAAAGCTCATCAAATAAATTCATTAAAATCAAAAAGATCATTAAATAAATGCAAATCACAATGAGATACCGTCTCACGCCAGTCAGAATGGTGATTATTTAAAAAGTCAGGAAACAATAGATGCTGACGAGGCTGTGAAGAAATAGGAATGCTTTTACACTGTTGGTGGGAACGTAAATTAGTTCAACCATTGTGGAAGACAGTGTGGTGAGTCCTCAAGGATCTAGAACCAGAAATACCATTTGACCCAGCAATCCCATTATTGGGTATATACCCAAAGGATTATAAATCATTCTACTATAAAGATACATGCACATGTATGTTTATTGCAGCACTATTTACAAAAGCAAAGACAGGGAACCAACCCAAATGCCCATCGATAATAGATGGGATAAAGAAAAGCTGCTACATATACACCGTGGAATACCATGCAACCATAAAAAAGAATGAGATCATGTCCTTCGCAGAGACATGGATCAAACTGGAAGCCGTCATCCTCAGCAAACTTACACAAGAACAGAAAACCAAACACTGCTTGTTCTCACTCATAAGTGGGAGTTGAACAATGATAACACATGGACAAAGTGAGGGGAACAACACACACTGGGACCGGTTGTGGGGTGGGGAGCAAGGAGAGGGAGAGCATTAAAACAAATACCTAATACATGTGGGGCTTAAAACCTAGAAGACAGGTTGACAGGTGCAGGAAACCACCGTGGCACATGTATACCTATGTAACAAACCTGTGCAGATGCACATGTATCCCAGAACTTAAAGTAAAATAAAAAAAATAAATAAATGGTATCTAGGAAGGTTTCACTGAGGTGGCAATTGAGGAGAAACCTGAAGAAAGTGTGAGAATTAGGCAGATTGATAACTGAGGGAAAACTCTTGTAAGCAGAGGGGAAGAAGACTCTGGGGAGGAATGTCTTCGAGCAAGGAGGCCTTTGTGGCTGGAGCTGATGAAAAAGGCAAGAATGGTAATTATATTAAATCTTTCGTTTAATAGTTTCTAGGGGACCAGGTTATGTAGGACAAACTGTGAATACTTTGGCATTTACTCATAGTGTGATGAGACTCTATTAAAAGATTCTGAGAGAAGAGTGGCATGAACTGATGAGTTTTCAAATGACCTTTCTGACTGCTATGATGGAAGTGGACAGCAGGAGGGCAAAGTGGAAACAGAGAGACCAGTTAGGAGGCTGTCTCAATAATCGAGGTAAAAAACGTGATGAGTTCATTTTTCTCCCAAGATGAAAAGGTTACAGATAGGAGAGGAAAGGGCAGTAGACACAGGAGCTATATGAAAAGGGGCTGTAATGGTGACATGGCCAGTGAAGATTTATCATTGTAGGGTGAATAATGGACATTTTAAGAAGGTGGATGTCAAATATTACCTTTGAAATTATTGTCATGTTTCTGGTTTTTCTGCAGATTTCTAGTCATGCCTATTTTTGCTTACAAATACATTGTATAAGAGAGTAGACAGGTAGAGCTATATCAATATCAGTAGCTCAATCAATCAATCAATCATCTTTTTTTTTAATCAAGAAAGGTTCTGGGTGTTACAACTGGGTTGGAATTGTTCAGAAAAGAGGGTCCACAGGGTAACAGAAGCTTGAAATCAAACATCATCAGGAAAATAGAAGCTATGGGAGTTGGCATTAGTCTTGGATAAGGCTTTGAATCTTGAAACTGGGAATTGAACAAACCTTATCTAGATTGCAAGAGACTTGAAACCTTCATCTGACTTCTGACTTGAGAGATTTACATTTTTGAACCACTCCTCATAGAGATGATGAATACTAGAGGGGTCCTTGGAGGAAAAACACAAGGGAGAAGAGGTCTGTACTTCATTAATTATTCCAGATAGAAGAAAGAGATGGTCAATTTAGTAAAGGCAGTGAAAGATGGAATGATAAATGAGAAGCAATGTAGCACATTGTGGCAGATTCCGCTTGTTTTCTATCAAATCCACATTTCCACTTCATTTTTACAGAACTCTAATTTTTATTGGATGTCTAAAATACTGTATTCTCTATCCTCCCTTTGCAACAAGACTTGACTCAGTTCTGGCCAATGAGATGTAAGCAGATGTTGGATGAAAGTTGTTGCAGAATGGGAAAGAGCCTGAAAACTGAGCAGACATTTGGGATTAGTTACTTTGTTTTTTCCCCTTTTTTTCTGTCTCTAAGAAGTTGAATATACTATGATGGTTGGGGCTTCTGTCGTCATTTTTGACCATTAAATGCCCTTGAAGATGGACTGTAACTGCTAGGATCATGGAACAAAACATAGGAAGAGCCCTGGGCTTCCTATCTCAACACTTGTTTTATGTGGAGGAAAAATAAATTTATTTTTTATTTAAGTCACAATGAATTTAGGTTTTCTGTCTATGCTAATATCTGCCATGTGATAACTACAGCCACTATTTATTGAGCCCTATCACATTTCAGGCACAGTGCTAAGAAATTTGTATTATTAGCTCAATTAATAATCACAGCAATCCTATGCCATAGGTGCTATGATTTAAAGAGGAGAAAAATGAAACTTAGAAGATGTACATAAATTGCCCCAAATCACACAGTTGGTGTGTAGCAGAGATGAGCTTCAAACTTGTTTGTTTGATTTTAGTGCTTGGGTATTACCTACTACAGTATGCTGTCAGGTGGGGATAAAACTTAATTGAAGTTCTGAGAGTCTTATTTGAAGCTACTATGTTTCTCTAAGTTTAACAACTTTATCATTGACCAAGTGTGCTTCTCGGCTTGTCTTCACTCACATACTGTTTTGACAAATCCCTATCCTACCCAACACCTCATTCTACTACAGTTGTGCTACAGCCCAGTAAGACTTTTAAATCTTGCCAAAATCTGTTTCATATAGTTCTCTCTGATAACAATTCCTAGGTAGAGGGAGAACTATTCTCTCAGAGGGTAGGTCTTTGTTCAAAATCGAAAGGAGGTAACAGCTGGCCTAAAATTATGACTGGCATCTGGTCTCAGACTCATTATGGTTGACCTGATGCTCTCTTAGATTCTCTGAAATATTTTTCCTCTGAGAGCAAAGTTTCTGGGAACCTAAAACACCTGTATTAACTGGTGACCTAAAAGGAACACTTACCTGCTAACTTCCGGGCTAATTTTCAAGTAGTGAAGACAGCAGTGTGCATTAGCTTATGTAGATGTTTTTGTTTCAGAATTAATATAGATTGCAGAGATAAAAGACTATAAAATCGTTTTATTTGTGAGTGTGATTGGGAGTGGATTACGAGAGGGTAGGTATGAATGGAAAGGGTTGCTTAGTCTATTCAAAATTAGGTGGATATTTACCATTTATTGAATGCCTATTAGGTGCCAGATGCCACATGATGTACTTTACTTCTCTCATTTGAGACAACCCTTGTACCAGCCCCTATGAGGTAGAGCACAATTTGTAAATATGATGATGTTCATGACATTGATTGAATTGCCAAAGGTCACACAGTGGGAATTTATGTACAGATCTGTCTCCAAAGTGCAGGCTCTTTCATTTTTATAATTCCATGACAAAGTATTCAGTGCTTTGGAATATTTTGAACAGAAATCTGTTTTTTTCTTCTTTTTCTTTTTTTTTAATTTTATTATTATTATATTTTAAGTTTTAGGGTACATGTGCACAATGTGCAGGTTTGTTACATATGTATACATGTGCCATGTTGGTGTGCTGCACCCATTAACTTGTCATTTAGCATTAGGTATATCTCCTAATGTTATCCCTCCCCCCTCCCCCCTCCCCTGACCCCACAACTGTCCCCAGAGTATGATGTTCCCCTTCCTGTGTCCATGTGTTCTCATTGTTCAATTCCCACCTATGAGTGAGAACATGTGGTGTTTGGTTTTTTGTCCTTGCGATAGTTTGCTGAGAATGACGGTTTCCAGTTTCATCCATGTCCCTACAAAGGACATGAACTCTTCATTTTTTATGGCTGCATAGTATTCCATGGTGTATATGTGCCACATTTTCTTAATCCAGTCTATCGTTGTTGGACATTTGGGTTGGTTCCAAGTCTTTGCTATTGTGAATAGTGCCGCAATAAACATACGTGTGCGTGTGTCTTTACAGCAGCTGATTTATAATCCTTTGAGTATATACCCAGTAATGGGATGGCTGGGTCAAATGGTATTTCTAGTTCTAGATCCCTGAGGAATCGCCACACTGACATCCACAATGGATGAACTAGTTTAGAGTCCCACCAACAGTGTAAAAGTGTTCCTATTTCTCCACATCCTCTCCAGCACCTGTTGTTTCCTGACTTTTTAATGATCGCCATTCTAACTGGTGTGAGATGGTATCTAATTGTGGTTTTGATTTGCATTTCTCTGATGGCCAGTGATGATGAGCATTTTTTCATGTGTTTTTTGGCTGTGTAAATGTCTTCTTTTGAGAAGTGTCTGTTCATATACTTCGCCCACTTTTTGATGGGGTTGTTTGTTTATTTCTTGTAAATTTGTTTGAGTTCATTGTAGATTCTGGATATCAGCCCTTTGTCAGATGAGTAGATTGTGAAAATGTTCTCCCATTCTGTAGGTAGCCTGTTCACTCTGATGGTAGTTTCTTTTGCTGTGCAGAAGCTCTTTAGTTTAATTAGATCCCATTTGTCAATTTTGGCTTTTGTTGCCATTGCTTTTGGTGTTTTAGACATGAAGTCCTTGCCCATGCCTGTGTCCTGAATGGTAATGCCTAGGTTTTCTTCTAGGGTTTTTATGGTTTTAGGTCTAACATGTAAATCTTTAATCCATCTGGAATTAATTTTTGTATAAGGTGTAAGGAAGGGATCCAGTTTCAGCTTTCTACATATGGCTAGCCAGTTTTCCCAGCACCATTTATTAAATAGGGAATCCTTTCCCCATTGCTTGTTTTTCTAAGGTTTGTCAAAGATCAGATGGTTGTACATATGCGGCATTATTTCTGAGGGCTCTGTTCTGTTCCATTGATCTATATCTCTGTTTTGGTACCAGTACCATGCTGTTTTGGTTACTGTAGCCTTGTAGTATAGATTGAAGTCGGGTAGCATGATGCCTCCAGCTTTGTTCTTTTGGCTTAGGATTGACTTGGCGATGCAGGCTCTTTTTTGGTTCCATATGAACTTTAAAGTAGTTTTCTCCAATTCTGTGAAGAAAGTCATTGGTAGCTTGATGGGGATGGCATTGAATCTATAAATTACCTTGGGCAGTATGGCCATTTTCATGATATTAATTCTTCCTATCCATGAACATGGAATGTTCTTCCATTTGTTTGTATCCTCTCTTATCTCATTGAGCAGTGGTTTGTAGTTCTCCTTGAAGAGGTCCTTCACATCCCTTGTAAGTTGGATTCCTAAGTATTTTATTCTCTTTGAAGCAATTGTGAATGGGAGTTCACTCATGATTTGGCTCTCTGTTTGTCTGTTGTTGGTGTATAAGAATGCTTGTGATTTTTGTACATTGATTTTGTATGCTGAGACTTTGCTGAAGTTGCTTATCAGCTTAAGGAGATTTTGGGCTGAGACAATGGGGTTTTCTAGATATACAATCATGTCATCTGCAGACAGGGACAATTTGACTTCCTCTTTTCCTAATTGAATACCCTTTCTTTCCTTCTCCTGCCTAATTGCCCTGGCCAGAACTTCCAACACTATGTTGAATAGGAGTGGTGAGAGAGGGCATCCCTGTGTTGTACCAGTTTTCAAGGGAATGCTTCCAGTTTTTGCCCATTCAGTATGATATTGGCTGTGGGTTTGTCAAAAATCCTCAATAAAATACTGGCAAACCGAATCCAGCAGCACATCAAAAAGCTTATCCACCATGATCAAGTGGGCTTCATCCCTGGGATGCAAGGCTGGTTCAACATACGCAAATCAATAAATGTAATCCAGCATGTAAACAGAACCAAAGACAAAAACCACATGATTATCTCAATAGATGCAGAAAAGGCCTTTGGCAAAATTCAACAACCCTTCATGCTAAAAACTCTCAATCAATTGGGTATTGATGGAATGTATCGCAAAATAATAAGAGCTATCTATGACAGAAATCTGTTTTATAGAACTTCAGGAATATTAAAGACTAAATTGCTGCTTGTAAACAACTCTGGATCACTGACTGTGGTTTGTTTTGATGTGTCCGGATACCACATCCTTCTCTTTCTTGCTCCTACTCTTTGACTACTTCATATATGGTTGAAGAAAGAATACAGTTAATTAATTTTTTTATTATTAATTGCTTTGGCAAAAGTTTTGATGTGGAAGGAAATGGAAATTACTTATTAAAATGAACTTTGTTATCTTTCAATTTCATTTAATGGTACATTACCATTCTTCATCCCCATGATTTCTTGAATTGACTTAGTTTTAAAAAAACCCTTGAAATTGCTCGCATTTAAGCAAATGAATACAGGATTGTTTATACAAATAAGAAAACTAAATTATATTTGCTTATAATGGTTTATAATTACCCTAATGGTCACACAAAGAAATAAAGTACAGTCATGTGCTGCAGAATGGCATTTTATTCAATGACGGACTGACCGCACATACGACGGTGGTCCCATAAGGTTATAATATCATATTTTAACTGTACATTTTCTATGTTTAGATATGTTTAGATGCACAAATACTTACCATTGCACACAATTGCCTGCAACATTCCCTACAGTATTTAATTTGCTGTACAGATTTATAGCCTAGGAGCAATATATACTATATAGCCTAAGTGTGTAAATTATACTACCTAGGTTTGTGTGAGTATACTCCATGATGTTTGCATAATGAAGAAATTGCCTAACAATGCATTTCTCAGAATGTATCCCCGTTGTTAAGTGACACATGACTGTAAATCTTTAAAGCAACCAACTGTGTTGCTAGGTGAAGAGGGCCAATAGCCACAAAATAGTAGTCTTCGATCTGGGACGGCTGAGTGTGGCAGAGTCTCAATGGAAGGTCATCTTGGTACACTTGATGGCTGACCTGGCTATTTGTACAGTTGATGCTTAAAATCCTTAGCAGTATTCATAAGATTATATCACCATTAATAGTAACACACATACTGCAGTATACTCTAAAGTTTCTACTTCAAAGAAATTTGTCATTTGCTAAATTTTACATAAAGGCAAAGCAACATTGACTATTTTAGTAGCTATAAAAAATGTATGCCCTTACTGGCTATCCTCTGTGGAAACTTTGAATTGACAATTAATTTGGAATTTCATTTATTATATTGTTCCAGCTAATGCAGTTTGAAGAAAGCAATAATCAAACTCTTGAGTTTTTTCTCTTTATATTAAAATAAGGTAAGTGTTTTTCAGTTTTCTTTATGGATTGATATTGACTACATGTTATTACTGACTTATGAAATTATACAATAAATTGTTCATGTGTGTAGAACATTTGTCTCTTTGAAGGTATATAAGGGATAGAGAAAATATCTAAGTATTTACAAAGTATTTGATGAGATTAAATAATCCTATTACCACTAATTTGTTGCTGGTGGCATTTGTGGGCAAATATGTAAGAAAAAGAGGGTTGATGTACAGATTCAGCCTCTTGGGCCTTCGGCCTGCCATTTTGACAAAATACAAAAGCTTTCCTAGAGCTGAAGGACAAGTGGGAATCATGTACTTCCACTGCAAAAAAAAAAAATTTGTTTGAGGGTATAATTTTGCCTGGATTTTCTTTGATTTATAAAGGATTACTTGCCTGGCTTTGTTTGTTATACAAATATAGGTGACATTTGTAGCATGTGTTCTAGGATTTGGTTGCAAAAAATTTTGTGAGGGACTTAAGTGGCTATTCCCTGAAATACCAGGTGTGAAGAAAGTAATTGCAGGAGACAAAATAGTTGCTTGAATAATGAATTTTTCTCATTCCTTCTCCCCAGGATTTCAAATTGGAGAATATTAGGGTAGCCTCAGTCAAGGTTCAGCGGCAAAGGCAGGAAATAGGGCTTAAGAAATAAAATGACCTTTAAGAAAGATAGAGTCCTGGTTGGACAGGCCTAACATAAAGGACCAAAGGTTTGTGAAAGACAACTGGTTTTCTAACAGTTTGTGTGTGGCTGAGACCAGTTACCCTAGTGTGGCGGTTTGCAAACTGGCATGCATAGGACTCTCTTGGAGGGATTGGTAAACACCGATATTTGAGCCTCACACCCAGGCTTTCCCGTAGTTTTCTATCTAGGGCAACTATAGCTTTACAAAGTGTATGTCTTAAATTATAATATTGGAAAGTCAAAATTCCTCCTGGATCCATGGGCTGAAGAATGGATATTGTATTAGCAGGTATGAAAACAACATTAATCTTCTTGTACCCCTCCATCAGAACCCTTGGGTAACAAGGTATATTGTCAATGAGCAGTAACATTTTGAAAAAAAATCTTTTTTCTAAGCAGTAGGTCTCCATAGTGGGCTTAAAAATATTCAGGAGACCATCCTGTAATCAGATGTGTGGTCATCCAGGCTTTGTTTTTCTGTTTACAGAGCACATGCAGAGTAGATTTAGGTTAATTTTTAAGGGCCCTAGGATTTTCAGAATGGTAAATGAGCATTGCATCAACTTCAGGTCACAAGCTGCATTAGCCCCTATCAAGAGAGTCGGCCTGTTATTTGAAGCTTTAAATCCAGGCATTGACTTCTCTTCTTTAGCTATGAAAGTCCTAGACAACATCTTCTTCCAATCGAAGGCTGTTTTGTCTATATTAAAAATCTATTGTTTAGTGTAGCCACCTTCATCAATGATCTTAGCTAGATTTTTTGGGATAACTTGCTGCAACTTCTGCATCAGCACCTGTTGCTTAACTTGCACTTGTATGATACGAAGATGGCTTCTTTCCTTAAACCTCAAGAACCAACCTGTGCTAGCTTCATACTTTTCTTTTGCACCTTCCTCACCTCTCTCAGCCTTGACTGAATTGAAGAGAGTTAGAGACTTGCACTGGATTGGACTTTGGCTTAAGGAAATGTGGCTGGTTTGATTTTCCATCTAGACCGCTAAAACTTTCTCCATATCAGTAATATGGTTGTTTTGCTTTCTTATTATTTGTATTTACTGGAGTAGCACTTAGAATTTATTTATTTTATTTTATTTATTTAATTTTTTTTGAGACGGAGTCTCGCTTTGTCATCCAGGCTAGAGCGCAGTTGTGTGATCTTGGCTCACTGTAACCTCTGCCTCCCGGGTTCAAGCAATTCCTTGCCTCAGCCTTCTGAGTAGCTGGGATTACAGGCGTTTGCCACCACGCCCGGCTAATTTTTGTATTTTCAGTAGAGATGGGGTTTCACCATCTTGGCCAGGCTGGTCTTGAACTCCTGACCTCGTGATCCACCTGCCTCGGCTTCCCAAAGTGCTGGGATTACAGGCGTGAGCCACCGTGCCTGGCCTGAATTTATTTTAAGAACTTTTTCTTTGCATTCTGAACTTGGGTGTTTGGTGCAAGAGGCCTAGCTTTCTGCTTATCTTGGTTTTCGACATGCCATCCCTATTAAGCTTATTTCTAGCTTTGATTTAAGGTGAGAGATGTGCAACCCTCCCTTTCACTTGAACACTTAGGGGCTATTGTAGGGTTATTAAGTGGCCTAATTTCAATAGTGTTGTGTTCCAGGGAATAGAGAGGCCTGAGGAGAGGGAGACAGATGGGGGAACAGCCGGTAGGTGGAACAGTCAGAACACACTCAACATTTATGAAGTTCCTCATTCTATATGGACATCATTCATGGCTCCCACAAACAATTGTAATAGTGTCATCAAAGATCACTGCCCACAGATCATTATACATAATAGTAATGAAAATGTTGGAATTATTGTGAGAATTACCAGAATGTGACACAGAGACAGGAAGTGTGCACATGTTGAAAAAATGGCACTGATCGGCTTGGCTTAAGGCTGAGTTGCCACAAAACTTCAATTTGTAAAAAGCTGAATATCTGTGAAGTGCAATGAAAGGAGGTATGCCTATACATCATAGTTGATATGATCTGTTTAGAGTAAATACATTTATGCATATTGAAATTCTCTTCTCATGTTCTGCATTTATCTACATAAAAATGTAGTGTACTAAGTTTATTTAATTGACTAATTACTATTGCATTATCTTTCAGCCTTTGTCTTTTTTCTCCTTCTCTATTTGGTGGATCATTTTACTCCTCCCATTATTTTATCTGTTAATTTGACTTGGCTTTATAGTCAAATGTTCACTCAGTTAATAATATAAAACCTTTCTGATATATTTTTGGTCGTTTTACTGTCTACACCTTAGCTAGATAATACAAAGTCGAAGACGTTTCACACTTTTTGAAACTTTCATTGCTTCTCTTAATTTTCACATAGTTTAATTTTTACTCACCTATTATTAGTCTCTGTAGAATTTGTCTCATGAAAGAACAACATCGATGCATTTTTGGCATAGTTTTCTTTATTGCTAGGACATAGTATGCTCGGTAGTGTAGGCAATAAATTGGCTTTGTTTTAGTAACTACCAGCAAAAGTTCTACATAACTACATAATTTAAAAAATTTTTAAGAATTGAAATCTCTCGAAATGTTGATCTTGTGAGATTACACAACGTTTACATATTAAGGTCTCAATAAAGATTTTGTTCAAATATGTTTCTAAGCCTCTTTATGGGCTTTAGATCTGTCCATATTAGTAATCTTCTTTGGAAACAGAATCAGGAAAGGACCTCTTCTAAAGACTCTTTGGGTTAAACTACCTTAAAAGAGAAGCACTCTTGTGGACCTGATAAAGGTGAATTTTGCAAGTTTTTGCGTTTTATTCAAGGCAAGGAATTTAGACAGAAGAACCATAGGAGAAACACTTGCTTTGAGTTTCTGAGTTAGGCAGAAAATGTGTTCACAGTGGCTCTGGTCTTTGTAAATATAGAACAAATTAAAGAATTAGTAGTGTAATTAATTAATAATGCTATGAGAGAACATTTCTCACTAATTCTTCTGTAACTCAGAAGTTCACACTAAAGTTGGAAGCTATGCTGCCCTGTGGAGCCCATTCCTTTTATATTGCCTGCTACTTGTTGGAGTGCCTGTCTCTGCTTGGTAAAAAGAGCATCAGGCTGAGTCTTCAGGAGGAAAACCCCAACAGTGTTTAATTAGATAGGTAAACTTCCACGTTTGATCATGCAGCTGGAAAACTTAATAGTGAATTAAATGTTGGACGTATACATTGTCATTGCCCATCTGTTTGCAACCAAACATAAACTAGAGAACACTCTCCTAGCTTCTTTACCTCACTGATAAGGTCAGAAAATGTTTGAATGGAAGCACCAGAAAGACTTTTCTGTGAGGGAAATGATTACACATGAAAGTGTAAATTCTGGTTCTGTTCATGCTAGTTTATTTTATAGTCTTCAGCTTCCTGTAGGAGAATACAATTCACTTGAAAGAAAATAGCGTAGAGGAGGAAGTGAGGAACTGCACAAGGGCAGAAATCAGCAGGGCAGTGTGGGTGATGCATGTGTGCATGCACATGTATGCGTGTAGGGAGCAGGAGAGCTGGAAATGTGGGTCAGGAATGAAATAAGAAAGGTGTTTTTTTTTTTTTTTTAAAAACACAATATTGTAAGAGTTAATATTTATTAAAAATTCACATGTAGTTATAGTAAATACATGAACTGAAAATATAATTATAGAAACAATGGATTATTTTATAAAACTAAAACGGGTAATACAATATTCTTTTTTTTTTTTTTTTTTTTTTTTTGAGATGGAGTTTTGCTCTGTCGCCCAGGCTGGAGTGCAGTGGCGTTATCTCGACTCACTGCAAGCTCCGCCTCCCGGGTTCACGCCATTCTCCTGCCTCAGCCTCCCGTGTAGCTGGGACTACAGGCGCGCGTCACCATGCCCGGCTAATTTTTTTTTGTATTTTTAGTAGAGACGGGGTTTCACCGTGTTAGCCAGGATGGTCTCGATCTCCTGACCTCGTGATCCGCCCGTCTCGGCCTCCCAAAGTGCTGGGATTACAGGCGTGAGCCACCGCGCCCGGCCACAATATTCTTAAAGTTGCTTCAGTGAGGTCACACATTTTCCCTATTATAGCTATTTCTTACAGTCTTCTTTTAAAATATAACTTTTTTTCATTATTCTTTTCAGTTAGGGAAAGATGGCTGTGTCTCCAAGTTTATTAACAGAGATGCTTTTGAGTTAAATCGGGAAGGATACTGGAGGTTCCTCAAAGTGCATGCTCTTGTTACAGAAGACGGAACAGGTAATGCTTTCTTTAAGAAGCCAGACCCCAATGGATATCACTGTCTCATTCGAATTGTTACCTGATTGCCAACTATACAATGTTAATACAATCATTTTCCCTGAGGGCTTTTCACTGGGTTCGTCTGATTCAAATTCTGAATGTTTCATATATCAACCAAAATTTTCACACACATGTTGATGTATGGTCAAGTACTAAATTCAAATAAGGCTACAATAGAAGTAAGAATGCCAACTTTTTTTCCCATTAAATTTGTGATAATTTATTACACAGTAATACAAAACAAATACAATCCCAATGCTTTATCTGAGTCATAGAAATTTTGTTCTCTAGGAAAGAAAACATAATTATATAGTTTTAGGAAAATTTACTAATTCTTATTTCTTTTTTTATTATTATTATACTTTAAGTTTTAGGGTACATGTGCACAATGTGCAGGTTAGTTACATATGTATACATGTGCCATGCTGGTGTGCTGCACCCATTAACTCGTCATTTACCAACCAAAAAGAGTCCAGGACCAGATGGATTCACAGCCGAATTCTACCAGAGGTACAAGGAGGAACTGGTACCATTCCTTCTGAAACTATTCCAATCAATAGAAAAAGAGGGAATCCTCCCTAACTCATTTTATGAGGCCAGCATCATCCTGATACCAAAGCCGGGCAGAGACACCACCAAAAAAGAGAATTTTAGACCAATATCCTTGATGAACATTGATGCAAAAATCCTCAGTAAAATACTGGCAAACCAAATCCAGCAGCACATCAAAAAGCTTATCCACCATGATCAAGTGGGCTTCATCCCTGGGATGCAAGGCTGGTTCAATATACGCAAATCAATAAATGTAATCCAGCATATAAACAGAACCAAAGACAAAAACCACATGATTATCTCAATAGATGCAGAAAAGGCCTTTGACAAAATTCAACAACCTTCATGCTAAAAACTCTCAAGAAATTAGGTATTGATGGGACGTATCTCAAAATAATAAGAGCTGTCTATGACAAACCCACAGCCAATATCATACTGAATGGGCAAAAACTGGAAGCATTCCCTTTGAAAATTGGCACAAGACAGGGATGCCCTCTCCCACCACTCCTATTCAACATACTGTTGGAAGTTCTGGCCAGGGCAATTAGGCAGGAGAAGGAAATAAAGGGTATTCAATTAGGAAAAGAGGAAGTCAAATTGTCCCTGTTTGCAGACGACATGATTGTATATCTAGAAAACCCCATTGTCTCAGCCCAAAATCTCCTTAAGCTGATAAGCAACTTCAGCAAAGTCTCAGGATACAAAATCAATGTACAAAAATCACAAGCATTCTTATACACCAATAACAGTCAGAGAGCCAAATCATGAGTGAACTCCCATTCACAATTGCTTCAAAGAGAATAAAATACTTAGGAATCCAACTTACAAGGGATGTGAAGGACCTCTTCAAGGAGAACTACAAGCCACTGCTCAATGAAATAAAAGAGGATACAAAGAAATGGAAGAACATTCCATGCTCATGGGTACGAATAATCAATATCGTGAAAATGGCCATACTGCCCAAGGTAATTTATAGATTCAATGCCATCCCCATCAAGCTACCAATGCCTTTCTTCACAGAATTGGAGAAAACTACTTTAAAGTTCATATGGAACCAAAAAAGAGCCCGCATTGCCAAGTCAATCCTAAGCCAAAAGAACAAAGCTGGAGGCATCACACTACCTGACTTCAAACTATACTACAAAGCTACAGTAACCAAAACAGCATGGTACTGGTACCAAAACAGAGATATAGATCAATGGAACAGAACAGAGCCCTCAGAAATAACGCTGCATATCTACAACTATCTGGTCTTTGACAAACCTGAGAAAAACAAGCAATGGGGAAAGAATTCCCTATTTAATAAATGGTGCTGGGAAAACTGGCTAGCCATATGTAGAAAGCTGAAACTGGATCCCTTCCTTACACCTTATACAAAAATTAATTCAAGATGGATTAAAGACTTAAACGTTAGACCTAAAACCATAAAAACCCTAGAAGAAAACCTAGGCATTACCATTCAGGACATAGGCATGGGCAAGGACTTCATGTCTAAAACACCAAAAGCCAAAATTGACAAATGGGATCTAATTAAACTAAAGAACTTCTGCACAGCAAAAGAAACTACCATCAGAGTGAACAGGCAACCTACAAAATGGGAGAACATTTTCACAACCTACTCATCTGACAAAGGGCTAATATCCAGAATCTACAATGAACTCAAACAAATTTACAAGAAAAAAACAAACAACCCCATCAAAAAGTGGGCAAAGGATATGAACAGACACTTCTGAAAAGAAGACATTTATGCAGCCAAAAGACACATGAAAAAATGCTCATCATCACTGGCCATCAGAGAAATGCAAATCAAAACCACAATGAGATACCATCTCACACCAGTTAGAATGGCAATCATTAAAAAGTAAGGAAACAACAGGTGCTGGAGAGGATGTGGAGAAACAGGAACACTTTTACACTGTTGGTGGGACTCTAAACTAGTTCAACCATTGTGGAAGTCAGTGTGGTGATTCCTCAGGGATCTAGAACTAGAAATACCATTTGACCCAGCCATCCCATTACTGGGTATATACCCAAAGGACTATAAATCATGCTGCTATAAAGACACATGCACACGTATGTTTATTGCAGCACTATTCACAATAGCAAAGACTTGGAACCAACCCAAATGTCCAACAACGATAGACTGGATTAAGAAAATGTGGCACATATACACCATGGAATACTATGCAGCCATAAAAAAGGATGAGTTCATGTCCTTTGTAGGGACATGGATGAAATTGGAAATCATCATTCTCAGTAAACTATCGCAAGGACAAAAAACCAAACACTGCATGTTCTCACTCATAGGTGGGAATTGAACAACGAGAACACATGGACACAGGAAGGGGAACATCACACTCTGGGGACTGTTGTGGGGTGAGGGGAGCGGGGAGGGATAGCATTAGGAGAAAGGTCTTTTTATCTATGCAGAGCAACTTGTACATTGACCTAGGCCTGCGGTTTCAGACAGTGCTCCAAGAGCCCTTTCAGGCACCTGTGTGGTAGTGGGAGGGAATGGGGCTTTGGAATCCTTATCTTCATTTCAGTCAGCGTTAATATACATATTGTATAAATTTTGTTTCTTCTTATCCTCTTTGTTAAACAAAGTGCTTTGCAGCTTTCATATTTACCCTTGGTGGTTATGCCTTTGTTCCTAGTCTGGGATAATATTTTAATTTTTGTCATGTAGTCATTAAAACCATGTGTTACTGTCTTAGTCTATGACTTGCTTGGACCACTGTGTTTATTTTGGTGCTTCACATTCTTCTTTCCTAATAAAATAATTTTTGATTGAATAATCAGAATGATTCCTGGGGAGGCTCTAGTCCTTTCAGCCTATCTTCCCTTTTAGGATTGCATGCCATAAAATCCTGAATATCTCTCTGAACTTTCAAATTCTTGACTTACTCTAGTCTGGACTTATATCAAGCCGTCTACTTCAACCTTTCCCTTGCTGGTCATCGTAAGCCTCTGTGTGACAGGGCCCTTGAACCCTTAAATTCATGTCACTTTTGCTTCACCAACCCATTCATTTTTTGACCTTAAGTCTCTAAATAGTTTCTAGACTTTCTTGGTGCTCAAACTATGAAGACTTGTCCCATGCTTTGTTTGCACTGAATGAGACACAAGAGCTGATAGAGTTCCTCGTTACAACTGTGTCTATTTTGTGTCCTGTCTCAGTAGTGTATTCTAGAATGGGCTCAGGAATGTTACAATATCATCACAATACTTTTCATTTCCTTCCTCCCACTAATTTCTAGTAAAATATTATTCTTTGTTGATTTATTTCTATTGCAATTACCTTCTACCTGCCCAGTGAGTTTTTTGTTTGCTTGTTTATTTTTTTAATAGGGTAACTCATTTTATTGTTATATTTGAAATATAGGCATATTCTAGCAATTATCAATACTACCTATATTGTCATAGTAATTAGGCTACATTACAAATTTAAGCTTGATTATTTCAATTCAATCTTGATTTTCAGGGCTATTTACATAGTTCTGCAGCTATGTTAACTTCAGCAACTATAAGTAGCATCTATGATCTTTAAAGTTGTTTCCTCATGGTAATTGTTAGATACATACTCTCCAGTTAGATTTTCTGGTAGGCCGATGGGAGAGATATGTTGGGCAGGATAGAATTTTCAGCATTTCTCAATAGACATAGAAATGATTTTCTACTCTGTGTGCAGAGTTAAGCATTCATAATGTAGAAGTTCAGTTGAGAGGCCTCTTTTAAAAAGAGTGGCAGAAAACATGAGAAAAAAGTGGGAAAGTTTGCTAGTCTTGCACACCCTTGGGGATTTGGCATGCTTCACATGTGATAAAACTTGATTAATTTTTCTCCTTTGTGGATCACAGTTGGGGACCCCACCAGACTGAGGTACACAATTATATTCATCCATCGCAAAACAAAACTAAAACTGTAACGAATGTATTTGAAGAGAAATATGAAAGAAATGAGATGTAGTATGACTTGTTCATTTTGGCATGGTCTTATGAAATTTGCTTTTGCTTATATAAGTAGGTTCAGTTAGAGTGGTTCTGCTACAGATGACCATTAATTACTATTTAATTTATTGGTAGTTTAAAAACCTGATTTATTTGATCAAGTGGAATGATGTAGATTATTCTTGATAAACACTAGTTCAATATTATAATTCATGCTTTTGAGGATCATGACCAGTTTATCTTTAGAAATAGACATTATCTCAGTAGATGCTTTTCCTCTCTTTTTTCCTCCTTGTTGAGATGATTTTAGCATTAGTGCTCATATGCACAGAATGTTCACTCTCATCATTTCATTGCTCTTGATTTTGTTTTAAGTAGTGATTTTGACCCTTTTGTTTATCACTGTTTGAGGTTGTTTGTTCATTTCTAGTGTTATTGGGGGAACTGAATGAACTAGATTGTTCTAGTTCAGCTATGTTATGGTTTCTTATATTTTAACAATACCTTCTCCATCCACCAAGGAAAATGGATGGAAACCTTCCATAGTAGGTGAGCTCTATAATGGTTTTCATCAGGTGAAAGCATGACAAAGCCTTCTGATGAGACTGAAGAGAAATATATAAATAAAAACACAACTGCTGCTTGAGCTCTTCCTGCAGATGGCACTGGTGTTACTTGGATAAAGAACATTTTTGTGTTCAGCAGCTTTTAGTACATTGTGCACACTGGAAAGGCTCATACATACCAGGAAACTAAGTAGATGTTTTGTAATAAGTGCTCACTTATCTGTGCATGATTGAACCCCAGCATGGTTCAACCCGTCCTTTTGGAGGTCTGCTTTTCAATGAATGCATTCACATGGACAATAAAATCTGATGCAGTACTCTTTTTGACTAGGGAAGAGACCTACCACTAAAATCACATAAAAAAGTAAACCTCCAGGACCAGTCTCCCAGTTGCATCTGCTTGAAAAATCCGGCCTAGTCTGAGAATGCATAAATATCACAGGGGTTTGAAGGGAGATATCATGATTTTTTAAAGTAAAAATATGTTATTCTGATAAAATCCTGGGAGATTTATTCTGGTAATCTTAAAAGTGAATTCGACAAAGATTTATTGAACACTTATGTAAGGCAATGCATTGTGCCAAATTGCTACAGAAGGTTCAAAGATGAAAAACAGAAAACAAACATGATCTGTATCTCCTCAGATCTCTCAAGATAATTGCAAAAACAGACATAAGCGCAAAGATGTGAGATGCAAGTTAGTTTGGTAAGTGATATAAAAATTACCAGTAAGATGTTATTGGAGTAAGGGAGGGGTATCAAAGAGGATTTGAGATGGGCTGTGAAAGAAGGGAATATTCAGTGGAATATGAAGTGGGGAAGAGACAAAGTAAGAATTTTCAATAAGGGAACTGTACGAGCAAAGGCATAGTAGAGAACAGTATTCTGTTTGGGTTTAATGATTTATTTAAGGACTGATACACTCAAGGCTCCCTGTAAGTTGCTCTAAAATATGACTCTATACCACTTTCTAATTTTGGGCTCCTGGGCATGTTAGTTAACCTCACTGTGCCTTTGTTTCCTTGTTTCTAATGGAGGGTAGTAAGACTACCTCCCTGAAAAGGTTTCTGAGAGGATTAAATGAGCTAACATATATATAGTGCCTGACCATAGTAACAAATATTACTGTCATTATAAAAATAAATATTGGATGGGCACATTTTATGCCAGTCATTCTACAAGGAGAATTCTAATTCTATCAGGAGACTAAGAATTAGGTATCATCACAGTTGTACAAGTAACAACATTTAGGTTTAGGTAGATAAATTAACTTGCTAAAGATATTACAGAATAGGTTTGTACTCAGGCCAAGTCTATCTTTTTTTCTGCTTCATTTTTCACTTTTTATATAATAAGTTGATTGTAATCAGTCTGTGTGGTGAGTGGGTGGAAAGGAGCTTCAGTGACTTAAGGATGGTAGGGGCCCAGAGCAGAAGCCTTCTGATGCTTGGCCAAGGGTTTAATCTTTATTTGTTATGCAATAGAAAATTACTTATGGGTTATCATGAACACCACCTGTCTCCTTTGGCAAAGAGTGAAAGATAGTTGTGACCCATAGAAGACAATTAATAAGTGTGACTTAAGGCTAATTAAAAAAATTTCAAATATTAACTGAGGGGTTTCTTTTAGTTTAGAGGAGGGAACACAGTAGTAGTTTGAAGAATTATAGTCAGCAAAGGAGAGTGAAAAGAAACAGATGAAGGAAAGGAGAAAGCAATAGGATATTTTGGGAAAGGCACAGGCATGATGGCTGAGTGAACTCAAGGGAGTGATTAGCAATGACAAGTGCAGAAAAGAAATGGAATAGAATGTAGACCACTGTCAGAAGAGTGTTGGTGGAGGAGTGGGAATAGACACTGTGTGGTAGTAGGTTGAAGAGTGACTGTGAGGTGTATTGTGTGAGAGGGAATTTAGACTGCTTCTTTGAGGAGTTGACATTCTTCATTATGAAGAGAGAGAAGAGAGGCAGCCCCAAAGGTGTCATCGTAATCATTTTTATTGTGTGTATATGCATGTGTTTTTCTCTTAGGGATGGGAGTGCATTGATAGTATTGAGGAAGCTGCCAATAGAGCTGAAGCCAGAGAATGAGAGGTGAGTGATGGTCAGGGAGGTGATAATAGTGAATGTAGCCAGAGGCTAAAAGGGATTAGTCATCCAGTGCAATGAAGATTGGAAAGTAGGAAGGTGACACGAGAATAAGATTGTGGGTGTAGAGTATTGAAGGAGAAACTTTTTGCTTCACGGAAAAAATAGTGTGGCCAGAGGCTATTAAATACATTCTGAATTCTCATATGTGACACATAAATCCCTTAACTAATTCCTCAGTTTTAATGTCCTACTCCTTCAACGTGCTACACCACCATTTTAGAACTGTTACCAAATGCTATTCATATCCTGTATTTTGGCATATGGTGTCCTCAATATTAGAAGGTTTTTCTTTCAGATCCTCTATGGTTCAAGTATAGTTTAATATCTCTCTTCTGTGGTCCACTGGGTCTTGAATTCTCTAAATTCCCTCCGAGTAGACTTCATTAGATCGAGAGCATCTTAATAACAAGGACCATTTTCCAACATAGTTTTGTATTCTTATCACTTAGCATACAGTAGTTGTCCAATAAAATTTGTTGAGTCTAAATTTCATTTTCCAAAGTAAGACATTTTGTGTTTTTAAGTTTTTGTGGTGATTTAGGATTACTCCAATTTATATACTTTCCATTTGTAAAGCTGAATTAGAAGCAGACTTGATTTTAAAACTGGTGAAAATGATACTTTACTTGCTAAATCACTCTCTTAAATGCACACTACCTTTGCTTTTTGATTTGGTGTGTGTATCTGTGTGTGAATTATGGGTCATCAACAAGCGTTAAATATATTAAGGGTAGAATTTTAGTCTTAATTTTTGAATCTACAACAAAGGCTTGCTAGACTCATGATCAATAAATGCCTGACAAGCAACTAGTAAACTTTTGTTTGTACTCTGTTATGTACTATGTATGCGTCCAGAATCTTCTTGGAGGGTTCATTTTATATCCCTGTGTCTGAGTTACTTCTCTGTGAAATGACTTCCTCCACTGACTTCTGCACAATTATAGTTCAGAATTAAGGAGGCTATATTTGATTAATAATTTCTGCTTATAGAAGAAAAGTACTATGTAGATGAATATTCAACAAGGAAAATGTTCTTAGTCATATGCTGGCCTATTCAGTGGGTGAGTAAAATGAGTACTATAATCTGTCACAACCATCTTTGTATGCAAAGTTTAGTAATAAATCATAGAGGATTTTGCTTTTATTTAAATGAGCATAGGCCTATTGCCTCTGTTCTTTAAAAGTTCAGTTCTCTCTTATTTAGAACACTTTTTATTTGCAACTGTCTTCTTTCATAGTTTGCTATACTTCTAATCTTGGTCCAAGATATTACTCCCTGATTTCTTTCTTTTTCCTTCTTTTAGCCGACAGAGTTTCTTACCACCTGAAGTGCAAACACTGTCAGAATGAATTGATGGCTTTCATATTATATGTTGACAATGCTACTACTCAGGAGTGGGAATGTGGTCAAAAAGACAGATATGACTGTCCATCCTTTCCAGAGAATATTGCTGTGATAAGAAACATTCACAGGGGCCTTTTTTGTTTTAGCTCCCAAGGTTACTTTGGTGTGTACATCTTACTTTTTATTTTCCAAACGTATTGTTGCTATGTTTCTGAAAGCTTTGTTTGACATCATATCCTAGGGTTTTTGCTTCTCTGAGTTTTGCTTAGCATGCATACAAAGAATTGTGGTGTTGACATTCTCTATCTTATTTAGAATATTTTATCCAGGGCCCATTGTACTGTGTAATTTAATTTTAAATAATAAATTGAATAGAAATGAAAATAGTGTGCTGCCTTCCAAAACATACTTCCTAGAGCCCTTTTCTTGAGATTGCTGAGAGGACACTGTTACAGAAACATTACCTCATTTACTGACCCATGTTTGAATGTGTTTTTGAAGGGCAGTGACTCAAGATAGTGGGTAGTTACATTGTATTTTAAGTCTTTCAGAAATTAAAAAATTCAGTGTATCTGGAGTATGATATTCTTTTGTCATCCAGGCTGGAGTGCAATGGTGCAAACATGGCTCACTGTAGCCTTGACCTCCCAGGCTCAAGTAATCCTCTCACCTCAGGTGTGCCACTGCACCTGGCTAATTAAAAAAAATTTTTTTTTGTAGAGATGGGGTTTTGCCAAGTTGCCCAGATTGGTCTCAAACTCCTGAGCTCAAGAAATTCACCTCTGTTGGCCTCCCAAAGTGCTGGGATTACAGGTGTGAGCCACTGTGCCTGGCCTGGAATATGATATTCTCTAAAATTCGTCTTATGATGTTGCATATGGACCAACTTCTTAATTGATAAATATTGATAAAGTTACTGTTTCATTGAGACTATAGACATCAGAATCGAGAAGAATGTATTAAATTGAGTGAAAATGAATAAAACAGAAGCATATAGTTTGAGGTGGATGAAGGATAATCTGTTTTTAACCCATGGTGGGAATGGTTATAAGATTAAACACAAAATGTAGGATATTTAGTAAGGAGATTGATAAATGTGATCATATTCAAATTTAAAACTTTTATTTAAATTTGATACAATAATGTCAAGTTAAGCAGTACAATGGAAAATGTTTACAACCTCTTTATTTATTTATATGCCTTTTCATTCTTTCAGTAAACATTGATCAAGCACATACTATGTACCATGTGCTCTTTTAGACCCTAGGGTCTGGTAATGAGCAAAACAGATAAAAAAACCCTTTGCTTTCATAAAGATTACAGTGGATTAGTGTTCAGAAGATATAAAAAACTGCTTCAAATTAAAAAAAAGCAAAAGCCCAATAGGAAAATTAGCAAAGAAAATGAGCAGGTAATTAAAAAAAGAGAAAGTACAAATGGCCAATAAATATTGTTCCTCTTTTAAAACTTCAGTAGTAACTGGAAGACACAAATTAAAAAATGAGATAGCAAATTTTTCTCAAAAATTAGGAAAAAGATAGATTACCATTGCCATATGATAACACAGCACAAAGGCCCTCCCCAGATGTCAATGCCTTGATCTTGAACTCTCCAGCCTTCAGAACTATGAAACAGTAAATTTCCATTCATTTTAAATTACCTAGTCTCAGGTATTCTGTTGTAACGGCACAAAATCGACTAAAACAAGCTGTATTAGCTTGAGCTGACATAACAAAATACCACACAGTGGGTGGCTTAAACAAGAGAAATTTATTTTTCACAGTTCTGGAGGCTGAAAGTCTCAGGTCAGGGTGCCAGTGCTGGTATAGGATAGGTGGTAGCGTTGTTAGAGGATAATGGGCAGTTTCAAGCACTTAGGTGAGCATGTAAATGGAGACAGTCTTTCAGGAGACAATCTGATAGAACTTTCCTCTCTGAAACTCCTTTCTTAGCCATATATCTACTATAGACTGCATGTGTGTCCCCAAAGTTCATATGTTAAAACCCTAATCCCCAATGTGATGGTATTTGGAGATGGTGCCTTTGGGAAATAATTAGGTCATGAGAGTGGGAACCTCATGGTGGAATTAGCTATCTGCAAGCCAGGTAGAGGGCCCTTACCAAGAACCCAACAATGCTGTCACCATGATCTCAGACTTCCAGTCTCCAGAACTGTGAAAAATAATTTTCTCTTGTTTAAGCTACACAGTTTGTGGTATTTTGTGATGTTAGCTCAAGCTAATACAGCTTCCGTTTTAGTCCATTTTGTGCTGCTGTAACAGAATATCTGAGATTGGGTAATTTATAATGAATGAAAATTTATTGGTTCACAGTTCTGGAGGCCGAGAAGGTCAAGGCACAGACATCTGGTGAGGCTGTTTTTGCTATGTCATCACATGACAAAATGTGGAAGGGTGAGAGCACAAGAGAGCAAACTCACTCCAGAGGGCCCTTTTTATAATGGCATTAATCAATTCATGAGGGAAGAGCCCTCATAATCTAAACACCTCCCATTAGGCGCCACCTCCCAACACTGTTGCATTGGAGATCAAATTTCCAACAGATGAATTCTGGGGCGCACATTCAAAACACACTATTCTGCCCAGGTACCCAAAATTCATGCTCTTCTCATATGAAAAATTCATTCATTCCATCTCAAAGCCCTGAAAGTCTCAATGTCTTTCAGCAGCAACTTTAAAATGTAAGTCCAAAGTCTCAAATCTAAGCATTGTATGACTGAGACACAGTACCATTCATCCTGATGCAAATTATGTTCTAGATGTAAACCTGTGAAATTAAAACAAGTTATTTGCTTTCAAAATACAGTGGTGGGACAGGCATAGGACAGATTTTTCCATTCCGAAAGGAGAAATAGGCAAGAAGAATGGAGTAACAGGTTCCAACCAAGTTCAGAAGCTAATAGGGTAGACAATACTAAATCTTAAGGCTTGAGAATAATCTTTGACTTTGTGTCCTGTCTTCTAGGCACATTAAAACTGGAGTTGGGCCCCCAAGGCCTCAGGCAGCTCTAACCCTGTGCCTTTGCTGAACTCATCTCACTGAGCAGCTCTCATGGGTTGGAGTCTCATGCCTGCACCTCTGTAGGCTGATGTGGCATGCTGGTGGCACTACAGGTCTAAAGTCTTAGGAGTGGCCCTCATCTGATGGCTCTACAAGGCATTACCCTAGTCAGGACTCTTTGCAGTGGCTCTGCCCAAGCAGCAGGCCTCTGAAGCATCCTTTGAAATCTAGGTGGAGGCAGCCATGCCTCCACAGGGCCAGAGTTACACCTGGGCCTGCTTGAGCCACAGCTGAGGTGGCTGAAGATAGCAGCACCAGAATGTGGGAGCAGAGGACTGAGACAGCTCTGGGCAATGAAACCCAAATTCTCAAGAGTTTCCTAGGTCTCTCCCTCAAAACCTCAAAGTGCAAGGGACTTGAGGGTAGAAAGGTTTTGGAAGCCTTGAAGATCTCTGAAATGCTTTTAGGATAATTCTCCCATTGTCTTGATGAATGGCACCGGGCTTTCTTCTCTCTATGGTAATCTCCTTACCAAACAGTCACTGCTCAATCCCTTGATTTTCTCTTCTAAATATGCCTTTTCATTGTTTACATGTTCATGCTTGGGATTTTCCAAATCTCTATGTTCTGCCCTTTTAATTATTAATTCCATCTTTAAATCATTTCTGTCTTCTCACATTTTACTATATGCAGTTAAGAGAAGCCACACAGTCCCTTCCATATTTGCTGCTTAGAGATTTCTTCTGCCAGATATCCTAGCTCAATTCTCTTAAATTCTGCCTTCCATAAAGCCCACGACATAGACATAATGCAGCCAAGTACTTTGCCACTTTACAACAAGGATGGCCTTCCCCCAGTTTCCAATACTTTCTTCCTCATTTCTGTCGAAGACCTCATCAGAATGGCCTCTACTGTCCGTATTTCTACCAATATTCTGTTTATAACCACCTAAGTAATTTTTAAGACATTTTATACTTTCCCTACAGTTCTCCTCTTCTTCTAATCCCTCACCACAAGTGCCATTATTGCTATGTTCACGGCAATATAGGCATTTTCTAGCCTGCTCCTCTAAATTCTTCCAGCCTTTATCCATTATATGTAGTTCCATAGCTGCTTCCACATTTTCAAGTATTTATTATAGCAACACTCCACTTCTCTGGTACCAGTTTCTGTCTTAGTCTGTTTTGTGCTGATATAACAGGATACCTGAGACTGGGCAAGTTATGATGAAAAGAAACTTACTGGCTCCAATTTTGGAGGCTAGAAGTCTAAATCAAGGCACCAACATGTATCTGACAACTTTTTTGTTACATCATTACATGGCGGAAGGCAAAAGGGCAAGAGTGCAAGAGAGGGAACCCGCATGCTGGGCTTAATACTTAGGTGATGGGTTGTTAGCTGCAGCAAACCACCATGGCACACGTTTACCTATGTAACAAACCTGCACATCCTGCACATGTGCCCCAGAACTTAAAAATAAAAGTAATAAAAAGGAGACAACCCATTGCCACAAGCCCTTTTTATAGTTACATTAATCTATTCATGAAGGCAGAGCCCTCATAATCTAAACACTTCCCCTAGGCCCCACCTCCCAATGCTGTTGCATTAGGGACTAATATTTAACACATGAATTCTGGGGGACACATTAAAACTATAGCAGTATCTTAGAAAACATAGTGCACAGTCATGTTCATTGGGTTTTTGTAGCATTTTTTTTCAATGGCAAAAACGCAGGTAATCCAACTATCCATTGGGGGCGGATGGTAAAATAAAGCATGGCATGGTCACACTTGGAAGATTATAGCAAACCTTTTATTTATTTATTCACTTTTTAATATTTCAGCATTTATTTTAAATGCAAGGGGTACATTCATAAAATTTTTACCTGAGTATATTGGACCCAGGTAGTGAGCATAGTACTCAATAGGTAGTGTTTTTTTAACCCACAACCTCCTCCCTTCTTCCTCTCTCTAGTAGTTTGCAGTCTAATGTTCCCATGTTTATGTCTGTGTGTGCTAAATGTTTAGCTCACATTTATAAATGAGAGCATGTGACATTTGGTTTTCTGTTCCTGTGCTAATTTTCTTAGGATTATAGTCTCAAGCTCCATCCATGTTGCTGAAAAGGACATGATTTCCTTATTTTTTTATGTCTGTGTGGTATTCCAAGGTGTATATCTACCACATTTTCTTTATCCAATTCACCATTGATGGGTGCTTAGGTTGATTCCATGTCTTTGCTATTGTGAATAGCATGGTGATGAACATATGATTATGTGTGTCTTTTGGTATAATGATCTGTATTCCCTTGTGTATATACCCAGTAATGGGATTGCTGGGTCTTACATTAGTACTAAGTTTTTTGAGAAATCTCCAAACTGCTTTCCACAGTAGCTGAACTAATTTACATTTCCACCAACAGCATATAAGTGTCCCCTTTTCCCTGCAGCCTTGTAGGCATCTGTTGTTTTTTTGACTTTTTAATAATAGACTTTCTGATTGGTGTGAGATGGTATCTTATTGTAGTTTTGATTTGTATTTCTCTGATGATTCATGATGATCATTTTTGAAAAGTTTGTTGACTGCTTATATGTCTTCTTTTGAAAAGTATCTGTTCATGACTTTTGCACATTTTTAATGGGGTTATTTGTGTTTTGCTTGTTGATTTGTTTAAGTTCTCTATAGATTCTGGATAGTGAACCTTTGTCAGATGCATAGTTTGTGAATGTTTTCTCCCATTCTGTAGGTTGTCTGATTAGTCTGTTGATGATTTCTTTTGCAGTGCAGAAGCGCTTTCATTTAATTAAGTTCCATTTGTCTATTTTTGTTTTTGTTGCAATTGCTTTTGAAGACTTGGCCATAAATTCTTTGCCAAGGCTGATGTTGAGAAGGTTATTTCCTAGAGTTTCTTCTAGGATTTTTATAGTTTGAGGTCTGACATTTAAAATCCATCTTGGGTTTGTTTTTAAATACGGTAAAAGGTAAGGGTCTAGTTTCATTCTTCCATACATAGCCATAGCTAGCCAGTTGGCCCTGCAATATTTATAGAATATGGAATTCTTCCTTCATTGCTTGTTTTTGATGGCCTTATGGACGATCAGATGGTTATAGGCGCACAGCTTTATTTCTGACTTTTCTGTTCCATTGGTCTCTGCGTCTATTTTTGAATCAGTACCCTGCTGTTTGTGTATGTAGCTATATATTTTGTAGCTTTATAGTATAGTTTGCAGTCAGGCAGTGTGATGACTGGCTCTGTTCTTTTTGCTCAGGATTGCTTTAGCTATTCAGGCTCTTTTTTGGTTCCATATGAATTTTAGAATAATTTTTTTCTAATTCTGTGAAGAATGATGTTGGTAGTTTGGTAGGAATAGCATCAAATCTGTAAATTGCTTTGGGCAATATGACCATTTTAATGATATCGAGTCTTTTAATTCCGTGAGCATGGGGTGTTTTTCCATGTATTTGTTCCATCTCTGCTTTCTTTCAGCAGTGTTTTATGGTTCTTCTTATAAAGATCTTTCACTTTCTTGGTTAGCTGCATTCCTAGGTATTTTATTTTCTTTGTGTCTATTCTAAGTGAGATTGTGTTCTTTATTTGACTCTCAGCCTGGATGTTATTGGTGTATAGAAATGCTACTGATTTTTATACATTGATTTTATATACTGAAACTTTGATCATAGGAAATCTTTATTACTGATGTGAAAAGATCCTCAGGAAAATGGATAAGAAAAAAATTTAAAAAGTATTGATGTATGATATTATTTATGTAAAACAAACATGTAATCATACAAAAGTCATATATTTTATAAGTATATATGACATGTGGTTATATGTTTTACACATATTTATGTCACTGTATATAAAAGAGTATGCAACAGTGGTTGCCCATCTGGAAAGGGAAGAGGAATTGGACAGAAGTCCAGAGGAAATTTATCATCACCTAACTTATTTGAAATTCTATGCAAAAATGAATTCATTTAATAATTGTATAAAGTTGTTTTAAATGCAGACAATTACAGGAAATAGAAAGAAGTAAATGAGCAGCTAAATGAGCAGCTGAGAGTATTACAGAAACTGAGTTCTTCAAAGCACCAGAAGTTAGTGTCTAGTCAGATTTGTTTGAAGCACAGATCATTGTTTGAGAATAGAGAAGAAAAATGGGACAAACTTAATTGGAAGTGTTTGCTAATGGTTTTTAAAGTTGGACTAAATTTTATCATTAAATTTTAAGCAGAGATAGGAGATTATTAGATCTGTATTTTACAAAGTTTTATTTTTTGTACAGGATGAATTGGAAAGAAAGAGACAGAAGAGTTTGTGTGTGTGTATGTGTTGTGTGTGTGTGTGTGTGTGAGAGAGAGAGAGAGAGAGAGACAATTTCAGGGAGAAGGCATGTGTTAAGATACATGTCTCATAAAACCAACTTACAAATATACTACTAGTGGTCAGATAGTAGAAATAACTTTGAGTACACTACACAATATATAAATACATCTCATATCTCAATTCTACATAAAACTTATAGTATAGATGTAAGCATATACATTTCCCACCTTAGTTACTGCTATCTCTTGTACACACTTAAAGAAATTTCAAGATCTCAAGACGATTAGGAGTCAGCAAAAAATTTTAATCTGATCTTTGAGAACACCTATTTCAATTTTTCAATTCCCTTGACTTCAGATTCTTAAGAAACTATGAACCTTATATCAGGCCAAAAAGACAGATGATACCTACTTCAGCATCTATGTCAAGGTATATTTCTAACTTCTTTAAATAAAAAAGATGGATATTGGGAAAGTCATTAGTCACCACTGCCTTTCCATTTGCTGGTGATAGAGATGAAGTCAATCAACCTGAGCATCTGCCTGGGTCAGCAGACCAGAAGAGACTTTTGACATGGGAATATATAGCTCTCCCTCCAGAGTGCTTTCTAATTTCAACTCTGGACTCCTCTTATTGTTTTTAAGAAGGAAGGTTGATGTTCTTATCTCAGGCAAACTGTCTACCTTCTCTTATGCTGTTTTTCGTCACCAAGGCTTTTTAAGACAATCCATCTCATAATTTTAACACAAAACACATTTTCCGATTGGATTTTTACCTCCTAGAGCCTGATTTTTAAAAGTTAAAAGGGGAAAATGAAATCTGTCTTCTGCAAGACATTACTGCTACACATTTGTCAAGTTTCCAAAAGTAAAATTAAAATGGGAATGATAAATGAAGGTGGTGTTCCCATGTTCCCTTCTCTTTTTAAGTCCACTTAATTCTCCTCCTGTCTTCACTGATCAATATTTCACCCTTAACAACACCAGTTCCTGTTGTTCACATTATGTTTAATCACACAGATATCTGTCCAGTTCTTATTAAGTTCAAGTCCTAGAACAATAGAGCAGTCTTGTTTTAGGTGTGGATAGGAATGCACATTAAAAAGAAGTGGAATATAGTGTTCATGATTTATTAAGCACATAATTATTTTATTCAACAAATATTAAACACCAGGTACTCGGGACACAATGATGGTTTAGGTGCCAACTCTGCCCTTGAAGGGCTCAGGTTATTAGGGAAGTACTATTAGAAACATGCAATTAGAATCCTAAGTGTTATAATTGAAGTATGTACAAAATTCTGCATGAGTTCAAAACAAGAACTCATACAGAATAAGAACTCGGAACTCATGGGGAGAGAGGTCAAGAAAGGTGTCATAAAGGAAGTGATACCCAGAAACAAAGGAGTAGTGCAGCAAAAAGAAGGGTATAAAGGCTATTCCAGGCAGTGTGTGTGCTATGTGTCAAGGAATGGATGAGGAATACATTTATTATTTGGGGAAAGGTAAATTGTTCAGTGTTGCTAAAGGACAGGGTACATAGAAAATTTGGTAAAGAACTGGGGGTGGGTGGGGAAGGACTGGATGAAGTCTTGCATTGGCAGAAATGACCAATCACTGTTCTCAGTGTTTTATGTTTTTTTCACATTTACTCTTCACGAAAATTGTGAGTCAAGTACTATTACCCTTATTTTGCAAAAAAGGAATCAGCCCAGGTAATGTAAAAACAAAAATAAAAATTTTCTAAATATATATAGATAGAAAATGGCAGAGCCAGTAATTGAATTCAGATCTAATAGGCTTTAACATTTGTGTTCTGATTCATAGAAGAGTGAATGGTCAGGGGGAAGACTACTTGTGAAGACCTTGAATGCAGTGGGAATTTGAATTTTATGTGTATGCAGTAAGAATTCAAAGAAATATTTTAAGCAACAGAAAAGGAACGTCCACCATATAGACAGAGAAAGAATAGTGCTTTCAGGACTTCCTTTGCTAACATTAGTAATGTGCAGTCGTTATTATTAGTCAAAGACTTGCTTCAAGTCAGTAATTGGGCAAGTACAAAATATAATTAAATTGGCTCATGGTAACTGGATATACTTACCTACATAGACTTAAACTAAAGTATAATTTAGTGAAACATGCTGAAAAGGACAAAAAGCTGAGGTATGATTTTCAGTACATTTTCAGCTCATTGTTATTTAAATGAACTAAGAACTCAGACCAGCACAAATACATCTGCAAAAGCACTGCTTTTATGATTATTTAGGGGTGATGTTTGGATCAACACAGGATCCAAACAGAAAGCTAGTATGACACAATGACTATCTTAGCCAGGCTTTTCAGACTTGGCAATAAATTTAAAATCTGTATAAATTTGAAGCAAAAATGTTAGCATCATGTGGAGGTCAGTACAACACTGCATTATACGTCCTGATTTTATCTGAAACAAAGGCATACTGTAATCTGTTGTTCTACAGGAAATAAAGTATAAATCAAGAAGGGGCTCTATATCAGGCCCTATGTTGTCCTTGAACTACATGCACAGAAACTGAATTGATAATAAAAGCACAGTGGCCTGCTATGTGGCAAATGACTGCATTTATTTCCTTTCCTTTTTTTTTAAATGAGTGAAATCCATAATAAGCCAGGCAGCTGGGTGCATTAATCTGTTTATATTGTCTTTTATTGCAAAGTATATGTGTATGGTAAAAGAAATCCTAATATATAAATTACCTTGAAGAGAGTTTTTTTCAAAGTATAAAAGTAAATAATACTTTTCCTCTGAATTCCATATTTAAAGATGACAATGGTAGGTTGAGTGGATGAATTTGAGTTGATTCTTTTACTTTGAATTCTGATTGTTCCACTTATTGATCTGAACAATTTACTTAGCACTTCTGAGCCTTAGTTTCCTCAACTCAACTGGAAAATGGAAATAAAACGGGTCCCTTCTAGGACCCGTGTGAAAATTAAATATGATAATATATAGGGTGGAGGTAGATGCTGGGTTCATGTCAGCTTCTAACTGCCCTGCCTACAAAATGCCATATTTGAATTGTTTTGGTTTCAACATTTGGTTTGCTGCCAGAGTAGATAGTCCTACAGAGAAATATGTTTGTTTGTCAAAACATAAATTAAAGATGATTGTAGGTCTTAAACTTTATTTGAATTTTAGACTTTTTCTGAATATTCAAATGTTTTATATTCATATTATTTATTAGAAAGTTAGAGTTTTGATGCTTTTGCCTTCATTGAAGCAGTTGTTGTCCATAAGAAGAGATTTAAAAGTAGATAACAGTAGGACAGGGTGGCCTGTTCCTGAAGAGACCCTCATTTAGTGCATGGCTTTTGAAAATACTTTCTTTCCTCCCTGAGTCTTGTATTAGATTTTTGCCTAACAGAAGACAGCTTGCCTCTAATTGCTAATTTGCAGGAGAAAGCACAATCTCAGTGTCTCCCTTATGACAGAGGTGGTTTCTGAAACCAAACCAAAAAACCATCAGCAATATCGGGATAAGTCTGCCAAAAACTAGGGCGAGGGTCTTTTTTTTTTTTTAATTTATTTTCTCTTTTCCTTGCAGCTGACTTTGGGACCTGTAATTTACAGGCTGTCATGGAAACAAGTTGCACATGTGAGTTCCCATGGCCAAAGTGGCAGTCTGTGAATGGTGGATATTCAAGGTGGCACCAGGCTCATCTATGCTGAGAATAAATTCAGTTCTAAAACATCAAAAAAAAAATCTTACTAGACATAGTCATAGCAAAGAGGGCATTGTTTCAGTGAATTCAAAGACAATTGCCTAATACATGTCTTACTGATTCAAATGTGCTTGCTTAGAAAAAATAGTAAGTTCCCCGGTGTGAGTGCATCACTGTGCATATTTACATTTTGATCAGGACACATTGATTTCTTCCCCACAAATAATGAATACAATATTAATAAGAATATTGACTTGATATTTTAGAGTTAATTAGCTTTACTCTGGCAAAAGGCACCTTTGGTAGCTTTAAAGCGATCTTGAAAAATAACTCCTGCTAGTATTCTGCTTAAAAACCGATACTCATGAAACTGCTAAGAAAACAAATAACTGTAGATTGATACTGTTGATTGCTAGTCTAGTTGTCAGTGAAGCTGATAGCACAAAACCTCACAATAAAGTAAGGTTAAGATTGACCGATAGTGTATTCTCATGGCCCTGTGAGTTGTTTCATGTACTTTACAAAGGGGATCTATTTAAGTTTTATTTTTAGGTGTATTTTTCTGACCCTCATTCTTTTCACCCACTTCCCTAACTTCTTCACTTAGGAAAATAGATAGCAAACCATAGAATAGATCAAATAGATACAGAAATTTCCATTGGTATGTGTCCTGAATATATCATAAAATTTCAGAGGTCAGGACACCAGAGATGTCACCTCTACGCATGATCAGTATTTTCATCTTGTTTTGGTACACTTTGCACTTGGAAGCCCCTCACATGACTAGTAAAATAGATTTATTTTAATGACTAAGAGGTTCTAGTTGCAGAAACACAAGCAGACTATTTCTATTGTTTTGACTAGCACAAAAGTAAAATTTTAGCTTATTGTTGATATGTATGGTTGGAATTCCCATTCTAATTCTGTTATCATAATTCAGGTCTTAATTCTACCACCTCTTCCATGATTTATTTATTTATTTATTTATTTATTTATTTATTTATTTATTTTTGTTTTGTTGTCTTTTTTTCAGGATTTTGAATCTAGAGAGATACTTTTTTCTTTGCTATGACCACATTGAATATTTATACTTATATGCTTTACCTTTTATATACAGTTTTCACAAGGACAACTCCTTGTATATGTAGGACATATATAAGTATATCAATATTTTATTACCCTCTAAATCTTACATATGAACCAAACTTTTTCTTCTTTATTTATGGCTGCCTTCATTACAGAAGATCAAAGGATTGTATCTGAAGCTTACAAAATTTGCCTGACGTAGGTGTCAGAAACAAGTGCTAAAATGGAAAATGTGGAATCACTAGCCTTCAATGATAACATTCCGAATAATTCATACTAACATGCAAGGAAGCTCCATTCCCTAGCTCTCCCACCACTTGGTATGTGTTGAAAAGGTGCTGTGATGAACAATAGACAGGCTTTTGTCAGATTTAGTTTGCCGTATTGCATGTACATGAAGCCAAAGAGTGACTGGGAAGAATCCCAGCAGAGCACGAGAGAGCAACAAACTATAAAAGAAAAAATGAGAACGGAAAGAGGGGAAAAGGTGAGAACTCAAGAGAACATGCTAAAATGAAGCCAGAGGGAAATGTTGAAAAGGGAGAGAAACACTATAGAGGAGGGAAAAAAGAAGAAGTAAAGTGAACAGTCTGCAGGCAGAATCGTTGTAGAACTGAACATATCTGAAGTGTCAGGCAATATATCTGTAAAACTGTATTTGGGAGTGCAGCCATTTCTTTTTAATAGTGGGCTATTCTCGAGTGTTAGGAAAGCCGTGTGAGATTTGATGTCAATTTTATTCTTGGCATTCAGTCTCTCTGTATGGACACAAAAGGAAATCAGGAGGTTAGACAAAAAGGTAAAAGGAAATTTTCATAGAAGGGGAAGAAGGAAACAATATATTGACATTGAAAGAAGCATCTTAGAAATACTACTATTCTAATTGTTTACACATCTGTGCTGTTAGTTGCAGGCAGATTTCGTGGTATTGAAGTGCTATTGTTGCCAAACATTGATTTGAAATCAAATGCTTTGCATTCTTAACATTTCAGTATACTATCTTATATTTTTAAATGCTCTCCAATAAAATATCCCTGTTTGGGATTTATTCTCTCTCATGTAATCATAGCACAAATGAACTTAATTTGGAATCTTATAGGTGGACAGAGATATAAAGTAGACTTCTGAATGCCTCACCAACAATTAGAACAAATTACTATTTGGAGATGTGATATGATAAGTAAGTTGTAAACACATAAGAAGAGATTGTTAGGAGACTTCATTGATGAGTTTGTTTCTATAATTCTTTTTTTTTTTTTTCGACAGTCTCACTCTGTCGCCCAGGCTGGAGTTCAATTCCGTGATCTCGGCTCACTGCAATCTCTGCCTCCTGGGTTCAAGCGATTCTCATGCCTTAGCCTCCTAAGGAGCTGGGATTACAGGTGCCTGCCACCATGCCCGGCTAATTTTTCTATTTTTAGTAGAGACAGAGTTTCACCATGTTGGCCAGGCTGGTCTCAAAATTCTGACCTCAGGTGATCCTCCCACCTCAGCCTCCCAAAGTGCTGAGATTACAGGCGTGAGCCACCGTGCCTGACTGTTTCTATAATTCTTAACAGTTCTTTTGCATGACCAGACTGACAAAGACAAATAAACATCTTATACTAAGTATACAGCATGTGTTGCATGATGTTTGTAACTGGATTATACTCAAGGTAACTAAAATGAGGGCTAAGAGTCCTTAAATTTATTCAATTTTTGTACTCTTTTTCTCTTCTGGATAGGGAGATACATAACATTAGCTAATGCTAGCTATTCTCAAAACATTTCCTTCCAAGTCCATTCTAAGTACCTAAGATATCAATATAAATCATAAAAAACATTGTGAATTTCAATTATTCCTAACTGACAATAATAGGAGTTGCTGGGAAATGAATCACTAATTTTCACACTAAAGCTTTTAATTTTACTATAGTTCTTCCTTTAAAAAGGAAGATTATAATTCTTCTACATGTGATGAAATTCACTTAAAGTAGAAATCATTTCTCAAATATTGTTTGGTAGGAAAATTAATGATGGACTCATCAGTTTAGGAACAAAGATAAAATATATAAGATTTTAGCACATGTAACTAATTTCATAGAAAACTTTATTAAACTTGTTGTAATAGGTTTAGAATATACATATCCTTGAAAAAAACCCAGATATATGTATATATGTGCATGCACACACAAATATTTGCATATATGTAATTAAGATTTAGTGCTAAAATTGTTTCTCCAAATTTCAATTTCAGGATTCTGTTCCATTCTTATATTTTTTCCTTCTTTGACCCAAGTGTTCCAAATACTGTCTCAAAGGGAATGTATATTTTAGAGTTTTTATTTTGATATATCACTATCTCCTTGCAAAAAGTGCTCAAAGAGCTAAAATATTTTTATTTTAAAAAAGATGGCTTAAAAAATTTCTTCACTTTTGGATTAATCAACTTTATTATTTAGAGAGCTAAACTGAAATAAAAAGCAACTTCTATGTAAGGAAGATTATTAATTTTTTATCATAATGGTAATTTAAAAAATAAATATATGGGTTTGACTACTTCCTAAGTCATAATAATCAGACTGCCCTGCCTTCCATTTTATACCATATCCCATTGGATTCTCTGTTGAAGGACTGTACATAGCTTAATCTTTGTATAAAATGGCTAACTGAATAATGTAGAATGTACTTGAAAGAAATATCTTAAAGTTTATTTTAAAACTCCTGAAAACTAAACTATAATCCGTTATCTCTCATGAGCACAGACACAAAATCTACTTTTTGTGTGTGTGCGTGTGTGTGTGTGTGTGTGTGTGTGTGTGTGTGTGTTTTTAGACAGCCTCTCGCTCTGTTGCTCAGGCTGGAGTACAGTGGTGTGATCTCCACTTACTGCAACCTCTGCCTCCGTGGATCAAGCGATTCTTGTGCCTCAGCCTCCTGAGAAGTTGGGACTACAGGCTCCTGACACTACACCCAGCTAGTTTTTTTGTATTTTTAATAGAGACGGGGTTTCACCGTGTTAGCCAGGTTGGTCTTGGACGCCTGAGCTCAGGTGATCTGCCAGTCTTGGCCTCCCAAAGTGTTGAAATTACAGACGTGAGCCACTATGCCTAGCCAGACAAAAACTGTTCAAGAAAATCAACAAAATAGTAGTAAACAAAATCCAACAATGTATAAACAGAATGATAAATCCTGAAAAAGGGAGATTTATTCCAGGTGTGCCAGGCTGGTTCAACATTTAAAAATTAATCAGTGTAAAGCATCATATCAACTGACACAACACAAACATTTGAGAAAATCCAATTCCCATTCATAATAAAAACTCTCAGCAAACAAGATTCAGGAAAAATTTCTTAAGTTCATAAAACAGTCTACAAAAGACCAACATATAACATCATGCTTATTGTTGGGACAGTGCATGCTTTTTCCCTTAGATTAGGAACAAGGCAAGAATGTCTTCTCTCACCTCTGCTGTTAATATGTTACTGAAAGTTCTAGCTAATGCAATAAGACAAGAAAAAATAAATAGAAAATATACAGATTGGAAAAGAAGTAAAACCATCTTCAATTGCAGATGACATGATTATCTGTGTAGAAAAATACCAAACAATTTACCAAAAATCTCCTGGAACTAATAAAGAAGTAGAATTAGATAGAATGTATACAAAGTTACTGTTATCACTTTGAAAAAATATTATGTATTAGAACAATTAAGAATAATAATAAAAGGTTTTATTTTACCTTCAGTTATTTTCTCTCTGATACTTTTTCTTTTGTGAAAGTGTAGATCTGAGTTTCTGACATATTTCCCTTCTCTCTGAAGAACTTCTTTTCACATTTCTTTTCAGGAAGGTCTGCTGGCTATGAATTACCTCAGTTTTTGTTTCTTTGACAGTGTATTTCTTTTTAAATTTTGAATTCAATTCAATTTTTTTCATGCCTTTTAGAATGCCTTACAAATTTTTGTTGTAATGTGGACATGATATATTGGGTAACAGGTATTGAAGTTAATAGGACATTAGTGTGAGATTTATCTGAATCTGACTAGCAGTTGGACTATGTTCAATATTTGTTGTAGCTATTGGTGTCAGATAATAAATTTCACTAGTGTCCTTGTTTTTGTTTTCTCTGTTGGCTTTGGGTTTTCTTAAGATCTTTCATGGAGTCTGAGCTTTGCAGCTCTTTCAGCTATAATTCACTGTTTTATTGTTAATGTGATGAAAAAGAGTTGGGGAGGAAAATGCTGTATAATCTTATGATCAAATCTTAGTCTTTTAATGGGCCTATGTCCCTGGAGTGACCTTCACAAGTAATTCTTAACATTCATTTTCTTCACCACTTAGATGAAAGGCTAGAGGGGGCTGGAGTTGGGTATTACTCTCCTGCCTATGGGAGATACAACTTTAGTAATGGCTTTTTCATTGGAGAGTAGGCTTTTGTTTTAGCATTCCAAAATGATCACTTTCCCCATCCATCAGTCAAACACATGGTGATTTTTTTTGGTTCTTGTGAGTACCTGGTGGCATGTTTGCAGGTAAAACCCATAAAATTGTGAGCCACGAGCTTAATATACAAAAGGCAGTTGTTTTCCTGTGTAGCAGCAATGAACAATTGGAACTTGAAATTAAAAAAAAAAACAGACCATATACAATAGCACAAAAAATTTTACTTAGGTATATATCCAAGAAAATATGTACAGGTTGTGTATGCAGAAAACTATAAAACATTGATGAAAGGAATCAAGGAAAATTCAAATAAATATGAGATATTTGTAGTTTATGGATTGGAAAATCAAATATTGATAAAAATAGAAGTTCTTCCCAACTTTATCTATACAGATTCAAAGTTAGGATACACCTATATATATATTTTTTTCTTGTTGCTTCAGCTGAGAGAACCTAGAAACAATGACATGCTTGTAGCAATAAGCACAGCTAGCACCCAGGTCTTTGTTTCTAATACCATTGTCCAATAAAATAAACCAGGGCTTCATGGCTTATTTTAGTACTGGAGTAGGAAATATACAAGATGAGCCTGGAACATAGTATGGTGCAAAAAAGTAAGGGAGAACTAAAAAAGCCCACCCTGTTCCAACAAAATAACAACCTCACAATGACAAGGGTATTTCAAAAGGACACAGGAGCCAAGAGAAACAGCTCCCAATTACGAAAGCTGGAACAATTTGAGCAGCAAAATAAAGTTGTATTGGATTACAATCTAAAGTAAAAAATAAATATCCATGAGTTTTTACTGATTAAGTAACTGCATAAATTTCTTCTTTTCCAAAACACATAATCCCATTTGAATCATGAGAAAAATATCAGAAAATGCCAATTGAAGGACATTCTGTAAAATATCTGACCAGAACTTTTCAAAACTGTTACGATCATCAAAAACAAAGAAAGTCTGAAAACTGTCACATTCAAGAGCAGCCTAAGAAGAAATGGCTACCAAATCTAATGTAGGACTCCAGATGGAATCTTGGAACAGAAAAAAAGAATATTAGGCATAAACTAAGGAAACACGAACAGGGTATGGACTCTTTAGTTAATAATGTTATGTCAATACTGGCTTATTAATTATGACAAATGTAAGATGTTAAGAGAAGAAACTGGGAGGGAGTTATATAGAAACTCTTTTTACTATCTTCTCTAATTTTTGGTAATCAAAAATAATATTGTAATATAAATCATTTATTTAAAAACATTGTAAAGCGTACTTTTACCTGGTTTTATCTACTCTGGGCACTAGAATATGAAAGGACCACCTAGGCTAGATAATATTGATTTAGCAAACAGTATGTCTGCCATTCATTTTGGCTGCCCAGCAGCTTATGCCCTTAAAATACCTGAATGGATTTTTTTAAACAGAAAACTTTATTAAAAAGTAGAAGAGGCTGGGCGCGGTGGCTCACGCCTGTAATCCCAGCACTTTGGGAGGTTGAAGTGGGTGGATGATGAGGCCAGAAGCTCGAGACCATCCTGGCCAACACGGTGAAACCCTGTCTCTACTAAAAATACAAAAATTAGCTGGGCATGGTGGTGCGTGCTTGTAATCCCAGCTACTCAGGAGGCTGAGGCAGGAGAATCGCTTGAACCAGGGAGTCGGAGGTTGCAGTGAGCCGAGATCGCGCCATTGCACTCCAGTCTGGCAGCAGAATGAGGCTCTGTCTCAAAAAAAAAAAAAAAAAAAAAAGTGGGAAACGTTGTTGAGAATGCCTAAACTCATGTGCCAAAATGAGAATTACATACTTTTTATTGGCTAAAGTAGAAGTTAATATTATAGTCTATACATAATATAGAGGGAAATTCTGATATTGGCATATATGTCATTATGGAATTGATAAGGTTTTTAGGCAGATATGACCAAGATAAGTATTTCTGTTCTCCTAGCCCTGAGTTTCTCTTCTTGTGGTCTTCAATTCCTGGTATCCTCTTCTGAGTGTACATTGAGTTTCTTGGAAAGGGCTAGTCCATTTTGAGATAATAATAGTCATCTCAAATTGAATTAAGTTTGTTCTAAAGCTTTCTCCATACATATTTTAGGTATGTATGGAGAAAGTACATACTGTTCCAAAGGCTTCCTTATTCATAGTGAATTGTAACCTACCTTGATGTATAAACAGACTATAACCTACTCTAGTAACAAGTAGCTGTTTGAGCCAGTCGCAGCAGCTGAATTTCAGCCAATCACAGGTGACCAGCTGTTCAAACCATGTTCAAATAAGATAAATGCTGAGCTGTAACCAATCCAGCTGTTTTTGTATTGCACTTCTGTTTCTGTACATCACTTTTCTTTTGCTGTCCGTAAATGTTGTCTGACCATGTGACAGTCTTGGAGTCACTTTGAACCTATTCTGGTTCTGGGGCCTGCCTGATTTGTGAATCATTTTTTGCTCAGTTTAACTCTGTTAAAATTTATTTGTCTAAAGTTTTCCTTTTAATAATACCAAATAATTATACAGCACTCATTATGGCCCAGTCCCCTTCTAGGTGTTTTATAGTTAACCTAATACAACAATTCTGTTGGATGGCCTCTGTTATTAATGTCCCTGAAAACAAATGAGGAAAATGAGTCACACATCCTGTAAGGGGCAGTGTAGAGACTATGAACTTTTCTACCTTATTAGTAGTTAGCCATAAAGATGTGGCTTTATGGTTTTAGAGTCCGTATAACTAAATTACTACATTTTTAGTTCATATGTGAAAAGTACTTGAAACACAGGTTTTGAATAACAACTAGTAAACTATACTTGGCACTAGGATGCCTTCATACCTTGAGTTCCTATGCAAGGAATGCAACCTAATTTAACACATAAACTGAGAGTCTAATTTAGGACGTCTTAGCCAATCATAGCAGCTAAGCTTCAGCCAATCATAGGCTACCAACTGATTGGAACTTGTTCAAATAAGGCAAACACTGGGCTGTAACCAATCAAGCTGTTTCAGTACCTCTTTTTTGTTCATAAATGCTACCTACCCACATTGCAGAGTCGAGCTTTCTGAACAGTTTCTGCTTCTGAGGGCTGACCGATTTGTAAATCATTCTTACTCAGTCTGTTAAATTTAATTGTCTAAGTTTTTATTTTTTCACAATTATGTTCAAAGGAGAGTTTTGTTTCCTCCAAAATGCTCAAAGGAATACTTGTTGTGTGCTTCACATAATATCGTGAGGGATCATCAACTTCTGCTTGGCACTGCCTCTTTGCTCTCTAACCTCAGCTTTCAGTATTCCTTAACGTTCTGCCCTGTAGGTGTTCTGCCCTAGCTGCCATCCTGGAAAGGAGTTCTAACGTGTTTTGTGTAATTGGAGAAATATGTTCTTGGTTGAGATACAAGAGGAAAATAATTTTCAAACCACTCCCCGCCCCAGGCCAAATGACATCAGTGATCTTTAGTTGTGACCTTGGTAGAGTTTTTGAACTTAAAACTTTTGACCTACATAATGAAAAGTATTTGAATACAGATTCTAAGATATCAAATGCTAATAAGAACCATAAAATACCTAATAATGGTTTTCTTTGCTCTATCAAAGATCTCCACAGGAAGGAGATTGGCAATTCAGTAGGTGGCACTTTTTCTACTGAGCCAGAACTAAAGCAAAACCTCAGGAATTCAACCTGCCCCAAGAATAGGTGTCTTTCCACTGAGAGATGGGACAAAGGAGGTATTTATTTGTGGTATTAAAAATATTTTTTTGAAGTGCTCAGGTGTGTTGGTTAAAATCCAGTTTGGATAATTACATTCTTCTCACAGAAATTCCACCTACAATTTTAACTGCCACTTCCAATTTCACCAACAGTTTTAATTCTAAATAGTCTCTTTTTGACACACACTGTTCTTTAGTTCCACTGCAATGGCTGGCCAATCGTCCCCCTCCTCCTTGTAGCTGAAAGTAAAGAAGTAGCCCTCTCCATCTCCCTCTCCCTCTCCCCCTCCCTCTCCCTCTCCCCCTCCCCTCCCCCTCCCCCTCCCCTCCTCCTTCCCTCCCCCTTCCCCTCCCCCTCCCCTCCCCCTCCCTCTCCGTCTCCCTCTCCCCTCTTCTTTCTTCGGTCTCCCTCTGTTGCCGAGGCTGGACTGTACTGCCATGGTCTCGGCTCGCTGCAGCCTCCCTGCCCTGGGCTCCTGTGGTTCTCCTGCCTCAGCCTGCTGAGTGCCTGGGATTGCGGGTGCGCGCCGCCACACCTGACTGGTTTTTGTATTTTTGGAGGAATCAGGGTTTCGCCCTGTTGACCGGGCTGGTCTCCAGCTCCTGACCTCAAGTGGTCTGCCCGCCTCGGCCTCCCGGGGTGCTGGGATTGCAGACGGAGTCTGGCTCACTCAATGCTCATTGTTGCCCAGGCTGGAGTTCAGTGGCATGATCTCGGTTTGCCACAACCTCCATCTTCCAGCCGCCTGCCTTGGCCTCCCAAAGTGCTAAGATTACAGCCTCCGCCCGGCCGCTACCCCTTCTGGGAAGTGGGGAGCGTCTCTGCCTGGCCGTCCATCATCTGGGATGTGGGGAGCCCCTCTGCCCGGCTGCCCCGTCTGGGAAGCGGGTAGCCCCTCTGCCCGGCCGCCCTGCCTGGGAGGCGGGGAGCGCCTCTGCCTGGCCGCCCCGTCTGGGAAGTGAGGGGCGTCTCTGCCCGGCCACCCCGTCTGGGAAGTGAGGGGCGTCTCTGCCCAGCCGCCCTTCGTCTGGGAGGTGGGGAGCGCCTCTGCCTGGCTGCCCCATCTGGGAGGTGGGGAGCGCCTCTGCCTGGCCGCCCCATCTGGGAAGTGGGCGCCTCTGCCCGGCCACTCCATCTGGGAGGTGAGGGGCGTCTCTGCCCGGCCACTCTGCCTGGGAAGTGAGGAGCACTTCTGCCCGGCCGCCCTTCGTCTGGGAGGCGGGGAGTGCCTCTGCCCAGCCACCCTGTATGGGAGGTGGGGAGCGCCTCTGCCTGGCCGCCCCGTCTGGGAAGTGAGGGGCGTCTCTGCCCAGCCGCCCTTCGTCTGGGAGGTGGGGAGCGCCTCTGCCTGGCTGCCCCGTCTGGGAGGTGGGAGCGCATCTGCCTGGACGCCCCGTCTGGGAAGTGGGGGGCGCCTCTGCCCGGCGGCCCTTCGTCTGGGAGGTGGGGAGCGCCTCTGCCCGGCCGCCCCGTCTGGGAGGTGGGGAGCGCCTCTGCCCGGCCGCCCCGTCTGGGAGGTGGGGAGCGCCTCTGCCCGGCCGCCCCGTCTGGGAGGTGGGGAGCGCCTCTGCCCGGCCGCCCCGTCTGGGAGGTGGGGAGCGCCTCTGCCCGGCCGCCCCGTCTGGGAGGTGGGGAGCGCCTCTGCCGGGCCGCCCCGTCTGGGAGGTGGGGAGCGCCTCTGCCCGGCCGCCCCGTCTGGGAGGTGGGGAGCGCCTCTGCCCGGCAGCCCTTCGTCTGGGAGGTGGGGAGCGCCTCTGCCAGGCCGCCCTGTCTGGGAAGTGTACCCAACAGCTCCGAAGAGACAGCGACCATCGAGAATGGGCCATGATGACGATGGCAGTTTTGTCGAAAAGAAAAGGGGGAAATGTGGGGAAAAGAAAGAGAGATCAGATTGTTACTGTGTCTGTGTAGAAAGAAGTTGACATAGGAGACACCATTTTGTTCTGTACTAAGAAAAATTTTTCTGCCTTGGGATGCTGTTAATCTATAACCTTACCCCCAACCCCGTGCTCTCTGAAACATGTGCTGTGTCAACTCAGGGTTAAATGGATTAAGGGCGGTGCAAGATGTGCTTTGTTAAACAGATGCTTGAAGGCAGCATGCTCGTTAAGAGTCATCACCACTCCCTAATCTCAAGTACCCAGGGACACAAACACTGCCGAAGGCCGCAGGGACCTCTGCCTAGGAAAACCAGAGACCTTTGTTCACGTGTTTATCTGCTGACCTTCTCTCCACTATTATCCTATGACCCTGCCACATCCCCCTCTCTGAGAAACACCCAAGAATGATCAATAAATACAAAAAAAAAAAAAAAAAGTAGTACAGGAAACTATTTTTGGGTATAATTAAGTGACTGTAAATGAATGGCACTATATTAAAATGATGTAATATTTATTATAACATGATATGAAAATGCAAATTCACATAGATTTTGAAATTCCTTTGGTGAAAAAATTTTGGCATTTTCTTTGTGATAACTGCCAACCTTAATATAGCCATGCTTTATGATGCTTTAAAAAAATATGTGAGTATGTCACCTGCCTGATGAAGACATATTCATGCTTTGGTATTCATTTCATTTGGTATGACATAATGCATTTGAAAGATAAAGCACTTTACATGGAGAACAGAATACTTCAGTAACATGTATTAAACCCCTTGGTTTAACTGAGAAATGTATGAAATAAAAAAAATGTTTTTGTGTTCTCAAAGAGCTTATGATTTTTAAATTGAAAGAATCAAAATTAATAAAAGCTTACCCTAAACTTAGTATTCAGAAGTGGTTATGTTATATCCCAAGTGGAAAACAGTTTTTCTAACTAATCTCATTAATATCCCTTGGTTTCCTCCATTCCTCCATCCTTTCACACCATCATTCTTATCCCAAAATCTCAGAGAAATACATTCTTAGTTTCTTATTCTTTCTTTCTATTAGTTCCTTTTGCATTACTGTCTTATGTCTTTCCTTTCCTTACCTTGAAGCCTCTTCTAAACATTGAGCATGAATAATGAATTTCATGTTTTCATTAATGCTTATAAAATACATAATAATCACTATTCAGACAAACAAAACTAAATCTCTTTGAAACAGTGAGAACTTAAAAACAGACTAGTGCAAAGCATTAGTCATTCAGTGAATAATTATTGTACACTCATCATAAGACAGACATTTAAAAATGTAAGATACAATGATTATTTTATTTTACCAAATCAAAGTCTGAGTGAAATCTCAAGGCCTCACAGCACATCTTGAGTAAAGCCTGGCTGATACATCTGCTCTTTTTCTTCCACATCCTGTTTTTAGTTATCTAATGCCAACTGCTTATATACTGTAGCAATCAGCATCAACAACTGTACAGGAGCCTCCTCGATAGTCTGGTATCGCTCCCTCAAAATATGTCAACCTAGCTAGGTGCAGTGGCTCACATCTGGAGTTCTAGCACTTTGGGAGGCCAAAGAGGGATGACTACTTCAGTCCATGAGTTTGAGACCAACCTGTGCAACACAGCGAGACCCTGACTCTATAAAAGATTAAAAAAAAATTAGCCAAGCATGGTAGCATGTGCCTGTAGTCCCAGCTACTCTGGAGGCTGAGGTGGCAGCATCATTTGTTTCTGGGAGGTTGAGGCTGCAGTGAGCTGTGATTGTGCCACTGCATTCAAGCCTGGGTGACAGAGCAAGACCCCATCTCTAAAAATGAAAAAATAAAATAAAATCCATGTCAGAAACTCCTTTTCATATAGTAAGGGAGAACAAGTGTTAAAGAAAAACCAGAGCTTGACAGTAGTTGAAATGGTTAAAAACTTACACTATTGAGGAAAAACTGCAATAGGGGAAAAGAGACCTCAGTATAGGACTGGGGTCCATTCTAACTGCAACAGGGAAGAGGAGATTTATAGCCAAGGATTAGATTAATGGGGTTGGTGGATGAAAAATTATTAAGAAGGTGGGTTGATTCTTGCTAAATTGACCTAACATAATTCTTCCTGAAGGAAGGCCAGTCTAATCCAATATCACATGGGGATGGTGGGGATGAGAAATTTGGTCAGTTATTCAGGGTGATCAGACATTGAGAGTGGGAGATGCTTGATAAACTGACCTCACAGGATTTTTGCTAAAACTGGGCAATGCAAAGGTGGAAGCACAAAGTTTGAGGCCTGCTTGGGAAGAGGAGCCTGACTGAAGTTTGGTCAAGGGGACAATCTTTGTCACAAGCATACATTAAGGAAAAGCATGTTACTCATCTGTATGATGTAATTCGGAGAGTAACATTAGTTTTTGTTTTTTTCTTAAACTCAGGGTAAAGGCAACGGGCAAGAACACAGGAACTTTGAAGTTTGGATAAACAAAATCTCTATTTGAAAAATAGGAGTTCTAACTAAAGTTCTTTTAGATCAGCAAATGAGACAATCACATACCTGTCTGATATACTCTCAAGCATCTGAGAGGGCTATTGCATACTTACGAACTGACAAGGATTCCCTTCTTGAATAAACTAGTCAGGCTCCTTCAAGTTCTTTTCTTGATTAGACTCTGTCTTTGGTCTGCTGAGCCTGCTTTTAGCAAGAATTATGCTTATCTAGTTTATATAGAATCCCATTTCCTCTAACTGTAATATCTAATCAAGTTCTTCTTTTCCAAGTCTTGTTATCTAATCATGTTCCTTTTAGTAATTCTCTATCCAATAAGTCCACCGCTCTGCCCATAAATCCCCAGTTGTGCCTATTATATTCAGAGTTGTGTTAAATCTCTCTCTCCCATTACAATAGTCTTAAATGAAGTCTTCCTTGCTTACCTCTATCTGGTACCTTTTTTTTGGACATAATTAAATTATTAAGCACTTGCTGTGTGTCACCCAGCTAGCTATGTTGGTAGAGCATAACTTGCTCCAAATATCTTTCCTCCTAGCCTACCACAATATAAAGCACCCATGCTAGCAGACAATTTTAGACTATTTTTGAGTGGTAGATTTACAAAACTGCAAACATGTAATATAGAATTCTAAGCAGTAAAACTTGGTAGCCCCCAAAGATAAGGCCTTTCCCTGTTCATATTACAGAGCCAATACACGGAACCAAAAGTGAACTCAGCCATCCTGGAGTGGTTCTGGCCAGTCTACGGAGGATGCACACTGAGGGTTTTTGTGTCCTCTACTTCAGCAGTCTCTAACCTTTTTGGCAGCAGAGACCAGTTTTGTGGAAGACAATGTTTTCACAGACTGGGGTTGGGGTTGGAGGACGGTTTCAGGATAAAACTGTTCCACCTCAGATCATCAGGCATTAGATTCTCATATGGAGCATGCAACCTAAATCCCTCGCATGTACAGTTGACAGTAAGGTTCACGGTCCTGTGAGAATCTGATGCCACCCCTGATCTGACAGGAGGCAGAGCTTAGGTGGTAATGCTTGCTCGCTTGCTGCTCACCTCCTGTTGTGAGGCCCAGTTCCTGACAGATGACTGACTGGTACCAATCCATAGCTCAGGGTTTGGGGACCCCCTGCTCTACTTCACCTTTTGACATCAGAGGACCCAAAACTCCACTCTCAAATCATGCCAACACCACGATTTTTGTTAATTGCAATTCATGAAGGGGCTTGAAGCTGAATTGTGCATGGGCCTGTTACTCCTTTCATAAATATTCAATACTCCTTCTATAGGTTATTGAATATGTATATTTGGCCACCTCACTCAGCATAAATTCCTGTTCCGTTTGCCCCTCCCTCAAAGTGTCTGTTTCTGGCTTCTGACCAAAGGCTATTCTTTCCAGTCTGCCAGAATGGCCAACCTGTATGCTGCAACCGTTAATGAGAAATGAAGCTCTCCTTTCCAACTTTATGAACTTCATCATTATTCCATTAACAATGGTCCACTTCCACTTATGAATAGTAAATCTATCTTCCTTATGATTTTCTCAATAACATTTTCCTTTCTTTAGCTTACTTTATTGTAAGAATACGGTATATAATAGATATATCATACAAAATATGTGTTAATCGAGTATATATGTTATTTGTAAGGCTTCTGGTCAACAGTAGGGTATTAATAGTTAAGTTTTTGGAAGTCAGACATTATTTGTGGATTTTCAAATGTGTTGTGGTAAGTAGTCCTAACCCCTACATTCTTCACAGGTCAATTGTATACCTCATGTATAAATGAGACACACTCAGAGAAATGAAATCTCAGAGATGGCTTTGAATACCATCATCCACTGAAACATAGAAAAAAAGAGTTGGGGAAAGGACAGTCATGGGGAGATGCCTAGGGAAAGAAGATAAACAAAGATAAGGTTTATTATATAGATTTAAGTTACTGCCTTCTCCATTGATAAGCATTTCTACTGATTCAGAGTCATCCTTTTCTTCCTGGTGCTGAGCAGGAGATGCCCTTACAAACGATTTACTATATAGGTGTAAATTTCCCTTCAAAAGGGTAACTTCTCTGTTTTCAGAGCTTCTTTTGTGTCTGCAATTTCTTAAAATAATCAGCTCAAAATAATCCTTTGGGGTGGTATATTCTGGTCTCTTACAGTATACTGCTATTATTGTAGGATATGCCCTTTAGATTGATTTTCAAGGATCAGTGAAATATTTGCACTGATCTATACACATTCCTTTCCCTTATCACCTTTCAGACCAAGAGCATGTATTGAAAACAGATTTTTTTTTTATGGTAACCTTTAACAGAGAAGAAAAACAATCTAATTGTCTTGCAAAGGTCTTAAACCCACGACCTCGACCAAGTTCAGGTTATAGCAAAACAAAAGCATTGAGAAAGACAGTTATTTCAATCATTTTTATCAGAGACCATGGCTTTGAACATATTTTACAGAATCCATACCACTCTCTAAGGATCATAGTATTCTCTCCAAAGAGATAATATGAACTATGAACACTAAAAATACCAGCCTGAAAGCCTTAGAAACAACTTTTTTTTATTTTTTTATTTTTTTAAATTTTGCCTGGGGAATGGTTATCCTCATTCTTATATGAGTCTTCTGGTTCTATTCATCATTTACAATATGTGGTCCTTAGAAAGGATATCACTCTTGAATAAACTTGGGTTGATTAGTGAATTTTTTTCCAATATGTTTACAAGGATGTATCATTATGATACTTGATTTAACAAAAATAATGATTTCGTTTGGTCATTTCATTTATTTTAATGTGTGAATAATACTAAGCTACTCAGAATAGTAGGAGAAAAAACTCTGAAAAAATAGTATTAAATATAGAGATGCAAGTAAATAAAAATAATTAGAAAAAGATGAACTTTATTCTCAAATTCTAGCAGTATATTTATTTTGGCAGAAACAAAACTGATTTTTATGCATTAAATTTTAGCTTAGATTCTCTGAGTATCTGCATTAGAATCAAAAGCTGCTTTCATGGCTCTTCCCATTAAATTCGAGGGGTATTGTCTAAATGCATCAAATTCATCATATACTGCCAATTCCAACAAAGAATCTGATGAGATTCAGATCATTTGAAGGTAATTAAAATGGAACAGTAAACACAAAGCTCTTCTACTCCCACAGCAGAATGTTACTTTTCCAAATGTAAAGTGAGTACAAAGAACAATTGTGTTATACTGAAGTACGAATAGAGTCAGGAAGTCACCACTTATGCTCCTGTCCATTGAGCACATCAGAGGACACACAATCAGAAATCACTCGAAGTCTTTTAGACTCTGCAGGCACGTGGTTAATTATAGAGACTAAGACACTTAAAAAGGCTAAAACACTCCCTATTTTCACAGCAAATGTCTGAGTGAACACAATTATCATGTGAGTCTTTCCACTTTACAACAAAAACATTTTTAGCTTATATGTAACATGATTAACAACTGTGCAGCTAACTAATGCAGTCTGATTCTGTCATGTACAAGTTCTCCTTTGTTGCACCCACAAACTTGACAGCCCAACCCAAACAGGAATTTTCACCGTGGGTTGTCATCTTGCTCCAGTTGTCAGACCCATGAAACTGCTTTAACAGATTTTTCAAGAAGCCTATTGATCTACTCAGATTCATCTGCTGGAACATGTACAGCTTCTGCCTGCTCTGCCATCTTTCCTCCAAAATGTCTTTGCTTCATTTTCCCGGGGGTTTCCCTTTCTCAAAAATGTTCACTGTAAAAACGACCTTTAATACATCCATTTCAGCATATTTCCATTAGTCCACAAAAGTCCATTCTTCATAGCTCCAGAAATCAGAGTTGAATCTTCATTAAAGTTCCAGTCACCTCAAAGCATGGCCACCTTTGTTTCCCCATTCATATTGTTGTCATGTGGTTTAAAAAATATTTTTACCTTTTGCTTTATTCACTTTATTTTATTCCTTAAAATTAAAAATGTCCTCTGAAAAAATAACACAAAATAATTTTGACTGCAGCCTTCACCTTCCAGTTTTTTCATGCTGTCATTTGTCTCCTGAATGAATATAGTGCTTCTCGCCCCTATTTAGCCAAGATCATGTCAAATCCAATACTTAGAAATGCCACCTAAGGCTGGGCACAGTTGCTCACGCCTGTATTCCCAGCACTTTGGCAGGCTGAGGCAGGTGAATCACAGGGTCGGGTGTTCGAGACTAGCCTGGCCAACATGGCCCATTTCAACTAAAAATAAAAAAATTAGCCGGGCACACTGGCGCCCGCCTGTACTCCCAGCTACTTGGGAGGCTGAGGCAGGAGAATTGCTTGAACCTGGGAGGCAAAGGTTGCAGTGAGCCGAGATGGCGCCACTGCATTCCAGTCTGAGTGACAAGGCTAGACTTCATCTCAAAAAAAAAAAAAAAAAAAAAAGAAATGCCACCTAAAATATTACAATAATCTAATAATGTTAACAGTTTTTTTTTTCAAGTTTAATCCAGGGTAAGACTTTTATGTTCCCAATATTCATTTAAACCAAATTCAAAATAAAGTTTCTAAAGTTTTCCTAACTTTTGACATTATGGCATTATTTTAAAATATGGCTTCAGTCACAAAATAAGGAATGCTTTTTGTACAATGTTTTGTTATAGTTTGATAATACTGTAGGTGCATATAGTTCATAGACTTGCAACTAAAAAAAGATGTACATGGGCCATCTCAAACACACACACACAGACACATATATTTATGCCTACATATATAATATGTATTTATCATGTATGCATATATTCATAATAAAAAACTAGAAGGCAGTAAGTAAGCCCATGCAATGTATTTGAAGTGCAAAATTAAAAAATAATTTTCTGACTCCTCAACTACTGTTTATAGTTCTCAAGAGAAAAAATGAAATTTAAACTAAATGTCAAACTTCTATGAAATATATCTAAAATGCCGTTCTTTCCTTAAACCTTACACAATCACCTACCCTCCATCCCAGATAACTGAATGTATTTTCTACTTCGACTTCTCAAAGCAGTGCGAATCTCATTTATCTATCATCCATTTATCCATCTGTTTTCTTATTCAATTTATAATTAGTTTCCACCTTGTTACTGAAACTATATTAGGAATTCAGGAAAACGTGCACAATCCCTGCTCTTAAAGTGCTCATGATCTTGTCAGAGATAGACAGTAATTTCATGAAAACCACATTTATAATTATAGATTTTGACCTTACTTCTTTTGTTTTCTTGAGATGAGGACATTAAAGGTAAGGCCTGTATTTTCTTCGTCTCTGTATCCTCTTATAGTGTCGAAAATATTACTTGCAATAGCTATTCAGTTAAAGATTTAAAATGTACAAGGCTTTGTATACAATTCCAACTTAATTTTAATGACAATTTTTGTTTTAATCATCTTTTATCTCCCTCTAGTCTTTATGGTAATTAACAAGAATTCTAGCTGTTAGGAATTTCTATTGTTAGAAATTATCTTGCTCTAAGTTCACAGTAAAATATGAAAGATTTCTAATGATGACTGTAGATATCAGCCAAGAAATTCTCTGAACTATAAAGTTTCAAGCAGTTATGTTTTCTGGGGAGAATTTTTAAAAATAATTGTATTTTATTAGAGAATACAAATACATACAGATTTCTTCTGGCATAAGTATGCAACTCTATGATAAAATTTCCACAAAGTAAACACCTGAATGAGCACCCAGAATTAAAAATTGACTATTACAAGCCTCCAGGAAGCCCCCTCATGGTACTTTCCAGTCAGGGCCTCCACCCATTCTTACCCCAAAGGTAGCCACTATACTGACTGCTAACACCATAGCTTGGCTTTGCATCTTTTTGAACTTTTATTTATTTATTTCATTATTTTATTATTTTTAAAAAGCATGTGCATTTGATTACTTCACTACATGCACTACAGTGTGGTCCCAACATCTATTCCTTGAAATAACACTGTTCTCAGCATAGTGCTCAAAGAGCACTCTTGGAAACATCTTTTTTACATGTGCGTTTAAACACATGCTTTAAAATGTGGGTCACCACATTCATTTTCTGAAATAACACTGTTTTTGAACTTTATTTAAATAGATCACTTAATATAAACTGTTTTGTGTTTAACTTCTTTTGTTCATTATGTTTGTTAGGTTAGTCCATGTATTTGTTTGCAGCAGCAGTTCATGAATTTTTTTTTTTTTTTTGAGATAGAGTTTCACTCTTGTTGCCCAGGCCGGAGTGCAATGGCACCATCCTGGCTCACTGCAACCTTTGCCTCCTGGGTTCAAATGATTCTCCTGCCTCAGCCTCCTGAGTAGCTGGGATTACAGGCACTGGCCACCATGCCTGGCTAATTTTTGTTCTTTTAGTAGAGACGGGGTTTCACCATGTTGGCCAGGCTGGTCTTCTCCTAACCTTAGGTGATCCACCCACCTTGGCCTCCCAAAGGGTTGGGATTACAGGCGTGAGCCACCACACTCGGCTAGTTCATGAATTTTAATCAATATTTGGTATTCCATTCAATGAATATATCAAAATTTATTTATTTGATTATTGATAGGCTTTTGAGTGGTTTGCACTTTGGAACTTTTGAAAATAATCCTTCCAGGAATGTTCCTACACATGTCATTTGGTGAACGTATGTGTGCATTCGTGTTTAGTATACAGCTAATAATTGATGTATATATATGTTCAGCTTTAGTAGACCCTGGCAAACAGTTTCTCAGAGTATTGTGCCAATTTACAGTTCTACTAACACTGTATGAAAGTTGCAGTTGCTATGCATCCTCTGTAACACTGGTTTTATCTATCTTTTCAATTTTAGTCATTCTTATGAGTATATAGTGGTATCATATTGTGATTTTAATTTGCATTCCCCTGATGACTAATTATTTGAGGATTCTTTTATATGTTTGTCGGCCATTTGGAAATTGTCTTTTGCAAAGCGCCTGCTCATAGCATTTGCTTATTTTTCTTTTGGGTTGTCTACCTTTTCTTGATTTGTAGGTGTTCTTTATTTATTCTGGGTTCAAGTACTTTGTTAAATTTATCACAAATATCTTTTCTCATTTATTAACTTGCTTACTTATTCCCTTATGATTTCTCCTGAACAGCTGATGTTTTTAGCTTGAATAAAGTCCACTTTATCAATCTTTTTATTTACGGCTGGTGTCTTTAGCCTTGTTTAAGGAATATTTCCCAATGCCAAGAGTATAAAGATAGTCTCCTATATTATTCTCTGGCAACATTATTGTTTCATCCTTCAACATTTAGATGTTTTTCCAAAATTTATTTTATTTTTGATTTGGGGTAAGGGTTGCTATGGTCTGAATATTTGTGTATTTTCAACATTTATATCTTGAAGCCTAATCATCAAGATGATGGGATTAGAAGGAGTGGGGATTTGGGAGGTGATTAGGTCATAAGTGCGAAGCCCTCATAAATGGAATTAGTGCCCTTATAAAAGAATTGTGAAGGAGCTTGTTAGCCCCCCTTGCTCTTCTACCATGTGAGGATGCAGAAAGAACATGCCATCTTTGAAGCAGAGAACAAGACTTCCACAGATACTGAATCTGCTGGTGCTTTGATCTTGGACTTCCCAGTCTTCAGAAATGTGAGCAATAAATTTCTGTTTGTAAATTACCCAGTCTAATGTATTTTGTTACACAGCAGCAGGAACAAAGACAGGACTCAAGTTTACTTTTTTTTTTCTTTAAGGATATTTCATTGACCTAAAATTATTTATTAAAAAGATCTTCAGTGAAGTATTTAGTTCGCCTTTCAGGGTGAATTTAAATTCACTTTTCAGGGTGGACATTTTCTGTGTTTTCAGAAAAAGCTATTACAATGAAACTTTTAGATATATGAAGATCTCAATATCTGCCAAAGTGCAGTTATAGTGACATTGTGGCTTTTGGAACCTGGGAGAATATTGCTTTTAAGAAAGTTGACATCTGTAATTAACTAGATTGTTCTGTGGAAGGAAATGAGTTAGACACAGATGAGAGGGAAAAATAGAGAAGGTGATTTGAGACCAGATCTTTTTACTGGTACTGGGTATGTACTTATTTGATTAGAGGGTTAAGGACAAGGATGAAAAGCTGACAGAATTATTCTCATGAGACTCCTTGAGAATCTGATTAAAGATTAGTTGCTTTGTGATCCAGGTGGCAGTGTGTTACACAGAGCTATACTGGAGCTTGTTTCCTGGTTCCTGCCTAGGCCTCAGCATTGCTCTGATTCTATTAGTACTGGCAGCCTTGGGAATATCTGAAGACAGTACACTTCCTAGGAATATGAGTGTTCTCACAGTGGGTACAGATAGGAGTAGCTATGGCTGATGAAAGTGGACAAGTGTGAGACACAATCAGAGAGAATTAGCCTGGCTGGTGGCAACTGATAGCTGCAGGCTGGTTTGTTGCCATGAAAGGTACCACTTTGGGAATATGTTGAGGTAAATGCTGTATCTGGCTATTATGTGAATGGGCCTATCAAATCAGCCTTCCTTTAGGTTATACTACCTTACAGTTGTAAGAATTCAGTAAATGCTATGAAAGTGCTTTATGAACTATAAAGGCCTATACAAATACAAAATCATGTTAAAACTCACTTTATGCAGTGGCTATACCATTGCCCTGGTACAGATTGGTATTTAATGTTTTACAAGAATGCTAAATAATTTTCATAAAGCCTGGCTGGATTTGTTTTAGGTAAAGGGGCTATGCTTATTTTTATGCTTGTCCCATTAGGTAAAGTAAAAAAGCACACACTTTTCCATAAATACATACCAGGTGGGCATTCACATCCCCCCCCGGCATCTTTGTCCTTTAGGCCTTCTGTTGCTCCTGCTTTGATGGCTCCCATGCTTGAGTGAGTCTCATTCTCTGCTTCTGCTCTCAGAGCTTCTCACTATTGCTGGATCCATTACAAATTCATGTTGGATAGTCACTGGTCCTTAGAAATCCTTTGATTCATCTGTTGTTGACTTTTATTTTTTTTCTAGAGGTGGCAATTCCAATTGGTTTGGAATCTGCTTCCACTCTTAACTCTAACTTTTGTAATTGATTTCCTTTGTATTTACTGAGAAGTGTGAATGTTTCAAATTTTATAATTTCATTCTTACTTTGTTTTCTTGTCAGTGCTAATGTCCCACTGGCCTTTTTATTGCCCCGTTGCTCAACCATGTTCTTTACTCAGTCCTAGTTCTTCTCAACTCTTTGCAGCATTCTACGTTGTTTATGCCTCTATAAGACCTGGATGTATTAAGTAAAAAGGAAATGCCCCATTTTCTCTTCTCCCTCTGTGCTTATATTTTTCTCTGTCCTTGGTTTCCATCATACTTCATATGTTCTGGTTTCTTTGCTAATCATTGTATATATTCATAGCTGAGTTTTCTTCTCCTGTCCAGACTAAAATGTTTGAAGGAATTGACTTTTAAAATACTTGTATTTTTATTTAATAAATCTGTATTTTTGGCTAAAAATCTGCTGAAATTCTCTCATTTTTCTTTTCTCTATTAATCTTCTTTTTATTACTTCATTCTTTTATTTTTCTCTCTCTTCTCTATTTTTATAAAAATTCTTCTTTTTCTGGCAACTTTCCCAAGACCTGTATATAGGCTTAAGTTACCTTAATTAACACATAGACACAGAATAAACATGTGTAGTTAAATTTTTTACTTGCAAACAATGGTAACCAATTATGGTTAAATTAAACACAAAAGTTATTTATTGTGAGTCTTGGGGAAGCTCATGAAAACAGTGGGAATGATAGAAATCTAGGATCTGGTTAGAAGCTTGACATATTTATATTTTCAAAAAAGTAGTATAAAACATAAAACAAGTAACAGAAAATAACTTTTCTTCAAGTTTCTAAATACATATTTATGTCCTGCTTAATCCTCCATACTCTCCTCCCTAATGTTCTACCAAGGGAAGTAAACTCCATCCACATGCAATTTCAGACTGGCTTATGATCAACTTCTCTTCAGTTCTGTTGTGATTCTATCTTGATATTCTGCAACCTATAGACTGAATTGTAAGGTTACAGACACCATAATACTTTATAAAAAGTGGCAAGGGAAAGGAAAAAGTAAAGGGAAATTATACGTCTAAAATTATTTAAACACATGCTCACACATGTGCACATACACATATGACCCATTGATGGAGGAAACACAATAAGCTTCAGCCTTTATTTCTGTAACTAGTCGTGAAGTTACATTGCTTTTGTGATTTCATCCTCTAGTACTCCTTTGATGTTCCCAGTGATTCCCTTAGGAAGGTTTATGGCCTCTGTATTAGTTTGTGGTGGGAAAAAGAAGCTCCAGGGGCTTCAGCTTGGTTCTATCATAATAGCTGGTAGAAGCATAGCAATATAAGAGCATGAATTCTCTCAGGTGTGAATCTTGGACTTTGCCACTTATTAGCTTTGTGACTTTGGGCAAGTTACCCAGCCCATTTGTGCCTTAGATTCTTTATCTGTAAAATTTGTAAAACAAGGATAATAATAATACAGGTTTGCTGTGAGGAACAAATAAGTAAATGCAAATGCGTGTGAAGAATTTATAACAGTGTCTGACACAGCGATTTTCAAGTGTCTTTGCTATTAGTATTAATATTAGCAGTAGTATTAGCAGTACGAGAAGTGTGCATCGCCTCAGGTCTGAGAATTGGATGACTCCCAAATATTATGAGTCTGAATGTACCTTAGTAAGCTACATATCTGTTTCCTAGGGATCTTATGTCACCAAATTCCCTGTGGTCAAAATATTCTGATTACCACACTGGCTATACTTCCAATTATAGTAAACAATCTCACTTGCATCTTCTGACTAAGGATCACTGCTGGGCTTTTGCCACCACAGAATCCTTCCTACCCTTTTGGAATCATTTTCTGTACTTTTATCCCAGGCCATTACTGTTTTCACTAAATGTCACTCATTTACTATGTTATAAGTATTTCTTCAGAACACCAAATTATTCCTAAAATTTTCTTCTGGTTTTCTATAATATATTACTTTCAGGCTTCTGCTGTTCTTCTGAGTCTTCATGCTTCATAATGAGCTTTTTTCCCCCTTTGTTTTCCACTTTGTTTCTTTCATTTTAAAAAAGAAATAGCTAGGCATGCTGGTTTACCACCTGTAATCCCAGCACTTTGGGAGGCTGAGGTGGGAGAATCTCTTGAGGCCAAGAGTTTGAGACAAGCCTAGTCAACATAGTGAGAACCCCATCTCTACAAAAAATAAAAAGTAAAAAAGGAATAGTTTCTCCAGACACAGTATTTGTCAAATGTTTTTGGCTTTTCTGACCACATGGATGGTGGTCAATCTCCTTCTGGATCTTCAGCGGGGGTGTACTTTATAACCAAGTTCCAGTATCTAGAAAGTTTAATGTCTTGTGGTTCTGCTGGTGTATGATGCTGACAACTGCCTGAACTTAACATGAAAATGGCAGTTTTGAGTACCCAGTTTTTCAAAGGGTTTTTTGATATTAATTCCCTGCCTACTAAGTTTTTCATAGGCAACAGACCTCCTAAAATGTCAAATATCCCTTCCAGTCATTTCTTCACCCCCTTTTCAACCAGTTTTCTGGAAGCTCTATCTCCTCCTGGGTATATAAAGAGAAACATTTATTAGGATTGTGGGCACAATTCTGTATGACTTGAAAATCTGCAGCAATGGGATGGTTGGTAAATTTCCTGTCTTCTCAGATTCTGACATTAGGTTGACGTTAGGCTGTTCTTGCATTGATATAAAGGAATACCTGAGACAGGGTAGTTTATAAAGAAAGGAGGTTTAATTGTACAGGAAGCATGGCTTGGACATCTGCTCAGCTTCTAGCAAGGCCTCAGGGAACTTTTACTCATGGTGGAAGAAGCAGGAGCAGGGATCTCACATGGCAAGGGGAGGAGCAAGAGAGATAGCTGGGGAGAGGTGCCACACTTTTAAACAACCTGATCTGCTGGGAGCTCACTCACTTTGGCAAGGTCAGTATCAACCCTTGAGGGATTCTTTCCCATGACTCAAACACCTACCAGGCCCCATCTCCCAGATTGGGAATTACATTTCAACATGAAATTTGGGGGGGGACAAATATTCAAACTATATCAACTATCAGCTACTAATCCTAATTTGTATGGATAATGTGAATTTCCGTTTTTTTGGTCTTCATAGTGTTTTAGTGAAAATATGGAAAAGGCTGCATCAAGCACAAATGCCCCTTTATATCAGAAGCTTTCATGCATAGAAGCTCTTGGGCAGAATTTCCCAGAGTGTATTTTGAAAACATTATTTCAAAAAATTACATTAAAAATGTTTCCCAAGACAATCCTGGACCTTTGGACTATATTGAAATAAAGAAAGTTAAATGTATTCCTTTAAACTAGGGCTTCTCAAAGCTTTTAATATGTGTATTAATAATGGTTAGCGATAGAGGGTGCTGTGCTGCCCAAACTTATTTGGAAACAAATCCCTCCAGCTGTGTTATTTTCCATAAATTATTTCTTGAGACTAGCATTCCATGGAACATATTTGGGAAAAAGGCGGGTTATAGGCCATTTTTTATTTTCTGAAAGATGCTGAGATCTTACTGGAGGTATTCACTTTGTCGTTGATTATCATTGAGAGAAGAGAGAAATGGCAATGGAGGGCATAAATTCTCAGCTAGAGCTTTTTCTTTTCTTTGGGACTAGTACTCCAAAGAGTTTGTCAAAAAGTGGCATAAATATCTAAACAGTTCATGTCCAGCAAAAAGTAATACATGTTTTCCATTTGCAAATAAATTTACTTCTCAGGTGGTTGACTGTGAAGGAAGTTCACACACATATAGTTCACTTCATATCACCTTGTTTGCTTCTATTCTGACCTCTATTCAATCTTCCCTGCTGATTTAACTCAACTGCTGGGATAGGATGAAATTTTGGCTTCTGAGGGAAAAGGAGTAAAATGTAGAAAGATTAATATCACTGTGTTTTGTTTTCTGATCCCGTTTTTTTAGAGCCCAAGCAGCTTGTATTTGACCATGAGTAGAGTGGGTAGGTCTGGTTTTAGGAGATCTAAATTGGATCTCAGCTTTACTGCCTTTGGAGACTGTAAATCCTGAGTATCAAGGACGGCTCATTGTTGTCTCGAATAGTGCTTCCCTACTCAAGCTATACTGTAGACTGTTAGCCACATTAGCCAAGGGTTGCAAACTTTAGGGATCATGCAGTTAATAATATTTAATGTGAAACAGGCTGTTTGTTCTATGACAAAGCATAACACTTGTATAGATACGTTGCCTTTTAAAACTTTGTGAGGGACAAAAAAATGCTGTCAATGCCCTCCCTCCATGTCCATCACTAGAGCCTGAAAGTCACCAGTTGATAATCCTTAATCTGAATACACAACAGCGAAATGCTGAGAACAGGGAGAGAGGAGGAACCGGGTAGCACTAGTATAGCTATAAAGTCTAAAGGGAAAGAGAAATGAGGTGGTTTAAGGTGGTAAACATTTACTTCACCAGCATTTGGGAACTTCTAGTGTAGAATGTCCAGGGCAACTGTGTACTAGCCAGCCCCATCCTAGCTGGAGCTTGTGGAATCTGAGTCTGTATTTTTAGGAATTTTGCCAAGAATGTAATAACTATGAAACTAACAAATATTTGCCACAGGGCAGACCCCATCACTGTGGTGTTAAAAAGCTTGCCAAATGCCAGTAAGTTATGCTTGAATTCTATATCTTAGATAAAATAACTATCCCTAATGTGTCAAAGATTGTCAAATGTTTTTCATATTCTTTAACAAGATCACCAACAGCAAATATTCCATATGGAGTTTACCCAGCAGTTATAATTAATTTGTAAGCTTGTTGATGGAAAGGATTGTTAGTTAAGATTGTTGATTGAGAGCAAAAATTCAAAACAGTTTTAGTTCAACCAAGAGATTTGTTTGAAAAGTACTGGCTGGATCACAGTGTTAATGGAAAAGCTGTTAAAATCCAGTTTTAGTAGGTGTGGTGGGTTATACTGAGTGTCAACTTGATTGGATTGAGGGATACAAAGTATTAATCCTGGGTGTATCTGTGTGGGTGTTGCCCAAAGAGATTAATGTTTGAGTTGGGGCCGGGGAAGGCAGATCCACCCCAGATCTATATTGTGGGCACAATCTAATCATTTTCTAGTGAATTTAAAGCAGACAGAAAAATGTGAAAAAGAGAGATGGGCCTCACCTCCCAGCCTACATCTTTCTCCAGTGCTAGCTGCTTTCTGCCCTCAAACATCGGATTCTAAGTTCTTCAGTTTTGGGACTCGGACTGGGTCTCCTTGCTCCTCAGCTTGCAGACAGCCTATTGCGGTCCTTGTGATCATGTAAGTTAATACTTAATAAACTCCCCTTTAAATATATATACACATATATCATATTAGTTCTGTCCCTCTAAGAAAAACCTGACTAATATAGTAGGCTACCTTTGGATATTTGATTGCTATTAGGGCTCTCTGTCTCCATATCTCTATCTTCTCTGCTTTTCTCCAAATTTTGATCCTATTGTCCCTTTCATGTAGGTGAGATGTTTCTTTTGAAAAATCCTCATTGAAGCTATGTTAAATTTTGGCATTGGTTCTGGAGGAATTCTGGAAAAATGCAGGTGGTCTTGGGATGACAGATGACTGGGTACTGAGTGGAGAAGGATTTTAGCCTCTGTCATTCCAACAACATGGCTTATGTTTAGATGAGATTCATTGCTGTCTAACACTGACATAGGGTTAGATGGGTCACTTGGCAGGGGGAAGGGAGGAATTTGGTACCTAATCTTATGGTACCCATGAACATAATGATTAATTTCTACCTAAATGCTTCTAGAAATAGGGAATCCTTGTTTCAAAGAAGTACACTTTAATAGCTATATCATTACATTATTTCTGTATATTGAGATGTATTATTACCTCTTAATTTATAGAGATTCCATATGATCAAACATTCTTACATGATGCAGTTCTTCAATATTTGAATACTGTTTTCAAGTCCTTTGAAGTCATCTCCTCAGGGTTATTTATCTTCTGTTCTTCCAGTTACATCGCTGGTGAATGACACTTTAAAATTGCTGCAACTATTTAGTAGTACAGATCAAAACCTTGCTAATGTTTTGGCTTATTAGTCCCACTTCTAAGAGTTTATTCTAAGAAAATAATTATTTATGTAAAGCTATGACTTAAGATACTTTGTGTGGAAAAAGGAGAGTAATTTATACTACTTGAAAGTTATAATGGCTTAAATGTCCAATGATAATAAGTTGGCCAGATTTTGATTTGTTCATATGATGGGGTATTATACTGCCATTAAAATACTGCATAAATTTACCAGTTGACAGAAATTATGTTCATTCTAAAATGTGGTTTCGGCTTTTTTTTTGGCTGTATAATGAATCTCCCAGATATTAACACTGAGTTTTTGTCTCAAAAAATTAGTGTCTTAAAACAGAAACGATTTCTTTCTCATGATACCGTGGGTCAGCAATCTGGGGGATTTGCCTGTCTCTTCTGAGAGCACTTATGTAGCTGTAGTTATCTGATGGTTTTAACTGATGTCAAAGAGCCCAAGATAGCTTCACTTATCTGAATGGTGGTTGGTGATGTTGAATGGAGTGTCTCAGTTATTTGAAGCTCCATAACTCACACCGTGTTACTTTTACCACATGGGTCAAAGCAGCTCACATATCCAGCCCAGATCTAAGTGATAAGGAAATAGCTTACCTTTTGATGTGATGAATAGAGCTACAAATGATTTGTGGCCGTGTTTAAGATCTGCTAAAAATATCTAGTAAAAAAAAGGTTGTAAGAACTTCACTCATTTTTTATAATGTTGTTGTTATACACACACACACAAATTTCTGGAATGGTAAATGAACAAATGTTAAAAGTGACTTTTTATGGGTGATAGGATTATAATTATTTTGTGGAATTATTTCTATCAGTGGTTTATTTACGATTATCTAAATTTTCAAAACTAATCAATTTTGTCATTAATGTAAGACAGACCTCTCAAAATCGAAATCTTTGTGTTTTTTGTGTACATCCCTACTCTTCTGCTCTCTTACAGGTGCCCTGAAGGTCATTTTTCTCTTCCCTAGCTTAAAAAGCTTAAAAAAGTTTTGCAAAGGAGGAGATTCAGATATAATTTATCAATAAGAATGGCGAGAGGAGGTGGCATAGGGGCAACTTGGAGTGTAGAGAAAAAGTGGAGTGACTCCATATGGGGAAGGGGAAGGAGGGCTGTCTATCCTACACCAGGAACACCTAAGCAGCCTTTAAGGTGCCCCTTTCATGAACCTGTTATCTGCCCACTGCCCTCCATCCAACATCCAATTACGTGGGACACCTACAAAAACTCAATGGATAGAATATGGTGGAAAGGAGAGAGGTTATACTGTTCCTGACCAAGGGATCAGGAAGTAAAAAGATTCTGCAATTTCCCTGTCAATGGGCAAAAGAAGGGGAAAGAGGACACACTGCCATTGTTGTATTTAAATTTAAAACGAAAACAAAACCTTAAAATATTTGAAAAAAAATCCTGGACCGAGCATTGACTTTCTAGTAATCAGATGAGAAGAAATCATTAGAATAGCTTCATTTTCTTGTTCCAAGTACAATTTCTTTTGCTAGAAGCTTCTGTTGCTCCATAAATCAACACTTGTTAGATACAATTATTCAACTAGGTGTATCAAACTGGCAAATTATATTACCGTCTAGTTTCTATTTCCCTATCTTTAATAGAACACCACAAAAGGGGTTTTGTTAAATACTTTTCAGAAATTAATATGCACTTTGTTTATAGTCTTCCTTTTCTTAGGCTACTAGACTGACTTATAGAGGATGAGGTTATTTGGCAGAGCTTATTCTTTGTTGCTACATGGTGGGTTCCAATGATCACCACCTCCTTTTCTAAGTGCTCACAAATTGCTTCCTCAAATCTCTTTAATGAGGGTCTTGCTAGGGTTGTTGGAGATCTTGTTAAGCTCACTGGATAGCACTGACAAAATTATAATTTAATCAGGAAAACCAAAATCACCTACATGAAATAATTGTTAGTACTTAAGGGATTGTCTTAATGAGTAACTACCCGCTTCCTGAAATGTCTTCCCTCCAGCTTTGCCTCTTAAAATGGCCCCCCACACCCACACCAGCTTTAGTTCTAATTCCTTTTCAAAGCCTTCTCTGGTGTCTGGTGTACGAGGCCACATTTAACTCTTATTTTTCCCAATTTTTATTGCACCTACTGTCTGCACTTTGCAACCTAGTATTCAATATATTTTTGTGTTGCCTCAGAAAGTAGGGATACATATCTTCTGCTGTATCTCGGCAACAAGTTTATTATGTAATACTAGACTCCCATCAATAACTTAGCAAACGCTGATTCACTTGGCAGTTAAGAATTATTATTTTTCTTTGTAGTCTGCTTTTTCTGAAATTGTGTATTACCTTCTGAACTCTAGAATATTCTTTTTTTTTTGACCATTGTGTACTATCTTCTTAGCCTTCCTTGCCCTGTGTCTGCCCTGAACTTAGAATTAGAATTTTGCCTTTGTCTTTGTAAATTTATTATTTTTAAAAATGTTGATAATTTTATGAGAGTGCACTAATATCTCAACAGAAGGTTGAGAAGATGATACCTTTTGAATTTTTAAATCTGATATCCAGAACTTGAAAATTAACTTAGTTTCTTATTTATTTATATCAGCATTCAGGAATTTAGTGCAAGGGATAGCAGTGTATCTTCTTTTAAGCACTCAAGAGCAACATTCTAAGAAGTAACATTATTTGAATTTAAGTAATAGACTATACTTGAAGTATCACTTAGTGTCTATGTGTGTTTCCTTCCTTTTTATTTAAGACTTTGTTTTTTTTTAGAGCAGTGATAGATTCACAGCAAAATTAAGAGAGAAACGTTGAGATTTCCCATGTATTCCCTTCCCTGCACATGCACAGTCTCCTCATCATCAACATCACCCAGAAGAATGGTACATTTATTACAATTAATGAAGCTACACAGACATATCATAATCACCCGAAGTTCATTGTTTACATTAGGGTTCATTTTTGGTGTTGTACATTCTGTGGGTTTGCAAAAAATGTATAATGACATGTATCCATAATTAATTATCACACAGAGTATTTTCATTGCCCTCAAGATGCTCTGTGCTCCACTTATTCATCCTTTCTTCCTCCAAACTCTTGGACACTACTGATTTTTTATTATCTCCATAGTTTTACCTTTTCTACAATGTTATATAGTTAGAATCATACAGTATGTAGTCTCTTCAGATTGGATTCTTTCACTTAGTACTATGCAGTTAAGTTTCCTCTATATCTTTTCATGGCTTTATAGCTCATTTCCTTTTAGCTCTGTGTAATACTCCATTGTTTGAAGGTACCACAGTTTATCCATTCATCTACAGAAGGACATCTTGGTTGCTTCTAAGTTTTGGCAATTATGAATAAGACTGCTGTCTGTACCCATATGCAGGTTTTTGTGTGAACACGTTTTCAACTCCTTTGGGTAAATACCAAGGAAAACCATTATTGAATAATACAGTAAGAATATGTTTAATTTTGTAAGAAAATGCCAAGCTTTCTTTAAAAGTGGATATACCATTTTACATTCCTAAAGCAATGAATGAGAGTTCCTGTTGCTTCACATCTTCACCAACTTTTGGTATTATCAGTGCTCTACATGTTGACCATTCTATTAGATACGTAGTGGTATCTCATTTTTGTTTGTATTTGCATTTCCTTGATGACATGATTAGGAACGTCTTTTCATATATTTATTTGCCATCTGTATAGCTTCTTTGACGAGATGTCTATTAAGATCTTTGGCCCATTTTAAATTGGGTTGTTGTTTTCATATTGTTGAGTTTCAACAGTTATTTATATATTTTGGATCATAATTTTTTTTATCAGATTTGTCTTTTGCAAATATTTTCTCCCCTTCTGTGGCTTGTCTTTTCATTTTATTAACATTGTATTTCACAGAGAAGTTTTTATTTTAATAGAGTTCAGCTTACCAATGATTTGTTTTATGGATTATGCCTTTGGTGTTGTATCCAATAAGTCAGTGCCATACCCCAGGTCATCTAGGTTGTCTGCTGTTATAGTCTAGGCTTTTTATAGTTTTGAATTTTACACTTAGGTCTGTGATTCACTTTGAGGTAATTTTTATCAAGGGTGGAAAGTCTGTGTCTAGATTCATTTTTTTTTTTTTTGCATATGGATGACCAGTTGTAACATCATTTGTTGAAATGTCTGTGTTTCTCCATTATATTGCCTTTATGCCTTTGTCAAATATCTATTGATTGTATTTATGTCTATTTCTGAGCTCTCTATTCTGTCTTCTTGATCTCTTTGTCTACTCATTTACCACTACCACACTGTCCTGATTACTGTGACTTTATAGTAAGTCTTAAAGTTGGGTAGTGGCAGTCCTCCAACTTTGTCCTTTTCCTTCAATATTGTGTTGGCTATTCTGAGTCTTGCTTTTACACAGAAACTGTACTATCAGTTTGCTGATATCCTCAAAATAACTTGCTGAGATTTTTATTTGGGTTGCATTGAATCTATAGATCAACTTGGAAAGGACTTGTTAATATGTCTGTAATATCTATGTTTTGATAATAGTGAGTCTTCCTATGCATGAACATGGAATATTTCTTCATGTATTCAGTTCTTTGATTTTGTTCATCAGAGTATTATAGCTTTTCTTTTACATATTTTGCTAAATTTATACATAAGTATTTCATTTTCTTGGGTGCTAATGTAAATGGTATTGTATTTTTAGTTTCAAACCCTCTTTTTTAAGTTTGCAAATGCAAATTAAAACCACAATGAAATATCACCTCACACCTGTTAGAATGGCTGTTGTCAAAAAGACAAAATATAACAGGTGCGGGCAAAGATATGGAGAAAAGGAAATCTTGTGGACTGTTAGTGAGAATGTAAATTAGTACAATCGTGTTGGAAAATAGTGTGGAGAGTCTTCAAAAAACTAAAAAAAATAAAATTACCATATGATCTTGCAATCCCACTACTGTGTATCTATCCAAAGAAAAATAAAATTGCTATGTAGAAGAGATGTTTACATTCCCATGTTTATTGCAGCATTCTTCACATTTGCTTTTATATGTTAACCATTAACCCTGTATCCTGCAACCTTGCTATGATTGCTTATTTGTTCCAGGAGTTTTTTTTTTTTTTGATTTTCTACGTAGATTATCATGCCATCTGTAAACAAAGACTGTTTTATTTCTGCCTCTCCCTTCTGTACACCTTTTATTTCCTTTTATTGCCTTACTGAATTAGCTAGTACTTCCAGTACAATGTTGAAAAGGAGGTGAAAAGAGGAGACAATCCTGCCTTGTTCTTGATATTAGTGTGAAAACTTTGATTTTCTCACCATTAAGTATGATGTTGGCTGTATTCTTGTCGTAGATATTCTTAAGAAAATTCCCCTCTATTCCTAGTTTGCTGAGAGGTTTCATCATGAATGGGCGTTGCATTTCTCAAACGTTTTCTCTGCATCTATAAATATGATCATGTGATTTTTTTAGCCTGTTGACGTGGTAAATTATATAATTGAGTTTTAAATGTTGAGTGAGTCTTGCATACCTGGTATAAATCTCAGTTGGTTGCAGTGTATAATGTCTTTATACAATGTTGGATTCAATTTGCTAATATTTTGCTGATTATTTTTGCATCTATATTTATAAGAGGTTTTGGTCTGTAGTTTTCTTTGTTTTAATTTTAATTTTAATTTTAGGTTTGGGAGTACATGTGAAGGTTTGCTACATAAATAAACGCATGTCACAGGGGCTTGTTGAACATTCTATTACATCACCCAGGTATTAAGTCCAGTACCCAGTCATTATCTTTTCTGCTCCTCTGCCTCCTCCCACCTTCCATCCTCAAGTAGACCCCATTGTCTGTTGTTTCCTTCTTTGTGTTCATAAGATCTTATCATTTAGCTCCCACTTATAAATGAGAACATGCAGTGTTTGGTTTTCTGTTTCTGAGCTAGTTTTCTGAGAATAATGGCTTCTAACTCCATCCATGTCCCTGCAAAGGACATGATCTCATTTTTTTTATGGCTGCATAGTATTCCATAGTGTATATGTACCACATTTTCTTTATCCACTCTATCATTGATGGGCATTTAGGTTGATTCCATGACTTTGCTATTGTAAATAGTGCTGCAATGAACATACACGTGCATTATAATAGAATAATTTCTAATTCCTTTGGGAATATACCCAGTAATGGGATTGCTGGATCAAGTGATATTTCTGCCTCTAGGTCTCTGAGGAATCGCCACACTGTCTTCCACAATGGCTGAACTAATTTACACTCCCACCAATGGTGTATAAGGGTTCCTTTTTCTCCACAACCTTGCCAGGATCTGTTGTTTTTTGTCTTTTTAATAATAACCATTCTGATTGGCATGAGATGGTATCTCATTGTGGTTTTGATTTGTAGTTCTCTAATGATCAGTGATGCTGAGCTTTTTTTCATGTGTTTGTTGACCACATGTATGTCTCATTTTTAGAAGTGTTTGTTTATGTCCTTTGTCCATTTTTCAATGGGGTTGTTTTTCTCTTGTAAATTTAAGTTCCTTATAGATGCTGGGTATTAGATCTTTGTCAGATGCATAGTTTGCAAATATTTTCTCACATTCTGTAGGTTGTCTGATTACTCTGTTGATAGTTTCTTTTGCTGTGCAGAGGCTCTTAGTTTAATTAGATCCCATTTGTCAATTTTTGCTTTTGTTGTGATTGCTTTTGGTGTCTTTGTCATGAAATCTTCACTTGTTCCTGTGTCCAGGATGGTATTGCCTATGTTGTCTTCCAGGGTCTTTATGGACTGCAGCAGTACCATCTCTGCTCACTGCAGCCTCTGCCTCCTGGGTTCAAGTGATTCTTGTGCCTCAGCCTCCCGAGTACCTGGGACTACAGGTGTGCACCATCACACCCAGCTAATTTTTTTGTATTTTTATTAGAGACAGGGTTTCACCATGTTGGTCAGGCTGGTCTCGATCTCCTGGCCTCAAGCAATTCACCCACCTCAGTTTCCCAAAGTTCTGGGATTACAGGCATGAGCCACCACTCCCATCCTTAATCCATACTGAGTTGATCTTTGTATATGGTGTAAGGAAGGGGTCCAGCTTCAACGTTCGGCAAATGGCTAGTCAGTTATCCCAACACTATTTATTGAATAAGGAGTCTTTTCCCCATTGCATGTTTTTGTCAACTTTGTCAAAGATAAGATGGTCATAGATGTGTGGCCTTACCTTTGGGCTCTCTAGTCTAGTCCATTGGTCTACGTACCTGTTTTTGTAGCAGTACCATGCTGTTTTGGTCACTGTAGCCTTGTAGTACAGTTTGAAGTTGGGTGATGTGATTCATCCAGCTTTATTCTTTTTGCTTAGGATTGCCTTGGCTATTTGAGCTCTTTTTTGATTCCATATACATTTTTAAATAATGTTTTCTAGTTCTGTGAAGAATGTCATTGTCGTTGGATAGGAATAACATTGAATCTGTTAATTGCTTGGGGGCAGTATAGCCATTTTAATGATATTGATTATTCTTATTAATGAGCATAGAATATTTTTTCATTTATTCGTGTATTCTCTGATTTATTTGAGCATTGTTTTGTAATTCTTATTGTAGAGCTCTTTTACCTTCCTGGTTACCTGTATTCCTAGGTATTTTATTTTTTTCATGGCAATTGTGAGTGGGATTACCTTTGTGATTTGGCTCTTGGTTTGGTTGTTGTTGGTATATAGGAATGCAAGTGACTTTTGTACATTGATTTTGTACCCTGCAACTTTGCTGAAGTTGTTTATCAGCTGAAGGAGCTTTTGGACTAAGACTATGGAATTTTCTAGATATAGGATCATGTCATCTGCAAACAGAGATAGTTTGACTTTCTGTCTTCCAATTTGGATGCCTTTCATTTATTTCCCTTGCCTAATTGCTCTGGCTAGGACTTCCAATACTATGTTGAATAGAAGGGGTGAGAGAGGGCATCCTTGTCTTGTGCCAGTTTTCAAGGGGAATACTTCCAGCTTTTGCCCACTCAGTATAATGTTGGCTGTGGGTTTGTCATATGTGGCTCTTATTATTTTGAGGTATGTTTCTTCAATACCTTATTTACTGAGAGTTTTTTTTTAACATGAAGGGATATTGAATTTTATCAAAAGCCTTTTCTGTATCTATTGAAATAATCATGTGGTTTTTGTCTGTAGTTCTGTTTATGTGATGAATCACCTTTATTGATTTGTGTATGCTGAACCAACCTTGCATCCTAGGGATGAAGCCTACTTGATCATGGTGGATTAGCTTTTTGGTGGGCTGCTGGATTTGGTTTGCAACTATTTTGTTGAGGATTTTTGCACTGATGTTCATCAAAGATATTGGCCTGAAGTTTTCTTTTTTTATTGTATATCCGCCAGGTTTTAGTATCAAGGTGATGCTGGCCACATAGAATCAGTTGAAGAGGAACTCCCTCCTCCTCAATTTTTGTGGAATATTTCAGTAGGAATGGTACCAGCACTTCTTTGTACATCTGACAGAATTTGGCTATGAATCTATCAGGTCCTGGGCTTTTCTTGATTGGTAGGATATTTATTACTGATTCACTTTTGGAGTTCATTATTGGTCTATAGGGAATCAGTTTCTTTCTGGGTCAGTCTTGGGAGGGTGTATGTGTCCAGGAATTTATCCATCTTCTCTAGGTTTTCTAGTTTGTGTGCGTAGAGTTGTTCATAGTGGTTTCTGGTGGTTGTTTTTATTTCTGTGGGGTCAGTAGCAAGATTCCCTTCATTTCTAATGTGTTTATTTATATCTTCTCTGTTTTCTTCTTAATTAGTCTAGCTGATTAGTCTAGCTAGTGGCTTATCTATTTTATCAATTTCTTCAAAAAACAAACTCCTGGATTCATTGATCTTCTGAATGTTTTTTCGTGTCTCCATTTCCTTAGTTCAGGTCTGATTTTTGTTATTTCTCACCTTCTGCTAGCTTCGGGGTTGATTTGTTCTTTTTTCTCTAATCCTTTCAGTTGCAAGGTTAGCTTGTTAATTTGAGATCTTTCTACCTTTTCGATGTGGGCATTTAGCGCTATGAATGTCCCTCTTAACACTGCCTTAGCTGTGTCCCAGAGATTCTGATAGTTTGTATCTTTTTTCTCATTATTTCAAAGAATTCATTGATTTCTACCTTAATTTCATTTAGAGGTATGTAGTCAATTTCCATGTAATTGTATGGTTTTAAGCTACTTTCGTTGTGTAGACTTCTATTTTTATTGCACTGTGGTCTGAGAGGATGTTTGGTATGATTTTGGTTGTTTTACATTTGTTGAGGATTGTTTTATGTCAAATTATTAGAGTATGTGGTGATGAGAAGAATATATATTCTGCTGGTTTTGGGTGAGGACTTCTGTAAAGGTCTGTCAGATCCATTTGGTCCAATGCTTAGTTTAGGTCCTGAATATCTTTGTTAATTTTCTGCCTCAATGATCTGTCTAATATTGTCAGTGGAGTGTTGAAGTCTCCCACTATTATTGTGTGAGAGCCTATGTCTCTTTGTAGGTCTCTAAGAACTTGCTTTATGAATCTGGGTGCTCCTGTGTTGGGTTCATACATATTTAGGATAGTTAGATTTTCTTGTTGAACTGAACCCTTTACCATTATTTAATGCCCTTCCTTGTCTTTTTTGATCTTTGTTGGTTTGAAATCTGTTTTGTCTGAAATTAGGATTGCAACCCCTGCTTTTTTCTGTCTTCCATTTGCTTGGTAGATTTTTCTTCATCCCTTTATTTTGAGTATATGGGTGTCATTATGTGTGAGATGGGTCCCTTAAAGACAGCATATCATTGAGTCTTGCTTTTTTAAATCCAGCTTGCCACTCTGTGCCTTTTAAGTGGAGCATTTAGCCCACTTACATTCAAGATTAGTATTGGTATGCATGGATTTGATCTTGTCATTGTGCTGGTAGCTGGTTATTATGTTAGCTTGTTTGTGTGGTTGCTTTATAGTGACACTGGTCTGGGTTTTTAAGTGTGTTTTTGTATTAGCTGGTAGCAGTCTTTCCTTTCTGTATTTAGTGCTCCTTTCAAGATCTCTTTTAAGGCATATCTGGTGGTAATGAAGTCCCTCAACATTTGCTTATCTTTAAAGGATCATATTTCTCCTTAACTTAGGAAGCTTAGTTTGGCTGTATATGAAATTATTGGTTGAAGATTTTTTGTTATTTTCTTTTTTCTTTTCCGAGATGGAGTCTCACTCTGTCACCCAGGCTGAAGTGCAGTGGCCCAATCTCAGCTCACTGCAACCTCCACCTCCCAGGTTCAAGCAATTCTCCAATTCTCCTGCCTCAGCCTCGTGAGTAGCTGGGATTACAGGCATGCACCACCACGTCTGGCTAATTTTTTTTTTTTTTTAGTAGAGACTTGGGTTTCACCATGTTGGCCAGGCTGGTCTTAAACTCCTGACCTTGTGATCCACCCACCTCGGCCTACCAAAGTGCTGGGATTATAGGCATGAACCACCGTGCCCAGCCCATTTTTTTTTCTTTAAGAATGTTGAATATAGGCCCTCAATCTCTTCTTATAGTGTTTCAGCCGAGAGGTCTGCTGTTAGCCTGATGGAGATCTCTTTGTAGGTGACCTTCCCTTTCTCTTTATCTGCCTTTCACATTTTTTCTTTCATTTTAACCTTGAAAAATCTGATGATTATGTGTCTTGGATGATCTTCTTATGTTGAATCTTGCAGGAGTTCTCTGTATTTCCTGAATTTGACTGTTGACCTCTCTAGCAAGGATGGGGAAGTTTTCGTGGATGATATTCTGAAATACATTTTCCAAGTGGTTTGCTTTCTCCCTCTCCCTTTCAGGGATACAAATGATTCATAGATTCATCCTCTTTATATAATCCCATACTTCTCAGAGGTTTGTTCATTCCGTTTTATTCTTTTTTCTTTATTTTTATGCCTTATTTCAGAGAACCAGTCTTCAAGTTCTGAGATTCTTTCTTCAACATGGTTTATTCTGTTGTTAATACTTGTGATTGCATTGTGAAATTCTTGTATTGTGTTATTCAGCTCTGTCAGACCTGTTAGATTCTTGTTTTATATCGGTTATTTTGCCCTTCAGGCAATTTATATTGAATCGCCAGGCAGAAACGCTTGTTTTCTTTCCTACTTTTCCCCAAACAAACAGTGTTTCTCTCTTTGTTCCAAGCCACCCAAAGCTTGGGGGTTGAGTGACACAAGCACCCCGTGACCTCCACCACTGTGACTGTGCTGGGTCAGACCAGAAGCCAGCATAGTACTAAGTCTTGCCTAAGGCCTACTGTAGCCATTCCCTGGCTACTGCTTATGTTCGCTCACCTCCCTGGAGCTCTACCTACAATCAGCAGGTGGCAAAGCCAACCAGGCCTGTGTGCTTCCTTTCAGGGTGGTGAGGTCCCTCAGGCCCAGGTAGGTCCAGAGGGACTAGAGTAAAAAAACTTAGGAGTCTACCTGGTGTTCTATTTTACTGCGGCTGAGCCGACACTCAAACCACAAGACACAGTCCTCCTCACTCTTCTCTCCCCTTTCCAAAGGCAGAGAAGCCTCACCCTGTAGCTACTGCCACCCCAGGCCAAAAGGAGTACTGCCAGCCTATTAGCCAATGTTTCTTTAAGGCCCAAGGGCTCTTAAGTGAGCTTGTCAAGAAAGCTGCCTGGCCCAGGACTCCCTTCAGGGCAGTGGGCTCCCTTCTGACCCAGGGCAGGTCTAGAAATGCCATCCAAGCGTCAAGTCCTGGAATCAGGAACCCTAGGAGCCCTCTTGGTGCTCTGCCATGCTGGTACCTAAGGTGCAAGACAAAATGCCCTTTACTTTTCTCAAGCAGAAGGAGTTTTGTCCCGTAGTTATCACCACTGGTAATGCGCTGAGTCTCTTTCACCTGAAGCCCACAAGTCTCAGAGGCTCATCTAAGGCCCTCGATGTAGTACCTGGGTATCATTGCTGGTTATTCAGGGTTCAAAGGCTCTTCAGTTAGCAGCTGATGAATGCTACCAGGACTGCATCCTTTCCTTCATGGCATCTCAGTCACATGTACCCCAAATCTACTCTCTCTCAGCCTGGTTCTGCCCTAGGATTTGCCTAAGAGTTGCAGTCTTTGTGACCTAAACTGCCTTTCAAGTTTACTTAGAGACTGTGAGCCCTTTGGCCCTCAGTGGCAAGGTTTGTGGGCACTCAAGTTTGGACTGCTGGGATTGGCAATTCCCCTCTCGCTAGGGCTGGTTTAAATGCTGCCCCTCTGGGCAGGCATCAGCTGAGTTTGGTCTGGTTTTCCTTTCTGCTCTAGCAGAGCAGCACTGAGTTCATGCCCCACAATTGCTGTGTTCTTCCTCCCCCAGTGCCTAGAGATGCTCTCCGCACCACACTGTGGAGGGGTGGCATCAGTGATTCAGGACTTTAAAAAAAATCTCTTCAGTGCCTCTTTCAGTGATATGAAGTTAAAACCAGTTACTATGAGAGCTTACTTTACTTTTGGTTTTTATGAAGGTGTTTTTTCTGTGTAGTTTTTGTTGGTGTCCTTGTGATTGGGGTATGATCGGTGAGCCTTCTATTCGGCCATCTTGCCCCACCTTCTACATTCATAAAATTTGTAAAGCTCATCAAGGTATTATGCCTAGTATCCATTAGTTATTTTTCCTGATCCTCTCCCTCCTCCTACCCTCCACTCTTTAATAGACCCCAATGTGTGTTGTTTCTCTCCATGTGTTCATATGTTCTCATCATTTAGCTCCCACTTATAAGTGACAACAAGTGGTATTTGGTTTTTCTGTTCTTGTGTTAGTTTTCTAAGGATTATGGCCTCCAGCTCCATCCATGCCCCTGTGAAGGACATGATCTTGTTCTTTTTTATGGCTGCATAGTATTCTATGATGTATATGTACCACATTTTCTTTATCCAGTTTTATATCTGGGTGATGGAATAATCTGTACAACAGATCCCCATGACACAAGTTTACCTATGTAACATACCTGCACATGTATCCCTGAATTCAAAATAGAAGTTAAAAAAACATATAGATAAAAATCAGTGTAATTGAGATATCCATCATCTAAATATTTGTCTTTTTTTCTGCTAGAACCATTCAAATTATTCTCCTCTAGTTATTTAAAAAAATACTGTAGATTATTGTGAACTATAGTCACCCTACTAATTGATCAAACACTAGGTCTTATTTCTTCCATCAAACTGTGTGTTTGTATCCATTAATCAATCCTTCTTTGCTCCTCCATCACCCGTGTACTTTCTGGCCTCTATAACCACCAATCTGCTCTCTATCTACATGAGATCCACATTTTAAGTTCCCACGTACAAGTGAGAATACGCAATATTTGTCTTTCTGTGCCTGGCTTATTTAGATGAATATAATGACCTCCAGTTCCATTCATATTGCTGGAAAGGAAAAGATTTTGTTGTTATTTTTTTTTATAGCTGAGTAGTATTCCATAGTGTATACCACATTTTCTTTATCTGTTCATTGGCAGAAGTTTAAGAACCAGCGAAAAATTCACCATCCACAAAAAATGACACTAGGCCCACTGGAAGAGGGCAAGCCTGGATCAGGCTTCTGCAGTTCCTTGGTACATCTGGCATTCCTTTCATTTATCATTAATTTCCAGCAGCCCCACATGCTTACAAAGATTCCTGTTACCGTGTTTCTTGGGCTTGAGAAGGGCACTATGGCCCTAACTAGTATGTTAAAATATTATAATACTTTTAATTTTTATGAAGATGAAACTACCTTGAAGTCATGTAAGTTAAATTTTCCTATATTTTATTTTAAAATATATTTTCAGAAAAATAGGAGGTTGCTTACATTTTGTTCTTGGGCCATAGATTTTATCTCTATTACCAATGACAACCATGCAATTTTCTAGAGAAAACTTTAACTTAAATCGGTGCAATATTATCACATGGTTCTTTATAAGATTTTAAATTTGCTGATGCATTACGAATCTATTGAGTCTAACAATGATTAACATGACTGATTAACATGACTTTTACCTTCCTATTAAATGATATGTTGTAACATATATTCACTTACTTATGCTGAGAGATTCATTCTGTAGAAATGTCCTTCTTTTGAAAAATCTTGTTAATATAATGATGTATATTTCTAAAGGAACAATCTAATGGGTGGCCTGAGAAGAGTGGCAGATGGTCCAGCATTGCACAGAGATGTAAAGTCAGGTATGATGCCTAATGGTGTTTACTAGGATCACGGTGCAGTAGGAGTGAATGAAAGATTGCTCTCAGTCTGAATCCTGTAGGCCAATTCTAGGAACTCAAACTATTAGGCTTGTCCACAAGTTGGGAAGGTGGAGTACATCTGGAAACTCGACTAAGATTCAGTTTCCCTGTTGCATTTACTCTGTCCCCAGGTTACCTAGAGGCCAGAAAACATGGAGATGGGGATACTGAGGAGTATTATGACTGGTCCAAGAATGATCACTATCAACTTTTCTACCTTCATATGCAGATTAAAATTCTGTAACCCTGACAAAATTCAACTCTTGAGGAAATCTGAAGAAAATAAAAATTCTGAACCTAGATATTTAATAATTCTAGGGTCTTGGGAATCATATGAAATTTAGGGGATGTGGTAAAACAGCACTAATTAATCATTTATTTGTCCATTCATCCATCCACCCAGTAATTATTCACTGGCTCTTAGAAATACCAGATGTTCTGCTGGGTGTTAGAGTAGACAAGCAGATTAAAGACAAGGTTCTAGGCTTCACGGACCTTGTGACTTAGGTTAACAATTATTTTATTTTTTTCTTTTTCTTTTCTTTCTTTCTTTCTTTCTTTTTTCTTTTTTTTCTTTATTATTATACTTTAAGTTCTAGGGTACATGTGCACAACGTGCAGGTTTGTTACATATGTATACATGTGCCATGTTAGTGTGCTGCACCCATTAACTCATCATTTACATTAGGTATATCTCCTAATGCTATCCCTCCCCACTCCCCGCACCGCATGACAGGCCCCGGTGTGTGATGTTCCCCTTCCTGTGTCTAAGTGTTCTCATTGTTCAATTCCCACCTATGAGTGAGAACATGCGGTGTTTGGTTTTCTGTCCTTGCGATAGTTTGCTGAGAATGATGGTTTCCAGCTTCATCCATGTCCCTACAAAGGACATGAACTCATCCTTTTTCATGGCTGTATAGTAGTCCATGGTTTATATGTGCCACATTTTCTTAATCCGGTCTATCATTGATGGACATTTGGGTTGATTTCAAGTCTTTGCTATTGTGAATAGTGCCACAATAAACATATGTGTGCATGTGTCTTTATAGCAGCATGATTTATAATCCTTTGGGTATATACCCAGTAGTAAGATGGCTGGGTCAAATGGTATTTCTGGTTCTAGATCCTTGAGGAATTACCACAGTGTCTTCCACAATGGTTGAACTAGTTTACAGTCCCACCAACAGTGTAAAAGTGTTCCTATTTCTCCACATCCTCTCCAGCACCTGTTGTTTCCTGACTTTTAATGATCGCCATTCTAACTGGTGTGAGATGGTATCTCATTGCGGTTTTGATTTGCATTTCTCTGATGGCCAGTGATGATGAGCATTTTTTCATGTGTCTGTTGGCTGCATAAATGTATTCTTTTGAGAAGTGTCTGTTCATATACTTTGCCCACTTTTTGATGGGGTTGTTTGTTTTTTTCTTGTAAATTTGTTTGAGTTCATTGTAGATTCTGGATATTAGACCTTTGTCAGATGAGTAGATTGTAAAAATTTTCTCCCATTCTGTAGGTTGCCTGTTCACTCTGATGGTAGTTTTGCTGTGCAGAAGCTCTTTAGTTTAATTAGATCCCATTTGTCAATTTTGGCTTCTGTTGCCATTGCTTTTGGTGTTTTAGACATGAAGTCCTTGCCCATGCCTATGTCCTGAATGGTATTGCCTAGGTTTCTTCTAGGGTTTTTATGGTTTTAGGTCTAACATTTAAGTCTTTAATCCATCTTGAATTAATTTTTGTATAAGGTGTAAGGAAGGGATCCAGTTTCAGCTTTCTACATATGGCTAGCCAGTTTTCCCAGCACTATTTATTAAATAGGGAATCCTTTCCCCATTTCTTGTTTTTGTCAGGTTTGTCAAAGATCAGATGATTGTAGATGTGTGGTATTTTTTTCTGAGGGCTGTGTTCTGTTCCATTCGTCTATATCTCTGTTTTGGTACCAGTACCATGCTGTTTTGGTGACTGTAGCCTTGTAGTATAGTTTGAAGTCAGGTAGCATGATGCCTCCAGCTTTGTTCTTTTGGCTTAGTACTGTCTTGGCAATGTGGACTCTTTTTTGGTTCCATATGAACTTTTTTCCTTGAGATTTTTAGGTATACAAAATAGGGCTACCTATGTGGTACTGAGGACTACCTTGTTCTTGATCTTTTCCATGTAGTGTACATACCTGCTCAATAGTACTTTGGTAGCCAATGTACCAAATGCAACCATACTAGAGTTTGATCAACACTTCTCTTAAAATTTATAATATACTTTTACTGGAGGAAAGTAGGTTTTGAAAATAATTCTTTTAGTTCACTTGCCCTCCTTAATTCTTAACTCTTCATCTACACCATCTACTTTAAGAGTGGGTTTCATAGTTTAGTCAGAGCAGTGGAGGGCATACTTCATTGTAGGTAGGCATCCTTTCCACTCCCCCTACCCCAAAACAAAAATGTTTGTGAACAAAAAGAAAATGTTTGTGAAAAAACTTTCATAATATTTATCTCTAAAAAAGATAGAATTACATTTGCATTAACAGTGGACTATTAACAAGGTACTGTTGATCCCTGATAGTTGAGAAGGAAAAATAATTTTAATTTTTTAAAGGAAGCAACCAAGATTTCACCAGTCCTTTTATGCAGTGGATCTAGGTGGAGAAAGCTATGAAGACAGCACAAAGTGCACACCAGAAATCATTTTTTATTGATTGTAAAAATAATAATAAAGAGCTAGAGAGTGAAAACAAAACTCAGAACTTTAATAAATAGACATTTATTAAGTAACTACTGTGGGTAAAGGCACTGTGCTGAGCACTGCGGAAGATACAAAAACAACTGTAATCTTTGGTCACTGACTTTTAGGAAATTGCAGTCATTGAGGGTAGGGATATGACAAATATATATAACTATAATACACATCATAATACATTAAAGATTTCCATAAAGGAAATCGATATAAATGGGTAAAAGTGTTCAGGAAAAAAGAGAGCATCTGGTTGCATATGTGTTTAGGGCTTAGGGGCACTGCTGAAATTAGAGATATGGGATCTCTTTTGAGTCTAAAGGTGTATGTTATTTAAATCATAAAGATGGGCAGAGGTGCAGAGGTGAGAAAGCACAGTTGAGGAAATGACCAGTAATCCTGTATCAAGGAATACAGATCATTAGTTTGGGGGATAAATGGCTGATAAAGCTAGAAAGACAGGATAGGGAAAGTTACAGATATTTCTTATATATTTTTATCCTCTTATTTTTACCTATATACATATATATTTTGGCTGACTCCTCGTATCTTCTCTTTTTTCTTTGCACTTACAAAAAAAATCTATCAAACAATCATTTTGCTTAATTGTAAGGTCATTTAAGCGTACATTAGTCAATTGTCTATGATATGTGATCAAAAATCACTGCAATGAAATAGTAGTACTCAGGAGTCTCCAGTGCAGCAAGTCTTAGAGGATCAAAAAAGAGAAAAAGAATAATAGCTAAGCTTTAAATATATGGATGTGAAACCAGGTGGTTTTCTATAGCAACATTTTTCTCCGCAGGCATATAGTTTTGATGTGATGCCTTTTAACTTCTAGTGTATTAAAGAGAAAACCTGAGTTGAAACAGATCAGTAATTAGGTTTTTTTCCAGTCTCTTTACTTTAAGGAAGAAAGTAGGCTACTCTGTAGGTCTAGTTAGTTTATTTTTTGCTCACCTTATAGTTGTTCAGCTTTGAGACATTTCATGTTTAGATTAAGCATGCCTTTGGGCAAATTTGATTTTTATCAGAGTATTTTCAAACCATGTTGCAGTCACAAAGATAAAGATATAAGAGCTATTTTATGATCATCTTTCATAAGATAATGCTAGTGCTTTTGTTAATTTTAGAGGTAAGGTCTTGGATAATGTAATTGTTGTCATTGTTATAGCATAGATAAGTTATAATCAAGCACTTGCTAGTTAGAATTATAAAAAGCCATAAATGATTAGAATTGTCAAAGCTTGATTATTACTCTTATGGTTAATAATAAACCTACTTTTAAGTCTAAATCATATTTACTTTAGGTATGAGTTTAATTTATTAATTTAAAAATGATTTTTTAAATGCCAGATTAGATGAATTTCCTTTTTGATGGAATCAGTTTATTTATTTTCATAGTTCCTGGGTTCAAGTTTGTATAACCTTGCAAAAAGTACTTAACCCCTCTCTATTCAGCTTTCTTATTTTATTTTTTTGTTTTTGGTTTAAAAATAATAATTTATTTTTATGGATACATAATAATTATACATATTTATGGGGTACATGTCATATTTTGATACATGCATGTAATGTATAATGATAAAATCAGAGTATTAAAGATATTCATCACCTCAAACATTTATCATTTCTTTGTGTTGGGAACATTTTAAATATTTTCTTCTAGCTACTTTGAAATATACAATAATTTACGTTGACTATAGTCACCATACTGTGCTATCAAATACTAAAACTAATTTATTTTATTTAATTGTATGTTTGTACCCATTAAACAACCTCTTTTCATTCCTCCCCGACTCTTCCCAGCCTCTGATAACTGTTTTTCTTTCTACCTTCATGAGATACACTTTTTTAGGTCTCATATATGAGTGAGATCATGCAATATTTGTCTTTCTGTGCTTAGATTATTTCAGTTAACATGTTATCCTCCAGTCCAATTCATGTTGCTGCAAATGACAGGATTTCATTCTTCTTTATGGCTAAATAGTATTTCATTGCGTAAATATATCACATTTTCTTTATCCATTCATCTGTTGATAGACCCTTAGGTTGATTCCATATCTTGGCTATTGTGAATAGTGCTGCAATAAACATGGGAGCGCAGATATCCCTTTGGTATTTTGATTTCCTTTCCTTTGGATAAATACCAAGTAGCAGAATTGCTGAATCATATAATAGTTCCATTATTAGTTTTTTGAGAAACTTCTATACTGCTTCTTGTAATGGCTATACTAATTTGTGTTCCCAACAACAGTGTGTAAGTCTCCTTTTCTCAGCATCCTTGCAAGCATCTGCTATTTTTTGTCTTTTTGATGATAGCCATTTTAACTAGAGTGAAATGATACCACATTGTGCTTTTAATTTGCATTTTCTTGATGATTAGTGATGTTGAGCATTTAAAAAATATACCTGTTGGTCATTTATATGTCTTCTTTTGAGAAATGTTTACTCAGATCCTTTGCCCACTTTATAATGGGGTTATTTGTTTTTTTGGTGGGGTTTTTTTTTTTTTTTTTGCTATTGAGTTGTGGGATTCCTTATATATTCTGGATATTAGTCTTTTATCAAATGAATAGTTTGGATATATTTTCTCACATTTACAGATTGTCTCATTGCTCTGTTGATTATATACTTTGCTGTGCAGAAACTTTTTAGTTAGATATAGTCCCATTTGTCTATTTTAATTTTTGTTTTCTGTACTTTTGAAGTCAGTCATAAAATCTTTGCCAGAAGTGTTTCTGCAATGTAATCTTCTAATATTTTTATAGTTTGTAACTTAATCCACTTGTAGTTTAAGTATTTAATCCATTCTGAGTTGCTTTTTATATATGTGGAGAGATATGCCAGAGAATCTAATTCCTTTCTTCTGCATATGAATATCCAATTTTCCCAGCATTATTTATTGAAGAGGGTCACCCTTACCCAATGTGTTCTTGGAAAGTGTCATAAATCAGTTGAGTGTAAATATGTAGATTTATTTCTAAGCCCTCTGTCCTGTTCAATTGGTCTATGTGTCTGTTTTTATGCCAGTACTATGCTGTTTTGCTTACTATTGCATTTTAGTATAATTTGAAGTCAGATAATGTGATGCGTTCAGATTTGTTCTTTTGCTCAGGACTGCTTTGATTGTTCAGGGTTTCTTTTTTGTGTTTCCATATAAATTTTAGGTTATTTTTCTATATCTGTGAAGAATGTTGGTATTTTGATAGGGATTGCATTGACTCTGTACATTGCTTTGGATAGTATGGACATTTTAACAATATTGATTCTTGCAAGCCATGAATATGGATATCTTTCTTTTTTTGGTGTTCTCTTCAATTTATTTCATCAATGTTCTATAGTTTTCTTGTGAGCTTTCACTTCTTTGGATAAGTTTATTCCTAGGTATTTATTTTGTTTCTATCTATTATAAATGGAATTACTTTATTGGTTTCTTTTTCAAATTGTTTGCTGTTGGTATATAGACATGCTACTGATTTTTGTATGTTGATATTCTATCCTGTAGCTTTAATGAATTTATTCATCAGTTCTAATAAGTTTTTGGTGGAGTCCTTGGTTTTTTTATATATAAAATTATTTCATCTGCAAAGAGTAACAATTTGACTTCCTTATTTCCCATTTGGACATCTTTTATATTTTTCTTTATCCTGATTGCTGTGGCTAGAATTTCCAGTACTATGTTGAAGAAAAATAGTGAAAATTGGCATCCTTGTCTTGTTCCAGTTCTTAGAGGAAAGGCTTTCAGCTTTTTCCCATTCAGTATATTAGCTGTGGGTTTGTGATATATGGTCTCTATTATGTTGAGATATGTTCCTGCTATGTCTAATATGTTGAGGGTTTTTATCATGAATGGATATGGAATTTTATCAAACACTTTTTCTGCATCTATTGAGGTGGATACTTTTTTTGTCCTTTATTTTATTGATGTGATGTATCATTTATTGATTTGTGTATGTTGAGTTAGTCTTGTATACATAGGATAAATCTCCCCTTGATCATGGTATATTATTGTTGAGTGACTTTTGCATATATGTTCGTCAGGGATATTGGCCTGTAGGTTTTTTGTTTGTTTGTTTATTTTTGGTCGTGTCTTTGGTTTTGGTATCAGGGTCATGCTGGCCTCTTAGAATGAGTAAGAAAAAATTTCTTTTAATTTTTGGAAGAGTTTCAAAAGAATTGGTGTTAGTTTTTCTTTAAAAGCTTGGTAGAATTCAGCAGTAAAGCCATCTGGTCTTTTGATTTTGTTTGTTGGGAGAATTTGTATTATAATACTACTTTGTTACTCATTATTGTTCTGTTCAGGTTTTCAATTTCTTCCTAATTCAATTTTGATAGATTGTGTATGTCCAGGGATTTACCTATTTCCTCTAGCTTTTCCAATTTGTTAATGTATAACTGTTCATAATAGTCTCCAATGATCTTTTGTATTTCTGCAGTATCGGTTGTAATTTCTCCGTTTTCATTTCGGACTTTTTAAAATTGGGTTTTATTTTAGCTAGTGGAGTATCAATTTGTTTATTTTTTCAAAAAATCAACTTTTCATTTTATTGAGGCTTTGTATTTTTTAGACTATTTTGTTTAGTTCTGCTCTCATCTTTATTATTTCATTTCTACTTTTTGAGGTTGTTTATTCTTTGCTTTGTAGTTTCTTGAGGTGTATCATTTTGTTGTTTGTTTGAAATTATTCTACTGTTTTTCACATAGGTGTTTTTTGCTATACACTTCCTTTTATAATTGCTTTTGATGTATCCCATAGATTTTGGTATGTTGTATTTCCACTTTCATTTCTTTTAAGAAACTTTATTTCTTTCTTAATTTCTTCATTGTCCTTATGGTTATTCAGGAGACTATTATTTAATTTTCCAAACAATGTATGTTTAAAGGGTCCAAAATTCCTCTTGTTATTGATTTTTAGTTTTATCCCATTGTGTTCTGAGAAGATAATTGATATGATTTTAATTTTTAAAAATTTTTCAAGACTTGTATTTTTGGCCTAACATATGGTCTATTATAGAGAATGTTGCATGTTCTCATGAGAGGAATGTGTGTTCTTTAGCTGTAGGATGAAATGTTCTTTAAATGTTACGTGCATTTGTTTAAAGCTCATTTAAATCCAATGTTTCTTCATTGATTCTCTCTCTAGATGATCTGTCTAATGCTGAGAGTGAAGTGCGAAAGTCCCCAAAATTATTCTATCTCAGTCTATTTCTCCCTTTTGATCTAAGAATATTTGCTTGATATATCAGAGTGCTGTGGCATTGTGTGCATATATATTTAGAATTGTTATATCCTTTTGCTAATTGATCCTGTATATGTCATTTTTTTTTTTACAGTTTTTGACTTAGTCTCTTTTTTTTCTGATGCAAGTGTAGCCACTCCTGCTCATTTTTGGTTTCCATTTCCGTGAAATATCTTTTTCCATGCCTTCACTTTTAGTCTATATGTGACTTTACAGATAAAATGAGTTTCTTGTGGCAGCATATAGTTGGGTCATGTTTTCTTATTATTCAGCCAGTCTATATCTTTTAAGTGGGGGAGTTTAATCCATTTGCACTAAAGGCTATTACTGATGGGTGAAGAAATTCCTGTCATTTTGCTAACTGTGATCTGGTTGTTTCATATATCCTTTGTTCATTTCTTCCTCTCTCATTGTTATCTTTGTAGCTTGATGGTTTTCTGTAGTGGTAATGTTTGACTCCTTTCTCATTCTCATTTTTGTATCTAGTGTAACAGTGGGATTTTATTTTTTGTGTTTTTTAAATGATGATAGATATCATTCTTTTGTTTTCAGATGTAAGACTCCCTTAAGCATATCTTGTAAAGCCAGTCCAGTGGTGATAAATTCCTTCAGTTTTTTATTTTCTAGGAAAGTATTTCATTAAACTTTTTTTGCATAAAATGAAATTGTCATTGTTTATAATCTCAGATCCAAAATTGATCATCCAGCCTTATTGTCTTCCATTCATTTATATTAATGATCATAAACTAACATGCTAGAAGTTTTATTTATTGTACACATTACCAGGAAATGATGCTGTTTGTGTGTCAGTATACTCTTAAATTTAAAGACCTCCAAACTAAAAAAAATTATAGTTTTGTATAATTTTGATATACGTATTTTGTGTCTTTTATCCCTAAATGAGTGTTTGCTCTAATAATATTAGATAACAAATTTATTAAATTTTATTTTGTCTTCTTTTACTCTAATAATATTAGTATGTTTATTAAATTTATTTAGTCTTTTTTTCTAGCCCTTGTTATGATGCTCAAACAATGTTTCCTTTTTATTACTCTATTTACCAGTTAGATTAGATTTTAAAATATTTAGATTAAATGTGAAATAAGAACCTTACTTGTAATTTCCATTTTTCTTTCTTTGGTTCACTGAAGAAATTCTTTCATTATTAAGATGCCACTTCAGCATCATGTTGAAATAGAACATTTTTTATGAATAGTTAATTATAGTTGTTAAGTTTGATAATATCTTTAGAAAAAGATGCCTCTGGCCAAATGTTCAGTGTTGGAAATGAGTATTACTGATGCAAATAACAAATTACACTCAGACTGTCTCCATTAGGGAGGGATGAACAAGAGTCTCTTGTACATAGATATAACTTGAATTTATGTGAAAATTAATTTTATAACTAATGTACTTGCCTACACTAAGAAATAGACTTGTCAGTCTATAATATCCATCGTGGGTGAGGTCAATTGAATGTCTTTTGGAAAAAAGTATAAAAAATAACAGTCCCCTTGCTTGGATGAAATGATCTCCTCTTTGACAAAAATAAAATCAAAGTTTCTCTGCAAGACAAGATAAGCCAAGCCAACCTTCTACAATAATCTTGCCTAAAGAACAGAAACAACTCATTATGACTGACTTTAGGTTTGTTTCTAAGAAAGGAGAAGTGCTCTGGTTTAGTGCAGTTACTAAAGTATAAACTCAAAGCTATTTGTGGCCTCTTTCTTTGTTCCTATCCTAAAGTTGGAGTGCTTAAAATTTGTAAGGATGACTTAAATTTTAAAATTAAGCGTATGTAGAAATGCTTAAAGATCTAGGCAAATATCCAGTTCGGAGACTGGAATAACATTTTTGTTGGCAGTATTTTCATTCTATTAACACTCTTGGGTGGTTTAATTCCCTAGAGGCTGTCTTAATGATGTGTTTATGGAAAGATTGCCAGTCCTATAATCTCGGCTTTATAGTGCAACTGATAATGATGGAAAATAACACAGAAGAAATAGCCCTGTTCTATGTGGCTAAGCTCTGGTAGACACATAATTTTTAAGTTCCAGGAAATATGAATAATTATTAATTACTATTGCAGATATAGAATGTAGGTATATATATAGCTGTGCATTTTTGAAAGAGCACAATGAAAAAAAATTGAAGATATATTAGTTTCTCCTGATTAATTTGAACTCAAAGGTAATGCTTTCTTTCTGTATCAGCATTCCACTGAAATTGTTGAGTGGAAGTGCACAAGACCAGCATATGTAACATTTTCCTACTCAGTTGAGAAAATCATGACGTAGTGAGTCAAACAGACCTTTTCTTCTAATTTGTATCCTTTGACTTTTGTCAAATTCTTATTCCTAACAATTTCCAGGGCCTGTGGGATAAAGTCAAATTTAATATTTCTATTTGATACAGATGCTTTTAACCAGAATGTTAATTTCTGATGGAAAGAATCTACTGTATGTATACTTCAGTTCAAATATATAGTTGAGTTTTAAGACAAAGATTCTACAAACTTTTGTTTGGACTTAAAAATCTCCATCAGATGGAGCCAATGAGTTACCAACTGGTATAAACATTTCATAAAATGAATTTTCATTACACTTGTAAATAAGAATGATTTGAAGAATTTATCCAATTAGCACATTCACACAATAGCTATTTTTCTCTACTTTTAATTTGGGGAATACTTTTTTATGAATGGAAAATATGATAAAGAAGTAATGAGGTTATTATGAATTCTTCCATTGTCAATGTCATTGTTTGCTAAAAGAATTTAAGCTGAATTTTTTATCATTTGTTTTCTGATTGATTCCACTCTGAAAGCCCACTCTAGATTTTAAAGATTGTATTTTATTTTTAATTTCTCATAGTGCCTAGCATAGTGCATTGAATATAGGATAACTATTATTGGGGTGAATTAATATGACAGTCATGTTCATCTAAAACTTCTCTTGCACTTTTGATAAGGGAAATATTTAGAGGAGAACAATGGGCTCAACTTGGATCATCATACCTGGCTATTCTACAAAATTTCCAAGACTTTGATGCAGATTCTTATTTGAAGTTACAAGTTGAAGATACTCCATCCTATATTACATGTTGGGTACAATATGGGAGATCACCTAGTATTTGACGTATTATTGTGTTTTGGATATATAACTGCATTCATGCTTCTGGCATATTAGGATAGGGACAAGTCCTGAGAGTAGTCTGATAACATATTAAACCACTAAAAGCCTATTTTTGTTGTTTGTTGACTTGGAAATTGCAGTTAAAATGACTTACATGCAGTTGGATAATTATCCTGTTAGTATTCTGTTTACTTGCATGTGTGTGGCATAGATCTCTTACATATTATAACAAATTTCAATGTGGAATGTGAGAAGACCAAGCAGTAGTACTTTAAACAAAGATAGGATTCAGTGTCTGGGCACTTACTATATTCAGTGTGGCAAATACCATCTTTTCTTTATCCTATCTGAATTTGACATATCTTCCAGGTCACTGTAAGGAGTGTTTTCATGGTACTTTTTCTTTTTGTTTTTTCTCAGTAGTTTAGGAAGTTTGGCTTAAAAAATAATAAACAGGCAAATCATTTAACTAATTAAATTATGGGGAAAGAGACTTTTTCAATTTTAACTCCAATGATTGCTAAATCAATAACAAAGCACAGAAATTAGAGAATAGAGTTGTTTAGATTAATGAAACCACTTCTTCTTGAATAGGAAGAGTCCTATAAATATGGCAATTGGTGTTTAAGATTTTTGTTTTTAGTTTTGAAATGTAACTTTTAAATGTACATTTTCCTTCTTTATCTTAATGCAATCACTTTGCTGGGGAGATTGAAAATTGTAATAAACCCAAAAAGAGTTTTGTAAAGAAAAATTTGTCCCAGAAAATAGTCAGCCAGTTGAATTCTGTTCCATTAGCACAGAATTATTACAATGGGAAGAACAAGGTTATATGTGTTTTGTGTTTCATATAAAAATACTTTGTTTCTTCAAGCATCATGGATCTCAATGGGATTTGGTTTTTGCATATAGGCAGATAAACCATAATGCCCGCTGTACACAGCTTGCTCAGGCTTCCTCAAGCCTTACAGCCAGCAATAAATGCCTTGTGGTCAGATATAAATGCAGTCCATGAATTAAAAAAAAAAACCTCTTAATGGCACAAGCTTACAGATGGTGTTCAAATTTCATTCAGTCTCTGGTATCTGAAAGTCTCTTATGACTTTCCTATTTCCTTTTGCTTCAGGACATTGAAGTGAGTGACTCAGAGACAAGATATGCATATTTATATGTGTTTTATAAGAACAACTAACCTTGAAAAAATGCAGAATAACTTGGAGAGGGCTGAATTATGCTTACTTTTCAAATTCCTAATAGTCTTTTATTTTCAGAGCTGTGATTTAAAGTCCTTGTGAGTGAAGAGCTTTTGAAAGAGGCATTTATTAACGTACTCAATATATTTATTTATGACCAAATATATTTTAAAAACAGCATGTGTCCTAGATTTGGAAAATGTTATTAGGCCTTTTTTTTTTTAGTGTCATTTTACTTGCTTTGGAAGACTTATATTCTCAGAAAGTATTTTAATTTTGACTGGAGAAAAAGACAGAAAAAGGAAATATACTGAAGTATTTTTAGTATACAGTTGTTTATTCAGAATGACCTTTACCAGACATCTCAGATAGTATATCTGTAAATCATACATGCAGTGATAATTGATGTTTATAATGATAAGTTTTAGTTATTGCTACATATTGAAGAGCCTCTGAATCATTAAAGAGACATTATGATTAGATTATTTTTAGTGTTAAGTGTTTAACATTTTATCTCCTTTCAGGGTACAATGCTTTATTCATAGAGATGACTTTCAATTGTCTTTTGCCTGGGAAAGCTGGGCAAGGCTGTTTAAACATCCTTTATGTTAGAACATACCATAGTGGATTAAAAGGGACCTTTTTTTCTCTCTCTAATGGCTTTGTCTGTATTAAAATATTTTAGAAATGGCTGTGGATAGTAGCTAAGTCCATTCTGATCATGTCTGGTTTTAAGAGGCCTAGTCTTTGGATCAATTTGGGCTATCCTTTGCATTGGTTGTCTTACTCTTTTTTGTGTTGTTATAAAGGAATACCTGAGGCTGGGTAATTTATAAAGAAAAAAAGGTTTATTTGGCTCATGATTCTGCTGACTGGAAAGTTCGAGATGGGGTATACAGTGAGAGCCTCAGACTGCTTTTACTTAAGGTGGAAGGCAAAGGGGAGCTGGGTGTGCAGAGATCACATAGTGAGAGAGGAGGCGAGAGAGAGTAGGCAGGTGCCAGGCTTTTTTTTAACAACCAGCCCTTGCAGGAATTAAAACAGTGAAAATTCACTCATCCCCAACCTAGGAAGGGCATTAATCTATTCATAAGGGACATGCTTCCATGACCCAAATACCTCTTATTAATCCCCACCTCCAACATTGGGGATCAATATGAGATTTGGTGGAGACAACTATATCCAAACTACAGCACTAGTCTTCTCATGTGTCTGTGTCTTGACCCTTTCTGCAATTCATTCTTCACAATTTTGGAAAGGTAATGATGCTAAAATATACTTTCATTTGTGCCACACTTACGATCCTGCCATTTACTCCTTTGTCTATCCATTCTCCCTTTTTAATTTCTTTTCTGGTTGGCATCTGAAGTTTGAGATAGTGGTCAATGAATGAAAGAAGAGTATCTGGAGGAAAAAACCTGAGATGGAAAAGTGAAGACAAAACAATTAAAGATAAGTTTTGGTTATTGGACACTCAGGACAAATTATTTACATTTTTGTTAATTTGCATCATGCTACAAATTGGAGGTATTGTTTTATGGTCCTGGAGATGTTTTTATTACTTAGAGTGATGACCTGGTACTGATTCCTTTGTTAGAAATTATGATTTAGTTTGCTGCCTTGGAAACCAATGTGTAACACTTCTGCTAATATTTTCCAGAACACTTTTGTTTTGATGATCCAATTAACATATATCTCCAATATTATTGACATTTTAATTTTTCATTATGCACAATTATATATGATATCTAGAAAATATAAGATAGCCTGAGAAATTATCCTCTGGAATTTGGCTGGGAAGGATTATTTCACTCTTAGGCCTCCATGTGGCTGTCCCCCAAAGATAGCACAATACATTCTGAAAAGAGATATGAATTAGGCAAGACAAAATTATGAAGTTGGAGAAATTAATCATTCTCACCACCGTTCACTTCCCTATACGGTGGTTCACTTTCTGTCCTCCTTGTAGAATCTTGTTATCTCAGGCAGTTTTTTGCTTTTCACTTTTACCCCACTGGGGCCTCTCCTCCCAAAGAAGAAAAGTTAAACATGATTGAATCCTAATATATGTCAACCCTGCTTACATTGTAAACCATGTTTATTGCAAAAATAAAACACAGATACAGGAATTCATCCAAGTCAAATGTATGGCTTGATGAATTACTATAAGGTAAACATCACCCATGCCAAGAATAATAACTTTTCCAGCCACATGAGAAGCCCCTTTAATTTGCCTCTTCCCAATTATAACTCCCTCCTGCCATTGTTCTAGATTTTACGGTAATGACTTCTTTGTATAGTCCTTTTTCCAGTTTTATTACTCAAATATAGACACTCTAGTCTACATTAAAAAATTTTTGACATGTCTTTTAAGTCTTTTAAAAATGTATGTCTTTCTCTTCCATCTCTTTCATTTCTCTATCATGTCTATTGAAGAACTAGAAAATTTGACAGGTAGAATTTCCCACAGTTGTGGAGTTTGAAGATGCTGTCCTTGTGCAGTTCAACATGTTTCTTTCTCATGGGTATTTCTTGCACATCCAAACAGCAGTTGATCTGACTTAGGCTTGATCCCTTTGACAGGACCTACATAGTATTTGGAATGATTTAGATACATGATATCTAGTTTTCTCCCTTTTTGTAACTTTAGCAGCCATTGATATTTAATGGAATTAATTGGCATTTGTAAATGATGTTTTCTAATTGTGGTATTTATTTTTAATTTATAAATTAGAATATCTTTTATAAAGAGACATTTCCCTCATCTCCTATTTGGTTACCTAGTAGTGCAGTTCATATGGGAAAAGTTGGACACATGTTTTATTCTTTTCCTTTATTTACTAGTTTTTAAGATAACCACTTAGTTCTGTACCACTGAAAGGAGATCATTTTTTAAAATATTATTAATTTACAAATGTAAACATACTTAATGGATTTCAATTTACTGCAATTTATATCATTGTTGAAGCTCACCTACTATATGATTAACTTTTATTTAATTTTTATGTGACTGGATAGTTTTGATTATCTAGCTAGGGATGTCTTCTTCAGTAACTGAGTTTTATAAAGATTAATTTTATTTTTTTTCTCTTCTATTTCCTCCTGCAGACTGTAGGTGGCTTTATTCTATTGTTATAACATAAGAAAATGGTCATTGTAAAATAAATCTGAAAATATAAAAAATCATTACAAGAGAAAATAAAAGTAAGTCATATTCTCATTACCCAACATAATCACTATAACAATTTGGTAAATACCCTTCCAGAATTTTATATATATAGAAATAAATTCTTACTCTTTTGTTTTGTTATTTATTTATTTATTTACATTTTTAAGTTATAAAGACAAGTTATACATATTTATAGGTACATGTGATATTTTGATACAAGCATACAATCTGTAATGATCAAATCAGGGTAATTGGAATATCCATCCCCTCAAGCATTTAACATTTATTTATGTCAGGAACATTCCAATTCCACTCTGATAGTTATTTTGAAATATACAATACATTATTGTTAACTATAGTAGCCCTATTGTGCTACTATGCACTAGATTTTATTCCTTATCACTGCATTTTTGTGCCCATTAACCCTCTGCTCTTCCCCTCAATCTCCCTGTCTCCCCATTACCCTTCACAGCCTCTGGTAACCATCATTCTACTCTCTGTTGCCATGAGTTCAATTTTTTAGGCTCCCACGTATGAGTTCAATTCATCTTGTTGCAAGACAAGTAGACAGGACTACTTTCTTTTTCTTAGCTCTGTGATATTTTATTGTGTATTCGTACCACATTTTTTTTTTTATCCATTCACCTGTTGATGGACACCTAGGTTGATTTTATATCTTGGCTATTAGGAATAGTGCTGCAGTGAATGTGGAAGTATAAATGTCTCAGTATACTGGTTTCCTTTCATTTGGAAATATACCCAGTAGTGGGATTGCTCGATTGTATGATAGTTCTATTTTTTATTTCTTGAGGAACCTCCATACTGTTCTTCCTAGTAGCTGTACTGATTTGCAGTCCCACAAACAATGTACAATGGTTCTTCTTTCCCCACAGCCTCACTAGCATTTGTTATTGCCTGTCTTCTTGATAAAAGTCATTTTAATTGGGGTGAGTTGATATCTCATTCCAGCTTTGTTTTGTATTTCTCTGGTGATTCGTGATGTTGAGCATTTAAAAATTTAATTATTGGGCATTTGTATGTGTTCTTTCAATAAATCTCTGTTCAGATCTATCACCAATTTTTAAATTGGATTATTTGTTTTTTTTCTTTTGAGTTGTTCATCTTATATATTCTGGATATTAATTCTTCATCAGATGGGTAGTTTGCAAATACTTTCTCCCATTCTGTGGGTTATCTCTTGACTTTATTGATTATTTCCTTTGCTGTGCAGAAGACTTTTAGCTTGATATGATTCCATTTGCCCATTTTTGCCTCGATTGCCTGTGCATTTGAGGTCCTACTCAAGAAATCTTTGCCAAGAACAATGTCCTGAATTGTTTCCTCAATATTTTCTTCTAGTAGTTTCATAGGTTAAAGTCTTAGATATGTCTTTAATTCATTTTGATTTTAATTTTGTATATGGTGAGAAATGGGTCCAGTGGATATCAAATTTTCCCAGCACCACCTATTGAAGACTGTCCTTTCCCTATTGTATGTTCTTGGCACTTTTTTGAAGATAAGTTTGCATAGATTTGTATCTGGGTTCTTCATTCTGTTTCATTGGCCTATGTGTCTGTTTTTATGCCAGTACCATACTGTTTTGGTCATTATAGCTTTGTAGTATAATTTGAAGTCAGATAATGTGATACCTCTAGATTTTTTTTTTCTCAGGATTGCTTTAGCTATTCAAAGGTTTTTTTTTGAGTTCCATATAAATTTTAGGATATTATTTTCTTTCTGTAAAGAATGGCACTGGTATATTGATAGGAATTGTATTGAATCTGTAGATTGCTTTGAATAGTAGTAATATTTTAACACTATCTATTTTTCCAATCCATAAACATGGATTATCTTTCAATTTGTTTGTGAACTCTTCAATGTTTTGCATGAATGTTCTATAGTTTTCATTGTAGAGATCTTTCTCTTCATTGGTTAAGTTTATTCCTAGGTATTTTAATTTAATTTTTATCTGTTGTAAATAGGATTACTTTCTTGGTTTCCTTTTCAGATTCTTTCCTGTTGACATATGGAAACACTACTGATTTTTCTATGTTGATTTTGTATCTTTCAGCTTTACTAAATTTATCACTTTTAATAGTTTTTTGGTGATTTTTAGTTTTTCTAACTATAAGATTATATTTTCTGCAAACAGGGGTAATTTGACTTCTTCATTTCCAATTTAGATGCCCTTTATTTATTTCTTCAGCCTCATTGCTCTGGCTAGAATTTCCCATACTATGTTGAATAAAAGTGGTGAAAGAGGAAATCCTTGTCTTGTTCTAGATCATAGAGAAATAGCTTCTAGTTTTTCTACATTGAGTATGACAGTAGCCATGTGTTTGTCACATATGACTCTTATTGTGTTAAGGTATGTTCCTTCTATAGGTAGTTTTTGAGTGTTTTTATCATGCAGGAATGTTGAATTTTTATCAAATTTATCTTTGGCATCTGACTGAAGTGACCATGGCCGTGCATGGTGGCTCACGCCTGTAATCCCAACACTTTGGGAGGCTGAGGCAGGTGGATCACGTGAGGTCAAGAGTTCATGACCAGCCTGGCCAACATGGTGAAACCCTGTTTCTACTAAAAATACAAAAAATGGCTGGGCATGGTAGCATGTGCCTGTAATCCCAGCTACTCTGTAGGCTGAGGCAGGAGAATCGCTTGAACCCGGGAGGCAGAGGTTGCAGTGAGACAAGATTGCACCACTGCACTCCAGCCTGAGTGACAGAGCAAGACTCTGTCTCTGAAAAAAAAAAAAAAAAAAGTATTCCCTCCTCCTTATTTTATTTTATTTTTTTGGAATAGTTTGAGTAAGATTGGTATTCATTTTTTAAATGTTTGATAGATTTCAGCAATATAGTCTTCAGGTTCTGGGTTTTCTTTGCTAGGAGACTTTTTATTACTGCCTCTATTTCATTACTTTTTATTGGTTTATTCAGGTTTTGGTTTTCTTCATGGTTTAATCTTCATGGCTGTATGTGTCTAGGAATTTATCTATTTCTTCTAGGGTTTCCAATTTATTGGCATATAGTTGCTTATAATAATCACTAATCCTCAGTTGTAATGTCTCCTTTTTCATGTCTGACATATTTATTTGGGTCTTTTCCTTTTTTCTTAACTAGTGTGGCTAATGAACGGTTTTCCAATTTTGTTTATCATTTCAAAAAAACACTTCTTTTCATTTTGTATTTTTTTAGCCTCAGTTTTGTTTATTTTAACTCTGATATTATTTATTTTCTGTTATTTTTGGGTTTGGTTTGCTCTTGCTTTTCTAGTTCTTTAAGATGCATCTTTAGGTTGTTTATTTAAAATGTTTCTACTTTATGATGTAGGCATTTATTGCTATAAACTTGCCTCTTACTACTAATTTTCCTGCCTGTCATAGATTTTGGTATGCTGTGTTTTCATTTTCCTTTGTTTCAAGAAAATTTTAAATTTTCTTCTTAATGTTTTCATTGATCCAGTGGTCGTTCAGGAACATATTATTTAATTTTCATGTGTTTTTATAGTTTCCACTGTCTCGGTTTTTATTGATTTCTGGTTTTACTCCATGTGGTGAGAAGTTATACTTGATATGATTTCATTTTTTAAAAATGTTTTTGACTTGTTTTTTCGCTTAATATGTGGTCTATTCTTAGGAATGTTCCACGTGCTGACCAGAAGTATGTAAATTGTGCAGCTGTTGGATGAAATGTTTATAAATGTCTGTTAGGTCTATTTGGTCTATAGTGAAGATCAGGTCAGATTTTTTTATGTGGATTTTCCATCTAGATAATTTGTCCAATGCTGAAAGTGGATGTTGAACTTCCCAGCTATTACTGTATTGTGGTCTTTCTCTCTCTTTAGCTGTAATGATATTTGTTTTATTAATCTTGGTGTTCCATAGGCCAATAGAACAGAACAGAGAACCCAGAAATAAGACCAGACACCTACAACTATCTGATCTTCAAGAAACTTGACAAAAAACAAGCAATGGGGAAAGGATTTTTTATGTAATAAATGGTATGGGGATAACTGGTTAGCCATATGCAGAAGATTAAAACTGAACCCCTTCGTTACACCATATATAAAAATTAACCCAAGATGGATTAAAGACTTTAATGTGAAACCCAAAAGTATAAAAAGCCTGGAAGACAACCTAGACAATACCATTCAGGATGTAGACACGAACAAAAATTTCATGATGAAGACATTAAAAGCAATTGCAACAAAAGCAAAAATTAACAAATGGGATCTGGCCGGGCATGGTGGCTCACGCCTGTAATCTCAGCACTTTGGGAGGCTGAGGCGGGTGGATCACAAGTTCAGGAGATTGAGACCATCCTTGCTAACAGGGTGAAACCCCATCTCTACTAAAAAATACAAAAAAAAAAATTAGCCGGATGTGGTGGTGGGCGCCTCTAGTCCCAGCTATTCGGGAGGCTGAGGCAGGATAGTGGTGTGAACCAGGGAGGTGGAGCTTGCAGTGAGCCGAGATCGCACCACTGCACTCCAGCCTGGGTGACAGAGCGAGACTCCATCTCAAAAAACAAACAAAAAACAAAACAAAACAAAACAAATGGCATCTAATTAAACTAAAGAACTTCTGCACAACAAAATAAACTACCAACAGAGTAAATGCGCAACCTACAAAATGGGAGAGAATTTTTGCAATCTATGCATTCAACAAAGGTCTAATATCCAGCATCTATAAGAAACATAACAAATTTACAGGAAAAAACTCAACAACCACTTTACAAAGTGGGCAAAGCACATGAACAGGCACTTTTCAGAAGAAGACATACATGTGGCCAACAATCATATGAAAAAAAAAAAACTCAACATCCCTGATCATTGCAAAAATGCAACTCAAAACCGCAATGAGATACCATCTCATACCAGTCAGAATGGCTATAATTAAAAAGTCAAAAAATAACAGTTGTTGGTGAGGTTGTGGAGGAAAAGAGACACTTATACACTGTTGGTGGGAGTGTAAATTAGTTTAAACATTGTGGAAGACAGTGTGGCAATTCCTCAAAGACCTAAAGAAAGAAATACCATTTGACCCAGCAATCTCATTAGTGGGTATATACCCAAAGGAATATAAATCATTCTATCATAAAGACACATGCATGTTTATATTCATTGTAACACTATCCACAATAGCAAAGACATAGAATTAACCTAAATGCCCATTGATGATAGACTGGGTAAACAAATTGTGGCACATATACACCATGGAATACTATGCAGCCATAAAAAAGAATGAGATCATGTTCTTTGCGGGGACATGGATACAGCTGGAGGCCATATTCCTTAGCAAACTAACACAGGAACAAAAAACCAAATACCATATGTTCTCACTTATAAGTGGGAGCTAAATGATGAGAACACATTGACACATAGAGGGGAACAATAGACACTGGGGCTTATCAGAGGGTGGAAGGAGGGAGAAGATCAGGAGAAATAACTAATGGTTACTAGGCTTAATACGTGGGTGATGAAATAATCTGTATAACAAATCCCTATCATACAATTTTACCTATGTAAAAACCCTGCACATATACCTTTGAATGTAAAATAAAAGTTAAAAAAAATCTTGGTTTTCTAGCATTGGGTGCATATATATTTACAGCTGTTATATCCTTTTGCTGAATGATCTTTTTATCTCTCTATAGTAACCTTCTTTATTTCTTTTTACAGGGCTTGTCTAGGGATCTATTTTATGTAAGTATAGCTACTCCTCCTCTTTCTCTTTTTCAGTCCCTTTATTTTAAGTCTGTGTCTTTTTATAGGTGAAGTGAATTTCTTTGGGGAACATAATGTTGAGCATTATTTTTTATATGCATTCAGCCACTCTATGTCTTTTGATGGAAACATTTAGTCCACTTACATTCAGTGTTGTTATTGATAGACAAGAAGATACTACTGCCACTTTGTTGTTTGTTTTCTGGTTGTTTTGTTGGTCCTCTCTTCTGTCCTTTCTTTCTTCCTGTTTTATTTTGTAAACAATTTTCTCTGGTAGCATGTTTTAATTTCTTGCTTTTTATTGATGGTGCATCTGTTACAGGTTTTTGTTTTGTGACTATCATAAGGTTTGTAAATAATGTCTTATAACTAAATATTTTTAAACTGATGACAACTTAACTCTGATTACCAAGAAAAGAAAAACAAGCAAAGAGAAAACTAAAAAATGCTACACATTAACTCTATGTGCCCCACTTTCTGACTTTTTATTGTATCTGTTTATATCTTTTTAAGTTATCTACCTCTTAATAAATTTTTGTTGTTATTTTTGATAGATCTGTCCTTTAGTCTTCCTACTAATGATATGAGTGTAACAATCAGAAATGATAATGAGAATAACATCACTGACCACACAGAAATAAACAACCATCAGAGAATACTATAAACACCTCTATACACATAAACTAGAAAATCTAAAAGAAATGGACAATTTCCTGGACAAATACACCCTCCCAAAACTGAACCAGGAAGAAATGTAATACCTGAGTAGACCACTTATGTGTTCTGAAGTTGTGACAATAATAAATATCCTACCAACCAAAAAAAGCCCAGGACCAGATGAATTCACCACTGAATTTTACTAGAGGTATAAAGAGGAGCTAGTACCATTTCTACTGAAATTATTCCAAAAGATGGAAGAGGAAGGACTCTTCCTTAACTCATTTTATGAGGTCAACATCATCCTGATACCAAAACCTGGCAGAGATACAACAAAAAAGAAAACGTCACACCAATATCATTGATTAACATCAATGCAAAAATCCTTTATAAAACACTGGCAAACCAGAAGCACATCAAAAAGCTTACCCACCACAATCAAGTTGGCTTCATCCCTGGGATGCAAGGTTGGTTCAACATATGCAAATCAATAAATGTGATTCATCACATAAATGGAACTAAAGAAATAAACCACATGATCATTTCAATAGATGCAGAAAAGGCCTTCAATGAAATTCAACATCCCTTCATGTTTAAAACTCTCAATAACCTAGGTATTGAAGGAATATACCTCAAAATAATAAGAGCCATATAGGACAAACCAACAACCAATATCACACTGAATGGGCAAAAGCTGGAAGCATTCCTCTTGAAAACCGGCACCAGACGAGGATGCTTCTCTCACCACTCCTATTCAACATGATATTGGAAATTCTGGCTAGGGCAATCAGGCAAGAGGAAAACATAAAGGCTGTTCACATAGGAAGAGAGGAAGTCAAATTATGTTTGTTTGCAGATGACATGATCCTATATCTAGAAAACCCCATGGTCTCAACCCAAAGGCTTCTGAAGCTGATAAACAATTTCAGCGAAGTCTTAGGATATAAAATCAATGTTCAAAAATCGCTAGCATTTCTATATACCAACAACAGGCAAACAGAGAGCCAAATCATGAATGAACTCCCATTCACAATTGCTACAAAAAGAATAAAATACCTAGGAATACAGCTAACAAAGAAAGTGAAGAACCTCTTCAAGGAGAACTACAAACCACTGCTCAGAGAAATCAGAGAGTATACAAACAAATGGAAAAATATTCTATGCTCATGAATAGGAAGAATCAATATCGTGAAAATAGCTATACTGCCCAAAGTAATTTATAGATTCAGTGCTATTCTCATTAAACTACCACTGACATTCTTCATGGAATTAGAAAAAACTATTTTAAAATTCATATGGAACCAAAAAAGAGCCCAAATAGCCAAGACGATCCTAAGCAAAAAGAACAAAGCTGGAGGCATCACGCTACTTAACTTCCAAGTATACTAAAGGCTACAGAAACCAAAACAGCATGGTACTGCTACAAAAACAGACACATAGACCAATGGAACTGAAAAGAGAACTCAGAAATAAGACTACACACCTACAGCCATCTGATCTTTGACAAACATGACCAAAACAAGCAATGGGAAAAGGATTCCCTATTTAATAAATGGTGCTGGGAGTACTGGGTAGCCATATGCAGAAAATTGAAACTGGAAATTAACTCAAGATGGATTAAAGACTTAAATGGAAAACCCACAACTATAAAAATCCTAAAATAAATTCTAGGCAATACTATTCAGGATATAGGCATAAGCAAAAATTTCATGACAAAAATGCCAAAAACAATTGCAACAAAGGCAAAAATTGACAAATGGGATCTAATTAAATGAAAGAGCTTCTGCACAGCAAAATAAACTATCATCAGAGTGAACAGACAACCTACAGAATGGGAGAAACGTTTTGCAATCTATTCATCTGACAAAGGTCTAATATCTAGAATCTACAAGGAACTTAAATTTACATGAAAAAAACAACTCCATTAAACAGACACTTCTTAAAAGAAGACATTCATGTGGCCAGCAAACATATGATAAAAAACTCAATATCACTGATTATTAGAGAAATGCAAATCAAAACCACAATGAAATACCGTCTCCTGCCAATCAGAATGGCTATAACTAAAAAGTAAAAAAACAACAGATGCTGGCTAGGTTTTGGAGAAAAAGGAACACTTTTACACTGTTGGTGGGAGTATAAATTAGTTCAGCCATTGTTGAACAGTGTAGTGATTCTTCAAAGACAAAGAGGCAGAATTACCATTTGATCCAGAAATCCCATTACTGGGTATATACCCAAAAGAATATAAATCATTCTGTTATAAAGACACATGCATGTGTATGTTCATTGCTGCACTATTTATAATACCAAAGTGATGTAATCAACCTAAATGCCCATCAATGATAGAGTGGATAAAGAAAATGTGGTACATATACACCATGGAATACTATGCAGTCATAAAAAGGAATAAGAGCATGTCCTTTGCAGTGACATGGATGTAGTTGGAAGCCATTTTTCTCAGCAAACTAATACTGGAACAGAAAACCAAAAACTGCATACTCTCACTTATATGTGGGAGCTGAATGATGAGAATACATGGACATGTGGAGGGGAACAACACACACTGGGCACCTGTTGGGTGGCGTAGGGGAGGGAGAGCATCAGGAAGAATAGCTAATGGATGCTGGGCTTAATACCTGGGTGATGGGATGATCTGTGTAGTGAACCACCATGGTACACGTTTACCTATGTAACAAACCTGCACATCCTGCACATATACCTCTGAACTTAAAGTTGAAAAAAAAGATGAGTGTATGATACACTGAAATTATAGTATTATTCTGAGATTTTTTAAATGTACTTACTTTTACCAGTGAGTTGTATACCTTCAGATACTTTCTGCTTGCTTGTTAATGTCTTTTTCTTTCAGATTGAAGAACTTCCTTTAGCATTTCTTGTAAGATAGGTCTGATGTTGCCCAAATCCCTTAGCTTTTGTTTTTGAGAAAATTTTTATTTCTCCTTCAGATTTGAAGGGTAATTTTTCTGGATACAATATTCTAGGTTGAAACTTTTTTCCTTCAGCACGTTTAAAATGTCATCCCACTGCCTCTGTTCAAAGATTTCCATTGAACAGTCTTCTTCCAGACATATCAGAGCTCCTTTATATGTTATTTGCTTTCTTTTGCTGCTCTTACAATCCTTTCTTTTCTTTTGAGGGTTTGATTAGTATATGCCTTGAGATAGTCTTATTTGGATTGAATATGCTTGGTGTTCTTTGACCTTCTTGTCCCTCAATATTCACATCTTTTTCTAGGTTTGAAAAGTTCTCCGCTGTTTTTTTTTTGAATAACCTTTCTTCTCTGATCTCTCTCAACATCCTCTGTAAGGCCAATAACTCTTGGATTTTCCCTTTTGAGGCTATTTTATAGATCCTCTATGCATGCTTCATTCTATTTCATTCTCTTTTTTTCCCTCTGATTGTGTATTTTCTTATAGCCTGTCTTTCAGCTCACTACTTCTTTTGCTTGATCAATTGTGATATTGAGAGACTCTGATGTATTTTCAGTTTGTCGATTGAATTTGTCAGCACCAGAATTTCTGCATGGTTTTTAAAAATTATTTCAATCTCTTTGTTAAATTTATCTAATAGAATTCTGAATTTTCTCTGTGTTATCTTGAAGTTCACTGAGATTTCTTAAGACAGCTATTTCGAATTCTTTCTCTGAGAGGTCACATATCTTCACCCCTCTGGGACTGGTCATTGGCACCTTATTTAGTCCACTCGGTGTGGTCATGTTTTCCTAGATGTTTTTGATGCTTGTTTTGTCAATGTCTGAGCATTTCCTCCTTAAAATCTTACTCTTTTTTATTTTATGTCTTTAAAAAATCTAAATATATATATATATAATAAATATATTTCCATGTGAATAAAACATAGTCTGTATTGTAACTTTTAATATGTGGATATGAATGAAGAGGTACTTAGTTTCTATTATTACACTTAAAATAATGCTACTAAATAGTTACTGAAAATAATGCTACAATAAGGAATTCCTTTTGTATTAGAAATGCAGAACATTTCCTGACCCATCCATATCTCCTTATGAATTTCAAATGGGCAGTGGAATAGAGGACATGGCATTCAGCATTCCCTCCACAAATGGAGGATTAATCTAGGCTTTCATAACTTTTGGCTTGGCTCAAAAAGATGAGATGAGTACTAGCAGGTTTCTTGCTCAACAATTTGGAACTATGGAACTAAAAAAAACTGTGCTAACCACTTATAGTTGAGTTGCAAAAATCCTTAATAAGATACTGGCAAACTGAATCCAGCAGCACATGAAAAAGCTTATCCACCACAATCAAGACATATATGACCATGTGTAAGCTAGGGATTAAAAAGAAATTGGAAATCTATAGAAAGAGAAAAAATGGAGCAGACATACGAGCACCTACTATGTGCCACTTATTGTTCTAGCTGCTTGGGATACATAAATGAATAAAACCAAGATTTTTGCTTTCATATAGTAAGCTTTCTAGAGAAGGGAGGCAATAAACAACTGACATTTTAAATGAGTGAGATAGCTATTGGAATGCTATGGAAAGAAAAGAAAGAGCAGAATAAGGGGGACTGGGAGAGCAGGTTGTGAGGATAGATGATTTGGTTCTTGTGAGGTGGATGGAGAAAGCCGCTGCCTTGGTTTTGACCACTTTCTAGTTAGTAGTTTAAGTTTGCATGAATTCTTCCCAGCTGTACTTATTTACAACACATTGCTTTTATGACCTTTAGGTATCCTTCAATATGTCTCCTTTTATATTTGAAATAGTTTCAATCTGTTTCTGTTCTTTTAAACTTCAATAAAAATATTCTTATGCATTAATTTTTGGGCACTTATCCAATAATTCTCATAGGATAATTACCTATTAGAGGATTACCAGATTAATGAATATGCATATTCAAATTTCTCATTTAGTTTTTAACTGAATTTGTGTTTTAATTTTATAACTCTCATAATATTGAGCGAGATGAATAAATATTCATGTGACATATTTCCAAACATAAACTATATCAGAGTCCAGTCAAAAGACAGAAACCGTGTCAGTAATTTAAGCAGGGAAAATTTTATATAAAGTATTTTTAATGAGATAAAAGTGGTTAACTATTAAAAAGGGTAAAAGAGAACACTAAAATGTACAGAGGAAGCATCTGTAGAGAGTAACTATGGGCTACTACTTCCAGAGATAGGGGGAAAGTACACAAGAAAGGAATTTAGAGAAAGAATCAATAGGGCTGTGATTCAGATCTCTACGTAGAAGGTGTGGCTGCCACCGGAAGATGCTGCTCACTACTACAGTGATCAAGGAATTTGATGGAGACTGCTTGGCTTAATAACTTGAGAGCCACCACTACTGTGGTGGCCTTTGTTGGAGGGCATCTGCTGCTGAACTGCCAGGATAGTCACTAGCTCCTGGAACTTCTGCAAATCCCTTCTTTCTCTTCTAACCTGGCAGAATCCCTCCAGAACTCTTGATTGGCTGTGCCTAACAATGAGCCAATTAGCAAAAAAGAAATGTAGTCTGTGTAGGAAAAGAAGATGGGTTTGGATTTGAGAGAGGTAATGTATTAATATACCTGCAAATGTAGTCATCATATTCTTTAAATCCATAAGCAGAGTGGCTTCTACCTAGTAGAAAATAAGGCAGAAAAGCAAAGAATCCTTACAGTTTTCTCTACACCAAATAATGTATTTGGGTACAATCTTATTAGATATGAAGCTATTTTGAGCATGAAAAAGTTTCTAATCTTTTCAAAATTTCATCTTCAGGCCATAGTTCTGGCTGCTATATGGAAAAATGATGGAATGGTTTGTTTCATTATTCAGTTTTATCACCCAAGTGAAGACCAGATAGTACTTGAGTCCAGAGAGAATTTTATTGATTTAAGTTTAATACTGTGTATTAATCTTCCTTTGAGCAGTCCTTTCTACTCATCAGATTCCCTACATACTGCTTACAATTATTTTCCATGTATTACCTGCAAGCCTTTTCAAATGCATTTGTCTCATGGGAATTCAAAAGCTCTAGAAACATTTTTTAGTATGTATTTTAGTGGTTGCAGTTTCAAAGAGCAGCAGCACCTGGTGAGATCATCACCATTCATCTGGTATCTCTTAGAGAATGTGGTAAGTTGTCCAATGAACTAGATACTTTTCTGTATTTATTTCTCTCCTTTTTTTCATATTGCATCTGCTCAGCAAATTATAGTAAGATAAAGAAAGAAAAATATTCTACATGACTACAAGTTTTATTTACATGGAATAATCATCAAAAGGCATCCTTTTTTTTTTTTTTACCGCTCTGTATTATACAGCCTAAATTCAAACTCCCCTCATGACTATTAGGCTAGGCCACTAAATTGTCTCCTGGACTCTATTCTTACTTGCCTCACTTCTGTCCTTCATGCTATTTCTTTTTGTCTGTGAAGTATTTCAAAAAAGTCCTAATCTTGTTGAAAATCAGCTCTTTCTCCAGAGTTAAAAGTCGTAATTGCTTCGCAGTGACCAAGTTCCATTGCAAGGCAGACAAGGCTCCATCTCCAGCTGCTCACCCCCTTTTACTCTGTATTTCAGTTTCCTGAGCCACCAGCTATTATGCACAACTGCATTCTGTTTCTTGCCTAGTGAGTTCCTACTCATCCTTCCAGACTCATGTCAAGGGTTATCATGAAGATGTCCCTCAGGCTTGGGAAAAATGGTTTAATCTTTGCCACCACTGTTTTCTTACAGCATTCATTCAGACATTTCAAATATTTGAGCACCTGCTATGGACAGAAGAGAATAGAGAGGGATGAGGTAAGAGATGGGAGATTTTGGGTAGAATGACTTACTTCTCTGAGATAACATCGAACAGGGTGTCGAATGAACTGATGAAGTGAGCCACGTGGCTCTCTGGGCAAAGAACATTTCGGACATGGGGTACAGTAACTGCAAAGGCCTTGAGCCAGGGATATGTTTTGGCATAGAAAGAATAGCAAGGAGACATGACTGGCAGAAGAAAAGCAAACCAAGGGGAGAGTGGTTGAAGATAGGCTTGATATTGGGTTGGAGTGAGGGCAGATTGTTTAAGGCCTTATGAGCCATGGGGAGAATTTTGTTTTTGATTCTGAATGAGATGGGAAGAGAAATATTGTATAAAAGTATATGAGATTGAGTCCCATATACTTTTACCATGGAGAGAAAATTAATCCTTTAGAATATGGGAACATGATATTTCCTAATTAAAAATCTTGTTACTTTTGCAGCCAAACCTGAAGTGCAACAATGGGTAAAGCTGCTGTTTTGTAGGTAGGAGATATATTTAAATAAAATGAAATGATGATTCTTGGAAAATTCAATTTCTTCTTATCAAATCTCTGAAAATGAAAAAGGCTTACAATTTGTGCAACTCCTTTGAAAATAGTCTTCTAGCCAGTAGTAGGTTTTGATTATGTATTAACCTATATTGCAAATCAAACTATTGCAATGGCACATTGGATTTTTTTGATCACTTTGTGTCTGAATACATGAACTATATTTGTAATTTAAATTACTTTTTAAAAATTCATAGTAAAATCTTGACAGAGGTAACAAAAATAACACAGAAGTATACAATTGTTTTCAGTATGGAAAGGACTTTTTAAAACAGATGATATCTTTATTATTTTATAGAATGAATTAACGTGCAATTTGCATAACTCTAGTAATTTAATGAGAATTCTAAAAGTAATAAAAGTACATAGGCTGTAATAAATACTGACTTTCAACTGATTTTAAGAAATAAAAGTACGTAGGCTGTAATAAATACTGACTTTCAACTGATTTTAAGAAATAAAACATATTTGAAAATCATGGACATGCTTAGGATTAAAACCACGGTCTATGTTAGAAATTGTATAAAAATCAGGGACTTGGGGAGTTTCAACAGTGCTGTAGTTCACACAATCAAAGGTGCTAAAGTTATGACATTCTCTTTATAGTATGTGGTCCATTTCACCATCTAGTTTCTATATGCATTTCAGAAGTGCAATGCACTGTGATACTGAATGTAATTTATCTCTGAAGAACTATATTAACTCCTTTTTAATAACTGAGGATGTTACATGACTAACATCTAAGCCTACCACACAAATTGATCAAAATTGTTTCAGCTACATAAAACTGTACCACAACAATTTGAAGTGCATTAGAATCCAATGGCAGCACAGATTTTAATCCACACTCATGTTCCTGCTATCAAAAAATCTTATATGCGGTGTAAGAAGGTGATGATGAAGTTGATTTCCTTGTCTGTATGCTTAGAAGCAGTCACACCAGAGGAATAGAAGGAGGATGAACCAGAATGAAAGTTTCTCAGAAAATATTTTAAGGAAATGTCTTTCTCAAATCCTTATTATATATTATGTCTATGTTATTCAGTTTTGGATACTTGATATTTTGCCAAAAATTAAGTGTTTCTTTTCTGCTAAAGTCACATGCCTACTCCAGACATCTCCATGTTTCCCAGAATTTCATTTGAGTTCTAAGAGATACTAAATATAGAACTAGATAAAAAGAAAGTAGATGAATAAACAGCCTGTCCATTCATCTGCAAGTTTAGACCATGCCCACATAATCCAACAAACACCATTTCACTGACAATTCTTTTCTGGCATTCTTTGATTTATATATTTTCTCAGAATGACAAAATAATTTAACATTATGCAAATAAGAATGATTTGTGTAATGTTACTAATATGGTTTGGATGTTTGTCCTCTCCAAGTGTTGACATGTGATTCTCATTTTTGGAGGTGGGACCTGGTGGGAGGTGACTGGATCATTGAGGCAGATTCCTCATGAATAGTTTAGCACCATCTCCCTGAGTTTTCACTCAGTTCATGTGAGATCTTGTTGTTTAAAACAGTCTGAGATCTCCCTCTTCTCTCTCTTGCTTCTGCTGTTGCCATGTGACATGCTGACTTCCAATCTTGGCCTTGTGCCATGACTGTAATTTCCTAAGGCTGTCACCTGAAGCTGAACAAATGTTGGTGCAGTTTCTTATACAGCCTACAGAACCATGAGCCCCTTAAGCCTCTTATCTTATATACTACCCAGCCTTAGGTATTTCCTTGTAGTGACACAAGAATGGATGAACACAGTTACATAGCCAATGTATTTATAGAAATAACTTTTGAGTAGGGTAGTAAATCTTGCCAGAGAGAACTGATAGAGCAAGCAAATTTTGTGCTCAGTACACTTTGAAGTGGCCCAACTACCTGGTCAAGCTGCATGCAGGAATCCCAGCAGTCCCAGACGCTTACTTTACTAGCTGTCAAAATATCCTCAGGTAAATCAGGCTGCCTAAATGCTTTTGTTGTCATGTGTTCTAATCCTAGTGTATCTCATCCTGCATGTTCTGGCCATGAAGAACTTGGGAACAGAAATTACCTTGTTGGGGAGATGGTGGTAGATAGGGTTTGTCTGGTAATTATTCTCCTAGAGGACATATTTTTCCTATGTGTATTCAGTCTGCAATTTCCATATTGCAGGCAAGGAATACTGAGGCAAAAGATCTAGGAAAAAATGCACAAACAAGTGTTCTGACAAAGAGAAAGTAAAAGTTAAAATCTGTGGAACCCAATAATGGGAAATTATTTGAAATGGAAATTATAGTAGTCTTGTAAGAGAACAAATAAGATGTAGCTATAGAATTTATCAAAGGCCAAAGAAAGGGAGAAATACTGAAAAGGAAATAGAGAAGGTAGATGAACAAATGTTTCATTTGTCTTTCCATTATGTAAAGCACACTTAGTCACTTCCCACAATTCATTAATATGAAGTCATTTTCTAACAAGAATACTTGCTTTTGATGCTAGAGGACCTAACATGAGAAATGTTCAGACTTTCCCATTCTGCATTTTCTGAACATTGACAGTTCCTCTCACATGGCTTGGCCCTTTAGCAATGTTCTTGTAACCGCATTTCTCCTGCTAATCAACCCGGCAGGCCTTGGAGGTTATTAACACTGGCCTACTTTCAAAGTCCTGAGTCAAAGCCCCAGGGTATCCAGTTGTGAAGGGAAACACAGACAGGAGAAATGGCACCGTTTCTGTCTTTTTACAGGAAAGAAATCATTCGTGTTAATTAAATGAAGAGTTTGAGAGGTGTTTGGGGAATTGTTTGTCGCTCTCCTGCTGAAAGAGTTTTCTTTTTCTTCTCTCTGGAAGTCAAGGTTCCAGTTCAAGCTTTTCCTTTGTGAATTAGAGTTTGAACTCTTTTTCTTAGAACAAATTTAATATTTGCAATCAAGCCACTAATTACAAATAAAAACCATAGATTTCAAATGTAGATTTAAACTATCTGCCCTTCTACTCTTAGTTTTAGTTTTAGGGAAATGATTTGAGAATCAAAGTGGTGAAATACATCATAGATAGCAGCCCAACTTTTAACTGATTTTAAGCTGCCATTTGTCTGATCTCTCTCTGTTTAATATCTGTTACGAACACTGGGACTTGAAAATGCCATCTGAAGGCAACTAGGGCTCCAGACGTTGATCCTTGAACTTCTTTAGGCTGTGTGTTGCTGTGAAGTTGATGGCTTGTTTAAAATGCATTGTCATTTTGCACACTAAGGAACATGGAATGGCAGATGTGGGATACTGAAACCAGTCTTATTCTCTTTGCTAAACAATGGGAAAGAGCTTGAATTTTGGAGCCAAAGCTGGGTTCATATGTCTGCCTTACCTGTTTATAAGTGTGTGACCCTAAGAAGGTTACTTATTTTTTCAATCCTTATTATATAGATGAGAACTTTTTACACTGTTTGTATCACCTGAGACATTGCCAGCATCTGATAGGCAACCGATAGATGGTAGCTATTTTATTATTTAGACATTGATTAACAAAGTATTGGTTGTGTCACCCTGACTCTTTTGTTAGAGTCTGAATACATCTAATATTCATACGCAGCTCCATTCTTGATTCAGGTACGTAAGGATTCAGGCATTTGGAAGAGATGGTTTTACTTTTTCTTCTGTTTGCATGCAAGTTTTCATAGGGAAGGCATTACATTGCATTTTGAGCACCTATTACCTCCAATATTGTCTCATTTTCCTCCCTTTTATCTACTTTTTATTAGTGAGAACAGCATTTTGTTGCACTTTAATGTTCTCTGTACTATTGCAGCTATTATAAGAAAGGCTATTGATTTCTTTTTCTTCATCTTCTACCCTAAAACTCAAGGCAAACATATATATAACCTTTCCCCACTGCTATTTCATACAGTAGACTAATAACTTTCTCCTTCATAGTATCTTTCTAATGAAGTCCGCCTTTACATCTAGAACCCTAAATTAAACTTACTCTTCCCTGGCCATTGTCACCTGCATTGGTATAAGTGGTAATTGTACAAGGTTACTTAAGAGTACTTCTTTCAGCTGCTTTATAACTTGAATTCCTTAGAGACTTTCAAAGGGCCAGGTTTCCTTTAGTCTGAAGATTTGAAATTAGAATAAAATTCAAACAGAATTATACTGAAGATCCTTCACACTAAAGTCATTTGTTTCTGTGTTGCAATCATGCTTCTCCTAAGCATTAAACATGTAAATAATGTTGCTTGCTTTTGTAATTCTGTAAGAAGCAAAATAAGATTAACAAGAACACTGATTTTAGTTCAGCAGGAGATGACAAGTTATAGCACTGGTCAAATACAGCTCACTGTCTATCTCTATATGGCTTTATATTTAAGAATGGCTTTTACATTTTTAAATGGTTGGAAAACATTAAAAGGACAGTAATATGTAATGATACATGAAAATTATATGAAACTCAAATTGCAGCGTCATAAGTAATATTTTATTGGAACACAGCCACTCTGATTTGTTTGCGTATTGTCTGTGGTTGCTCTTGTGCTACAATACAAAGTTTAATAGTCATGACAGGGATCTTATGGTCTGGAAATCCTAAAATATTTACTCTGGCCCTTTACAGAAGGAGCTCATTCACCCCAGATTTAAAATCTTCCTTGTAGAGAATGTTGTTTACCTACTTTATGATTTATATAATATTAGACGCTCCTAAGTGTCTAAGCTTCTTTCATGTTACTAAAAATTTGCCTAAGATCACAATGTTAGTGGCAGAGTTTGGGTTTCACTTATCGTCTCACCAAGACTGACATGTAAAATTTAATAAAAATATTCAAAGAATGTTCATATTGGAAGAAAAATCTATATTTTAAAAACATACAGTAATTTTTCTATTTATTTAATAAAGATTTGTTCATATCCAGGAGATTTCCCAAATAACTTATGAGTAATTTATTGGATTTTTTTATAATATAATCAATTAGGGAATGAATAGATTCATGAAATGGCTAGTGATTAAATATAGGGTAAGTCCAAGATTGAGCTACAGATTTTATACACACATCTATATTAATTTAGCGAAGGGGGAGTGTCATGAAAAGCAGTTAACTTGGGAAAGAGTTAAAGAGTAGCATTCATTCTTCTAAATTCTGTGATGTGTGATTTAAAATTTATTATACAGATTCAACATGACATATCAAACATAAAACAAAACTGTTAGATAAACTAGAATAAGTCAGTTTTATGTTTTAATTGTCTTTGCATTGATTTCTGAATCAGTGATACTCAGTAAGTGGTAGTTATTACTCTATGATATTTTTCAGTGGAAAATTGATGGATTGAAATTCTCTAGATATAAAAAGAATATCTGAAGATTAAATGACTGATTTTATAATCAAATATATAAATAAGAGGTAAATATTGATCATTTTATAATCAAATATTTGTTGTCTTCTTTTGGCTTAAACTTAATTTGATGTGGTATAAAAAGATACTATGATTTAGCAACATACTTCCAATAATTTTTTATTAAGACAATTTCAAACATACACAAAAATAGAATAGCATAACAAATCTTCTATATAGCCATGACCGAGCTCCAATAATTTTTATTTTAGGGTCAACCTTGTTTCATCTTTAAAAGCTCTCATTCAACCCTGGATTATTTTAAATTAAATACCTATGAATAGTGCCTGTTTATGTCTCTAAAAGTTAACTACTTAAAAAAATAGTAACACTACCATACCTAAAAATAATTTTGTTAGGATCCAAATAAAAGACGCATTTTAAATTCCTTGCTATGTTTCTTAAATCTGTATGTTCCCTGTCTCTCTTTTCTTCCTCCATGCAATTTATTTGTTGAAGGAAACCAGGGCAGAGTTTCTCATATTGTGAATCTTGCTGATTGCACTACACTGGTGTCATTTAACTTGTCCCTACGACTACTATATTTACTGTAAAGGGTATTTGGAATTAGAGGGTTGATCAAATTTAGGTTCAGTTTTAGGGCAGGAGTACTTTACAGGTGGTTCCATCAAAGGCATGTGAAAATTGTGTGTGTCTCTCTTTTTGTGACATAAGGGCCCTGGGGATCATTGATTAGATCTATTATTTCATTATGGTGACATTATAATTCTATAATTCCTGCTTCCTCTATGAGTTAGAAAAACTCTGATAAGGAGAAGCTTTCCCTCATTAATTATGTTACCTCAGGTACAGCTCATACAGGAAAAACATAATGTGATTTTTTAACGTAGTGTATTAGTCCGTTCTCACGCTGCTGTGAAGAAATACCCAAGACTGGGTAATTTATAATGAAAATACGTTTAATTGACTCATAGTTCTGCATGGCTGGGGAGGTCTCAGGAAACTTACAATCATGGTGGAAGGGACTTCTTCACAGGGCGGCAGGAGAGAGAATGAGAGGAGCATGAAGGGGGGAAAAGTCCCTTATAAAACCATCAAATCTCATGAGAACTCACTATCACAAAAACAGCATGAGGGGAACCACCCCCATGATTCAATTATCTCCACTCGGTCCCATCCTTGACAAGTGGGGATTATTACAATTCAAGGTGAAATTTGGGTGGGGACACAGAGGCAAATCATATCACCTGACATTCTCTTAAAGTGCTCTATACATTTTTTTCCTTGTGCATCATTGTGGCCTCACTGATTTAAACATATTTGAAGTTTAAATCAGTTGCAGCTATTATTTTTATTGTTTCTCAAAATGTTCCTGTTTTTTTTTGCCAGCGGGAATTTAGCCATGAAATTTAAAACATATTTTTAGAAAGTTCCCTTAATATATGTCATGAGAGTTTCTGTGTGATTTTATTTAAAATGTAATTTTTTTTTTTTTTTTTTTTTGAGACGGAGTCTCGCTCTGTCGCCCAGGCTGGAGTGCAGTGGCGGGATCTCGGCTCACTGCAAGCTCCGCCTCCCGGGTTCACGCCATTCTCCTGCCTCAGCCTCCCAAGTAGCTGGGACTACAGGCGCCCGCCACTACGCCCGGCTAATTTTTTGTATTTTTAGTAGAGACGGGGTTTCACCGTTTTTTAGCCGGGATGGTCTCGATCTCCTGACCTCGTGATCCACCCGCCTCGGCCTCCCAAAGTGCTGGGATTACAGGCGTGAGCCACCGCGCCCGGCCCTAAAATGTAATTTAAGTAGTTTTAATGTATTATCCTTATGCATGCAATAAATTTTACTGTATTATTATTCGACTAAGAATTAAAACTAAATTTGAGTTTTGTGCTAGAGATGCCATTATCGTGACTCTTCTAAGGGACAGCCTTGGAAGTCCTGTGATCAGCCCACCTGGGATAAGGTTCCCTGCTTGTCTTTTCCCCTCTCACCATTTTCTTAATTGAAGTGGTTTGAACGTGTTTTTGTGACCAAAAGGGCCTAAGACAGACATGAGTAGACTTGGTTTTTGTTTTGACTCTGGTGTTAACTAAGTTACAATTTGTTGAATTGGTCTAGATCAGCATTTTCCCCAATGATATCCCTCAAAACACTAACTCTGCGGGATGCTCTTTAAAGGGTTTCTTGCTGAAATAAATTTCAGATATATGGCCAATAATTTTGGAGTATCACTAGGCCTAGTAGCATAAAAGGCTATCAGAATTTTACATGAAATAAATGAATTTAACTTGGTATAACTGTGAGGTTTCCTTAATCTATCCTGCCACAAAATCATTACCAGTACTATGCTGTGCCTCTAGAGTTCCGAGGAATACTTGGAAAATGCTGGGTTAGCTAATATCTAGGTCTCTAGTTCTAACTCTGAAAGTTTGACTGCAATGACAAAATGTGTCAGAAAATCAGAGTTCTTTTTTTTTCATGTGAAAGCTGCTTTCCCTCTTGTGTCTTCCTCTGCTTAATAATTGATACTGTCTCATCTTAATGGGAAAATTCTTTTCTGGCTCCCAAACTTCAGACTGGATGTGAATTTTTGTTGCAATAATTTCTAATGAGGACTAGAGAAAATTAGGGTTGGCTTTGTCAAGGCAGATGAAAGTAGATTTGTAGGAAGATAAGTGCAACATTGTGGTATTAGATAATTAATTTAGAAGAATGAGATTTTGGAGTCATCCAAAATAGAGATTAAAATTTAAGCCAGGGGAGTCATCGTGGAAATAGAAAATGGAAGGATGAAGTTACTTCTTATAAACTGGGAGGATTTTTACTCTTCATAACAAACATTTAGCATCTTGGGGCTTTTGGTTTATGGCCACTAACTGGGTCACTCTCAGTAAATCATATTCCTCTGTGGGCCACAGCTCCTTTATGTGCAAAATGAGAGTGTTTCACGAAATGGTTCCTTCTGTTCTAAGTCAGTGATCCCTATGAAATGTGCTTAAAAGCCTTCTGTGTTTTGTATACTATTGGTCTGTGGAGAAACACAGTCAAAAAGACTTTCCTTCTTAAATGTATTTATATTCCCAATAATCAATCTGGCTTAAAATATGGGGTGGAATTTTCCTGAAGATATTGGTAATGTTCTTGGTGGAAATAACATAGTGTTGGGAAAGGAATTAGTGACAAGCAACTTAGAATTAAGGGGAAGATATAGTAAAACTCTAAAAATTATTTTTTCTTTCTAGTATAGAAATGCACAAATAAATTTGAGGTAATTATTAGAATCAGAGTAATACAGAAAAAATGCTGAATGTAATTAATTTTGATTATTTCAATAGATTATTGAAAGCAGAAAACACAGATATAGGCAATAGTAGTGAAAGAACATAGACTCTGGGACAAGTAGAGCATTTGAGGTAGCTCTCTACATGGTGGAAAAGACCTTAAGGGCAGGCTGGGACATCATTTCAGATTTTTATTTTCAATTCCCAGCATGTTCTTTTGCTAACCTTTTTCTTTTTAATTACATTCTCATTTCATCCAAGCCAACAGCTTCAGAATTACCGTGCTTTTTGTTTCATGCAGTCGGTTTGCAAATAGAGCATGTCTGGGTTCCTCTGTGGCAAAGAGAATTAAAAAAAAAAGTTAACTTTGATTCTGTGACAAAATGTCTGTAAACACAACAAAACTTAGTCATGGTCCCACACAGAGTGGCTTTATTAAGCTGTCTGGTCCTGACTTCTCCCAAAGTAAAGCTTTAAAACTCCTTAAACGTATTTACTAGCCTTAAGCAATCAATGGTAAATGACCTTAATGTTTACTTCTAGTGAAGAACACTTCACATCTTAAGGATACAAAAGTAGTCCAAGCATTCAATGGTTAAATAGAGCAAACAATTTTTTATTTATCACCTCGGGCCTGAAAAACTGTTGCATACAGCAGTCATAAGCAGTGTCCACTTTTAATACGGTATTTGCAACTCAAATGTTTTCTTCTTCAATTTTAATCTGCAATTGCAAATTCCATAGTCCCTTTTGTTTGCATATCCTCAGGGTTTTGTTCTGCCAAATCGTTGGCTCACCACTTTCCATGGTAATTTATAGAACCCGGTTCACTTTGTGTCACTACAGGTTATAAATGAAAATGAAAACAATTTGCTGTTAAGAAATATTTCTGAAACAAAATGCAAATAACATATTGAAACAAACTACAGCTATTTTAAAAGAACAGTGCAGTATAATTATAGGGATTGTATGATAGTAAATTTTCTTTTTAAAAACATAGTCTTTCTGTCTCTCTCTCTGAGGGTATTCTTCTGTATTTAAATTAAAATACTTTCTCTTAGGAGCCTTTTTTCTATTTCTGCTTTTCCCAGTCATTTGGCTTCACTGGACTGTGGTGGGAGTGGGGTTCTTAGAGATATTCCTGAGGGTTTGCAAATTCACCTGTACACCAAGAATTGCTGCTAAATAATCTATACATTCATGGACCGTTATTTTAAAATATAAGTTGTGATTTATAATATTTGAAATTTATTTAAAACCAGGCCAGGTACAGTGGCTCACACCTGTAATCCCAGTACTTTTGGAGGCCAAGGCAGATGGATCACCTGAGATCAGGAGTTTGAGACCAGCCTGGCCAACATGTCTCCACTAAAAATACAAAAATTAGGCGGGCGTGGTGGCGGTTGCCTGTAATCCCAGGTACTTGGGAGGCTGAGGCAGAATTGCTTGAACCTGGGAGGAGGAGGTTTCAGTGAGCTGAGATTACGCCTCTGCACTCCAGCCTGGGCAACAGAACGAGATTCCATCTCAATAAATAAATAAATAAAAATTTATTTAAAACTAAAATGAAATCATGACATTTTCCTGTTGTCCATTTTCTTAACAGTTTGTCAAATATCACCTGTATCAAATGAATATTCTACATGTAAATCTAACAAGGAGTTTCTTATATTTGTAGCGAAACACTTCTCTATGTAATTTGTTGATTAGTAGTTAGAATTGAATTAGTCATTAAAAGAATCACCATGAATTGATAGTGTGATTCTTTTAGAGAAGAGTCTCTTCCTCATGAGCTCATGAACTTCTGGAAATTACTTGCTAAATTTTATGTGTACAAACATATATGTTTATTTTTTTTCTGAAGAGAAACTCGATAGCGGTGTTCATCCAGTTTTTAAAGGTGTCTGTCACCATAATAAGATGGGGAATTACTGTATGAAGAAACTATATGAGGCTGAAAATAGTGAGTAGACTGAATTTTCTTGGAATGATTTATATTTTTAAAAAATGTATAAAAATTCTCAAGTCTGCAAGTAAGAAAAGCTTTTGTATGTTACTTTGTAGTAGAGTGTGGCATATTCCAACAATAAATTGAATACACTCTCGTAATTGCCTATAAATAAGGAAAAACTCAAACTCTTCATTCTTTCAGGGAACTATTACCAATACTCACCTGTGTTTTTATAATTAAGTCACTTTTATTTTGTCCTCTGTATTTGTAAGGAGCTATCATTTACTGGAAGGAATATTCAGACCAGAAATTGAGAGGTTGGTTTTAATTTCTCTTCTGTTACCTGATCTTTTAGCGTTGGGATAAAAAATTGTGACTTATATTCTAAAAGATGGTAAATTAATTAAAATAATTTTTTAGTTGTCTGATTTTAAACAGTCATGATATCCAGGCAACTGACTGATAAAAATGTTTCTTTTTAAGCTAGTCACACTGGTATCAAGTAGTTACAAATTTAATTTCCCTTTCCTTCAATATTTGTACCTATGGAACAAATTTAACTATATATTCCCATTTGTTTACTGGAAATGCTAAGAAAAATAGATATCTGTAAACACATAATACTCAGAAAATTGAAATATGCTTTGTATTTCCTAGAAAATTCGGACTTAGTCATCAGAAAACACATAGCACACAGACCACACATTTAATGCTTTTTCCACTTTCTTCCCCATACTTCATTCTAGTTTAAGACCTTGAATTCCACATCTATACCTTTGATCCCAGATAACCTGGTAATGTAATTTGGGCAAAGGTGGGTTGTTCTTTAGTAGCCATATAGTGGTGTCCATAATTAAATATGTACAGACACAACATTTCTTTTTCAAGATTGTGCTATGGCCAGCCAACGAATAAGAGACCTTAGGCTTTCAAATATCACAAAATTCCTCAACAATATTCTGTGTTTGAGAACTCATCTATTTCTTACTGACACCAGGTAATGTTATTTCAGCAATGACTTTTGACTAGTAAGCAAGGATATTTTATATTTTTAAATAATTTATTAAGATCAAATTTACCTACATCAAAATGCGTAAATCTTAAATGTAAAATTAAATAAGTCTTGACAAATGAACACACACAGGTAAACAGCATCTCCATCCAAATATAGAACATTTCCATCTCTAGCTAAGGTTTTCTGTACACACCACTTCCACAGGCAACCACTGTTCTGATTTTTATCCCTATAGACTAGTTTGGATTATACATGAACTTTCTGTAAATAAAATATAGTATGTACTGTTTTGTATCTGGCTTCTTTCATATGAACTATTTTTAAAAACCTGTCCTATTGTTTTCTCTACAGTTTGTCTCTCTTTTTGTTCCTATTTTGGTACCACAATATATATATATATGCCTGTCCTGCTAATGGACACTTGGGCTGTTTTGGCTACTAAAGATAAAGCCACTACAATTTTTTTTGTTTGTTTTGTTTTTTTACAGAGTCTCACTCCTGTCACCTAGGCAGGAGTGCAGTTGTGTGATCATGGCTCATTGCAGCCTTGACCTCCTGGGCTCAAGTGATCCTTCCACCTCAATTTTTATTTTTTTTTGTAGAGACAAGGTCTTACTGTCTTGCTCAGGCTGGTCTTGAATTCCTGGACTCAAGTGATCCTTCCTCCTTGGCCTCCCAAAGTGCTGGGATTACAGGCAAGAGCCACCATGCCTGGCATAAAAACATTTTATACAAGTCTTTGTGTCAACATTTGTTTTCATATTTCTTGAGAAAAAATACCCAGGAGCAAATATGCTCACTTATAGGGTAGGTGTGATGGTTAATAAAGGTGTCAACTTTATTGGATTGAAGGATGCTTAGATAGCTGATAAAGTATTGTTTCTGGGTGTGTCTGTGAAGGTGTTGCCAGAGGAGATTGACAGTTGAGTCAGTGGACTGAGAAAGGAAGACCTACCCTCAATGTGGGTGGGCACCATCCAATCTGCTGCCAGCACAGCCAGAACACAGTAGGCGGAAGAAGGTGGGATAGGCTGGCTTGATGAGCCTTCTGACTTTCACCTTTCTCCCCTGCTGGATGCATCCATCCATCTCTCCCTCCTGCCTTCAGACATCAGACTCCAGCTTCTTTGGCCTTTGGACTCTTAGACTTACACTAGTGGTTTGCTGGGGGCTTTCCGGCCTTTGGCCACAGACTGAAGGCTGCATCGTCAGCTTCCCTACCTTTGAAGATTTTGGACTTTGACTGAGTCACTATTGGCTTCTTTCTTCCTCAGCTTGCAGACGGCCTATCATGGGACTTCACCTTGTGATCAAGTAAGCCAATTCTCCCTAATAGACTCCCTTTCATATATATATATATCCTTTTAGTTCTGTCCCTCTGGAGAACCCTAATACAGTACGCATATGTTTAACTTTATTAGAAATTGCCAAGCAGTTTTCCAAAATATTGGTACCATTTTATAATTCCACCAGCAATGTTACAGGAGTTTCAGTGTCTCCATATCCTTACCAACATTTGGTGTTTTCAGCTTTTTAAAATTTAGCTATCTATACTAGTGGGTGGGAAACAATATTATCATTGTAGCTTTAATTTGCATTTTCCTGATGATTAAAGATGCTGAACACTTTTAAATATGTGTTTTATGTATTTTTTATTATAGTATGTTCCCAATTTTAAAAATTAGACTTTTATTAACTCGTATGATTTTTTGTGTTTTCTGGATGTGTGTTATATGTGCGTGTGTATGTTTGTGGCTTGAATTTTCCTTTTCTTAACACTTTTTTTAGAAGCATGGACATTTTTAATTTTGATGAGGTCTAATTTATTATTTTTTTATTTTATGATTAGTGATATTTATGTACTCTCTAAGAATCATTACCTCCCCTAAGATTGTGAACATATCCTTCCATGATTTCTTATAGATTTACAGTTTTAGCTTTTACCATTAGGTCTATTATCTGTCTTGAATTAATTTCTATTATAAATTGAAGTAATTTGCATTCTGGTCACTTGTCCCACCACCATTTGTTGAAAATATTCTGTTTTCCCCACTGACTCTAAATGTGGTGATCTATTTCTGGAACTCTATTCTGTTTCACTGATCTATTTTTCCATCCTTATGCCAATGCCATGCTATTTTGATTACTGTAATATTATAACAAGTTTTGAAACCAGGTTGTATTAGTGCTCTAACCTTGTTTTTATTTTAAAAATCATATTTGGCTACCTAAAGTTCTTTGGGGTTTCTTAAATATTTTAGATTTATCTTGTAAATTTGTATAAGTAAACTTACTGGGGTTTTGGTCAGAATGGTATTGAATCTATACAGAATTTGGGGAGAATTGACATTGTTTCAATATCAATTCTACTAATTCCTAAACATGGTATGTTTGTTTATATAGGTCTTCATTAATATCTGTTAAAATATTTGTAATTTTTTATTGTAAATTATTTTTAAATTTTACTTTCAATTAGTCATTCTAGTATACACAAGCACAGCTTTTTTTCTACATTGACTTCATATTCTACAACCTTGCTAAATTTACTTATATTTAGTGTTTTTTGGTTGTTTGAGATTTCATAGATAACATCTATATGATAAATTTATATACTTTTAAATTTCTGTGAATAAAGACTTAATACTTCCATTCCAATCTTTATCCATTTTATGCTTTTTTGGTCTTTATCACACTGACTGGATTCCTGAAGTTGAGGGACAAAGGATAATATCCAGTATTTTGCCAATAAATATAGTGTAAGTTACAGGTTTTCGCAGATGCCCTTTATCTGAATGAGGAGCTTCTCTTCCATTCTTAATTTGTGAATTTTTATCATGAATGGTCCCTGTATTTTGTTAGAGCCTTCCTCTTCTTTATTCTGTCAATGCAATAAAATGTATTAATTTATTTTCTAATGTAAATTCTACTTGGTTATGACATATTCTTTTAAAAATATATTTCTGCATTTGATGGATATTTTTAAATTTTGCATCATATATTCATGAGGGGTATTGGTGGGGTAGGAAATCTGATCAAGAGTTTTGCTACAAAGGGAAATTTTAAAATGGGGCAATAACTCGGAAAGTATAAGGTGTAGTAAGATTTTTTTTCTTTTAGCGTGGGAGAAATTAGAAGTGATCTTAAATAGATGTTTTTCTTTTTTTATATTTATTATTTGCTCATGTTCACTTTTCCCCAAGTCTTTAAGATAGATTACCAAAAAAAAAAAAAAAAAAGTAAAATAGAAAGGGAGTCAATTAGTAACTTTACCTTTTTATAAGGCCTTAAAACTTATCCCTTCCTAGGAAATAGAATGGGCATCATCCTGTATTTTGGAAGAGAAACAGGTGTAGTTACTGTATGGCTGTCCAGGTAGACAGAAGAACTCAAAATGTGATGTGGATGCCGGTTTTATAACCCTGTGACATACACACCACAGAGCCCAACCCCCGGTTTGTGAATTATTTTTTTGTTACTAACATTAGAAGTATATAACTTTGATATTTATTTTGCCTGGCTGCTCCCAAAATCTGATTTTAAGTTACTTTTCTTATTACAGGTAAAATAGCATGATATGCTGGTCAAATTGCTTTTTTATTTATGAAATGAGTTCTGGAATGTCATCTGTCTTTACAAGTAGAAACACACTGGCATTTTCCTACTCTTATTTTCACAATTTATTCTCAAGGTTATGCTTATCAATTCTACTTTTACATTTTATAATCTTCATTGGCCAAGAATAACATAATTCTTTTTTAAAATTAAGTGTAGAAAGGTTTTGCTTCAGAGTAAATGAGCCATTTTGGCTGGTCAGCTGTTATTAACATTTGTAATCCATATTTGCTCTTTAATTTTCCTGATAGCTGAAAGGAGTTAATGAAACAATTTCCTTATGAATCAGATACCTTATCGAAAAGTAAAACTATTTTTACCCTCAATTTTCTTGGACTTTTGTTAAAAAAAGAAGATTCACTCAATCTCTCTACCATATATAAATTACCACAAGTAAAGAACCATATTATTCTACTTTCTTAGATTATGAACACCTTAAAGGAAGGCTCTTTTTTATCCTCACCACCTAGAATAATGTTTGATATGTTGAGAGGCACTCAATAAACATTTAAAGGATCAATTTAAATGCCTTAAAATTTCTAAATATGCCAGTCCTTTTCTAGAAAACTCATTTTCCAAGGTGCTTTTGCTTATATAGTTGGTACTATAATTTAGATTTGGTAGATCTACTCTTATAATAAAACCTATATAGGGCTTAGACCCTATTTTTATTTTATCTTCAAATTAAATTTGAAATTTGAAGAACTATTTTAAGAGATTTCTAATTTATAATTTCTTTAAAGGATTATAAAATATTTTGAAGAATTTTAAAATGGGCAATTTAATATGCTCTAACTTCTCTTAAAATATTACTTCTGCTTATTTTAATTTTTTCTCTTGTATTTTATATTCTGTTCCAAATATGCTCTCCTCTTAATTTTGACATTCCTTTTTTTTCCTATGGTAGTAGCTCTTGAGAGCGTCCAGATCTTTGTGGCATTTCTAATTGTGACTTCTCAGGTCTTTTGAAATCTGAGATAGTTGATATTGCCTAAGTCTATTTCATGCCTACACTCCCTTTTACTCATATATCCACGTTCCTTTTCATGTATTTAGAGTTAATTTCTTTTGAATGTTCTTCCTTTCCCTAAGGACTGATAAACTTCTACACTTTGGCTATTTTCTGGAGGCATTAAAAACACTGCTTCCTCCGTTTTATTTTCTAGGATTTACTTATTCATTCACGTGTGGCAGACTGGCATGTTTACTACTTGAGACCGTCGTTACAGCAGTTACTACTGTTACTGCTTGAGACCGTCATTTACGAGACTGAACGAAGGGACGAACATAGAAATGAAAACTTAAGACAAAAGAAACTGTTTTAAAGGACCCAGGGGAAGAAGAGAGCTCCCTGATTCTAGTGATCAAAGGCAGCCCCCTTAAGCTTCCACAGCCCTTCCTATTTATTGGGTAGAAAGAGCAGGGAGGAGGAAGTAACGATTGGTCAGCTGCTCAATTGATCAGAGGTTCATATTATTGCTAACAAGCTTCAGATGTGCCTAATCACAAGAAACACTGTGCTTAGGGCGTGACTGCCCTCAGCATTCCTTCTGGGTGGCAGATGCAGTTTGTCAGTTTGCCAACATCCTGCTTTTATGAGAAACAGTTTGCAGGCCAGGCATGGTGGCTCATGCCTGTAATCCCAGCACTTTGGGAGGCCAAGGCGGGCGGATCACAAAGTCAGGAGATCGAGACCATCCTGACTAAGACGGTGAAACCCTGTCTCTACTAAAAATACAAAAAAATTAGCCGGGCGTGGTGGCAGGCGCCTGTAGTCCCAGCTACTGGGGAGGTTGAGGCAGGAGAATGGCGTGAACCCGAAAGGCGGAGCTTGCAGTGAGCCGAGATCGCGCCACTGCACTCCAGCCTGGGTGACAGAGTGAGACTCCGTCTCAAAAAAAAAAAAAAAACAGTTTGCTGTTTGCTCATATAGCCTCCAGTGGTATACTGACTTGATCATGACCCTCATTCTTTCAGCCTCCAATTCATCTCTCCCTTTTTGTTATTGAATTACTTGAGAAAGGCAATTGCAAAATGTGCAACCTTCAATTGCCGGTTGGTGGTTTGTTCTGTCTTCGTATTCAGCTCATACTGGGGGAACCAGGCCCACGGTTGGGATCCATGTGTCCCTCCAATCTCCCATTCCATGGTAGTACACACCTTGGGGGCACCCACACTTTTTGTTCATTTCCTGCAAAAACAAGCATACCCTGGTCCCCAAGTTAGTAAATCTACCAAAACAGAAGCAAAGGTGGCTCTAAGCCGGGAGGCATGCCATTGCAGAAGCATTTGTTCTACAAGCTACAGCTCAGCCTCTCCCTCTTTGGTTAATTGCCACGGGGTAAAACTTTCCATTGATAATGAGAAGCAGGCTCTTTCTGATTAACAGAAGGCACAGAGAAAACAAATCGAAGCCTCTCCCTCTCGTGCAATAACATAGTAAAAAAACAATCCTTAAGCCTTCAATTTGTACTGTACAGGTGGGTCTATTAGATGCTATGGGTTGTGATAGATAAATCTCTCTCCTAGTTGTACTCCCAAATTCCCGACCTCCTCGCTTCTTCTTACATAGAGAAGAGGGCAATTTACAGGGAATAAGCAACAGTTGAGCCAAATCCACAAACTCATTTCTCCTTATGTGGAGAAGGGTGCAATTTACAGGGAATAAGCAACAGTTCTGCAAGATATTCTCCTGGTTTAAAACCTAAAATCTTATGACATTACCGCCACCTGAATTTCTCCTTCACAATCCGAATCAACAACTCCTGGGACTACAGTAATACCGTGTAAGTTAAGTTGACTTTTACCTAAAATTACTCCCATAGATCCAATTTTTCTACACTTATAACATTTAGCATTTTTGCAACCACTAAAGAAGATGATACAAGCCAATTTTCATCCTCCCTCTCCTGTTCATCACCCTCCATAGGTGCTGTAGGTGGGGCAAAAAATTCTCTCAAACCCTGAAATAACAGAAGATGGCACGTACCAAACTCCAAACAAAAAAGAGAAAAGAAATAACCAAATTCTTCCCCATGTTACCCTGATCAAAAACTTCCCGTTCTTTGTACCTCTAGGGTACTGACCAGTACCTTTTTAGAGCACTGACCTTATGTTGCTGCCAGCAGACTTGTAACAGGGTTTCTTGTTCATCTGGTTGGTTGTAGTTCTTTTCTTTTCCAGCAGATCTTCCTCGTTCAAGTCCCTGTAGGACCCTATCTGTCCCTATCTGTCTCTGCCTGTCCCTGCAAGTTTCTGCTAGTCTTTGCTAGTCTCTGCTAGTCCTTGCTGGTCTTTGCTAATCTCGGCTAGTCTTTGCTAGTCTTTATCTATCCCTATCTGTCCCTATGGTCCCTGTTACTTCCTGCAAGTCCCTGTCATTCCTTACCTATCTCTATTTGTCTCTATTTATCTCTATTTATCCCTACTTATCTCTATTTGTCCCTGCAGACCTCTTCAGTTCCCTTCAGGTCTCTTCAGGTCTCCGTTTGTTCTTGATAGTCCCTGTTAGTCCCTGTTCAGGTGCCACTTGTGGCAGAGTGCCCTGGTTACTACTTGAGACCGTCATTACAGCAATTACTACTGTTACTGCTTGAGACCGTCATTTAAGAGACTGAATGAAGGGACAAACGTAGAAATGAAAACTTAAGACAAAAGAAACTATTTTAAAGGAAGGATCCAGGGGAAGAAGAAGAGAGCTCCCTGCTTCTAATGAGCAAAGGCAGCCCATTGAGCTTCCACAGCCCTTTGTATTTATTGGGTAGAAAGAGCAGGGAGGAGGAGGTAATGATTGGTCAGCCGCTCAATTAATCACAGGGTCATATTATTGCTAACAAGCTTCAGTTGTGCCTAATCACAAAAACACTGCACTTGGGGCATGACTGCCCTCAGCATTCCTTCTGGGTGGCAGATGCAGTTTGTCATTTTGCCAACATCCTGCTTTGAACATCCTGCTTTCATGAGAAACAGTTTGCTGTTTGCTCCTGTAGCCTCCAGTGGTATACTGAGTTGATCATAACTCTCATTCTTTTGGCCACCAACATTCACTCTATTCTTTAAAGAAGACTACATTAAAATTCTTAGTTCTTTAATATCATTGCAAGAATTTTTCATAGAGAAAAAGTGATTTAAAAATGCACTGAGAAGATGAAATTGTCATGAACTGGAATTTTGCTACCTATATATCCTCAATTCTTTTATGGAATCACTTTTTTATATATCAGAAACATAAGCTCATCCAACAGAGCAAATAATGTTTCCTGTTTGACTTGGAATTCATTGGTATATTAATCATAGCTACCCTATGAAAGAAATGTGCAGGGTTGAAATATGAAGGCACATCCACTGCCGGGAAAAAAAGTCATCGAAACCATTATTTACTTGTCTTCATTTTCTGAGTTCAACCCTTAAAAACATCTAGTGTGGTGAACAGAATGAATGAGAGCAAATTAACTTTCATTCTCCAGCAGGGGGAGATGGGAGATGTACGGGAGTGAATCAATCACTCCGCCACTCGCTGCACTGACAGCATTCATCCGCGTGAGCAAACTTCTGTGTGGGCAATGCCAGTGAGATTTATTTCTCAGAGCCAGTTTACTGCTTATATTCAGGGTGTCTCATCTTTCTGGCAATCAGGATAAATTGTGTCTCGGTAATAACATTGTAGCAAGCTATTCTTTACCGTGAGGAGCCTGTAATGACTGTGTCTTACATTTGCATTAATTCTGACAAGATTTACTGGTGCTTGCTGATCTGTAAATTTCAAAATGGCAAACAGCAGCAAAGGTCAACACAGCAATAATATTAATAGCTTTAGAAAAAGGTTGAGAGACTCAGAGATTCCAGATGATAGCTTGAGTGAGGGAAATTCAGTGGATGTTTTTTATCTTCATGGGTCCTGTTACTCTACCCTTTCTTTTATGAGGTAATTATAGCACCCTAGCAAAGGAAGCATGAGGTCGTAAAGGTCAATAACGGGGAATGTAGTTTAATCATAGGTAATATTTTTCCAGAGTAGATTTATTATTAACACACTTGGAAAATCTGGTGAGAAGATATAGATCCTTAAGTATTATAGTTTTTATCTACAGCACATAGTTAAAACTTTTTTGAAGGTTAAGGACAACTCAGTAACATTTACCACTCTTCTTTATAATATATTCCTCATTAAATGAAAAACTCAGGGTTAGAAAAGCATGTTTAAATATAAAGAAATATACTTTCCTTGATTTTTTTAGGTTTCTTGTAGGAGAACATCATCCTGGATTTTCTCTCTTGCTTGAAACATTTCCTGATGCCTCTAGAACAAGTTAACCATTCCCCCTTCTGTATCATCTCTTACCCAGATGGCACAGAGCTTTTTGCTGCTGATGCTCTCTTTGCATTGTCCTGTCATTGTTTTGTTTACTTATACTGCCCCTGTCTATACTCTATTTTCTATGGGGTAGGAATTGTGTACTTTTCATGTATAAGAGTACTTAGTTTATAATAGGTGCTTCACAGCTATTGTAGTGAAACCCAGACTACCTGAAGGCATCTTGGTAACTGTGTACGTTGTAGACAAACACCTCTTTGGTTCATATATGAAAATAACGGTCAGCTAATTTTAGTATATGGAGCAAGAGGTTCCTGTGGGAAAGATGTTGAATAGCTGTAATGTATAGAACATCCAGATTGCAATCACTGCAACGACATTGATCAAAATAGTTGGACATGGTTTGACTACTCCAGATATTCATCTTGAAGAAAACCTGGATGAGGTCTTTAGTTTAGGCAACCTGAAGGCCACAAAGCAATGGATGTAGAATAACGGGATCTACTGTGTGGGAAGAGAACTAAGTGCAGTTTGCTCTATAGTCAAACGTAAGGGGCATTATATCCAGCAAATGCTAAATGATATTGAGAGGTCTGGTGTAAAGCGTGCTAGCTTTTCTCACTAACGATATGAGGAAAATACTAAAGTGGAAAAGGATATTTATCCTTGTGTATGGATTCTCTTTTTATTTTGTTTCATGTCTTTTAGGCCCTGTGGTGATCTGAGCCAAGATTTTGCTTATGTTAGAATCCTTATTATGCTTTGTAGGAAAATCTCAATCTTTACCCACAGAGTCTTCATTGACTAGATTCCAAAGGAAGTTTGGTTCCACTAATGACTTGGTACAAATACTCTTGGATAACTTTTCTGTTTGTGGGCCTGCACTTATTTGTCTTACACTGATCTCTGAATGCTCTGAGTTTTTCAGGCTAGATATTAAATTTTCCCATATATGCCAATTAAAGAGGCTGTTTTCTGTCTTTTTGGTAAGGAGAGTTGTTTCCTGATTGGGTTCTGAACCAAAGCAGAGTTTACATTAGGCTGAAGGACTATGGCAGCTACTCTGTGACACAGTTCAATATCCTTGGCAAAAATGGCTCATTGTTTTTCTTTTGAATCATTAAACATCTGGTGAGATGTGAGCCTTGGGGATATAGACTAAGGATGAAAGAAGGCAAATGTATGTATTTATGTAGACACTTGTCTTGTAATTGCTAACATGACTAACGTCATAAAGAACAGGAGAATTAAAAGGGATGGCCACCATGGGGAAGAGACTTCTCCCTCTGCAGGTGGACTGTGGTAGAGTGAATTACCACCACTAATTCTTCACCTCTCCTTATATCCATGCCCTTTGCTTTGTAATTGGAAGTTATTCCACTGCTGACCAAATGTGCTTTACCACCTTTAACTTGGAGGTTGGTCTTGTGCGTTGCTTTGGCCAATGGGATGTCAGCAGAAATGGCACAAGCAAAGACTTGAAATATGCTTGGATGGTTGGGCTTTACCTTTTGTTTGCCATGTAAAGAGTTTCTGCTCCATAGCTGCCATCCTTTCAGCATGGGCACCAGAACGAACATACTGGGGTGAATCTGAGACCAACCTACGAAGAATACGTAAGCGCATCAGGATCCTGTAGTTTGAAGCAGGTTTGCCCAGCTGAGGTCAGCTGAATTCCCTCCACATGACCAACAACCCCATGAGTGAATGAGAGTAAATGGTGGCTGTTTTTTTTTGTTTGTTTGTTTTTTGAGGTGGAGTTTCACTCTGTTGCCCAGGCTGGAGTGCAGTGGTGCGATCTTGGCTCAATGCAACCTCTGCCTCCTGGGTTCAAAGAATTCCCTGACTCAGCAGTCCAAGTAGCTGGGATTACAGGCAACTGCCACCATGCCCAGCTGATTTTTGTATCTTCAGTACAGACAGGGTTTCACCACATTGGCCAGGCTGATCTTGAACCCCTGACCTTGTGAACCATCCGCCTTGGCCTCCCAAAGTGCTGGGATTACAGGCGTGAGCCACTGCGCCTGGCCAGCGGTGGCTGTTTTAAGGTAATGGTTCTGGACTGGGAACAAGTTTGGTGATGTCTGGAAGTATTTTTGGTTGATACAACTTGGGGAATGGCATCTAGTGGATAGAGGCCAGAGATGTTGATAAACATCCTATAATACACAAGATAACACCCAACTACAAAGAATTATCCAACCCTAAAACATTGATAGTGCTGCTGTAAAGAAGCCCTGTTTTAAGGAAATTGCAAATTGATACCCTCATTATCTTCTACTAAATGCTCTCTGGCCCCTAGAAAAGAAGAGTTATAATTGGTCAGAGGCCAAAACCGTCATTGGACCAAAGCTTACTAGTGAGCAGAATTTTTATGCATTAATGCATGACTCTAAGCTATGTGTTATCTTGTGTTTTTGTCACCATAGTAAATAAACCTAGGTAGGACCTATGTCCTTAGGGGTAAATTCAACCATCTCCCTCTTTTCTTCTTCCCCCTTTTCTTTCTCTAGGACCTGCTTTGCATTTTTTTCTCACTCCTGTTCTTTCTTTTTGGATACTTTTGAGCTTGCCTCAAGGGCCCATGATATTAGGTTTGGTTTGATTAATCATGAGGACTTTCTGTTATTTGCTCGGCTATAAATAAAATGGTACTTTGATTTCTGTTCTGCTATTTTTCTTAGTGCGTGGGACTCCCCTAGGAACTCTGCAGAGAAAAAGGGTGTTTGATGTGACAGAATGCAAGCAGTTCTTGGTCTCAGGAGGGACTACCATCAAGTAGCACTGAAATTTCTCCCTTAGATCCTCAGCTTCTCAGTTGTTAAGTTGTCTGGTAAAAATGTTAAATTCAATTGAAGTTCAAAGAAGGAGGTATAGAAGTCACTGGGTAAGACTTAATGAAGAAAATGAGAAACATTCAACAACTGTTTATTGAACCAATTTCGAATAGGTACCCTTGGCTTTTGAGCATTCAGCCTTTCAAATTGTAGCCACAACATTTTTCCCAGTCTTATCTACCACAATTTTCTGTTTGTTTGTTTCTTGTACTCCACATGCTAAACCAGAAGACATACCGCTGTTCAAACAAGCCTGTAGCTTTACACTGCTGTGGTGTTGTATGTGCTATTCTTTGTGCATCTAACTAATTTCCCTGAATCTATGGAACCCTTTGCATTTTAATGTTTATAACCAATATCTAATGTCGGTTTCTTTTTTTTATCTATGTTATATTTTCTTCCTTCAAACTTCTTAGAATTGTGTTCATGTATCTCTTGATGTTTCCAAATTTCTGACAGATATTAATCTTTGGTAGTCAGGAATGAGAAGTAGGAATTTCCAGGAATACTTTGGAATTCCTGAAGCTTTAAGTTAATCTTAAAATAATTCATTATTTTTATATTATGATTTCTCAAAAGGTGAAATTAATAGAGAATGTTAATTTAGGAGTATTTTACAAAGAGAATAGCCAAGAATGAACATTCAAACACTGGAAAATGCCAGTCAATGTTACTGAGTAGTGTTTGAACAGTATAAAATTTGGGTGTCTTAGCAAGGTTACCAGCACTACAGAGAATCACTTGTCAAAACTGTCAAGTTAAGGATTTATTATGCTTCCATTTCTGATTATTTCTTTAAACTTCACTCATAGGATTTGTTTGCAATATAGTATATATATAAACATATTAATATTTATTTTATCTGTAAGAATGACTATTAGCAGTAGATAGGGACATATTCATGAATATACCCTTATTATAAGGTACCAGTTACAAACAACACTTACTGACCGGATCATGAATGCTTCCTTCCTACTTGCTCCTGGTTCTGGTTCCTGGAAATATAGACTTTAACCTTCAGCCCAGTGTGTCAATATTTTCTGTCTTGCTTTCAATTTGATGTCAGTGATTCCTTTTACCAGTAATACTTTGTTGTTAATTGTTAAACTTAAATTTGTGCAGAGAAATTATAATACTTTTTTAATTTTCTGATTCCTTGACAGATTTTTACTTGGGTTTGGGATTTGGCAATACATAAAATTGCCTAAAATATGCCAGGAAGGAATTCCTGCTTGGAAATACTAGTGCTTCTCAACTTACATATTGTCTCCTATATGCATATTCAGACTTTCACATAATACAGGCCTGCTAAATCTGCTGTAGGTTTTGTGAAGAACAGCAACATGCTAGATGTAGGCCTTTAGTGAGATTAATCTAAGAACTGAGAAAAGTCAAATTGCAGGTGGTAGAAAATAAAATGAGAGTTTAATAAATTTAGGTAGAGGTAAATTATAGAATGTGAATTCAGTAATTCAGATATGAAGAAACTGACCAAGAATAGGAAAAGAAGTAACAGATAAATGAGTTACTAGTGATTGAAGCTGGGAGCAGTGGCTCACACCTATATTCCAAGCATTTTGGGAGGCTGAGGCAAGAGGATCACTGAAGTCCAGGAGTTCAAGACCAGCCTGGACAACATAGTGGGACCCCATCTCCACAAATAATAAAATTAGCTGGGTGTGGTGGCACAAGCCTATAACCCCAGCTACTTGGGAGACTGAGGCAGGAGGATTGCTTGAGCCCTGGAAATCAAGGTTGCAGTGAGCTACGATTGTGCCACTGCATTCCAACCTCGGTGACAGAGGGAAGTCCTATCTCAAAAAGAAACCCCTCCCAAACAAAACCAAAAGACAATAACAATAACAGCAACAACAACAACAAAGAAAACCACAGTGACTTGATAAAGACAATGGGACAGAGAAATAACCTAAGAGATGAGCTATTAAGCTTGGGACTAATACAATTGTGGGGTACTAATAGAAATCAAGAATTTGAGAAAAGAATCTGACCTTTATGAAGCACTAGCTAATAAACCAGGTACTATGTTACTCACTTTCATATATTATCTAATTTACAAATAGAGTAAATTCAAAAAGAAAACGTAATGTGTTTGGAAATCGTATGTGGATTTGGAGGACATGAAACAATCAGTGGTCATGTCCAATTGGCAACTGGAAATATGGGACTGGAAATAGGTGAGAGGTCAGGGTTACACATGTGTATTTTTTTCTGTTCTCAATATTGTAATTTGTAAAAGCAAAACAATTTTATTACTTATATGGAGAAAGTTTGAGTGATCTGGATAGAAGATCAAGCCAACCACGAAGTTCTCTTAAGCCAAAGCCTAATCCAGAGCAAGGCTCGAGCTCTCTTCAATCCTATGCAGGCTGATAGAGGTGAGGAAACCGCAGAAGAAAACCTTGAAACTAGAAATTCATTCATGAGGCTTAAGAAAAGAAGTCATGTATATAATATAATAGTGCAAGTTAAAGCAGCAAGTGCTGATGTAGAAGCTGCAGCAAACTATCCTGAAAAGTTTTTAATAGCTAATATCATTGATGAAGATGGCTACACTAAACAATAGATTTTTGATGTAGATGAACCAGCCTTTTATTGGAAGAAAATGCCATCTAGGATTTTCATTGCTGAAGAGAAAAAGTCCATGCCTGCTTTAAAAGGATAGACTGACTCTTTTGTTAGGGGTGAATGCAGCTGGTGACTTGAAGTTGAAGCCAATGCTATTTCACCATTCTGAAAATTTCAGGCCCTTAAAATTATGCTAAATCTACTGTGCTGGTGCTCTATAAATGGAACAACAAAGTCTGGATAATACCACACCTGTTTATGGCATGGCTTACTGAATTCTTTCATAGTATTACTGCTCATTGACAACGACCTGGTCACCCAAGAGCTCTGGTGGAGAGGTACAAGGAGATTAATGTTGTTTTCAAGACTGCAAATAAAACATCCATTCTGCAGTTCATGGATCCTGGAGTCAATTCAACTTTGAAACCTTATTATTTAAGATATATAAATATATATTTTTAAGGCTATAGCAGCCATAGATAGTGATTCCCCTGATAGTTCTGGGCTAAGTCAACTGAAAAGCTTCTGGAAAGGCTTCACCTTTCTGGATGCCATTAAGAACATGGATGAAGCTGGAAACCATCATTCTAAGAAAACTAACACAGGAACAAAAAACCAAACACCTCATGTTCTCACTCATGAATGGGAGTTGAACAATGAGAACACAAGGATACAGGGAGGGTAACATCACACACTGGGGTCTGTCGGGGAGTGGGAAGCTAGCGGGGGTGATAACATTAGGAGAAATACCTAATGTAGATGATGGGCTGATGGGTGCAGCGAGCCACCATGGCATATGTATACCTACATAACAAACCTGTACATTCTGCACATGTATCCCAGAACTTAAAGTGTGTATGTGTGTGTGTGTGTGTGTGTGTATATATATATATATATATATATATATGAATATTTGTGATTAATGGGAGGAGGTCAAAACATCAACATTAACAGGAGTTTGGAAGGAGGTGATTCCAGCCCTCATGTATGACTTTAAGGAGTTCAAGGCTTTAATGAAGGAAGTAACTGCAGATGTAGTAAAAATAGCAAAAGAACTGAAATTAGAAGTGCAGCTTGAAGATGTGATGGAATTGCTTCAATGTCATGGTAAAACTTGAATAGATAAGGAGCTGCTTTTTATGGATGAGTGAATAAAATGGTTTCTTGAGGTGGAATCTACTCCTGGTGAAGATATTGTGAACATTGTTGAAATGACAAAGAATGATCTAGACTACTGCATAAACTTAATTGATAAAGCAGCAGCATAGTTTGAGAAGATTGATTCCAATTTCGGAAGAAGCTCTACTGTGGGCAAAATGTTATCAAACGTTTTTATCAAAAATGTTATCAAACATTGCATGCTACAGAGAAATATTTTATGAAAGGAAGACTCAATTGATGTCATTGTTTTATTTTAAGAAATTGCCACAGTCACTCCAACCTTCGGCAACCACCTTCCTGATCAATCAGCACCCATCAATATTGAGGCAAGACCTTTCACCAGAAAAAGAAACCATGACTTATGGAAGTCTATGGTAATTGTTAGAATTTTTAGCAATAAAGTAATTTAAAATTAAAGTATGTACCTTTTTTAGACATAATGCCATTGTACACAGTATAGTATAAACATAACTTTTGTATGCACTGGGAAACCAAAATTTGTATGACTCACTTTATTGTGATAGTAGTTTTATTGTATCAGTCTGTGATCTGAACCTGTAATATCTCCAAGCTATGCCTGTATTCTGAATTTGACTACTTACTTACCTTTACCAATGAGTTTTATACTTTCATATATTTTCATGCTCCTGATTAATTTCCTTTTTTTCAACCTGAGGAAATCCCTGTGGCAATTCTTGTAAGGCAGGTCAAGTGGTGATCTGCTTTCTCAGCCTTTATCTGAGAAAGTCTTTATCTCTTCCTGATTTTGGAGGGACAGCTTTTCTTGTTATAGTATTCCTGATTAACAGTTTTTTTTTCTTTCACTACGTTGAATATATTATCCCTTTCTCTTCACCTCCAAAGTTTCTGCTGATAAATCACTGATAGCATCATAGGAATTTCCTTGTATATGAAGAATTTCTTTTCTCTTGCTGCTTTCAAAATTTTTCCTTTTTCTTTTTATAACTTTATTGTGATGCACCCCAGTGTAATCTTCTTTGGATTGATCCTGTTGGGGAAATTCTGAGCATCATGGATCTAGATATTTATATTCTTCCCCAATTTGGGAAGTTTCCAGCCATTATTTCTTTAAATAAGCTTTCTGTCCTTTTCTCTCTCTCTTTTCCTTTTGAGATTTGCATAATGTGAATTATCTTTCTTGATGGTGTCTCATGTATCTTGTAGGCTTCCTTCATGCTTTTCCATTCTTTTTTCTCCTATGATCAGATTTTTTTTTTTTTGAAACAAAGTCTCACTCTGTTGCTCAGGCTGGAGTGCAGTGGCATGGTGCAATCATGGCTCATTGCAACTTCTGCCTCCCAGGTTCAAACAATTCTTGTGCCTCAGCCTCCCAAGTAGTTGAGATTACAGGTGTGTGTCACCATGCTAGGCTATTTTCTTTGTATTTTTAGTAGAGATGGGGTTTCACCATGTTGACCAGACTGGTCTTGAACTCCTGGCCTCAAGTGATCCACCTGCCTCAGCCTCTCAAAATTCTGAGATTACAGGCATGAGCCACCACACTTGTCCTAAAATTGGATATATTCAAATGACCTGTCTTTGAGTTCATGGATTCTTTTATTTGATCAAGTGTGTTATTGACTCTTCACTGAATTTTAAAATTTTTATTCATTGTATTCTTGAACTCCAGAATTTGTTTGATTATTTTTGTGATTTCTACCTGTTCATTGAAGTCCTCATTTTGTTCATGTATTAGTTTCCTAATTTTCTTGAGTTTTCTGTTTTCTCTTGTAACTCACTGGACTTCCTTAAAACAATTATTTTGATTTATTTGTCATATCCTTGGTATCAGTTACTGGAGCTTTATTAGTTTTCTTTGCTGTTGTCACATTTGCCTGATTCTTAATGTTGTGTTAACTTTGTATTGATGTCTGTGGATTTGAAGGAGAAAACACCTCTTCCTGCCATGTCAGCCTATTTTGGCAGGTATACAACTTCTCCTGCAGGCTTCCTGGATTGATATGACTGACTCTGGGATTTCAATCAAGTGGTGCTGGAGTAGAGTCACATGACTGCTTGCTGGTCTGTGAGCCTGTTACCAGATATCTTTTCTGCCACATCAAGGTGGATGGAGTGACTTTCCATCAAGTGCGTGGGACTGCTTACTACCAGGTAGGTAGGACTCTCTCTAGGACCATGGTCATTGTCAAATAAGATTGGAGATTGTTTGTGGGGCTACTTCCGGTTCCACAGTCAAGTTTGCAGACAGTGGGCCTGTTACTATGGTTATAGATGAGTGTGGCTGAAGCATAGTTTCTGAGTGGGCTCCCACTGGGTCTCTGGGAAGGTCTCTGGGTGGGCAGGACTGCCTCCATGACAATGGTAGAGAGGGACTGGAGAGGGACAGCCTCAGTGTGTTCAGTTGGGTCTAGGTTGGCAGACCTGTTACCAGGAGCATGGACAGGTATTGCTCCTTGATGGATGGGTTTCAGGACTGTGACCAAAGATGGCTAGAGTTGGGTCCATAGGGATATGGGGCTGCTTTCAGTCTGCAATTGGGATCATGTTCGCAAACCTGCCACTAGGGTGGGGGTCTGCCTTCTCAAAGTGGCTCTCCGTGGTCTGGGGCCTCACTGGTGCTTCTCCTACCTGGATCCGAAAACACCACAGAGGCACTTGTCCATGGGTGCCAGATCATTATTTGTGTGAGGGATGTGAGTTGGATACCTTCTCTTCTTCCACTTTGCTACTGTCACTCTCCCACAGATGTATTTTTGAGGAATAAAAATAGGGTCAATGTTTGCAGCTGTGAGAAATGAATATAGCCCTCCTTGAGATTATCTGAGCCTCACCACCATTTAGAACAGAACACTTAGGCATGTTAAACTGAAAGGATTTGGGAAAAGTATGTCTTTCCATCATCATCATTGGCTTATGCTGGACAAATCCCAGGTTATGATTAACTACCTTCCTTCTAAGTTTGAATACAGAACCAAGTTTATTAATTATATAAGAAGCTTCTAAACTTAAGCTGTAATGAATTTGTTAGGACCTCTTCGGCTTGTGACCTACTATGCTATAACAAAATGACTTTTAGTCTTAGGTTTCAGTGAGCAAATGGCCTTTTTGTGTTTTTGAAATGTAATTAAGTTGCTTTTAAAAAAATCAATACCATGGATGATTTGTTGTTAGAATGAAGGAATGTGCAGCAGATATAGTTTTAGGCTTAGATGTCAAGCTCCAGTGGTATTCTCCATTCTTTTGTTGATTATATGAGTGATTAAGTAATTCACTTGTGGCACTAAAAGAAGTCAGAGGAAAAATAATAAGCTGAACTCTGACTCCAGAAAATCACCCCACTTACATCTTTGGCTTCTGAAATGTAGCAGACCTAGGAAAAAATAATCCTGTGAGGAAGGAACAGTGACCTTCCAATATAACTAGTAAACATGACATAAGGATGGGATTGGTCAGGATTTGTGTTAGTATATTCGTTATCATGAACATCTTCTCCTAGAAGAACAATTAAAAAGTGACAAAGAGATTGGAAAAGAAAACTAAGAAAGTGGTTGGAAAGTGCCAACATGAATACTTATGATCTTTTGCTCTCTAAACCCATTTATTTTTCAGTTGTGTGCTTGTCTTTACTCCTTAAATTTCTTCCTTGACATGTATATTTATAGCTGTTCTTTTGCATAATAACATACTCTGCTTGTTTGAGTTTGATGTGTCTCCTTTAAATATATGATGAATGTAGCTTCTCTGTGTGCTACATGAAGAATATGTCTCACCAGCACAGGAATAATACACTTAAGATGCATTAATGAAACTAGGTTTAAAAGCCATTCTTCATTTCATACCATCCAGCATCTTCTTTTAAAAAAGAGTAAGTTTATTATTCAAAGCCATATTTAACCAGAAGAATTTCCACCAGTTAGCCATTCTTTCACAGAGCAGAAATGCAAATTGTATGCTGCTTATAGTCTAAGTGCAACTGTCTTATTGAACATTTTAACAGATTGTAACAATGCTATGATTATAGAGAATCTATTATGAGAAGTTTTCTAAGTTACAGGCCAAGAATTGCATTGAATTTCAGTCAAAAATGGTACATGTTGAATTGTAATTATTAATGGAGTCTTCCCACCATTTCAAAAAGAGAGAACACAACAGCTCAATGGTTCTCTTTTCTTTGTTTTGCATTCCCTTAGACAGTTTAAGTGACCACGATGGAATCTCTTGTTAATTTTTGTCCAAACTTATTTTGCTACCAAATAAATGATGCCATTTTAAAATAATTTGTTCAGCTACTGTGATTTTAAGGTTTCCATTTTTGTTCATTGAACAAATTCTTAATTATCTCAGGGAAATTGAAATGCTCCACAAATCTTTGTGCAGTCAAAGTTATTTCTGTGAATAATGTACAAACTAACCTCTTGGGAGCCCATCTATATTTGAAAGGTTTACTAATGGGCTGCTTCTTCCCCTTGCACATATGCTGGTTTATAATTTACAGCAGCCTTCCAGGAGCTATGTCTAATTTCACAGCCCTGCCACACATCACAGCACATAGCTCTCAGCTGCCACAAATCCCTGGATGGGAACTTTCTGTTCTCTTTTTTGCCTACAGTTTATGGTATTTTGTTTCTATGGCTTTAGTGTTTCCAATTATTTAACTGAGTCCAAAACATGTTAAGCTTTATGTCATTAAAGAAGTAACTTCCTTCTTTGAAGATATATGTTTACATTTTTTATAATATTTTTACTTCTCAGTTCAAGACATGGATCATTATCATTTCTTTTTATGATTAGGTGATTGGTTAAGGAGTCAAAACAAGTGGAATGTTCTGAGAATATTTTTATGGCTGTTTCACCCATTGTTGTTCATTACCACTCATCGTTCTGCTAGTTCTCTTGCTTCTTCTGCCTCAGCGGATATTTCTTCAAGAATGAATCTCTTTGGAAATAGCAGTTTTCTTTTATCTTTATGTTTCTTAGGCATATGTTCACAATTAGATTTGTGGGATGGATGAAAGCCAAGTTAATTGCATTTTATTCTTTCGGTTCTTGATATACATCTTCAAACAGGTTGCTATCATGTTAACTTAATGCCTCCTATATTAGGGGCCTCTATTAAAGAGATTGGATTGTGTTATGTTATTTTTAGTTTTTACATTCCCAAGTAATTTAAAGAACTAAATTAAGACTATGTTTTTAGTGTTTTTCCTCCCATTTTCTAATCAACTTTTTTCATAAATATAGCCCATACTTGTTTAATTTTTTATCTTTTCTACTATTTTACTGGTTTTTATTGTTGCACACTATTTTTTGCTTAATTGTACTTCTGGTTAGATGCAAATTGGATAGATTAGATTTGGGTTCTGAAACTAACAAAGACTTCAGATCTCTTTCTTTCAAGAGGAAACTTTCTTCTTACAAATAGTGAGAATTTCTTTTTGTCTGCTGAATTTAGAGCATATCCTGTAGTCAAGCCATTTCATTTAATAATGAATCATTTTTTTCACATTGCTTTTAATTTTATTTTGCTTTTTTTGTATAATCCTAAGAGTTGTGTATTTTAAAGGGAAGAAATTGTTATCTGTCTGTGGTATTTGGAAAGTTAGTTTTTGCACCACTGCTTCAATTGATTAAAAGCTGTATTTACAAAAGAATACACCATTAAGAACAAGTTGTTTGTTGCACTAGTCATTCTTCTAAATCTTTTTATTGTCTTTTGAGCTATCTCAAAACTAGCTATGGGGACAGGAGATATGCTGTATAGTAACTCTTTCTACATTCTACCCAATTTTTTTGTGAACCTAAAACTGCTCTAAAAAAGTAAAGTCTATTAATTTTAAAAAAGAAAGAAAAACTAGCCAGGTGCCTGAAAAGAAGGAAGATTCAGACTACTTGGACACAGCAGTGTGGGATTACCATGGAAATATAGCATTAAGACCATAATAGCTGATTTACATTGGTAATACAACATTCTCTTTTTCCTATTAAACTTTTTGTCGGGAGAAATGATTAATTATGTGACATTTCTTTTTCATTACCTTCTTTGTGATGAGAATATGAGACTGTGAAATGCTTATTACATTTTATGAATGATGGCTGGGTACAGTAACATTTTGATTTGGTTTTTGACTATACTGTATTGTTAGCCAACGCTCTCATTTGGTTTGACTATGCAGTGTTCTACAGAATGGTTTAAAAGAGTTAGATAATCCCAATGCAGAATACTAAGAACCTATATTTCAAAGGCAACATGAATCACAGAAGGCTACTGTCCAATTAAAAGAAGATTGTGGTGAGATATGATAATATCATAATATGAACTATTCTCATTAAAATATTGGCATTCAAGTTGGACAAGAAACCAATACTACTGAAAGTAATTTATTGCATTTTTCTTAAAACATGCAGTAGCATTGATGAAACATTGAGTACTTATAGCATTTTTAATATGAATACAAAAGGCATAAGTTGTTTAAGGATCATAGTTTTGAGTTTTAGGATGTTAGTGTTAATAACTGGGCATATTAATTGTAAAAACCCTCATGTGGTGGCAGTAGCTCTGGAACATAGAAAGAAATAAGAATATGGGAAGGATGTAATGTACTTCCTGTTCTATTGGGCAGTAGGCTGGGCCCCCTGATTCTTTTTTCTTTTTTTTTCTCTTTGCCTCAGACTCTTGTCATAAGACATTCCATTCTCATCGATCTCAATCACCAATCCCTTCTTGGGTACCACGACAGCACCTCTGTTTTCCTCGGGAAAACAACCAAATATTGAGATCTTGAAAAATCTCAGATGAAAATGTTCAACAAAAATCTCCTTGTTAATAACAAAGGTTCAATGCTGTGGCAGCTCAGCTGAAATTCCTAAGGTGACTCTGAAATGATTCCATTGTCTGTAGGTTTCTTAGGTTTTTATTAATAGAGAATGACAATATGCTAGTTGATATACTGTGCCTGTGTACCTCCATCACATTCATAATCACCTTAAAAGCAGCAACATTATATGAATTTATCATTGTATTCCTCACAGTTTTAAGTATGTGGTACCTTATGTTTAATAGGTATTCAATAAATATTTATATAATTGAGTTGGTATCCTAATAAGAGGAAATGAGCTTACATTCCACAGCAGATAGGATTTTAATTACTTTCACCATGGAGCTTACTGTGTGGTTATTAAGGGACACTAAATGGCAATTTCTAAATGTCTCTTATTTGTTCAACTACATTTATTGAGTCCTACATGCCCGGTGTTGCGCTGGGAGCTGTGGACAGAAAGAGAGATCATTAAGAGCCCAGGCCCTCAAGGGGCTTCTAATAGCAGGGTATCTTTAGGGATATTTAACTGGAATAGGTGCTAGATTAGATCAGAGGTTAGATAACAGTGTTGCTGAGATCCATATAAGTAGTTTAACTTTTTCAGTCCATTTAGCCAGACACCGTTCTCTAGGATTTCTCTCAGGCCTGTGTTGCTGGTCACAAGTAGGACCTGGTGATAGAATATGTGTGAATCTGTGTCAAGTCATTACTGCTATGGGGAAAATTCCTCTAAAACATATTACCAAGGTGATCAGTAGATCATCTCCTTTTACAAAGAACATTTTCACTTCTAACACTATTTTTATTTGTGTTGTTCTTCTAGTCTTTCAGTTATGTAAAATAATTCTTTTAAGTTTCTACTCTTATTTAACCCAGGATGCTTGACAGAAATATTGCTTGGTCTATGGGAACTTCGTTGTGTAATATCGCTGATTTTAGTTGTTTTATGACAAGCTGTAGTGCTAGTAGCACTTGTCCAAGGTCTGTTAGCCTACCAAGAGTTTTTGGGAAAATTATTAATAGGAAGCTTTTCTAAGAAGGTGAATTAGAAAGAGGTATCCAACTTTTTTTTCCTATAGGCTGATTCAGCCCACTAGGGCATAGGGTTTGGTGGGCAGAGCTCACTCATGGATTGGAGTTTAGCCCCACTCATACCCTCTGCCATATCTCCACTTTGTCTTATGTGGTGAAATGCACAACTCTAGGCGGTGGAGTTGTTAACCTTAAAAAGAGGGCAGATCTTATTTTCATAAAGATTGTCATTTAAAAAATAATAAAACGAGCTACAGGAAACTTTTGGAGATGATGAATAGGTTTATGGCATAGATTGTAGTGATGGTTTTATGGGTATATACTTATTTCTAAACTCACCAAGTTGCATACATTAAATATATGCAGCTTTTTGTAGTCAATCATATCTCAGTAAAGTGGTTAACAAAAACTCTTAATCTGCTAATGATACATCTCAGGACTCATTATGCAAGTTCTCTTACATAATGCTTTAGAGAACATGGTGTCTTGTGAGATTAGCTTAGTGCTACTTCATGGGTTCTCTGGGATAGGTGTGAAATAAAAACAGTGGGAAAGTGAAGAGCATTAAATAGTCTGAGTGTTTCTCATTGAGGGACAGGTGTGTAGTACATGTTATCATCTTTATACTGCTTGACAAAAAAAATGCTCTCCAGTTTATATTGCTTTGCTTTGTGAAGAGCCTTGTAGAATTACGTTTTTTAACTGCATGATGGTGTGCTGCAAGATTTCAATGTTAATGGCCTAGGTTTTCTTTTAAATAGAATGCATTAAAAAGATCCCTCTTAATGCATGTGAATCTAAGCAGGTGGCTCTGTAGTCCTAGTAACACATCAGTTGTTGACCTTCACTTACTCATCTGAACATGTACTGCATTAAAGTGCATTTTATATCATTTAATTTAAATACAATTGAAAATGACTTAAATTCTCCTCTACTTACTTGGCAGAGGAGAACAATATAAATAGTGCTGTCCTGACCATGATTCTTTCTGACTCCTCCTCCATTGCAATGTAAATTCTCCTAGAACAAGGGCCATGTTGTCTGGTTCATTCCAGTATGTCCAGATCCTGTAACAGTGTCACCATATTGAGTATATTTCCAATATATTTTTAAATGGGAATCAATGTCTGTTTATTATATCACCATTAAAGTTTCATTAAGTATAAAATGTGGTGATTTTTCACACCTACACTAGGACTAGATGGAACATCCGATTAAACTTAGGATATTTTAGTGAATTTTGAATTCATTGCTCAGAAGGTTGTTGTTGTTGTTGTTGTTGTTTTTGACAGACAGCTTGTAGGGAACTTACAGGGAGTAGATCAGTATGTGCCATAAATTAAGAGAACACTAGATATGGCTGACTAGAAATAAGAAGGTACTTTACCCAGCCATTATCTTAGCCCTCATCTTATCTCTGTGAGTGGTTCTGGTTAGAAGGTGGCTAAAGACATGAGGGTGGAACAAGTTTAGAAAAACGTGCTCTGGAACATAGTATGGTGATTCCTCAAAGACCTAAAAACAGAACTACCATTTGACTCAGCAATCCCATTACTGGGTATATACCAAAAGGAATATAAATTGTTCTATCATAAAGACACATACACATATATTCCCATTGCAGCACTATTCACAATAACAAAGACATGGAATTCATCTAAATGCCCATCTATAGTAGACCGAATAAAGGAAATGTGGTACATATATACCATGGAATAATATGCAGCCATAAAAAAGAACAAGATCATGTTTTTTACAGGAACATGAATGGAGCTGGAGGCCATTATCCTTAGCAAACTAAAGCAGGAACAGAAAACCAAACACCACATGTTCTAACTTATAAGTGGAAGCTAAATAATGAGAAGACATGGACATATAGGGGGTGACAACAGACACGGGGGCCTACCAGAGAGTGGAGGGTAGAGGGTGGGAGAAGGGAGAGGATCAGGAAAAATAACTAATGGCTACTAAGCTTACTACCTGGGTGATGAAATAATTTGTATAACAAACCTCCATGACACAAGTTTACCTATATAAAAAACCTGCACGTGTACACCTGAACTTAAATGTCAAAAAAAAAAGAAAATGTACTCTGAATTGAATGCATATTTTATAAAACTTGGATTTACATTAAAATTTTATTATTAAAAATAATTTATATTTTTGCCAATTTTAATATCAACAGAATAAATTTTCTGGCAAGCTGATTATGTGGTTTGATTGTGGACTTACCCTTCAAAGATATAGTGAATGATATATATATATGTGTGTGTGTGTGTACAAATAACTGTATAAATTCTATTTGCCAAAAATAGCTCTGGTTTATTTTAAGAATACATGTTTTGTGAGTTCTAACATGAATTTTCTGTGTTTGGACAAAATAGGAGAGATCTTGTAGATTACCTAAAATCACATATGAATGCATATCAGATAATTATTAGCATTTCCATTTCCGTTGCTAATTAATTGGCAGATATCTGTAGCTCCACACAAGCCAACACTCTTATAAATTATTGCATTAAGTATTCAGGAAGGCAGAACATATTAGAATGACTGTCATATGATTTCACTCTGAAGTGATATACAGTACATGTCTTGTTCCATAACATCCTAAGAATAGACAAAATAACTCAGCATTATAATTTGATCCACTTGGGACTTAAATGTAGAGCTGATTTTACCACATGGCATAGAAGCAATAACGTATTTTGTTTTAGAGACTTGAGGAAGAGCGCTTTTTCCTAATATCTCTCTCTCACTTAGTGATGAGTATACATTATTTTACCCCCAGATCTATTCTGTTTTACATTTGTTGCCAGGGCATAATTGCTAATCCCTCTTTCACTCTCGAAATTGTCCCCATTTTGACAAAAAATTATCTGGACACACTACTGCTAATTATTTGCCCTGAACACTAGCCTTAATCATGTGTACTTTAGTGTGAATGCCATTTAGAACGTTTCCTAAAAGTAGATTTTTTTGATTTAAAAAATCAGATGAGGAGGAGGTATAGACTCTAAAAAAGGGTACATGGCTGGAAAATTGGGAAAACAGAGGCCAAGTTAATTGATTTCACAGTTTTTTTCAAAGAAGTGCCTTTCAGGAATTTATACTTTAAATAGATTTACTTGATTTTATGCTTCTAATTCCCCTTCTCTTTAATGTGGAAACTAAGATGTCGGAAACAAACAAACAAGCAAAAAACATGGAAAGATTATTGGTCATTTTCCCTTAGTTACTCAATAACTGCCTATTTTGGGGTCATTTTTATTCCTACCATATCGACTTTATTTTAATGTCCGTCTCCTTCTGCTTCTCTCTTTGTCTCTGAGTTCCTTCTGCTTCTCTCTTTGTCTCTAGGTCTCCTATTATATTTGCCTCTTTCTAGTTCACACTTTTCCCTATGTGTCTGTCTCATTCTCTTTCTGTCTCTCTTTGCGTTTCTCTGTCTTATCTCCCTCTACCTCTTCTTACATTCAGTGCCGTTTTTGACTTTTTGCTCTTTCTCCTAAAACAGTAAGTCCAAGACCTCAAAATATATAGCAGAATACACTGAAATGTTTACAAGGTTTGGCTTTCAATACATGCTGATATCATTATTAGCTTTGGACAACTGTCATGTATGAGTTTTCCTGGGACCTTAATTATATTTAACAACTTTGCCTTTTGACTGGTCAACAGCATTGTCTTGACCACGTGCTGTAGATTAAAGACTTTTAAACTTGTGGAAAATTTAGCAGAGTAGAGCTGTAGCTCTCATATCCCAAAAGGTGGTAACAGTGTAGTTGGGGAAGATATTGATATGATTATAATACATGGAATTTTAGTGTGTAGTACAAGTCAGAATGTGCACTGCTCCCAATCTATAAATAGGGTATGTTTCATGATGATTTTTAAGATAGTACCTTGAAAACTGGAATGCTTTTTTTCATACAGAAAAGGAATCAAGCATGGCCAAAATAATGTAGTATAGAAAAACTAGTTATGCTTATAATTGATTGGCTTAATGTTGATATAGAGCTTAAATGCTCCTAGAATAAAATTGTCCTAAATTTTAACTGGAATGGTAGAAACATATCTTCCTTCTCTGGGGTTGGGCTATCTCTCTGGTAGCAGGAGGATAAACAAGAACCGTGAAAGAGGAAGGTATAACCATTTGGATGTAGAAGTGGTTTCCAAAGTCAGATGTTCACAATTAGGGCAATTTGAGGGTAATGAGATTCCAACCTTTGTGGCAGAAACAGTACATACTATAAAAGGTCCAAAGAGAGCTGGGCACAGTGGCTCACGCCTGTAATTTCAGCGCTTCGGGAGGCAGAGGTGGGTGGATCACTTGAGGTCAGGAGTTCACGACCAGCTTGACCAAAGTGGTGAAACCCCATCTCCACTAAAAATACAAAAATTAGCTGGGCATGGTGGTGCATGCCTGTAATCCTAGCACTTTGGGAGGCTGAGGCCCAGGTGGGTTGCCTGAGCTCAGGAGCTTGAGACCAGCCTGGGGAACATGGTGAAACCCCATGTCTACTAAAATACAAAAAAATTATCTGGGCGTGATGGCGCGCACCTGTAATCCCAGCTACTCGGGAGGCTGAGGCAGGAGAATTGCTAGAACCCGGGAGGCAGAGGTTGCAGTGAGCTGAGATCACACCATTGCACTCCAGCTTGGGCAACAGAGCGAGATTCCATCTCTAAAAAAAAATTTAAATTAAAAACAAAAATCCAAAGAGGAGGAGATTAATGAAAGGTTGAGTGGCCATAGCAGGCTGTAAAAAGGACATAAAACTTAAACTGAATATTAAAATGTTGATGGCTTCTTATTTACATTTTATATCATTTTCTTATATATTTATTATAGTTAGTTACTTCATGAGTTAGTCTCTCCATCACCAAATGTCTTAATTATTTGAAGTCTGCCAGTTGACTATTCCCATACTATTGCCATGTCCATGAAGCAACTTTTCAGATGGTAGAGAGCAAAGGTAGCAAGAGAAGATCTTTAAACCAGGATTTCATACTTCAATGATATGCACCTGACTTAATTATCTGCATTAGAACCATCTGTATTTGAGGACTATCTTTCATATAGTTATCTTTCATATTAGAGATATATGAAGGCTGGGAAAATTTCTTTTTTATGTCTCTTATATTCCTACACTGTTCAATTTCATGTTAAGGTTTATATACTCAACTCTGCTAAGTAAAATTGGAAAAGTGTGCATTTTCTTGAAAGCTAACAGAATGTGTTTGAAAATGCAGTTTCAAAAATCTGGGTTTTAGATCTATATGACAAATATGTGGTACAGGAGAAAGATCGTAAGACTTGGAATTGGAAGACTCAGGAGTTGGTCTTGTTGGCTCAGTTTCTTAAGTCTGTGATCTTAGTGAAGGCATTGACCTCTTTGAGACTCAGTTTCTTCATCTGGCAGAAGTAGGTAATAATATAGGCCCATTTATCACATAGGAGGTTGTGAGGTTCAAATAAGATAAACAGAAAATGACACTGCATTAGAAATGACTCCATAAATCCGCTTTATTATTCTCTTGGCCTTGAATTGCAATATTAGGGCTTGTATGCCAAGGCTTCTAGAGTCGAATGGTATCTTAAAATACCAATTAGTCTATCCTACTGCCATGAAGAAAATAAATAAGGGAATATAATCTTATTTTATAAATGCAGAAATTGAGACCTAAAGAAGTTAACTGACATATGCATTGTCAAATAGACTACGAGTCCTGGAACTCGCAGGATAGTTGTGTTAGTCTATTGGTGTTATTCTGAAGGAATGCCTGAGACTGAGTAATTTATAAAGACAAGAGGTTTATTTGTCTCATGGTTCTACAGGCTGTACAGGCATGGCACCAGCACCTACTCAGTTTGTGGTGAGACCTCAGGAAGCTTACAATCATGGCAGAAGGTGAAGAGGGAGCCAGCGTATCACATGGCTAGAGAGAGAGCAACAGACAGATGGAGGAAGTGCCAGGTTCTTTTAAAAAACATCCAGATCTCACTTGGACTCATAGAGTGAGAACTCACTCATTACCATGAGGACAGCACCAACCTATTGACAAAGGATACAGCCTCATGAACCAAACACCTACCACTAGGCCCACCTCCAACACAGGAGGTACATTTCAACATGAGATTGGAGGGGACAGAACATCCAAACCATATCTTTAGTGTTATTTCCATTATATCGACTAGCTTTTGCAAAACATAATGAATTTCATTACAGTAGAATATTTTTAAAGTGTACAATTGTTTATTGCCTTGAAAACAAAGACACATAATTTTAAATTTTTTCATTGTTTAAATTGACATATAATAATTATTCACATCTATGGGGTACATAGTGATGTTCTGGTATATATATATATCAAATGCATGGTGATCAGATCAGGGTAATTTGCATATCCTTCATCTCAAACATTTATCATTTTATTGTGTTGTGAACATTCAAAATCCTACTTCTAGCTATTTGAAACTGTATATTATTGTTAACTATAGTCATCCTACAGTGGTATAGAACACTAGTGCTTATTCCTCCTATATAGCCCTAATTTTGTATCTTTTAATTTTAATTTCGAATCTCCTTATTCCTGCTTCCCCCTACCATTCCAAGCTTCTAGTATCCTCTGTTTTACTTTTTACTTCTATGAGATCAACTATTTTTAGCTTCTGCATATGGATGAGAATATATGATGTTTAACTTTCTGTTCCTGTCTTATTTCACTTAACGTATGTCCTCCAGTTCCATCCATTCATCCTGTTGACAGGATTTCATTTTTTTATGGCTGAATAATATTGCATTGTGTATATACATCATATTTTCTTTATTCATTCATCTTTTATTGGACATCTAGGTTGATTTCATATTTTGGCTACTGTGAATAGTGCTGCAGTAAACATAAGCGTGCAGATATCTCTTGGATATACTGTTTTCCTTTCCTTTGGATACATGCTCCGTAGCAAGATTGCTGGATCACACGGTAGTTCTATCTGTAGTTTTTTGAGGAATCTCTGCACTTTTCTCCATTGTGATTGTGCTAGCTTATGTTCCACTCAACTGTGTATGAGTTTCTTTTTCTCTACATCCTTGCCAGCATTTGTTATTTTTTTATCTTTTAGATAATAACCTTCCTAACTGGGGTGAGATACCTCATTATGGTTTTGATTTACATTTCTCTGATGATTAGTGATGTTGAGATGTTGAGCATTTTTTTCTTATGCCTGTTGGCCAGGTGTATGTCTTCTTTTCGAGAAATGTCTATTCAGATCATTTACCCATTTTAAAATAACTGTGTTTTTCCTTTTGCTGTTGAGATGTTTGAGTTCCCTGTATATTCTAGACATTAGTTCCCTGTTGGATGGATAGTTTGCAAATATTTTCTGTCATTCTGGAGGTTGTCTTTTCACTCTGTTGATTGTTTTCTTTGCTATGCAGAAGCTTTTCCTTTAAAGAAGAGATATGGAATGTCTGTAATAGCTACCACTTTCAGAGTGTGAGTTTAGAACTTAGGGAACAGAACACCCATAACTGTACTTCTTAGAAGAGTATACAGTTTAATTTAAAATATCATTAGAATGCAGAAGAGTTTGTATTTGGCCCTTTCTACTTGAGTGACTAAGATCACTAAACATTGTACAGGTTACTCATCAATGCCAAATTTGTGAGAATCAGAGCGGGAATGAGTATCTTGTAAATAAATAGAAGAGTATTTACAATGTTTGCTAATTAAAACAATTGATATTATTTAAGTAAAAAGGAGGCTAAGCCATTATTGAGCATCTTACCAAGTGATTAAGAAAAATCGATGAAGCTCAGCCTCAGACTGCTAAAGGCTATAAATTGGGAAAAATTACACTTATCCAACATTTGCCTTACTTTATCCCTATGGATTTAGGAAGCTATTAGTGAGTTGTGTATGCAGGGAATCAACAAACTACATTATATATTACTCTCCTGATGAGTTACCACTCTAGCAATATCAAAGCAACTTAAAAATAATGAGCAAAATGAAAATAAGATCAGTAAACAACTAGCAGAATTTTTTTATGTCTCTGGTCTAAGAGAGGATTTATCAACTGTAGTTTAGCACTAATTGCTACAAAATGCTAAACAGAATTTTTCAATCTTGCTTGGCTATTTTCTTTCCACTCACAGCATTCACTGTGGTCAAAAGCTTTTTGCAGTAGGCTGTGAACCTTGATTTATAGCTATTTGAATAGGACAGAAGCTTGAGAAAATTGTCTGTAGTGATATCATTTAATTAGCTCATTACTATGCTTAATATAAGGTGGTAGAATATGGTTCTTTATAGTAAAGTCTCAAGTAAACAAATACAAGTTTAGCTATTTACTAATATTTTTCCAGTTGGACAAATTGAGTAGTAAATCTTGAGTGCTTAGGCCTTCTCAGTAGTCTTCTAATACTTCTGTTCAAACAGCAAATGCATGAAAAGAACTTTGTAGTGTTGATCAGTTACTTCTGGTTTTAAATAAACTCAGAATAGTGGGATGGCAGAATAGAATAACATAACAATTGTATGGTAACATAGTGAGATGGCCCCAACTTTCCTTAGTCTTTCAGGGCTCTACATTTCCCAAATTTCTCACTTATCCTATTTAACCTAAACTCTGGGTCATTATATATAATGACCCATTTTATGCTTATTATGGTTCTTTGATGTCTACAATAAGATGACAACTGTATAAGTTAGAAAAAAGAACATGGCTGATATGATCACAAAAATTTATTACAGATCTCTGAACTAAGAAATAAAATGAAAGAACTCTGGTCAACTCCTCCGTGTATTTAAAAAGTAGCCCTGTGTTCAGAGAACATTTCTAATTTCCTGAAAGTTTAGGGGTTCAATTTTTGATGCAGGAAATTTGTAAAGAGAAGTCAAGTAATCAAAATACATGAATCTTTTCCTCAATTTTTTAAAAATTTACTTATTTATTATTATTATACTTTAAGTTTTAGGGTACATGTGCACAATGTGCAGTTTAGTTACATGTGTATACATGTGCCATGCTGGTGCGCTGCACCCACTAACTCGTCATCCAGCTCAATTTTTATTTACTAAAGGTATTTAAAAATGGTGACTTGAGAAGTCTTTTGGGAAAGTAGGCAAAGAATTGTACATATTGCTAAAACGAAATGCTAAATTGCTAAAACGTGTCATTAGTTAAAAACATACTATGAATAGTTTCTAAAATAACCTTTTACAATTAAATTTTTAATGAGTTTGTATTATTTCATTAAATGGAATGAAATAATTGGTTAACTAATTCTTACTAGTGTTCTTTTAGGTTATTGGCCATATTTTTAGTGTCATAGGTTGAATATTGTGTATATGTTTGTATGTATCAATGTATGTATGTGTGTATATATATATGCATATACATGTGTGTATGTATTTGTGTGTGTGTGTATATATACAAATGTATGAATATATTTATATATATATAAAATGAATATTTTATATATATATATGTGTGTATATATATATATATATAAAAAAATGTGTTGGGTCAGTGGACATGCCCTTTAAAATTTTTGTTGCATATTACCTAATTGGTGTGCAGAAAATCTGTATCACTTTGTATTCCATAAAAAATATGAGAGAGTGCCTGTTTACCTGCATCCTTGACAACAGTGGGTATTATCATTACTAAAGTAAAACTAAAATGGAAATCAGGCTTGAAAAATTCCTAAGCAAACAAAATCAAAGGCCTTAAGAATAGCCTTAATCTTGCTAAAATTACAAACTTAAGTGAATCTTACTTTAGGTGATAACTACAAATATAAGCAAAACTTAACTTGGGTCATTTGCAATAAATGCTTATGTTAGGCAGAATTAAAACTTAACCCCAGCCAATTATAAGCAGCCAACTGTTAACAGACTATGACATCTGCAAAGGAAAAAGAGAAAGCTTTCTTTTCTATCAAAAAAAAAACAATCTGAAGATTGGGGAAGCACAGCCATTGGTACAAATCAAAATGTGCTCTCCAAAGGAGGAAGGAAAACTCTGGTTTAAATGAGAAAAGTTCTCCCCTGATTCTCAATCAGGTCCATTTATGCACATGAAGGATTCAAACTTGTCAGTTGTGATTGGTCAAAATAGTTGAGCTCTGATTGGGTGGATTCCAAGCCCCAAACCAGAAGTCTCTATCAGATGTTTATTTCATATGTTAGCGGGGGTGGTAAGATGTGGGTTGGGGGTGGGGTTCCTACTGCAGTTTATCCTGACACCAAAAATGGGAACTGGTTTGGTTTGATTGTAGAAAGGAAGGTCCTGTGACATTTTCACAACATCTTTCTGAGAACACAGAATACATGACTGCTCTTTTACCCAGGCTACTTGATTCTGTATAACCTTTAGCACTTCAGTTAGCCATAGGAAGTCCATTTTGTCTGTCAGCCAGTGGACCTTAACACCACTAACATAGGATTATATGACTAGGGACTTTCCAACAAGGTACCTATAAAGGGGCAATTTTATAATTGCAAGCCAATTAAATAATTTCTTTATTTTGCTTCTGCATTTTCCCAATAAATACTTATATCAGACATTTTGTCACTGGAATGTTAAACCTTTTTCCATCTGGCATTTCCCAATTCATGAATGCTTCTCATCCAAATAAGCTCTTTAAAATGTTATTATGCCTCAGAGTTTTCTTTTACATAATTTAAATAAATCTTTAGCAATTTCCTAGGTAAAAGTTGCACCTTTTTGTTTTAATTTTAATTCCTTCCGTTACTAGTGAGTTTTTGTTTGTTTTAGAGAGAGGGTCTCGCTCTGATACCCAGGCTGGAAAGCTGTGGTGTCATCACAGCTCACTGAAGCCCTAAACTACTGGGCTCAAGCTATCTTCCCACCTTAGCCTCCTGAGTAGCTAGGGCTACAGGCACATGCCACCATGTCCAGATAATTTTTTAATTTTTTGTAGAGACAGCGTCTCACTGTGTTGCCCAGGCTTGTTTTGATCTCCTGGCTCAAATGATCCTCCTGCTTTAGGCCTCCCAAAGAGAACAGTGATTACAGGTGTAAGCTGCCATGTCCAACCCTACTAGTAAGGTTTTGACTATTTCTCTTTCTTGAATTGTTGACTTATAGCTATTGCTTGTTTTTATTATTCGTAGGTTATTTTTTTCTCTATTTAGTTCACTTGGTGTCACATAGAAGTTAAAATGTTTCTTCTCTCATGTGTCACTTGCATTGACTGTTTGTCATATTCTTTGTGACTTGTGGATGTGTTTAATTTTTACTAAGTCAAGTATCTATTTGATGATATCTGCTTTCTGTGGCACACCGCGAAAGGTGTTTTCCATCCTGAGATCTATTAAATATTTTTCTTCTAGAAATTTTATTTTTTTATATGTAAATAATAAATTATTTAAGAAAGCATTTTCTGTTGTCATGTATGCATCTAATTCTAGTTTTTTCAATCTTTAGCCAGTTATTTTTTAAACCATTTGCTGATAATATCCCCTTTCCTCACAGATTTGAAATGTTCCCTATATTAGATACTAAATTCCTATGGGCATTAGAGTAACTTTTAGGATCTTAATTCTGTTTCTTTGCTTTTTCATGCATTCTTGTACTAGTGCGAGAATAATTGTTGAGGCTTTAAAGTACATATTAACATCTGGTTCTACAAGTTCTACTACCTTCCGTTTACACATATGTTCTTGTCTATTCTTGATTACCCTTCCAGATGAAGAGTAATTTTGAATTAATGTTTCAAGTTATAAAACAATTTCCAATGGGATTTTCGTTAAGTTTTTTAACTAATTGTGAGAATTGTGTAATATAGTGGTTTCAAATGGTATCTTGACCCAGTTTGAGGCCCTGGCTAGAGAGTAGTCACTTTTTTTCTTGAACATTTGATTTTGTTCACACCCCAATCATGTACCCCAAACTCTGGGCCACTATGCATCAACCCAAATTGCCCCATAGCCAGATACCAGGCAACAAGGGCCAGTGCCTAGTCCTCAGAGCTCACTGAAATTATTCACACCAGCCAATCTTAAACCTACTTGCCCTGCTTCACAGTTTCATTCCTGCAGAAACCACAATAAAGGGACGTGCCCTCAGTTGCCCTGTCTCCCTCTGCCTCATGACTGACCGCGGTGCATGACCTGAGTGGCCTTGTGTGGCCTGCTGCTTTCTCCCCAGTGAACTGTGAATTGTGAGTATACAAAACTGTAAAACTCTTTCTAGTTTCTCTTTCTTGATCTGTTCTCACTATACGTCAATGAATATACTATGGAGGTATAACAAATTGTTATAATATTCGCTTTTCTCAACCAGAAAAAATATAGTAGTTTAAAAACAGTATTATCAACACGTAAATGTTTAGATAAATCTGAGTATACATTTTAAGAATACAAAGGGTAAACAACACATAGGCAAACTTTAAGGTAAATAACTTACAGGTTGCCTATATGTTGATGACTCTCTAGTTTGTGTCCTGACCTCTAAGTGTCAGGTTTATATTTTGAGCTGTTTACTTGACCTCTGAACTTAGCTATATAATGGTTGTTTTACAGTTAACATACCCCAAACTGAATTCTTTGTTTTCTTTAAATTTGCTCCTACTCTGTAGTTTTCTCACTCTTAGTTGACACCATCCCCATACACAAATTTTCTAGAGCTAAAAACTTGAGTCAATCTTTATTTCTATCTTCCATCATTCCCCACCCAGTCCATCCATTAATCCTGTTAACTGTCTCTTCAGAAGTAAATGCAGATTCTTTTCATTTTTCGTCATCTCCACTACTGTCATCCTGGCCCAAGTTCCATCATCTTTTACCTGCACCACTTCCTTAAGCTTCTGTTGGTCTTTCAGTAACCAGTCTTAGCCCATTTCAATATAGTTGCTATAATGCAATCAGAATGAAATAAACTTTTAACCATGACTCGTGCTATGCCCTCCAATGGCTCATGATTGTTGCTTTATCTCCTATTCTGTCTCTTACTGTGACAATGCCACACTGGTCTTCTTTCTGTTCTTTGAGTGTTCCAAGCTCTTTTGGACATCAAGGCTTTTGCACTTTCTAGACCCTCTTTCTCAGATCTTCACAAGATTGCCTTCTTTTAAGTTCTCTTAAATTCAGTTCTCAGGTCAGACACCTTCTGAATTTCCTATTTTCTTCAAAACATATATGATACTTGAAAAGTATTTTGCTCATTTAACTATGTGCATATTGTTCTATTTTCCAAATCATTAGAATGCCCTTGTTAGAGCAGGTGCCTTGCTTTTCATCTCCATCAATGGATCTCCCCTATCTACAATGGTGCCTCTTCACTCATAATGCTTGGTTGGGGAGTGGGGTGAAAAGAAGTTGGTTAATGAGTATAAAAACATAATTAGAAGGAATAAGTTATAGTATTTGATAGGACAATGGGGAATTTATAGGTAACAATAGTTTATTGTATATTTCAAAATTGTAAGAATATTTGAAATGTTCTCAGTGCAAAGAAAAGACAAATATTTGAGGCAACGGATATTCCAATTAACCTGATTTGATCATTACACATTGTATACATGTATCTATATATCACATGTACTCCCAAAATATGTACAACTATGATATATCAATTTAAAGCCCATATAAGTCAATTCAATACATTAAGACATAAGTTCCAAACTTTGAGGTCACAAGGAAGCATATTCTAGCTTAAGTAATTGGGGAAAACAATAAAAACAGGTTACTTATGTAACAATAACATAAAGCTAAAAGATCTTTATAACCTAAAAATAAAAAACAACCACAAACCCAATAACTGAAGTCAAGAGAAAATTATCAGCTTATTATGCTATAATGTTGTTGAAGTAGTAAATATTAAATAATAGGGATATTAAATAACATTTAGCCTCTCCCTCATTCTCTATTCTCTGTCAGGTAAACAAAATAAGAAATGTTTTTAGGTTGAAATCTTGAATTATAAGTTAGTTTTGAAGACATAATAAGTTTTTATATATGTTTCATGTATTCCGAAATTAATTCAATGGAAGACTTGGTATTAGCTATGCTCTTTGCTAATTGATCTTTTATTTAAAAGTAAAAAAAATTTTTTTTTGAGATGGAGCCTCACTCTGTCGCCCAGGCTGGAGTGCAGTGGTGTGATCTCAGCTCACTGCAACCTCCACCTCCCAGGTGCAAGCTGTTCTCTGCCTCAGCCTCCCAAGTAGCTGGGATTAAAGGCACCCGGCACCATCCCTGGCTAAGTTTTGCATTTTTAGTAGAAACGGGGTTTCACCACCTTGGCCAGGCTGGTCTTGAACTCCTGACCTCGTGATCCACCTGCCTCAGCCTCCCAAAGTGCTGAGATTACAGACATGAGCCACCGTGCCTGGTCAAAAATAAGATTCTTAATTTAGAATATTCCCTTCAATTTTAAGATTTTAAGGATAATATTCACCAATTTCTGAAAAAGTTGTATTGGTCAATATATATTATTTAACTCTGATTTAGAATAAGTTAGATTGTAGTTTATATAGTGTAAGAATACTTTTTCTGATAATGACTTATATAATATGTTGATTATTGTATTAGTCCATTTTCACACTGCTATAAAGTTACTACCTGAGTTACTACCTAAATTACCTGGGTGATTTATAAACAGAAGAGGTTTAATTGATTCACAGTTCTGCATGGCTGGGGAGGTCTCAGGAAACTTACAGTCATGTCAGAAGGCAAAGGAGAAGCAAGTACCTTTTTCACAAGGTGGTAGGAGAGAGACAGATAGCACAGGAGCAACTGCCACAGGCTTTTAAACCATGAGATCTTGTGAGAACTCCCTCACTATCATAAGAACAGCATGGGGGAACCACCCCCATGATCCAATCACCTCCTACCAGGTCCCTCTTTTGACACCTGGGGATTACAATTTGGGATGAGATTTGGGTGAGGACACAGAACCAAATCATATCAATTACAGTTCAGCTTAATAACTGTCCTACTAAAAAGACACAATTTAATTTTCTAATTGACCATTGCAGGTATATTCTCTCCAAGTATAGTCCTTTGTCAGTTAAGTGTTTATGAGTGTCAAAACCTCTCCTGCAAAATGGAATGAATAGCTCTGTCCTGTCATATGCTACTAAAAGATAAAAGAAACAAAAGCCTTGGTAGAGCACTGTGCAATCATCGGAGTGGGAGGAAACATCTATTATCTGTTTCCGATGAACCAAGCATTGTCCTAAAGCGATATGCAATATATCCTTTGCATAAAGTTAATCTCACAGCAACCTGATGATGCCAACAGCATTATTTTATGATTTTTTACCCGCTTTACAAATGACATCTATAACACTTAGAGAGGTTAAATAACATGTCCAAGGTCATACAACTAGTAAGTGGCATAGCTAGGATTTTAAACTTAGGAATTCCAACCCTAGATTCTCATGTCTCTTGTCTCCTAGTCCTTTGTGTAGTTTAGTTTTGAATATTTTGTGTGTGACAAAAGTTTACCATGAATTGCCTTGAAACATGGAGATAGGTACAACTTTGTGAGAGTGTGTGAAGGAGAGTACAAAGGTCTGGGAAGTGTACTGCATGGGTGAGTGTGGGAACACCAGTATTCTCCTAACACAAGTGTATGCATCTCACAACAGAAGACCTTCTATCAGCCATGACTAGCATCTCATTAACTTAGTATTTATACCATGGTTTCCCCTCTGTTTATCACATATTTTAAGTATTCCCAAACCTATCTTAAAATTGAACAAACTCGGCTGGGCACTGTGGCTCACGCCTGTAATCCCAGCACTTTGGGAGGCCAAGGCGGGCAGATCACCTGAGGTCAGGAGTTTGAGACCAGCCTGGCCAACATGGTAAAACCCCGTCTTTACTAAAATACAAAAAATTAGCTGGACATAGTGGCCGGTGCCTGTAATCTCAGCTACTCGGGAGGCTGAGGCAGAAGAATTGCATGAACCCAGGAGGTGAAGGTTGCAGTGAGCCGAGATCGTGCCATTGCACTCCAGCCTGGGCTGTAAGAGTGAAACTTCGTCTAAAAAAAAAAAGAAAAGAAAAAAAAAAAAGGAACAAACTCTGAAGTATAAGATACACAGGCAGAGTAAATAAATATCAGAATATAATGGCTGCTCAATGTTAAAGAAAAAACAAAGTAATTTTGAAACCAAGTGCTTGTAAAAGTGCCTAAAAGGATAGAAAGGTAACAACTGACTCTACTATAAATGAAATATTAATTTCGTTATTTAGTTTTCACTTTACATGTCTTTGTTTGTTAATAATTGTAGGCCATTATTCTCTATTAAAAAAACAAAGACTGCCTTTCTATTCTCAAAACAACATTTATTTGAGGTGGATATATGCTTTCTGGATGAAAAAATATTTTCAGAATAAATTTCAAATTTAATGTGTTAAATGGTTGTTTACCACCAGAGTAATCCTATGTAACAAACTCCCACGAAACTTCAGTTCTTACGACAAGCTTTCATTGCTTTCATGGAGTAGGACTGGCTAGTTAGGCAGCTTTGCTGGTCTTGGTTGGGCTTATGCACTGAGGGTCAGCTTTCTAAGGCTGATCTAACCTGGCCTGGCTGAGACAACAGATGGGACTCAGCCCTTACTCATGTGTTTCTCATCTCTCTGTAGACTAATTGAGGCATATTTTGTGACTATGGCAGAGGCAAAAAAGTACAAACAAGTAAGTGCTTCTTCAAACCTTATTTATATATTGTCTTCTAGAATCTCATTTGTCAAAGGAAGTCACGTGGTCAAGCTAAGAATCAAGGGTTGGGAAAATATACCTTTTGAAAGAGGGTGGTAAAAAGTCACACGACAAAGACCGTGAATGCAGGGAGGGGTGAAGAATTGGGGCTATTAATGTAATCAATGGTTAGATGGCAGTATTTTTAAATTATTTCTAGCCATCTCAATCAGGTAAGTTAATATAATTAAAACCCATCATTAATAATATTGGCTTTAGTAGAAACAATCATATTCTTTCTTTTTCATTACTTTAATTTTAGGGGAGCTTTAATATCTGGTTGTACAGGCTACTCTTATAATTCTTCTTTAAGATTTTCTTGGTTATTCTCACCTACAGTTTTTGTTCTTGCAGAACTTTAGGATCGTTTTGAGAAGTTTAATTTCCCATGGGTTTTGACTAGATTTGCACTAACATCTATAAACTATATTGAATCATTCAATTCACAAACATGTTACATCTTTCCATTTATTCAGGTCTTCTTTTATGTAACTCCATAAAATTTAATAGTTCTCTTTCCAAAAGTCCTGCACATTTCCTAGTAGCTTTATGCCTAAGTCATCTATATTGCTGTTGTTATAGTAGATGTAATCATTTTTAATTTTTTTCTTTTACTTAATTATGCAGCAGTACATGAATACAAGTCATTACAAAACATTAAAGACGAGTAAAACCAAACACTCTTGTCATTAATCCTACAAACCCTCACTCCTCCCACCAAAGGGGACATCTCTAAAGAGTTGGGCTCATGTCTGTCAATACAATTTTCCATGCTCCTTAAATATTGTTGAGTTTTTGGCTTTGTTATGTTTTGCATTAACAAGATTGTACTATGGATTTTCTTTATGACTTTTCTTATAGCAGTGTTGTCTTAGAAAAGTTTCCAGGTCGGTAGATATGGCTATACCTATAGTTGCATATTATGCTATCATAAGAATTGGACAACATTTGATACATTTCCCTCCTAATGGACATTTAAGTCACTTCAGGCTTTTCGCGATGAAAGCGCTATTTTACCAAACATACATATATATATGTTTATGTGCATATTTTATGCTAGTATTTTTGTAGGCGAGATTTATGAAGATGGGAGTTCTGGGTCAGCATATGAGCATTTTAAGAAATTGAAAGCTACTATCAAATTGCCCTGAAAGAAGGATTTACCACCTTGTGCCAACATTCTGAAAAAGTTAACTTTCCCACACCCTATTTTATTATGAATATGGATCTCTCATCTGTTTTATATGCATCCCATGCTGTCATTTTCTTTTATTATTATTATTATACTTTAAGTTCTGGGATACATGTGCAGAACATGCAGGTTTGTTACATAGGTATACACATGCCATGGTGGTTTGCTGCAGCCATCAACCCGTCATCTACATTAGGTATTTCTCTTAACGGTATCCCTCTTCTCGCCCCCCACCCCCTGACAGGCTCTGGTGTGTGATGTTCCCCTCCCTGTGTCCATCTGTTCTCATTGTTCAGCTCCCACTTATGAGTGAGAACATGTGGTGATTGGTTTTCTATTCCTGTGTTTGTTTGCTGAGAATGATGGTTTCCAGCTTCAGCCATGTCCCTGCATGAACTCATCCTTTTTTATGGCTGCATAGTATTCCAGGGTATATATGTGCCACATTTTCTTTATCCAGTCAATCATTGATGGACATTTGGGTTGGTTCCAAGTTTTTGCTATTGTGAATAGTGCTGCAATAAACATACATGTGCATGTGTCTTTATAGTAGAATGATTTAGAATCCTTTGGGTATATACCCAGTAATGGGATTACTGGATCAAATGGTATTTCTGGTTCTAGATCCTTAAGGAATCACCACACTGTCTTCCACAATGGTTGAACTAATTTACATTCCCATCAACAGTGTAAAAGCGTTCCTATCTCTCCACATCCTCTCCAGCATCTATTGTTTCCTGACTTTTTAATGATCGCCATTCTAACTGGTGTGAGATGGTATCTCAATGTGGTTTTGATTTGCATTGTGGTTTTGATTTGCATTGTGGTTTTGATTTGCATAGTGACCAGTGATGATAAGCTTTTTTTCATATGTTTGTTGGCCACATAAATGTCTTCTTTTGAGAAGTGTCTGTTTGTATCCTTCACCCACTTTTTGATGAGGTTGTTTGTTTTTTTCTTGTAAATTTGTTTAAATTCCTTGTAGACTCTGGATATTAGCCCTTTGTCAGATGAATAGATTGCAAAAATTTCCTCCCATTCTGTAGGTTGCCTCTTCACTCTTATGATAGTTTCTTTTGCTGTGCAGAAGCTCTTTAGTTTAATTAGATCCCATTTGTCAATTTTGGCTTTTGTTGCCATTGCTTTTGGTGTTTTAGACATGAAGTCTTTGCCCATGCCTATGTCCCTGAATGGTATTGCCTAGGTTTTCTTCTAGGGTTTTTATGGTTTTAGGTCTAACATGTAAGTCTTTAATCCATCTTGAATTAATTTTTGTATAAGGTGTAAGGAAGTGGTCCAGATTGTTTGCTGCATATGGCTAGACAGTTTTTCCCAGCACCATTTATTAAATAGGGAATCCTTTCCTCATTGCTTGTTTTTGTCATGTTTGTCAAAGATCACATGGTTGTAGATGTGTGGCGTTATTTCTGAGGCCTCTGTTCTGTTCCATTGGACTATATATCTGTTTTGGTACCAGTACTGAGCTGTTTTGGTTACTATAGTCTTGTAGTATAGTTTGAAGTCAGGTAGCATGATGCCTTCGGCTTTGTTCTTTTTGATTAGGATTGTCTTGGCTATACAGGCTCTTTTTTGGTTCTGTATGAAATTTAAAGTAGATTTTTAAAAATCTGTGAAGAAAGTCAATAGTAGCTTGATGGGGATGGCATTGAATCTATAAATTACTTTGGGCAGTATGAACATTTTCACAATATTGTTTCTTCCTATCTATGGGAATGGAATGTTTTTCCATTTGTTTGTATCCTCTTTTATTTCCTTGAGCAGTGGTTTGTAGTTCTTTTTGAAGTGGTCCTTCACTTTCTTTGTTAGCTGTATTCCTAGGTATTTTATTCTTTTTGTAGCAGTTGTGAATGGGAGTTCACTCATGATTTGGCTCTCTGTTTGTCTTGTCTATTCTTGGTATATAGGAATGCTTGTGATTTTTGTACATTGATTTTTTATCCTGAGACTTTGCTGAAGTTGCTTATCAGCTTGAGGAGATTTTGGGCTGAGACAATGGGGTTTTCTAAATATACAATCATGTCATCTGCAGAGACAATTTGACTTCCTCTTTTCCTATTTGAATACCCTTTATTTCTTTCTCTTGTCTGGTTGCCCTGGCCAGAACTTCCAATACTATGTTGAATAGGAGTGGTGAGAGAGGGCAACCTTGTCTTGTGCCAGTTTTCAAAGGGAATGCTTCCAGCTTTTGCCCATTCAGTATCATATTGGCTGTGGGTTTGTCATATTATTATTATTATTAAGCTGTTATTATTTTGAGATACATTCCATTAATATCTAATTTATTGAGAGTTTTTAGCATGAAAAGATGTTGAATTTTATCAAAGGCCTTTTCTGCATCTAGAGATAATCATGTGGTTTTTGTCATTGGTTCTGTTTATTTGATGGATTACATTTATCGATTTGTGTATGTTGAAACAGCCTTGCATCCCAGGGATGAAGCCGACTTGACTGTTGTGGATAAACTTTTTGATGTGCTGCTGGATTCAGTTTGCCAGCATTTTACTGAGGATTTTCGCATCGATATTCATCAGGGATATTGGCCTGAAATTTTCTTTTATTGTTGTGTCTCTGCCAGGTTTTAGTGTCAGGATGATGCTGGCCTCATAAAATGAGTTAGGGAGGAGTCCCTTTTTTTCTATTGTTTGGAATAGTTTCAGAAGGAATAGTACCATCTTCTCTTTGTACCTCTGGTAGAATTCAGCTGTGAATCCATCTAGTCCTGGGCTTTTTTTTGGTTCGTTGGCTATTAATTACTACATCACTTTCAGAACTTGTTATTGGTCTCTTCAGGGATTTGACTTCTTCCTGGTTTAGTCTTGAGAGGGTGTAGGTGTCCAGGAATTTATCCATTTCTTCTAGATTTTTTATTTTATTTGCATGAGGTGTTTATATTATTCTCTGGTGGTAGTTTGTATTTCTGTGGGAACAGTGGTGATATTCCCTTTATCATTTTCCATTGTGTCTCTTTGATTCTTCTCTCTTTATTAGTGTGTATAGCAGTCTGTATTAGTCTATAGTGGTCTATCTATTTTGTTAATGTTTTCAAAATCCAGCTCCTGGATTCATTGATTTTTTTTGAAGGGTTTTTTGTGTCTCTGTCTCTTTCAGTTCTGCTCTAATCTTAGTTATTTCTTGTCTTCTGCTAGCTTTTGAATTTGTTTGCCCTTGCTTCTCTATTTCTTTTAATTATGATGTTAGGGTGTCAATTTTAGATCTTTCCAGCTTTCTCCTGTGGGCATTTAGTGCTCTAAATTTCCCTGTAAACACTGCTTTAGCTGTGTCCCATAGATTTTGGTAGGTTGTGCCTTTATTCTCATTGGTTTTAAATAACTTATTTATTTCTGCCTTAATTTCGTTATTTACCTAGTAGTTATTCAGGAGCAGGTTGTTCAGTTTCTGTGTAGTTGTATGGTTTTGAGTGAGTTTCTTAATCCTGTGTTCTAATTTGATTGCACTGTGGTCTGAGAGACTGTTATGGTTCCCATTATTTTGCACTTGCTGAGGAGTGTTTTACTTCCAATTATGTGGCCAATTTTAGAATAAGTGCAAGGTGGTGCTGAGAAAAATGTATATTCTGTTGACTTGGGGTGGAGAGTTCTGTAGATGTCTATTAGTTCCTCTTGGTCCAGAGCTTATTTCAAGTCCTGAATATCCTTGTTAATTTTCTGTCTCATTGATCTGTCTAATATTGACAGTGGGGTATTAAAGTGTCCCACTATTATTGTGTGAGAGTCTAAGTCTCTTTGTATGTCTGTAAGAATTTGCTTTATGGACCTGGGTGCTGCTGTACTGGGTGCATATATACTTAGGATAGTTAGCTCTTCTTGTTGCATTGATCCCTCTACCATTGTGTAATGGCCTTCTTTGCCTCTTTTGATCTTTGTTGGTTTAAAGTATGTTTTTTTATCAGAGACTAGGGTGGCAACCCCTGCTTTTTTTTTGCTTTCCCTTTGCTTGGTAAATATTCCTCCATTTCTTTATTTTGAGCCTACGTATGTCTTTGCACATGAGATGGTTTTCCTGAATATAGCACGTCTATGGTTCTTGACTCTTTATCCAATTTGTCAGTCTGTGTCTTTTAATTGGGGCATTTAGAAAGTTTACATTTAAGGTTATTTTTGTTATGTGTGAATTTGATCCTGTCATTATGATGCTAGCTGGTTATTCTTCCCATTAGTTGATGCAGTTTCTTCATAGTGTCAATGATCTTTACAATTTGGTATGTTTTTGCAGTGGCTGGTACCAGTTTTTCTGTTCCATATTTAGTGCTTCCTTCAGGAGCTCTTGTAAGGCAGGACTGGTGGTGACAAAAATCTCTCAGTATTTGCTTGTCTGTAAAGGATTTTATTTCTCCTTCACTTATGAAGTTTAGTTTAGCTGGATATGAAATTCTGGGTTTACCCACAAAGGGAAGCCCATCAGACTAAGAGCTGGTCTCTCGGCAGAAACTCTACAAGCCAGAAGAGAGTGGGGCCAATATTCAACGTTCTTAAAGAAAAGAATTTTCAACCCAGAATTTCATATCCAGCCAAACTAAGTTTCATAAGTGAAGGAGAAATAAAATCCTTTACAGACATGCAAATGCTGAGAGATTTTTGTCACCACCAGGCCTGCCTTACAAGAGCTCCTGAAGGAGCCCTGGTGATGTAGGCACCCGAGGGAATCTCCTGGTCTGTGGGTTCTGAAGACTGTGGAAAAAGCAGTAAACATGCAAAGGAACAACTGGTACCAGCCACTGCAAAAACATGCCAAATTGTAAAGACCATCAATGCTAGGAAGAAACTGCATCAACTAATGAGCAAAATAACCAGCTAACATCATAATGACAGGATCAAATTCACACATAACAATATTAACCTTAAATGTAAATGGGCTAATTGCTCCAATTAAAAGACACAGACTGGCAAATTGGATAAAGAGTCAAGACCTATCAGTGTGCTGTATTCAGGAAACCCATCTCACTTAAAAGCTGAAAATTCTTTTCTTTAAGAATGTTGACTATTGGCCCCCACTCTCTTCTGGATTCTAGGGTTTCTACAGAGGGATGTGCTGTTAGTCTGATGGGCTTCCCTTTGTGGGTAACCCGACCTTTCTCCCTGGCTGCCCTTAACATTTTTTCCTTCATTTCAACCTTCGTGAATCTGACAACAACGTGTCTTGGGGTTGCTCTTCTTGAGGAGTATATCTTTGTGGTGTTCTCTATATTTCCTGAATTTGAATGTTGGCCTGCCTTGCTAGGTTGGGGAAGTTCTCCTGGATAATATCCTGAAGAGTGTTTTCCAACTTGGATCCATTCTGCCTGTCACTTTCAGGTACACCAATCAAATGTAGGTTTGGTCTTATCACATAGTCCCATATTTCTTGGGGTCTTTGTTCATTCCTTTTCATTCTTTTTTCTCTAATCTTGTCTTCACACTTTATTTCATTAAGTTGAATTTCAGTCTCTGATATCCTTTCTTCTACTTGATCGATTTGGCTATTGATACTTGTATATGCTTCACAAAGTTCTTGTGCTGTGTTTTTCAGCTCCCTCAGGTCATTTATGTTCTTCTCTAAACTTGTTATTCTAGTTAGCAATTCCTCTAACCTTTTTTCAAGGTTCTTAGCTTTCTTGCGTTGGGTTAGAATATGCTCGGAGGAGTTTGTTATTACCCACCTTCTGAAGCCTACTTCTGTCAATTTGTCAAACTCATTCTCCATCCAGTTTTATTCCCTTGCTGGCGAGGAGTTGTGATTCTCTGAAGGAGAAGAAGCCTTCTGGTTTTTGGAATTTTCAGCCTTTTTGCACTGTTTTTTCTTCATCTTCATGGCTTTATCTACCTTCGGTCTTTGATGTTGATGTCAGATGGAGTTTTTGTGTGGACGTCCTTTTTGTTAATGTTGATTTTATTCCTTTCTTTTTGTTAGTTTTCCTTCTAACAATCAGGGCCCTCTGCTGCAGGTTTGCTGGAGTTTGCTGGAGGTCCAATCCAGACCCTGTTAGCCTGGGTATCACCAGCAGAGGCTGCAAAACAGCAAAGATTGCGGCCAGTTTCTTTCTCTGGAAGCTTCGTCCCAGAGGGGCACCCACCAGAAGCCAGCTGGAGTGCTCCTGTATGAAGTGTTTGTTGACCCCTGCTGGGACGTGTCTCCCAGGCAGGAGGCACAAGGGTCAGGAACCCACTTGAGGAGGCAGTATGTTTCTTAGTAGAGCATGAGCGTTGTGCTGTGCTCTCTTCAGAGCTGGCAGGTAGGAGCATTTACGTCTGCTGAAGCTGTGCCCACAGCCGCCCCTTCCCCCAGGTGCTCTGTCCCAGGGAGATGGGAGTTTTATCTATAAGCCCCTGACTGCGGCTGCTGCCTTTCTTTCAGAGATGCCCTGCCCAGAGAGGAGGAATTTACAAAGGCAGTCTGGTTACAGTGGCTTTGCTGAGCTGCAGTGGGCTCCGTCTAGTTTGAACTTCCTATGGCTTTATTTACACTGTGGAGGGGAACCACCTACTCAAGCCTCAGTAATGGCAGATGCCTCCCCCTCTACCAAGCTTGAGTGTCCCAGGTTGACTTCAGATGGCTATGCTGGCAGCGAGAATTTCAAGCCAGTGGATCTTAGCTTGCTGAGCATTATACTTGTGTATGCTTCATGAAATTCTTTTGCTGTGTTTTTCAGCTCCCTCAGGTCATTTATGTTCTTCTCTAAACTGGTTATTCTAGAGGAATTGCTAACTAGAATAACCTGTTTAGAGAAGAACATAACAGAGTTATAACCAGTTTAGAGAAAACATAACACCCGCTGAGTGAGATCACTTGGCTCCCTGGCTTCAGCCCCCTTTCCAGGGAAGTGAATGGTTCTGTCTTGCTGGCATTCCAGGTGCCACTGGGGTATGAAAAAAAAAAAAAAAACTCCTGCAGCTAGCTCTGTGTCTGCCCAAATGGCCACCCAGTTTTTTGCTTGAAACTCAGGGCCCTGTTGATGTAGGCACCTGAGGGACTCTCCTGGTCTGTGGTTTCTGAAGACTGTGGAAAAAGCATAATATCTGGGCCAAAATGCACCCTTCCTTACAGCACAGTCCCTCATGGCTTCCCTTGGCTAGGGGAGGGAGTTCCCCAACCGCTTGTGCTTTCTGGGTGTGGCAACGCTCCACCCTGCTTTGGCTCACCCTCTGTGGGCTGCACCCACTCTCTAACCAGTCCCAATGAGATGAGCTGGGTACCTCAGTTGGAAATGCAGAAATCACCTATTTTCTGCTTGGATCTTGCTGAGAGCTGCAGACTGGAGCTCTTCCTCTTCAACCATCTTGCCAGCCCCCAATCATATTCTATCTTGTTATGCATGCATATGTAATGAAGGCTTTCTTTCTTTCTTTCTTTCTTTCTTTCTTTCTTTCTTTCTTTCTGACACAGAGTTTCACTATTGTCACTCAAATTGGAGTGCAATGGGATGATCTCAGCTTACTGCAACCTCCACATCCCAGGTTCAAGTGATTCTCCTGCCTCAGCCTCCCAAGTAGCTGGGACTACAGGCATGTGCTACCATACCCAGCTAATTTTTTTTTCTTAGACAGAGTTTCTCTCTGTCACCAGGCTGGAGTGCAGTGGTGCAATCTTGTCTCACTGCAACCTCCAACTCCCTGGTTCAAGTGATTCTCCTGCCTCAGTCTCCTGAGTAGCTGGGATTACAGGATGAAATAGAAAAAGAAAAGAAGATAATTATTATAATTTATTAAAAATTGCTGTCTACAGTTAAGACTGAAATGGGTACAGAGTAACCCATTGAAGTTAAGAAACAATATTAACTGCCTCCCTGTGAAACATTAACCATATCTACCCTCTGCATATTTTTTAAGGTCTGTAAATTCCTGTTTTTCCTGCTGAACAGCTGCAAGGTCACAAGCCAGAGAAGCATACTCTGCAAAACATGTTTTTCTTAAGATGTATGACATGTCACAAGACGATTAACTGCTTTTTTTCTCACTTCCGTAAACCCACTTCCTGCTTCATGTTTTTCCCACCTCAAGATGCATAAAAGGCCCTTGCCTTCTTTGTTCGGGGCTCAGACTTTCTGGATGGAAGTCCGCTGAGCCATTGTACACCTTAATAAATCCTCCTGAATCCTATCAGTCTCTCTGGTTCCCTGATTTCCCACTACAGGCATGTGCCACCACATCCAGCTAATTTTTTGTATTTTTAGTAGAGACTGGGTTTCACCATGTTGGCCAGGCTGATCTTGAACTCCTGACCTCAGGTGATCTGCCCATCTCAGCTAAAGGCTTTCCAGTAGCCAGAAAGAATGTCTTTTGTAATGAAAAGGAATCCTTATAATGTTATTGTAAGTGCACTTTTAATTTTGCCAGATATATAAACTAAACGATTACTGAAAACCATTCAGGATTCTGATGGTATGTGGAAAGAATAGCCATTTGTAAGTTGTATCTTTACCTGATATGCTATCTATAGAAAATATTACTTCAGTACGGGTATTTCTATGAAACACCATGGAAATTATGTGACTACACAGGGGAAAACATCAGGTGCTTTGTAATACTTATAAGACTCACAAAGCCATACCACAAAGTGGTACACATTACAGATGAGGAAATTGAGGATCAGAGAATAGACTGATCAAGCATAGAGTGGGAGACCGAATTTTGTTTCCAGATCTGTCTGGATGGAATAAAATCTGTTCCTGTCCCACTGCAGCACATTGCTTGGTACATGTTCTATATGATAGATTTGTATCAGAATAAAATAACTTGTATATGTTGCTATGTTTACTGGAAAATAAAAGCATCTTTAATTCCAAATATTTTTAAATATGGTACTATTTTTGAACAGATTTAAAGTATGATATACATACAATAGAATGTATTCATTTTAAGTTCTATGAGTTTTGATAAAAGTATATAGTATTGCAGCTCCACCATGTTCAAGATTTAGAACACTGTTATCACTCCAGAATGTTTTCTCATGTCTCCTTGCAGTTACTCTCCATTTCCACCTCTAACCTCAGGGACCATTGATCTGCTTGTTGTCACTATAGTTTTCCTTTTCTAGAACTTCACATAGCATCATAAATTATGTAGTTTTTATGTTAGCACTTTTTAAATATTCGACTAAGTTGTGTGAGTGTGCATCATCGGTTTACTCCTTTTAATTGGCCAGTAGTTTTTTATTGTATGGATATTACCACATTTTGTTTATCATTATCTGTTGATGGACATTTGGGTTGTTTCCAGTTTGGGGCTATTAGGATAAGGTTGTTATAAATATTTGCATTCAAGTGTTTGTGAGAACATATGTTTTAATGTCTCTTGGGATGATACCTAGGAATGCAATTTCTGGGTCATACATTAAGCACATAATTAATTTTATAAGAAATTACTGGATGCGTGTGGTGGCTCACGCCTGTAATCCCAGCGCTTTGGGAGGCCGAGGCAGGTGGATCACGAGGTCAGGAAATCAAGACCATACAGGCTAATACAGTGAAACCCCATCTCTACGAAAAATACAAAAAATTAGCTGGGCCAGGTGGCGGGTGCCTGTAATCCCAGCTACTCGAGATGCTGAGGTAGGAGAATTGCTTGAACCCGGGAGGTGGAGTTTGCCGTGAGCCGAGATGGTGCCATTGCACTCCAGCCTGGGCAACAGAGGAGACTCCATCTCAAAAAAAAAAAAAAGAAAAGAAAAGAAAAGAAAAGAAATTACTCATGTGACTCTACAAATTTTCATTTCCATAAGCAATGTATGAGAGCCTTTATTGCTTCATGTTATGGGTTGTATTGTGTTTCCTAAAAAATCATATGTTGAAACCCAACCCCAAGAATGTGACTATTTTTGGAAATACAGTTGTTACAGATGTAATTAGCTAAGATGAAATTATTAGGACAGGCCCAAATTCAGTTTGACTGAGGTCCATATAAAAAGGGGAAGTTTGATACTTAAATGTACATGTAGAGAAAATACAGCGTGAAGTAAGTGAGAGGCACTAAGCCAATTATTCTCTGACTCAGAGAGATATCTCACTCAGTGAGTGAGAGAACCAACACTGCCGACATCTTAATCTCAGACTTCTAGTCTCCAAAATTATGAGATGATAAATTTCTGTTGTTTAAGCTACTCAGTTTGTGGTATTCTGTTACGACAGCTCTAGCAAATGAACAGAGCCCAGATTCTCATCAACACTTGGTATGGTACACTTTTCAAAATATTAGTCATTCCAGTATGTACATAGTGATACCTCCTTGTAGTTTTCATTTGTGTTGCCCTAATGACCAATGATGTTGAGAATCTTATGCTTGTTGACTTTTTGTTTATCTTGTTTTGCCCATTTTTAATCAGTTTGTTCATCTTATGTTTGAGTTTTCAGAGTTTTTATTTCATTCTGGATACAAGCTTTTTTATTATATATAGTTTGCAATATTTTCTTCCAATCTGTGACTTGTCCTTTCATTTCCAAAAGAGTGTCTTTGGAGAGCATATATTTTTAATTTTGATTAAGTCAAATATACCTTTTGTCTTTTATGTTTTGTAGTCTTTGTGTCTTATCTAAGAAATTTTTGCCTAACATAAGATCATAAAAATTTCTTACCTTTTCTTCTAGAAGTTTTATAGTTTAGCTCTTATATTTAGATCTAGCATCCATTTTGTATTTTTTGTGTGTGTATTACTATCTTCAGTAAGGGTTAAGGTTTTTTTCCCATAGATATATCCAATTATTCCAGTATGAATTTTCCAATATTCCAGTATTTCTTATGCTTTTCTACATCAGAGTTAAGAATTTGTTTTCTCTAAAGGGCCAAATGGTAACTACTTTAGACTTTACAGGCCACTGGTTTCTGTTACAACTACTGAGGCCTACAATTATAGCATAAAAGCAGCCATAAACAGTACATAAGTGAGTGTTCTACATATATGATCATGTTATCTGTGAATAGAGGGTTGTATTAATCCTGTGTATGCCTTTTTCTCCTCTGTCTTACTGCACTGGTTAGGACTTTCTGTATTATGTTAAAAAGAAATATTGAGAGAGGAAATCCTTCTATACATAATCCAATTACAGTTTTAGAGATGTTTTTCATCATCTTGTTTTTTCCTCTATACACTTTGATTTGGATAATTTGTATGTTTCTGTATTCAAAACACTGATTCATTTTTTGCCTTCTCTAATCTGCTATTCAGCTCATTTTTTAATTTTATCATTGTATTTTCCAGCTCAAATATTTTTGTCCTTTCGTATAGTTTTAATTTCTCTATTGAGATTACTAATTTGTTTATCTATTATTAGCATTTTTAAATTATTGGAACATATTTCCTTTTAATTGTAGAACATAGTTTTTTAGCTGCTTTCAATTCCTTATTTTGTAAATCTGACATTTAAACTCATGTGGGTCACACTTTCTTGTCTTGGAATGTCTAATAGTTTTAGGTTGAAAAATGGACATTGTAACAATTCTGGATTGTTAGTTTTCAGGATTGTTGGTGTTTTATTTTAGAAGAAAATTAACTTGGTAGGGGTATGTGTGTGTGTAGTAATAATTTTAAAGGCACAGAAAATTCTCATGTTCTCTCAGCCTTCCAATTTTCAATGAAGTATCAAGTAAGCACATGTAATTTAATCAGGGATGTGAGTTTTTATCTTAGTTTTTCTATTATTCTCTCTTGCAAGTTACCACCTTTAGACTTTTATAAGCAACAAAGCCACAGGCTTCTCATTTTTCCTTATGAAAGAGGAGAGAAAAAGCAAATGGATTCCTATCAATGAAGATGCATATTAAAAAAATATTTTCCAGAGATTCTACTCATTTATTTTAGTTATATCTCCTGGGCAACCCTATTTGCAAGGGATATTGGGAAATGTAAATTCTCTGCTTCCCTGGGTAAAATTTAGTTTCTGTTAGGAAGAAAGAAGAAAGAATAAATACTGTGATAGTCTGTGCCATGAGAGATGGTTGTCATAAAGGTCAAAGCTGTACTCTTATACATTCAAGCATAACTTGAATTTTCACACCATTTTCACAAGACTGGCAATTCATCTAGTAGTCTTATACTTTTTGTTTCTGGCTCCCTTAATATCTTCCTTATTTAATTCTAGCTGTTGTGAAATAAATTTTCTGTGGTCTTGCCCCAAGAAGGTCAAAGCCTTTTCACTTTCTTTTATTTATTTATTTATTTATTTATTTTTGAGATGGAGTCTTGCTCTGTTGCCCAGGCTGGAGTGCAATAGTGTGATCTCGGCTCATTGCAGTCTCCACCTCCTGGGTTCAAGTGATTCTCCTGCCTCAGCCTCTTGAGTAGCTGGGATTACAGGCACATGCCACCATGCCGGCTAATTTTGTATTCTAATAGAAACGAGGTTTCACCATGTTGGTCAGGCTGGTCTTAAACTCCTGACCTCGTGATCTGCCTACCTCAGCCTCCCAAAGTGCTGAGATTACAGGCGTGAGCCACTGCTTGCAGCCTGCCTTTTCAGTTTCTAGTGTGTTATTGGTCAGCAGGCTTCTTTCTTGTCTCACAGTGTCCTCCAAAGAGTTGTTTTCCAGAAGGATGTGTCATTCATCTGGGACAAGTAGCAGGATCAAGACATAATACATGAGTTTGGGTGGTGTCTTTGGAGTTAGCAGGAATGTTAACAGGAAAAGAATCAAGGTAGTTGGAATTTCTCTTAGGTATAAAGTTTACATAGAGATCTCTTCCAACATTGTTTTAGTTAGCTCTTTGAGTTCCACTTAAAATGTCATCTCCTCTGTAAAGTGAACTTAAACTTCCAGGCAGAGTTAATAGGTCTTTGCTCAAACCTGTATTACTGCTCTTTTCATATTTCCTTGTAATGATCTGTTTCTATATTTTTGTGCTCACTGGATTTTGTCCTTAGCTAACTGGCATCTTTATTGGCAAGTACAGTGCCTAGCTCATAATAAATAAATAAAGCTTCATTGAATGAAAAAAGAAGATTTGGGCTGCAAAATCATTTCATCTGACAACTCTTCCCTTTACTTCCTCCCTCCCTTCTTCCTTCCTTTTCTTTTTACCTTCCCTTTTTCCTTTCTTCCTTAGCATTCTAAAATTAATACTCTCACAATAAAGTAAAACAGTACTTTTAGCTTATTTTTGGTTTTCTTGTTTTAAGATCTGCTGTTTAGATATCATTTATTTTTGCCAAATCATTGCTAAAATGATGTTTTATATGGGAAAAATAGGTAAACTCTCCTGTTTACATGAATAAGCACATACACACAGCTGTTCTTGGAGTGTGCTAAGTAATTTATTTATTGGTTAGACACAGCTTTCATTTTTGTGGTGCTAGGATAATTTCAGGTGTTCCTTAGATACAGATTCCAATCATTCTTTCATAGAAGTATAGCAATCTGTTAACGAAAAAAATAACAGTTAAAATTTACTGTTGTTTTAGGAACTTTAAATATATTTCCTAACCAATTATGTTGTGGAATCTAAACCTGTTAACAATCCTGGTTTTCAGTGGACTCAGCATCGATCTTACTGAGTGAATGAAATAGTTTCAAAATGTTCTTTGCTAAATGTGTTCCCAGAAGAAATTCACATCTGTAATCTATCTGCTGAGTTTCAGTATTTCAGCTACTGAAACGGATTGCTTGTAGCTGAAGGACTACCTTCTAAATTTTTAGATATAGAACATTTTTGTATTGGCTAGAATTCAGACTGTAAGTCTAATTCTTAGGCTGCAGGCAAATAATGCCTTAATTTCTTCTGCCTCGCTTCTCAAACTATTTAAATAAGACTGTGCATATGTGGAGGGTGAAGGGGAGAAAGAATGAGATTAGAACAAAGTAAGCTTTTTCTCAACACGTCTTACTGAGATTTTAAAGTTAAAAAGTATGGCTTATAGAGAGATATGGGCTTCTGGAATATAAAGTTAAATAGGATCTATGTTTTCTGGGAGTATTACCCAATAACCACGCAATTTTCCAATCTCCATTATCAAGACATTGCAATATGAGAAAAGCAGAGAAAATAGGTCCTTGTAAACCTGTGACAAGTCAGGGTAAATAAAGCCTCAGTAATAAAGGAGAAAGAGAATAGGGACACTTGAATTCTAGTCTTTATATTAGTCTCAAACTAGAGACTTAATTCTTTAGAAACTTGAGATTCATAGTGTCAAGAAAGAAACAAGTGTAGTACTTATGATGTTAGGACATAGGTTTGCTATTAGAACATTGAAGTTATTTACATTTGACTTGCCTGTTTCTCATATTACTTTTATCTTGAGGCATTGGCTTTTAATTGCATTGGTAAAAATGCAAAATATAAAAACCTCAAATTATGTAAGATTGTTTAGAGGTGTATGTATTTTATGTGCATGGTTGGTTCTACATTCCCTGAGGGTAGCCAGTTGTATGTCTTGTGCGTTACTGGTGTCAGAGGCCAGTTTTTCATGTTGTCCAGCATGCAGTGGGTCACATCTTTACTTCAGTGTATTAGTATTTTTAATTTCTACATTAAAAATTATTGCAAATATGGTGGCTTAAAACAACATCTGTTTATTATCTCAAAGTCTGTAGATCAGAAGTTGGCATGGTATGGCTGGGTTTTTCTGCTCAGTATCTCACAAGGCTGAAATCAAGGTGTTGGTCAGGCTGTATCCTCCTCTGAAGCCCTAATTCTCTTCCAAGCTCACACAGCTTTTGGCAGAATTCAGTCCCTTGCAACTCTAGTACAGAGGTTCTTGTTTTCTTGCTTGTTGTAGGACCCAGATCCCCACTTTCTTGCTAGCTGTTGGCCAGGGACCATTTTCAGAACCTAAGAGAACCTCAGGTCTAGCCACATGGCCCTCTCACAACCTTAAAATTTACCTCTTAAAAGTCCACAGAAGGATTTCTCATGTTTTAAATCTCTCTCTCTCCCTCTCTCTTTTCTTTTTTTTTTCTGGAAAGCCTAAGTCCATTTCCAAGGCTCACTAAATTAGGTCAGGCCCATATAGGATAATCTCTCTTTTGAAGAATTCAAAATGAACTAATTTTGGATTTAATTATATCTGCAAAATCCCTTCACATTTATCATATTAGTTCACTTAATTGAGGGGGTAAAATCTATCATATTCATAGTTAACTTCATACTTAAGTGGAGGAGATTAAACAGGGTACATACACCCAGGGTGGGAATCATAGTTATCACATTGAATTCTGCCTACTATATTTAGTGTGTCTTTTATTTATTTATTTATTTATTTATTTTTTGAGATAGATAGGGTCTTGCTTTGTCATCCAGGCTGAAGTGTAGTTGTGTAATCTTGGCTCACTGAGGCCTCGACTTCCTGGGCTCAGATGATCCTCCCACCTCAGCCTCCTGTGTAGCTGGGACTACAGGTGTGTGCCAGCACACCAAGCTAATTTTGTTTATATTTTGTAGAGGGTCTCCCTATGCTGCCCAGGCTGGTCTTGAACTCCTGGACTCAAGCGATTCTCCCATCTCAGCCTCCCAAATGCTGGGATTACAGACATGAGCCACTGCACCTGGCACTTGGTGTGTTCTTGGAGACTAAAAACTCATTTTCGGCTGGGCACGGTGGCTCACACTTCTAATCCCAGCACTTTGGGAGGCTGAGGAGGGTGGATCATCTGAGGTCAGGAGTTCGAGACCAGCCTGACCAACATGGCGAAACCCTGTTTCTACTAAAAATACAAAAAGTAGCCGGACGTGGTGGCGTGTGCCTGTGTAATCCCAGCTACTTGAGAGGCCGAGGCAGGAGAATCGCTTGAACCTGGGAGATGGAGGTTGCAGCGAGCCGAGATTGTGCCATTGCACTCCAGCCTGGGCAACAAGAGTGAAATTCCATCTCAAATACAAGCAAACAAACAACCCTCATTTTCGTATTAAATTAATCAGAGATTACAAGGATCCAAATTTGCTGAGAAAAAAAAACTGTTTTCTTTGAACATTTTTCTCATCTATTGATTTTGTTGCATAAAATTTTGTACACATCTCAAAATTATAATTTTGGAACAAGTGGATTATAAATATTAAAAAAACTAACCTAGATATTTGAGTGTTCTCATTTTAAAATTATCTGGATCACATATCCTTGATTTATTACACTAGCTAATACAGTATCTTTTTGTTGTTGAACATTTCATGATAGTGTGACTCAGTGATCATTTCTATAATATAAACAGGGAACATTTTAAAGATTTTATTACTGTGATGATTAATTTTATGTGTCACCTTGACTGGGTTAGGGGATAACCAGAGAGCTGTTTAAACATAATTTCTGGGTATCTCTACAAAAGTGTTTCTGTAAGAGACTAGCATTTGAATCAGTAGACTGAGTAAAGAAGATACACCTTCAGCAATGTGGAGGAACATCATCAAAATCCATTAGTTTTCTTTGTTCTCTAGCTTGTAGATGGCGTATTATGGGACTCTTTGGATTCCATTATCATGTGAGCCAAGTCCTGCAATAAATCTCCTCTTGCAAATTTCTATATATCCTATTGGTTTTCTTTCTCTGAAGAACACTAATACAATCACTATACTGCACAGTGGTCTGTTTTGAAATAAACATACTCAGCAAATTAACAACTTTTTGCTTTTTTGATTTTCTAATTACACAATTAATGGTAGAAAATTTAGAAAATGTATGTTACCTTGGCACCTCAGATTTTATCAGTCACAAAACAGATTAGTCCCATTATCTTTAATATCACAATACTGGAGACAATGCCCGTTGTGTCATTTCTGATGCTCTGTATAGTATGGGAAGGTAAGAGTCGTGTTGTTAGATACTACTGGCTTTAAGGCTGACCTCAGCCATTTTGTGTGTTTGTGTGTGTGTGTGTGTGTGTGTGTGTGTGTATAAGCTTGAGCAAGTTATAAAACTTCCCTAAACTTCTTTTCATTTTAATTTTTTTTATTTAAAAATATTTTTGGGCTGGGTGCGGTGGCTCATGCCTATAATCCCAGCACTTTTGGAGGCCAAGGCAGGCAGATCACCTGAGATCAGGAATTCAAGACCAGCCTGGCCAACATGGTGTAACCCCGTCTCTACTAAAAGTACAAAAATTAGCTGGGTGTGGTGGCAGGTGCCTGTAATCCCAACTACTCAGGAGGCTGAGGCAGGAGAATTGCTTGAACCCGGCAGGCGGAGGTTGCAGTGAGCTAAGATTGTGCCACTGCACTCCGGCCTGGGTGACAAAGCAAGACTCCTTCTCAATTATATATATATATATATATATATATATATATATACGTATATATACACAAGTGTGTATATATATACATATATATACACAAGTGTGTATATATATACATATATATACACAAGTGTGTATATATATACATATATATACTCAAGTGTGTATATATATACATATATATACTCAAGTGTGTATATATATACATATATATACTCAAGTGTGTATATATATACATATATATACACAAGTGTGTATATATATACATATATATACACAAGTGTGTATATATACATATATATACACAAGTGTGTGTATATATATACGTATATATATACACAAGTGTGTGTATATATATATAGAGAGAGAGAGAGAATGAGAGAGAGCGAGAGAGGCAGGGTCTTGCTCTGTTGCCCAGGCAGGACTCTAACTTCCGGGCCCAGGCAATCCTCCTGCCTCACTGTACACCACTGCACTCAATTAACTTTCCTAAACTTTTTTTTTCTTTGTTTTTGTTTTAGTGACAGCAATCATCACTATAATTGTAGGGTTACTGTGTGCATTAGATGTGATAGAGCATGTGAAATGCTTGGTATAGTATGTGGCACCTAGGACACAATAAGTGTTAGCTCTCAATACCATCATCGTTATCTGTGAATTTATTAGAGCAATGGACTTTTCTTAATGTCAAGCTTATTTTGTTTGTGTTGAAGTCTAATAATTGCAGTGGGATGAAACGCATATTGAACACGCACAGCACTGGCAGGGTAATAGTTGGCGTGTGTTAGTCTTAGGGGGCAAGAGTGGGGATGATTCTGTTGTTTTTGTTTTTGTTTTTGTTTTGAGACGGAGTCTTGCTCTGTCGCCCAGGCTGGAGTGCAGTGGTGAGATCTCGGCTTACTGCAAGCTCCGCCTCCTGGGTTCACGCCATTCTCCTGCCTCAGCCTCAGGCGTAACTGGGACTACAGGCGCCCGCCACCACGCCCGGCTAATTTTTTCTATTTTTTAGTAGAGACAGGGTTTCACCGTGTTGGCCACGATGGTCTTGATCTCCTGACCTCGTGATCCGCCCGCCTAGGCCTCCTAAAGTGCTGGGATTACAGGCGTGAGCCACCGCGCCCGGCCAAGTGGGGATGATTCTGACAGGGAACTTTCTTCAAAATGTGGAGAGAGTATCAGATGGCCATCAGACCCACTAGGAAATCTGGAAGAGGATTTACTGCATTTCCTAATACTAGTCTTGCCACCTCCAATTTGTTCTCTCCATTGGTGTCAGAATGGTCTTTTCAATAAGCAGATCTGTGTTCCTCTCTTCCTACAGATCTTTCCGTGATATTCCACTGCTCAAGTGGTGAAATCCAAATTCTATCGTATAGCAGACAATGTTGGTCTTTCGTGAACTTTCCTTGTCTGTCCATCTGTTCCTATCAGCTACCCCTTCTTCTCCCCTAATGTGTACTCTACTTCACCTTTTCCTTGCATATGGTTTCTCAAATTATAAACTACTTGTAGTTTTCCAAACACACCACAGATTCTTATGCCACGTGTTTTGCAGGAGTGATTTCCTCTGCCAAGAATGCCCTTCCTTTTCTTTTATTTGCTGAATTCTTACAAGTCTCAGTTCAAAGCTGCTGCTTCTCTTAACCCTCACTGACTCCAGATGCAGATGTAGACGCTTTGTCCCACTATATTATGCATAGCCCTCCATCATGGTAATTTTATGATGATGCATTTCTGTCCTTCCCACTAGTTTATAAGCTGGGACCAAGCACTAGCAAATCTATCACACCCTTGGCCCAATACTTGCTCATATATTTCAGCCTTACAGTTTCACATTAATCTCATTAACTAGGTAGATGGGAACTGTCATACCATTTTATAATTGGAGAACTAGAGACCCACAGATATAAAAGGCTTTTCTAAAGTCACATAACTTGCAAGTCTAGGATTCAGATACAGTCTGAACTGGCAAGTCTAGGATTCAGATACAGGATTTCTGGATCCAAGTTTATTCCATTACTGAAATATTAAATTATAGTAACCCCATAGATATTTATAGAGTAACAACCATGTTAAAATCTCAGCATGGTGTTCTACAGGTGATAAAGATTTTTAAAAGAATATCCTTTAAAGGTGGTCCTGATCTCTTGATTAATACTAGGAGAATGTTCTTTTCACTTGCTAGTAATTGATATATAGTAGGCATCAAATGTAGTTATCAAAACAATGGGTGGATGGATGAATGCTTGGTGATTATGAAGGTAATGCTTTCATACGGCCTTGTAAATAAAAATGGATCAGGTGGTGACTCCTTTCTTAGACTATTTGTGGGTTTAAGGGATATTTATTTATTATGGATTTCAATTTTATATGTGTCAAGAAAAATGAGTGGATGAGCTATAATACTATACAAATAAATTGGTATAATTCAAATTAAAAACAAAAGACAGCATAAAGGGAATTAAAATTAACAGACACTTGCAATAAAGTAATTGGAGTTACATTTATAAGAAAGTTTGATAGCTAAGTGAAAGGGGATGTGTATTTAAAGTGTATAGTTTTTTGAAAGAAGAAGGCATATAAATTCATTTGTTGAGATAGGCTCCCTAGGACCATAAGGTTTAGTTGATTAATGAGTTTGACTAGATATTATCTCTTCAGTTCCAAGAAGTTGTCCTCAAAGGAAGAGCTTACAGGGAAAATAACATCCTAATCCAGATATTCCCTACCATGTTTGAACCCATGGGAAACCAGTGTCAAATTGCCATTTTCAAGTAATCCAGAATTATAGCCTGCTGCTCCAAGTTTTGTGAGACCCGAGTTCATTCTATTTTGAAGGCTATCTTTTTTTTTTTTTTAAATTATACTTTAAGTTTTAGGGTACATGTACACAATGTGCAGGTCTGTTACATATGGATACATGTGCCGTGTTGGTGTGCTGCACCCATTAACTCATCATTTAGCATTAGGTATATCTCCTAATGCTATCCCTCCCCCGTCCCCCACCCCACAACAGGCTCCGGTGTGTGATGTTCCCCTTCCTATGTCCGTGTGTTCTCATTGTTCAATTCCCACCTATGAGTGAGAACATGCAGTGTTTCGTTTTTTGTCCTTGCGATAGTTTGCTGAGAATGATAGTTTCCACCTTCATCCATGTCCCTACAAAGGACATGAACTCATCCTTTTTTATGGCTGCATAGTATTCCATGGTGTATATGTGCCACATTTTCTTAATCTAGTCTATCATTGTTGGTCATTTGGGTTGGTTCCAAGTCTTTGCTATTGTGAATAGTGCTGCAATAAACATACGTGTCCATGTGTCTTTATAGCAGCATGATTTATAATCCTTTGGGTATATACCCAGTAATGGGATGGCTGGGTCAAATGGTATTTCTAGTTCTAGATCCCTGAGGAATCGCCACACTGACTTCCACAATGGTTGAACTAGTTTACAGTCCCACCAACAGTGTAAAAGTGTTCCTATTTCTCCACATCCTCTCCAGCACCTGTTGTTTCCTGACTTTTAATGATCGCCATTCTAACTGGTGTGAGATGGTACCTCATTGTGGTTTTGATTTGCATTTCTCTGATGGCCAGTGATGATGAGCATTTTTTCATGTGTCTGTTGGCTGCATAAATGTCTTCTTTTGAGAAGTGTCTGTTCATATCCTTTGCCCACTTTTTGATGGGGTTGTTTGTTTTTTTCTTGTAAATTTGTTTGAGTTCATTGTAGATTCTGGATATTAGCCCTTTGTCAGATGAGTAGATTGCAAAAATTTTCTCCCATTCTGTAGGTAGCCTGTTCACTCTGATGGTAGTTTCTTTTGCTGTGCAGAAGCTCTTTAGTTTAATTAGATCCCATTTGTCAATTTTGGCTTTTGTTTCCATTGCTTTTGGTATTTTAGACATGAAGTCCTTGCCCATGTCTATGTCCTGAATGGTATTGTCTAGGTTTTCTTCTAGGGTTTTTATGGTTTTGGGTCTAACATTTAAGTCTTTAATCCATGTTGAATTAATTTTTGTATAAGGTGTAAGGAAGGGATCCAGTTTCAGCTTTCTATATATAACCAGTTTCCCCAGCAGCATTTATTAAATAGGGAATCCTTTCCCTATTTCTTGTTTTTGTCAGATTTGTCAAAGATCAGATAGTTGTAGATATGCGGCATTATTTCTGAGGGCTCTGTTCTGTTCCATTGGTCTATATCTCTGTTTTGGTACCAGTACCGTGCTGTTTTGGTTACTGTAGCCTTGTAGTATAGTTTGAAGTCAGGTAGCGTGATGCCTCCAGCTTTGTTCTTTTGGCTTAGGGTTGACTTGGCAATGTGGGCTCTTTTTTGGTTCCATATGAACTTTAAAGTAGTTTTTTCCAATTCTGTGAAGAAAGTCATTGGTAGCTTGATGGGGATGGCATTGAATCTATAAATTACCTTGGGCAGTGTTTTGAGGACTATCTTTAAGGAAAAATCATTTAAAATTATGATTATAAAATTAAGTACGAATGTATGTATTTCTTTAGAATAAAAAAATCAAAACTGCAGGTTTATGAAAACTGACAAGTATCACCAACCTTTTTTTCAGTTTTATTTTTGTTTCCACAGGATATTTCCCTTTTTTTTTTTTTAGAGAAAAATGGATGGCTCTTAGACAAAACATTGAGTGTTAAGCAGAGAATGTAACCCAGGAATAAGGCTAATCACTATTGTTGAGGCTTGGGGGAAGAATACGGTACTCATTTCACGTAGGAAATCAGTTTCTGAAGAAATCAGTTATGAAATCAGCTACTGATTGGCTGGTGCTATCTGACCAAATTAGTTAAGCCCTGTGTAAGTGTTGAGCTGCCTGTTTTTGGATTTTCAAGGAAGTACTTTTGTTTGTTTGTTTTTGTTGTGTATGTGAAATACTCATTCCTAGACTACAATGCTATGTTGTGTTTATTGCCCAAGTAAGGTGCTTATTTCAGGATCATGGCATCTCCAGTAGTTTTAAATGTACAGCTGTCATCAGTCTGGGTGGTCATGTCAGGATTTACCATGCCTTCTTTTCATTATTCTGTTTATCCAGAGGAGAAGGACTGAGGTGTTCTATCTCTTTCCGGCACAAATCATCACTTCACATATCCCTTCTAGACAGCAGCTGTATGATAGCATGTAAGTACCTGCTAATGTCTCAAATCAAAGCAAAAATAATTCTTAGTGAAAACACAAAACTCTGTTATTATAGTTGGGAAAATTCCATGTAAACAAGGCTCCTATTTGACCCAGCCAAAACTAAGTGAATAAATACCCAAACTCAAATTGTCGTTTGAGAGCCAATCAGCTTTTCTTTTTTTTTTTAGGATACTTTTTTCTACTTGTTCTGAAGTGTGAACCGGAAAGAGCAGAAAGTGTTAGCCAGAGAAAAGACATCCCTCTGTGAGGCCAGTAAATTCTTTAAAGTTGTATGATCTCCATTACCATGATAACAAATTACTCAAGGCTCTTTGGCTAGGCCCATATGGCATTTACTATCTCCTCTGTAATTTCAGCCATAAAACTGTGAAATTGCTCTAACTTCTAGGCAGCTTTCAACATTTCTGTTATTCCTTCTACTACTTACAAAGACTTCCTACTTTTTGCTGCTTGTATCACAATTTAATTTTTTTTTTTTCAATTCTAAGCCTTACAGTTGAAGGGAAATTGCATAGCTTTTTAGCTGTAATTCAAGAGGTAAGTGTGTCCAGGGCTGATCTTACAAATTAATCCTGATTTGATGTTGTTTACAGATAGCTTTTTCTTAAAAATGACAAAGATATTTCCTGTGCAAGATATGTTAATATGTAATTATCATGGAATATGTAACCATCAAATCAGGTATTGCTCTGTTTTCCCAAGTAAGTAAACTAATACCTTTGAATTGATCCTACATTCTGGCACACACACACACACAAAAGTAAACATTTAACATATAGTAGATGTGTTTTAGTTCATGATTTTGCGGTGCTATGAAAGCAAAAGGAATTTGAGACATATTCAGGTAACCTGATTAAAAAATGATAAATTGATCAATTACATATTAAAAGCTATTAAGTCCCCAAGAAATATCAGCTATTAAAATATAAGCTAATACTTCAGAGGTCACCACAGAAGCTAAAAGCAATGCCTTTGCTAGTTTATTTGGTAAACAAGCAGCTCTTGCTATCCAACCCATGGAGGTGCTATTAAGTTTACATCTATCTTATTAAGCATTCAGAAAGATAATTGACTCAATTTAGGTAATTATAATTGTTTACAACTTAGCTATTCTATTTAAACTTTGCAACCAAAGCATAAGTAGTAGTATTATTTTCTCTCATTTTACAGATGAGAAATCCGAGGCTCAAATGTAACGAGTTTCTTCAGGGGAGCCAGGGTACAAACCCAGGTCCTTTTGACGTTTAAGTCAATATGCTTAACCACTACTACAGTATATTGCCAAAGGTTTTCTCTACTCTTTAGAGCAGCCATTCTTTTTCTGTTTAATATTTTTTTTACTGTCTCATGCAATTTCCCTTCAAAATTGCCTTGCCTTTTTTTTTTTAATCTTTCTGGAACAAATCTTTTCTGAAAATGTGTGATGTATTTCCCACTCCCTCCTCTCCTTGCCATTTTCCCCAATTTTAAAAAATTGAGCTAAATTGTATGTAACATAAAGTGTACCATCTTAACCATTTTAAAATATACAGTTAAGTGGCATTAAATACATTTCTAGTGTTGTGCAACCATCATTGCTATTCATCTCTGTAACTCTTTTCATCTTGTAAAACTGATATTCTATCTATTAAACAGCAACTTCCTTTTCTTCCCTCTCCCCAGCCCCTGGCAATCAGCATTCTACTTTCTGTCTTTATGATTTTGGCTGCTGTAACTTCCTTGTGTAAATGAAATCATACAATATTTGTCTTTTAATGACTGGTTTATTTCACTTAGCATAATGTCCTCAAGTTTTATTCATGTTGTAGCATATGTCAGAATTTTCTTTCTTAAGGAAATATTATCATTGTATGTATATACTATGAGTAATAATTCTGAATTATATTGAATACTAATAATTATAAATAATATTTTTGAATAATATTTACTTGTATGTATATACCACATTTTGCTTATTCATTTATATGTCAATGGACATCGGTTGCTTCCATATTTTTGTTATTGTGAATAATACCACTGTGAGCATGGCAGTACAAGTATCTCTTGAAGACCCTCCTTTGAAATTTTTTAGATATTTACCTAGAAGTGAAATTGCTGGATCAAATGTTAACTGTATTTTTAATTTTTTGAAGAACTCTTATACTGTTTTCTATAGTGCTATACTATTAATATTTTACATTCTTAGCAATAGTGCACAAGAGTTCCAATTTCTTCATATCTTTACCAACACTGGTTATTTTGTTGTTGTTTTCTTTTTTGGTAGTAGCTATCTTCATGGGTTGGAAGTGGTAGCTCATAGCTTTGATTTGCGTTTTCCTATTAGTGATATTGACCATCTTTCCATGTGCTTTTTGGACATTTGTGTATTTTCTTTAGAGAAATGTCTATTCCAAGTTTTTTGCCTGTTGTTTAATATGGTTGTTTTTTGTTGTTGAGATTTAGGAGTTCTCCATACATTCTAGAGAGTCATCATGTATCAACCATATAATTTGCAAATATTTTCTTTTATTCTGTGGGTGGCCTTTTTACTCTGTTTTGGTAGTGTGTTCTGATAGGCAAAATTTTTAATTTTCACGAAGTTCAGCTTGTCCATTTTTTCTTTAGTTGCCTGTACGTTTGGTGTCATATCCAAGATCCAAGAAATTATTGCTAAATCCAATGTCATGAATCTTTTACCCTTTGTTTTTTCCTACGAGTTTTACAGTTTTAGGTCTTACATGTAGGTCTTTGATCCATTTTGAGTTAATATCTGTATATGGTGTTAGGTAAGGGTCTGACTTCATTTTATTTTTTGTATGTGAATATTCAATTTTCCCAGCACCATTTGTTGAAAAGCTTGTCTTTTCCCCATTGAACGCTATCAGTACCCTTCTAAAAAATTTGACCATACGTGAAAGAGTTTATTTTTCTGCACTCTACTCTCTTAATTCATCTATATATCTGTCTTTGGCACCATCCTGTTTTTATTACAGTAGCTTTGTATTAAGTTTTGAAATCAGGAAGTGTGAGTCCTCCAGATATATTCTTCTTTAATGGTGTCTTTTGCAGACGTAGAAAAACTCGTTCTAAAATTCAAATGGAACCAAGATTGTTTTGTCTATTTGGGGTCCCATGAGATTTTATGTCAATTTTAGGATGGGTTTTCCTTTGAACAACATTGGAATTGTGGTAAAGATTACATTAAATCTATATTTTGCCATTTACTTTTGATTTTAGTAATTTGAGTCTTTTCTCTTTTTTCCTTAGTCCATCCAGGTAAAAGTTGGTCGATTTTGCTGGTCTTTCAAAGAACAAACTTATAGTTTCATTTATTTTCTCTATTGTTTTTCTATTCTCTATTTCATTTGTTCTCTGGTGTAATCTTGATTGTTTCCTTCTTTCTGCCAGCTTTAGTTTAGTTTGTTCTTCTTTTTCTAGTTTTTCAAGATGTAAAATTAGGTTGTTGGGCTGAGATCTTTCTTGCTTTTTAATGTGAAGATTTATAGCTGTACATTTCTCCTTATCATGATTTTCACTGTTTCCCATAAGTTGTTACAATGTGTTTTCTTTTTTATTCATCTCTATGTATTTCCAATTTCCTTTGTGGTTTCCTCTTTGTTTTCCTTCGTTGTTTAGGAATGTGTTATTTAATTTTCACAAATCTGTGAATTTTCCAGTTTTACTTCTGTTATTGATTACTAATTTTATCCTGTTGTTGTTAGAGAAGACGTTTTCTATATCTCTCTTTTTCAATCTATTGAAACTTAATTTGTGGCCTAACAGAGGTATTGTCTACCCTGAAAAATGTTCCATGTGCATTTGAGAATAATATGTATAGTGTTGTTGGGTTGAGTGTTCTGTGTGTGTTTGTTAGATTTGGTTGGTTTATTGTGTTATTTAAGCCCTCTATTTCCTTAATTATGTTTTATCTAGTTGTGCTATCCATTATTGAGAGTGCTATATTCAAATCTCCAACTATTATTGTGGAACTGTCTATTCTGCTTTCAATTCTATCAGTTTTTGCTTCATATGTTTGGATGGTCTGTTATTAGGTGCATACATGTATATAGTTGTTGTATGTTCTTTCTGTATTGAACCTTTTATTAATAGAATAAGATCCTTCTTTATCTCTTGCAATCTTTTTTGATTTAAAGTCTTTTTACTGTTAATATAGCCACCCCTGCTCTCTTTTGGTTACTATTTGTCATTTTTTCACTTTCAACCTATTTTGATTTTGGATCAAAAGTGAGTCTTTTGTAGATAGCATGTCATTGGACCATGTGCTTTTATTTATTCTTCCAATCTCTTTCTTTTGAGTCAACAGTTTAATCCATTTATATTTAAAGTGATTACTGAAAAAGAGGAACTTCTGTCATTTTGCTATTTTTTAAATAGGTATTATAGCTTATTTTTCTTCATTTTCTGCATTACGGTTTTATTTTGTGTTTAGCTGATTTTATAATAAGACATTATATTCCTTTCTCATTTCCTTTTGTATATACTCTACAGCTATTTTCTTTGAGATTACTATAGGAATTACATTTATTTAACTTTATACCAGCTTAACTTCAGTAATACACAAAAATCTGCTATTTTTAACAAGTCTCTCCTAAATCCTTTTAGTTGTAGATGTCACAAAATTGCATCCTTGTACATTAAATACTCCAAATATAGGCTACAAATTTTAAATTTAATTTTTATTTTTTGACAAAATGTAATTGTATATAATTGCAGAGTACACAGTGATATTATATACTCAACACAGGGTGTGGGATTATTGAAAAAAGCAAATTAACATATGTATCACCTTAATTTTTATTTTATTTTATTTTTTCTTTCCACACTACACTGATGTATGTATCACCTTAAATACTTATCATTTATTCCTCCTAATTGCAACTTTTTGTCCTTTGACAAATCCCATTCTCCCAACTTCTCCAGCTCTAGTAATCACCATTCTACTCCCTGCTTCTGTGAGTTTGTTTTAGATTCCACCTGCAAGTAAGACATGTTCATTTCTCTTTCTATGGCTTCTTTCATGTAACATAATGTCCTCCAGGTTGATACATGTTGAAAAAGACAGAATTTCTTTTTTTCTAAGGCGAAATAGCATTTTCTTCTGTAAATATATCACATTTTCCTTATATATTCACCCATTAATGAAATACTGATACAACTTTTACATGATGAAATGGGATCTAGTTTTTTGTTTGTTTGCTTTGCACACAAATATCCAATTTTTCTAGCACTATTTATTGAAGAGATTATTCTTTTCCCAATATATATTCTTGGTGCAATTGCTGAAAATGAGTTGACTGTAAATGGATGGATTTATTTCTGGGTTTTTTATATTCTCGTCCATTGGTCTTTTATGCTAATATCATGCTATTTCGGTTCCTATAGCCTGGTAATATTATTTGAAATCAGGTAATGTGAATGCTTCCAGCTTTGTTCTTTTGGCTTGGTATTGATTTGGCTAATAGTAGTCTTTCGTGTTTTCATATAAATTTTAAAATTGTTTTTTCTATTTCTGTGAAGAGTGTCTTTGGTATTTTAATAGAAATTGCATTGAATCTGTAGATTATGTTGGGTAGTATGGTCATTTTAACAATATGGATTCTTCCAATCCTTGAATATGGATATCTTTCTATTTATTTCTGTCCTCTTCAATTTTTTTTAAATCAATGTTTGATAGTTTTCTCTGGAGAAATATTTCACTTCTATGGTTAAATTTATTCCTAGGTATTTTTTTTCTTGTCTATTATACATGGGATTACTATCTTGGATTCTTTTTCAGATTGTTTGCTGTTGATATATGTAAATGCTCCTGATTTTTATTTGTTGCTTTCTGATCCTGCAACTTTCTTTACTGCGTTTCTTGAAACAAATGAAAATAGAAACACAACATACAAACACCTGCATAATAGAACAAAAGCAGTACTGAGAGGGAATTTTATAGCAATAAATGCCTACATCAAAAAAGTAGAAAGATTTCAAGTCAATAACCTAATGATACATCTTGAAAACTAGAAAAGTAAGGACAAACTGAACGTAAAATTAGTAGAAGAAAAGAAATAATGAAGATAACAGCAGAAATACATAAAATTGAGACTAAAAATAAAAAATAACACAATGAAAAGTTAGTTTTCTGAAAAGATAAACAAAATCAACAAAACTTTAGCCAGATTAAGAAAAAGGAGAGAAGACCCAAATAAATAAAATCAGAGGCAAAAAAGGAGATGTTACAATGATACCACAGAAATTAAATGAATTTATTAAATGCTACTATAAACAACTATATGTTGATCATTTGGAAAACCTAGAAATAGATAAATTCCTAGACAGATGAAATGTAAGATTGAATCATGAAGAAATAGAAAACTATGATAGATTAAGAATAAATTATGAAGTAGAAGCAGCATTGAAACTGGTTTTATGGCCTAGCATATGGTCCATCTGGAGGTTGTTCCATGTGCACTTGAGAGGAATATATATATTTTGCTGTTGGTAGGTGAGTGTCCTATACACATTTATTAGGTATTGTTGGTTTAACATTTTGTTCAAGTCTTCTATTTCCTTGTTGGTCTTCTGCCAATTGCTCTATCCATTACTGAGAAAGAGGTTTTGAATTCTCCAGCTGTTACTGTTAAATTGTATATTTCTTCCATCAATTGCATTAGTTATTGCTTCGTGTATTTGGGTGTTCTGTTATTAGGCTCAAATGTTTATAATTATTATGTCTTCCTGATGGCGTGACCTTATTGTCATTAAAAATTTCTTTATTAAGCATTTTTGTGTTAAAGTGTATTTTGCCTAATGTTAGTATAGTGACTCTATTTCTGTTGGTAGCTGTTTGCATAATATATTTTTTCAATATTTTTACCTTAATTCCTTTAGTGTCTTTGAATCTAAAGTGTTTATTTTATTTAAAAGCATGTAATTGGATCATATTCTTTCATTCTCTTTTACTTATCTCATTCATGATTGACAGGTATTTCTGCCTATCTCTGTCATTTGCCTGGAGGTCATTTAAGTTTAATGTTACTACTGATGAAATCACATTTGCATCTGCTGTTTTGTTTTGTGTTTTCTTTTAAAAAAAATTTATTTTAGGTTCAAGGGTATGTGTGCATATTTGTTATGTATATATAAATTGCATATCATGGGGGTTTGATGCACAGGTTATTTCATCACCCAGATAATAAACACAGAACCTGATAGGTAATTTTTAAATCCTCATCCTCCTCCCATTTTTCACCCTCAAGTAGGCCCCAGTGTATGTTGTTTTATTCTTTGGGTTCATGTGTTCTCAACGATTAGCTCTCACTTATAAGTGACAACAGGTAGTATTTGGTTTTCTGTTCCTGTGATAGTTCGCATAGGACCTCCAGTTCCATCCATGTTGTTGAAAAAGACATGACCTCACTATTTCTTATGGCTGCATGGTATTTCATGTGTATATGTGCTACATTTTCTTTATCCAGTCTACCATTGATGGCCATTTAGGTTGATTCCATATCTTTGCTAATGTGCTTCAGGGAACATATGTGTACATGTGTATTTATGGTAAAACTATATTCCTTTGGGTATATACCAAATACTGGAATTGCTGGGTCGAATGGTAATTCTGTTTTAAGTTCTTTGATATATCATTACACTGGTTTCCACAATGACTGAACTAATTTACAGTTCCACCCTTCCTGAATTTGAATGTTAGCTGCTCTAGTGAGGTTGAGGACATTTTTCCCAGATGATATCCTCACATATCTTTTCTACGTTGCTAGATTTCTGCCCCTCTCTCAGAGATGTCAATGAGTCATGGATTTGGTCTTTTTACATAATTCCATATTTCTTAGATGTTTTGATTATTATTATTATTTTTTGAGACGGAATTTTGCTCTGTCACCAGGCTCGCTCTTTCTTTCTTTCTCTTTCTTTCTTTTTTTTCTTTCTTTTTCTTTCTTTCCCTTCCTTCCTTCCTTCCTTCCTTCCTTCCTTCCTTCCTTCCTTCCTTCCTTCCTTCTTTCTTTCTTTCTTTCTTTCTTTCTTCTCTCTTTCTTTCTCTCTTTCTCCCTCTCTCTCACTTTCTCTCTCTCTCTTTTTCTTTTTTTTTTTTTTGACGGAGTCTCGCTCTGTCACCAGGCTGGAGTGCAGTGGCGCAATCTCGGCTCACCACAACCTCTGCTTCCTGGGTTCAAGCGATTTTCCTGCCTCAGCCTCCTGAGGAGCTGGGACTACAGGCATGCACCACCACACCCAGCTCATTTTTGTATTTTTAGTAGAGAGAGGGTTTCACCATGTTGGCCAGGATGGTCTCCATCTCCTGACCTTGTGATCCACCTGCCTCGGCCCCTGAAAGTCCTGGGATTACAGGCATGAGCCACCGCTCCCAGCTGGTTGTTCAATTTCTGTGTAGTTGTGTGGTTTGAATGAATTTCTTAATGTTGAGTTCTAATTTGATTGCACTGTGGTCTGAGAAACTGTTATGATTTCAGTTATTTTGCATTTGCTGAGGAGTGTTTTACTTTCAATTATGTGATCTATTTTAGAGTAAGTGCCATGTGGCAATGAGAAGAATGTATATTCTGTTGTTTGGGGTGGAGAGTTCTGTAGATATGTATCAGGTCCATTTGATTCAGTGCTGAGTTCAGTTCCTGAATATCTTTATTAATTTTCTGCCTCAATGATCTGTCTAATATTGTCACTGGGGTGTTAAATTTTCCTGCTATTATTGTGTGGGAGTCTAAGTCTCTTTGAAGGTCTCTAAAAATTTGCTTTATGAATCTGGGTGCTACTGTGTTGGATACACATATATTTAGGATCCTTAGATCTTCTTGTTGAATTGAACCCTCTACCATTATGTAATGGTCTTTTTTGTCTTTTATGATCTTTGTTGGTTTAAAGTCTGTTTTGTCAGAAGCTAGGATTGCAACCCTTTCTTTTTTTCTGTTTTCCATTTGCTCGGTAGATTGTCCTCCATTTTTTTTAAATTTTTTATTTTGAGCCTATGTGTGTCACTGCATGTGAGATGAGTCTCTTGAAGACAGTGTACCAATGGGTCTTGGTACTTGATCCAACTTGCCACTCTCTGTCTTTTAATTGGGACACTTAGCTCATTTACATTTAAAGCTAGTATTGATATGTGTGGTTTTGATCCTGTCATTGTGATTCTAGCTGGTGATTTTGCTTGTTTTTATGGTTGCTTCATAGTGTCGTTGGTCTGTGTACTTCAGTGTTTTTTTGTAGTGGCTGGTAATGGTCTTTCCTTTCCATATTTAGTGCCTCCTTTAGGAGCTTTTGTAAGGCAGTTCTGGTGGTAACAAGTTACCTCAGCATTTGCTTGTCTGAAAAGGATCTTATTTCTCCTTCGCTTATTGGGCTTAGTTTGGCCAGATATAAAATTCTGGTTTGGAATTCCTTTTTTTTTTTTTTTTTAGTAGGTTGAATATTGGCCCTCAATCTCTTCTGGTTTGTACAGTTTCAGCTGAGAGGTCTGCTGTTAATCTGATGGCTTTCTTTTGTAGGTGACCTGGCCTTTCTCTCTAGATGCCTTTAACATTTTTTCTTTCATTTTGATCTTTGAGAATCTGATGATTATGCATCTTTGGGATGATCTTCTCTTGGAGTATTTTACTGGGGTTCTCTGCATTTTCTGAATTTGAATGTGGGCCTCTCTAGAGAGGTTGAGAAAGTTATCATGGATGACATTTTGAAACGTTTTCCAAATTGGTTAAAGTTTTTGAGACTTGTTCTGTGGCCTAACATGTGGTCTATTCTGAAAAATGTTCTATATTTGATGAAAAGAATGTATATTCTGCACCAATTGAGTTAAATGTTCTGTAAATGTCAGTTAGGGTTATTTGGTCTAGTGTGTAGCCAAACTCAGATGTTTCTTTTCCTATTTCAGTTTGGATGATCTGTTCATTACTGAGAGTGAGGTGTTGAAGTCCCATACTATTATTATATTGCAGTCAGTTTCTCTCTTCAGACCTATTAATGTTTGCTTAATAAACTTAGTTGTTTTATGTTGGCTGCGTATATATTTATAATTGCCATATACTCTTGCTGTATTGAACTTGCTATCAGCATACTGTGATCTTCCTTGCCTATTTAACAGTATTCTAGTTTTGTAGTCTATTTTACCTCCTATGTTCTTGTTTTCTGGTGGTTTTTTTTTTTTTTTTTTTTTTTTTTTCCGGAGGTTTGCTCTTGTTGCCCAGGCTGGAGTGCAATGGCATGATCTTGATCTTGGCTCACTGCAATCTCCGTCTCCTGGGTTCAAGTGATTCTTCTGCCTCAGCCTCCTGAGTAGTTGGGATTACAGGCATGTGCCAACATACCTGGCTAATTTTGTATTTTTGGTAGAGACTGGGTTTCTCCATGTTGGTCAGGCTGGTCTCAAACTCTTGACCTCAGGTGATCTGCCCTTCTTGGCTTCTGAAAGTGCTGGGATTACAGGCGTGAGCCACTGTACCCAGCCTCTGGTTGTATTTTTGGCTCCTCTCTTCCTTTCTTTTTTCTTATTGTCTTCTTTTGTAGTTAAGTGATTTTCTCTTGTAGTATGTTTTAATTCATTGCTTTTTATTTCTAGTGTTATCTATTATACCTGTTATAGCATTTTGCTTTGTGATTACCATAATGTTTATGGAAAATATCTTATAGCTATAACAGGTTATTTAAAGTAATGATAACTTATCTTTGATCACAAAAGAATAGAATAAAACAAAGGAAAAACTAAAAAAACTTTATATTTTAACTTCATCATCCCACATTTTGACTTTTTGTTTTTTTAATTTACATCTTTTTATATTGCCTATCTCTTAATAGTGTGCAGCTATTATTGCTTTCAGTAGATTTGTCTTTTATTCTTCATGCTAGAAATATGAATGAATTACACACCACAATAGAGTATTAGAATATTCTCAGTTTGTCTGTGAACTCAGTTTTACCAGTGGGTTTTATACTTTCAAAATTTTTTTTTCATGTTAGTGTTTTTTCTTTTAGATTGAAGGACTCCCTTTAGCATTTTTTGTAAGACAGGTCTAGTGGTGATAAATTGTCTCAGCTTTTGTTTGCTTATTTATTTCTCATGTGTCAAGGTAGCTTTTGTACAGCATACTCAGCAGTTGTTTTTTTTTTTTCTGTCAACACTTTGAATATGTCTTCTCACTCTCTCCTGGCCTGAAGGGTTTCCATTGAGAAGTTTGTTGCCAGACTAATTAGAGTTCTTTATATGATTATTTGCCTATTTTTATCTTGCTGCTTTTAGGACCCTCTCTTCGTTCTTGACTTTGATTGTTTAGTTATTATATGCCTTTGGATCACCTTATTTGGGTTGTATCTGTTTGATGATCTCTGACCTTCCTGCACCTGGATATTTATATTTTTATCAAGTTTTGGAAAGTTTTCTGTTATTATTTCTTTGAATATTTTTTCTACTCCTTGCTCTTTTTCAACTCCCTTTTTAACACTGATAGTTCTTAGATTCACTCTTTTGAGGTAATGTTCTTATAAGATTCTTATATTGTGTAGGCATTCTTCATTCTTTTTTCTCCTATCACTGTGTATTTTCAAATAGTCTGTGTTTGAGCTCAATCATTCTTTTCTCTGCTAATCCATTCTGCTATTGAGAACCTCTAGTGCATTTTTTTTTTTTTTTACTTCAGAAAATGTATTTATCAGTTCCAGGATTTCTATTTTCTTTTGTAAAAATTTTGATCTTTTGTTAAATTTATCAGATAAAGTTTTGAATGCTTGACTGTGTTTCTTGGGGCTTTCTGAGTTTCCTTAAAACATCTATTTTGAGCTCTTAATCAGAGAGCTCACACATTGCCATCTCTTTAGGGTCAGTCACTGGCTTCTTGCTTCGTGTGTATGGGGAAGTCATGGTTCTGTTGGTGTTGTTTCTCGTAGATGCATGGATGTGTGTTTGCGTTGGAGGATTAGTTATTTATTCCAATTTTCTCTGTCTTGTTTGGTTTCCTTGGATATGTTTACTTAGAAATTCTTTGGAACATAGCTGTTGAATTATTTCATGCTAGATCACTGCCTCTTTTTGGGCACAAGATAGCACATTAAACCAAGGTTTGCCTTGGCATTAGCAAATGTTCAGAGCACTGCTTGTCCCAGATGGGAGAGATCCCAAAGTGATCCCAGGCTATGTGGGAAGGCTGGCTAGGGGCTTGTGCCCAGGGGATTCATGGAATGTACTTCCTACAGCATAGGGCTGCTAAACAGCCACTCTGATATGGCATCTCCTTTGTCTGAGAAAGAGAGCAGAATTTTAAGGGCTGTGGATGATATTCTCACTACTCTCATTTGTCTCTGGCTACCTTTGGGGGATTTTCTCTCTTCAGGCACATGTGATGCTTCTCCTAGGTTGAGGCAGAAACAATTATCCATCACCTTGGAGTTTCTTCACTTCTCTGTAGCCCTAGGAACTGGCTCATCCTCAGATTTGAGTTGAGGGTTATTGCCAGTGATAATCTTGGTGTGTAGATATTTGTTTTGTTTTTTGGGGGGTTGGTGTGAAGCCAGCTTGTGTTTAGTCTGCAATTTTGGTGATGCCACTCTCATCTATTTTTTAATTTTTACTTTAATTGTCTCTAATTTTTGTTGACTATGTATATGCATTTTTGTTTTCTTTTTATCTGGTTGCTTTTAGGTGAATTCTAGGAGATGAAGGGAGAAGTTCTATATTTACTCTGCCTTTTAAAATTAGATGGGCTCCATGCCTGATATGAATGAACTGCCTCTGTTTGAAATCTCTGATGAATGGGAAGGCCAAGTGGTCATATTTTGCCACGTATTTCTCCTGATCATAACTGGTTAGATCTGGAAAGAACCACTTTCCCAAGGGAAACGAATCAACTAGAACTTGCAGAGCCAATCAGATTTCCTTTCATCTACCCCAGAATTTAACTACGAATTTGTAATAAGTTTGTCACAGGCACTTGGGATAAAAGTCATAGAGAAATTCAATTGGGTTGGCCATATTGAGTTCTAACTCAGATAAGTAACTGAAAGAAAGAGAATATTAGGACTAGAGCAAAGTGGAAGAGCAGTGACAAAAAGAAGCAGAGATAATCTCTACTCCCTTTTTGTTTCAACTGAGAGAAGAGAAAGGAAAAAACCGGTCAGGCAGGCAGTTAGGGTGGGTCCTTGCTTGAATTCTTTCAAACAAAAGAACAGCCTGAAAACTCAAGCTGCAGGTACAGATAAGGGACTTGCACAGGGGAGCTTGCCTAGGACATGCCTACAGCTGTACAGATAAGAAAGGCTACACAGGTGACTTGCCAAGACATGCCCACAATGGAAAATTCCATCCCCTAACACAGGTGCAGTAAGGAGAAGAAAGCAATATGAAGTAACTCAAGCTAAGGGTCAGCATGTGCACTAGGAGGATGGGATGGAGCTAGCAGAAATTTATAGCTTATGCAAATGAAATGCTCAGCCCCCATCATTATCTTATAAAACCTTACATAAAAATGGTAATTCTCTTCCAGGCCCTTTATATGCAGTGGAGAGCCTTCTTCTTTCACTTAGTAAACTTTCACTCCAACCCCACCCTTGTTTCCACACTCCTTAATTCTCTAGGTCATGAGACAAAGAACTCTGGGTGATACCTCACAATGAGACTGCTACATTGTGGTGCATTGGTAAGACTGTAACATTTTGGTGTATTGTCTGAGAAAGGAAACATTAGAAGGGTGAGTAGGAGTGGGTCTCCAACTCTTAACTTTCATTTCCAAGGCTTCTCACCCTCAGATTTTTAAATTAAACAAAATAGTGGGTCCCTATCAGCCAATTAAAGATGAATAGCATGGCTGCCAGCCTTACAAGACTCAGGGGACAGGCTTGCTGGAGAGGACTTTGTCAATTCCCCATCGCTGTCATGTGGTGGGAATGTTGACTCTGTTTCATTCCCGTTTCCTTTCATGAAGGACCTAGCCATCATGTGAGGTTGGAAGGAGGTCCTAGGGCAACTGAGGGCATCTGGCTAAGGCTATACCTTGGTGTTGCCTGCAGTTCCCTGAACTAACTCCAGCCCCTGACAGCCCCTCAGGGTGTTGCCATGAGGACTTTCAGACCTTTTAATTGCATTTACTTCCTTCTTTTCATGGCTACTATGTCTCCTATCCCTTATTTATATGCAATGTTGTAGGTATTTTCACAGCCTGGGGAGATACTCCTGTTAAGAAAAGTCAGCAAGTGCCTTAGTCACTAGGAATGTAATTCAAAGAATTGTTGCTTCTGCGATTTTCTAGAGATGGGGTAACTTCAGGATTTCAGCTTTAACTTTCATCTAACAAGGGCCTTTTTGTTTCTCAATAATAGACATTCATGGCACTGTATAGGGGAATATTTCACCCAAAGAAAATACCCTTCTTTCACTTTTTTTTTTATAGTCTATGTAAGAGCTCAGCATTGTTCAGTGAATCTTAGCAATCCCTCTATGAGACAAATTAATTTTCCTCTGCTGGGCAGCATATTATGGGGACAACCTATTAAGGCTCAAATCTCTCTTTCTAACCTTTGCCTGGAAAAAGAATTTGAAGTCAGAGTTTTTACCTAACATTTCAAACCCTACAGTGCCACCTACTAGGATGGGAGTTTTCTCTGTGGGGATCCTTTTTGGCCCTTTGCACAAAACCTCTAGTTCCCTGATTCCTTTCTCTTTTATGTCCCTCTCTGTGATGAGGCTCCATGCCCTGTTTGTAGACAGGAAAATTCCCCTTTCAACAGCTGGGAGGAAGCTACCCTAGCAAGACAGAATTTGTTTCAGTGCTATCCCCATCAGAGGAAAGACAGCCATTCAATTCTTACATTCATTTGAGGCACCTGTTCATTATCCAGCTACTTTGACATCTAAGCAAGAAAGGGATCTTATGTTTAGAAGTCAATTGGTTCCATTCTCTAGGAACTTATAACTTTGCCAACGCAGTAGTAAGAGGATGTAAGGATAGAGTTAAGACACTCCCTCCATCAAAGGGTCTTTCCCAAATTCAACTACTGCACAATCTCTCCTGGGGCCCTAAGAATCTCAAGAGCCTTATGGGCCAAGTGGGTCCAGGAAGCCAGCAGGGCGGAGAGCTAGGGCCTCAAGCAGGTGAACATGACTATTTATGCTGACTAGCTTCTCCAGATCTATTGGTGAAGGTCATGCTTGAATCCATGGGTAGCACCTACGTCAGTTGCCAGGACCCAAAGGAGATTGGAGAAAAGAGGAGAAGGGGGACACCCTTTCTATCTTTTTCTACACCCTGGGTCACCCTGAAAGGAGGAAGGAGGCTAAGTGATGCCTTCTCCTCCTCTCTTTTCTAGATAAGTAACAACCTGTCTTCAAGCCTGCCCATGGCTTGATGCAAGAAAACTTGCTTCAAGTTTTCTTTAGGCAAGCTTCAACTTCACTCACACATAGAGGCCTTCCAGGATTTACCCCAAGTATTTAAACTCTCTTGGAATGATGTTATATTACTCTTTTATTATTATTATTATTATTATTATACTTTATGTTCTAGGGTACATGTGCACAACATGCAAGTTTGTTACATATGTATACATGTGCCATGTTGGTGTGCTGCACCCATTAACTCATCATTTACATTAGGTATATCTCCTAATGCTATCCCTCCTCCCTCCCCCAACCCCACGACAGGCCCCAGTGTGTGATGTTCCCCACGCTGTGTCCAAGTGTTCTCATTGTTCAATTCCCACCAATGAGTGAGAACATGCAGTGTTTGGTTTTCTGTCCTTGCAATAGTTTGCTCAGAATGATGGTTTCTGGCTTCATCCATGTCCCTAAAAAGGACATGAACTCATCCTTTTTTATGGCTGCATAGTATTCCATGGTGTATATGTGCCACATTTTCTTAATTCAGTCTATCATTGATGGACATTTGGGTTGGTTCCAAGTCTTTGCTATTGTGAATAGTGCTGCAATAAACATATGTGTGCATGTGTCTTCATAGAAGCATGATTTATAATCCTTTGGGTGTATGCCCAGTAATGGGATGGCTGGGTCAAATGGTATTTCTAGTTCTAGATCCTCGAGGACTCACCACATTGTCTTCCACAATGGTTGAACTAGTTTACAGTCCCACCAACAGTGTAAAAGCATTCCTATTTCTCCATATCCTCTTAAAATTCTAACTGCTGCTGAGAAAGAGGCAGCCCTACAGATAGCAGAGAAATCTGGAGATGAACAGCATGTCTCCCATAGCCAGTCAAAAAAGAAAGAGTCAAAAAGGGGAAAGAGGGTGAGAAAGAGACAGAATCCCCATTCCCAGTAGGAAGAGAGGCAGTGTCCCTTGAAAACCTTAATTGGAAGCCTAGTAATCCCATAGATGAGTGGAAAAGAAAACACTTTCAGATGTGTATATCAGAGGGCTTACAAAGGACCAGAGCCAAACCTGTTAACTACTCTAAGCTATCAATGATAGATAAAAAGCTAGATGAAAATCTCTCAGTCTTTTTAGAAAGCCTGAGAGGGCTTTGGTAAAACACACTTATCTCCTAATTCAATTGAGGGACAGCTAATCTTGAAAGACAAGCTTACTCAGGTGGCCCCTGACATCAGAAGCAAGCTTCAGAATCAGGCTATAGGACCAGATGGCACGTTAGAAAACCTCCTAAGGGTAGCCACTTCAGTCTTTTATAATAGGAACCAGGAGGAGGCCCTGGAAAGGGAGAGGAAACACATAAAAAAGGCAGAAAGAGGGATACCTTGGAATGGAATGCAGGTCTGGAACTCCATGTAAGCCCTCACTTCAAGATAGCCTGGTAAAGTTGTCAGTAACAACCTTTGCTGCAGGCCTCCGTCTTGTTTTACATACTTGAGTGTGACCTGTAACCATGTCACAGTACTTTTTTTAGCCTTTGCCATTTTACAATGGCGCACGGGTTCAATCCTGGCTTGGGGAATGAATACTTTCAAATTAATAGCTATGTGACTTTTACCATTTGCTAATTCTCTTCCCCCTCCATGAACAACTGCTAACTTCCTTTCTTAAATCTTTCTCTCTCTAAGTTGCCTTTAAAACTTCTGGTTTTTTTTTTTTTTTTTTTTTTTTGAGATGGAGTCTCATTCTGTTGCCCAGGCTGGAGTGTAGTGGTGCGATCTTGGCTCACTGCAAGCTCTGCCTCCCAGGTTCACACCATTCTCCTGCCTCAGCTTCCTGAGTAGCTGGGACTACAGGCACCCACCACCATGCCTGGCTAATTTTTTTTTTGCATTTTTAGTAGAGAACGGGATTTCACAATGTTAGCCAAGACCTCATGATCTGCCGGCTTCAGCCTCCCAAGGTGCTGGAATTACAGGCGTGAGCCACCACACCCAGCCAAAACTTCTGGGTTTTGTAAAAGCTGCTTATCACCCCTTTGAAAATACGTTGTACACTCGAGGTTTAGTCATAACCTAATGGAGTCTTGTTGGTTTCACCTGTGAGATTACTTTTGATAAAGTTCAAAAGTCAGAAATATTAACTTTTTGGTGTGCCTAAAGTTGGGTAACAATGAATTTAAAAGGATTTTCTTAAAGAGCACTCAGCTTAATTAAAAGTGGATATCCAAGTTATAGGTATATTTAAAAGACCTTTATGTTTTTCTCTTCTTGGATCTTGTTTTTCTGGAAAAGGTTTCTTTCTCAGTTGACTGAATTACTTTTCTCCACTCTGTCTTGCCACTCTTGGTGCATGCATGGAAGGCCCTAAGATAATTTCTGATGGCCTGGGGCTTTTTGGTAAAAACGGAAGATGCACCATGGATTCCATTTTGGGAGAAACCTCTGTTTTCCTTGTGGAACCCTAGGAATTAGAGGCAGATAGATAAAAATCTGTTTTTGTCTTCCAGCTATACCTATTTATTAGGCCCTAGAAACTGCATGCTTTTTAAGCCCTGCTCTTAATGGACCCTTCCCAGAGGCCAATAATCCAATTAGGAGATTGACATATGAAAAATCTTATAACTACTTGATCTTCTTCTGTTTGTCTATGTAGTTATATATGTGTTGTGTGTGATATCTGTAAAAAGAGCTCTAATTAATTGGCTTAAAGAAAAATAAATGCTTAAATCAAATATTTTTATAGGAAAGATAAAAGCAGTAATGTCTTTTAGTTCACATGACTTTAATATTTAAGAAATAAAAATAGTTTTAAAGATAATTGGTAAAATGCAAATTTTGTCAAAATGTAAATAGGGGGTCTAAATCATGTATGTCAGATACTAGGCTTGCTAAATGTTTCAAGGTTGTAAACTGCCTGCTTTACAACTTGGCAAGCCATGGGACATGTGAAATTAACCATGCCCCTAACTATGCTGGATAGATTCAGGACTTATCTGCACCTAGTATATAATTAAAACAACATACCAGGTTTTACATTAAAGTTAAAAAATGCTAGAAGTTACCATTATAACATGTAATTGAGACTACTGAAATTCGATTTACATGCAAGGTGTGTAAAAACAGTAAAATATGTTTTTAGTAAAAGATTATAAGTAAACATGAAAATGTAAATTTTGCCTAGGGTTAAAAGATTGTCTTAAATTAGATAAAATACAGCTGAAAGTTCAAGCAAGTTGTGGAGAGACTGTAAAAATTAATCTTGCAAAGGAAACTGTGTGTGTGGACATATTGACCAAATTCAAAAGGGTGTTATAAGATTTTTGTAAATTGAGCACTGAAATAAAAGAACAGTAAGGTTTTCTTAAGATGCAATTCTGCTCTTTATCAAAATTTGTAAAGGTTTATGAAAGGTTTGTAAGAATATCACCTCAGTCAAACTGATTAAGATTAGATAGAATTCTCTATAAGGTTTCATTAAAAATTGGGGTTGACACTAATAGTAAACTAATGCAAGGGTGAAGTTTGCCTTTCTCCCTCTTGAAAAGGATTTTCATGTAATAGTAAAGGCTAATAAAAGGATTTTGCCTTTTTAAATTTTTGAGTCATCATTTTGGGAAAATAAATAACTTATAGTAATCTGTAATTATATTTCATAATATCAAGTTTTTATACGTCTAAATTTAACAGTCTCCCCAAAATTAAATTTCAGTTTCAAAATTGTCTCTCCTGATGCCTAGCTTTTGGTTGTGACAGAGGGCCTCTGGAGCATCCAGAAAAGAGGTAAACAGGATTATTTAACATGTTTAGATACAAGGGATTGCCACAGTGATGTGTAATCTTCTTCAGTTTTTATTTCGGTAAATAATATTAATATATGTTCCAAAATCATATGGGATATCTAATGTTCTAATGTCTGAACATATGCTGTCAATGATAATTAGGTTTATTATGTTAAGCTATTGTAACTACAGAAATAACCAAATGTCTTCACCAATCATATTCTTGCCTGTAACAACCCTGGAAATTTTGTCATTTACAGACAACTGTTGTCTTGTTTTAATTCTCTTCAAAAGATGGTTTATGATCAACTGTAGGACTTTAACAAGTGCTCTCAAATGCAGTTTTCTGATAAAAGAAAAATGTACACAACTCACGAAAAGCTGAAGTGGTTATGAATATCAAGCAGAATAAGAGTTAAAGAAATAGACTGAGCTGATAGGAAACTGAAGTAATTGTTCTAAATTTTTTGCTTAAAACATTGCTTATCCTTGTTTTGTTTTTCAGAGTCAAGGAAACTTTTCCTTTAAGCTAGCTATAGCTTCTAATAATTGACTAAGTTATACTCCTGTGAACAAAATTTGGGGACTATTTGTTTCTCTCTGCCTGGCTTCTCCAGAATTTGGAAACTCTTTTTGAGTATTCTTGACTTATGGCAATATGGTTGTTTGCATCAGTGCAATAAGAATCCATTTTCTTTTGCAACAGGATGCATTTGGAGAAAATGGTTGATTCCCTTTAAGGAATCAAGGTTAGCCTGCAGAGCTAATAAAAGCCCCTTGGGAAAACTTGCCTGATACCTTGTCTACACACTCTCTGTACAGGATTGCTAATCTGTGGTGAGTAAATACTATCACTTTCTAATAGGCCCAGGAACACTTTGTTCTTGGGACCTCAAAAAAATAGGAATTCACCTAACTCATAGGTATTTGAGGATACAAACCCATGGCTGGGCTGGACTTTAAAAAGTTCTATCTGAGATTCTTTGTGGAACAGAGTTCCATAAAGCCAATTTAAAAGGCTTATGTAAAAATAATTATTCTTGCTGCACTTTATGCAAATAATAAGGCCAAGTATAAAACTAAAGTGTAGTTTACAAACAACTCAGTTCTATCATGATTTGTTTTTAACAAAAATGATAATTGGAGAGAGAAAAATTATCGTATGCTTATCATTAAATTCTAATCTCATTAGTTTTTTAAAGTTCTTGCCTACGTTTTAGACTAACCCTGCTTATTCCTGTAACCAACCAGCAATCTCTGGCTGCAGCTCAGAAGAAACAAAAAGGGATGAATAATGTAAAAATCTGGATCAATATTCAAGTTCTGGACAATTATCCTGCAAATCCTGCCTGTTAATGGGAATAAATAGGGTGCCCATAACCTGGAGGTTTCTTTGTTTGAAAAATAAAACTAAGGAAGTTAACCAAAGCCAAGCCCCATGCATTCAAATCTTGGTAGACATAACTATAGTCACCAGCGATCTGGTTGTGTTGGCAGCCTTGAGTTGTCTTTACCCTCCACCCTTGTTTCATTTTAATACATATCCTCTAATAACCGAAATTGTTTCTTCTCACATAAAGGCTATCAAGCTCCAAACGCTAATGCAAATAAAACCACACATGGACGTGCCTTTTATCCAAGGACCCCCAGACCAGCCCCAGGAGGAAACCTAGCTGCTGTTCCCCTCACAACACCTTTCTCCAGTAGTATCATCACCCCACCTACCTAACAGAAGTTAGGGTCTCTACCCCTGAAGGGGAGAATGAGAGAGAACAAAGAAAGAAACTGGTCAGTCAGGCAGTTTGGGTGGATCCTTGGTTGAATTCTTTCAAGCAAAAGAACAGCCTGAAAACTCAAGCTCCAGGCACAGATAAGGGAACTTGCACAGGGGAGCTTGCCTAGGACATGCCCACAGCTGCATAGATAAGAAAGCCTACACAGGTGACTTGCCCAGACATCTCTGCAACGGAAAATTCCATCCCCTAACACGTGCAGTAAGGGGAACAAAGTGCAGTAAGGGGAACACATGCGCAGTAAGGGGAACAAAGCAATATGGAGTAACTCAAGCTATGGGCCCTCGTGCACACTGGGAGGACAAAGTGGAGCTACCAGAAATTCACACCTTATGCAAATGAGACATCCAGCCTTCATTTTTTTTTTTTTTTTTTGATATAAAAGCCTTTGCATTCAACTGTAAAAATGGCAACCCTCTTCTGGGTCCCCTCTCTGTACCAGAGAGCTTTCTTCTTTCACTTACTAAACTTTCACTCCAACCTTACCCTTTGATTCCACACTCCTTAATTCTCTTGGTCATCAGACAAAGAACTCTGAGTGATACCTCACAATTAAAGACTGCTACATTGTGGTGCATTGGCAAGACTGTTACATCATGAGGGATGGCTATTGTATATCTTACTCTTCAATTCTGTGAGATCTCTGTTACTACAATAATACTGTGATCTGTGAAACAGGTTTAGTGTGTCTTTGTTTTCTGTATTTGTAAAAAATAAAAGTAATGAAGAAAGGCTTCAAATCCAGGACTGATGGCACTTGAATTAAAAATGCTAAAAATAAAACAAACTAGCATCATTCACATTGGAATGATGGTTTGTATAATAAAAATTTTGGTATCACAGGAAAATTCTTAGAAATAACTGGCTGTATATTGAAGAGCACTTATCAAAGAGTTAAGGTGGGTCATATATAGTCCATGTTAATATGAGTTCATCCCAGAGAGGGCATGTTGATTTGGTGTGAGACAGTAAGTTAATTAGTGCAGTAAATTAATATAGCATGCAAGTGACAATACTGTATCCAAAGCAATTTATTGGTGTTAATGTCTTTATTTGCAAATGCACAAAGTTCGCCTGTTGAAATGGATGTTTTAATATATACTATAAATTGCCTCTGAACTTGTACTTTTTTAAATTAGCTGTAGTTTGGTTAAATTTGTGTGAGAGTGCTTGAGAAGAACTTTCCTTCTTAACCCTGCATAATTGAGTATTTGTGTTTTATATATATAGGAAGGTAGGCACTGCCAAGGCCATAGGCAGAATTTTGAAAGATTACTTGTCTTCTGGTGGCTTCAGGCTCCCCTTTTCTTGCATTTTCTTTACTTCAGAGCTTGCTTTTCTTTTCTCTGACTTAAATTTTGAGTGTCCAGGCTTTTTCTTTTTTCAAATGCAACTCTTGGGACAGTATCTAAAACAGGCTTATACTAAAGTTTAAGAATCTGATAAAATGTTTTATTCTTTTTTTTATTATTAAAAAAATTTTTTTATTATATTTTAAGTTTTAGGGTATATGTGCACAACGTGCAGGTTTGTTACATATGTATACATGGGCCATGTTGGTATGTTGCACCCACTAACTCGTCATTTAGCATTAGGTATATCTCCTAATGCTATCCATCCCCCTTCTCCCCACCCCACAACAGGCCCTGGTATGTGATGTTCCCCTTCTTGTGTCCATGTGTTCTCATTGTTCAATTCCCACCTATGAGTGAGAACATGTGGTGTTTGGTTTTATGTCCTTGTGATAGTTTGCTGAGAATGATGGTTTCCAGCTTCATCCATGTCCCTACAAAGGACATGAACTCATCCTTTTTTATGGCTGCATAGTATTCCATGGTGTATATGTGCCACATTTTCTTAATCTAGTCTATCATTGTTGGACATTTGGATTGGTTGCAAGTCTTTGCTATTGTGAATAGTGCCGCAATAAACATATGTATGCATGTGTCTTTATAGCAGCATGATTTATAATCCTTTGGGTATATACCCAGTAATGGGATGGCTGGGTCAAATGGTATTTCTAGTTCTAGATCCCTGAGGAATCGCCACACTGACTTCCACAATGGTTGAACTAGTTTACAGTCCCACCAATGGTGTAAAAGTGCTCCCATTTCTCCACATCCTCTCCAGCACCTGTTGTTTCCTGACTTTTTAATGATCGCCATTCTAACTGGTGTGAGATGGTATCTCATTGTGGTTTTGATTTGCATTTCTCTGATGGCCAGTGATGATGAGCATTTTTTCATGTGTCTGTTGGCTGCATAAATGTCTTCTTTTGAGAAGTGTCTGTTCATATCCTTTGCCCACTTTTTGATGGGGTTGTTTGTTTTTTTCTTGTAAATTTGTTGGAGTTCATTGTAGATTCTGGATATTAGCTCTTTGTCAGATGAGTAGATTGCAAAAATTTTCTCCCATTCTGTAGATTGCCTGTTCACTCTGATGGTAGTTTCTTTTGCTGTGCAGAAGCTCTTTAGTTTAATTAGATCCCATTTGTCAATTTTGGCTTTTGTTTCCATTGCTTTTGGTATTTTAGACATGAAGTCCTTGCCCATGCCTATGTCCTGAATGGTATTGCTTAGGTTTTCTTCTAGGGTTTTTATGGTTTTAGGTCTAACATTTAAGTCTTTAATCCATCTTGAATTAATTGCCAAATACGAACAGCTCCAGTCTACAGCTCCCAGGGTGAGCAATGCAGAAGATGGGTGATTTCTGCATTTCCAACTGAGGTACCGAGTTCATCTCTCTGGGGAGAGTCGGACAGTAGGCGCAGGACAGTGGGTGCAGCGCACTGAGTGTGAGCTGAAGCAGAGCAAGGCATAGCCTCAACCAGGAAGCGCAAGGGGTCAGGGAATTCCCTTTCCTATCAAAGAAAGGCGTGACAGACGGCACCTGGAAAATTGGGTCACTCCCACCCTAATACTGCGCTTTTTCAACGGTCCTAGCAAACAGCACACAGGAGATTATATACGTGCCTGTCTCGGAGGGTCCTACGCCCACAGAGCCTTGCTCATTGTTAGCACAGCAGTCTGAGATCAAACTGCAAGGCAGCAAGGAGGCTGGGGGAGGGGCACCTGCCATTGCCGAGGAGGATTGAGTAGGTAAACAAAGCAGCTGGGAAGCTCCAACAGGGTGGAGCCCACTGCAGCTCAAGGAGACCTGCCTGCCTCTGTAGACTCCACCTCTGGGGGCAGGGCATAGCCAAACAAAAGGCAGCAGAAAACTCTGCAGACTTAACTGTCCCTGTGTGACAGCTTTGAAGAGAGTAGTGGTTCTCCCAGCACGCAGCTTGAGATCTGAGAACGGACAGACTGCCTCCTCAAGTGGGTCCCTGACCCCCGAGTAGCCTAACTGAGAGGTACCCCCCAGTAGGGGCAGACTGACCTCTCACAAGGCCAGGCACCCCTCTGAGACAAAACTTCCAGAGGAACGATCAGGCAGCAACATTCACTGTTCACCAATGTTTTATTCTTAAGCTTATTATCAATAATATGCCTTATATTTATTTAGCATTTTATACTTTACATAACACTTCCACATTCCATGAATCATTTAATCACCACCTCAATTCTGTAAGGTAGGTGGCTTTTCAGTTTTTACGAATGATGAAACTGAGACTCAGATACTAAAACAGGGCTTTGAGTTCAGGTCTCCAAACTTTGGCTTTCCATAGTAATAGCTGTCTTATTAGAACATTGCACATTTGTAGCAATTAAAAATTGAAGCAAATAAAATACTCTCCAATTGCAGAATTTCTGATATCACTTGTCTACAGTGAGCTGTTTTTCTCTGTTTAACCATGTCATTTTTTCCATGATCACAGGCTCACAGGCAGTAGAAAGAAATGACAGATTACTAGGATGAAAGCATGGGGGTAGGGAACATACCATTTAATTTAGGGGAAAATAACTCTATGTACTTCAATAGTCTCTTAAGTTTACTACAAAGAATTATGTAATGGTTAAGGCAATGTAGTATGGTGGAAGGAATATGGTCTTTGGAATCCTGCAGACATGGAATTTGAACCCTATCTATCCTAGATATGCCACTTACCAGCTATGTGACTTTGGGTAAAGTAATTGAACTTCTCCTGAGTTTCATTTTCTTCATCTGTAATTAGCGCTATTACTACCTGTTTCATGGGACTGTTGTGAGAATTCATTGAAAAACGTGAAATTAAAGTAAGAGCAGTTATTATTTGAGCACTTTCTAAATGCTCCCTTAATTTGTACAACTAAGGGATAGGTCCTATTGTTATTAAAATTTAATAGATGAAGAATCTAAGCTTAAAGACATTTACCAACATGCCCAAAGTCACACAACTATTAATAGTAATCTCTGCACCAGTGTTCATTCCCAAGTCCACCTGATTCTTATTCTGATGTCTATGCCACATAGTATGTAATACTCAATACTTTTCATTGAATGGACAGCATTTGTAATAATGATTGTTTTTGTCTGTCCAGTAATACTTCCTCCCTTCTTCTGTTAACAGTACTCATCTTATTTTGGGAAACTAGATTTCAGCCACTCTAACCAATGGAACTCTCACCCCCTAGCCATGGTGATTAGTACAAGAAGTGGGCATGTGACTCAGTAAAGTCAGTCAGAACACTTCTTTGTGTTATATACAAAAGAGTGAGAAGTCCTTTAGTTTCTTTAGGATTGCTGTAGTAGGATGATATAATCTGGAAACTGAAAAATAACTGAATTACTGATAATATAAGCCAATCACTTCCTCCACAGAAATGGAGGATGCCATCTGAAGTAAGAGATAAAAGATAATGCAGAGAGGAATGAAGATAAGAATGGAGAAAGAATCTTGATGATAGAGATAATAAGTTCCTGAGTCAAGATTTCATATAGTCCAGTGAGCCAATATAGTCCCTGCATTTGCGTGACCTAATTTGAGTTGGATTTCTGATACTCACAACTAAAAGTAATGAAGAGGTTAAAGTGTTGTCAGTTGTTTTAAATGCATATTGTAATGACTTTCTACTATAAGGGTTTAAAATAAAATAATTTTGTGCTTAAAAATAAAGACAATTGTATGAAAAATTTTAGTTATAATTTCTCAGGGAGACTAAAAAATGAAGTATGATTTTGTGTTAACAATATCTTGAATATATGACACAATAGTGAGTCATAATTCACTATGTATTATAGTTATCTAAAATACAAGAGAAAATGTTTTGACTAATTTGGTACTTTTATAAAAATATATTTTAATCTCTCTGCTTGGAAAGCTCTTCCTACAAATACTCAAGTAGCTCCCTCTCATAGTTTATTCAAGTCCCTGACCCACATTACAGTGAGGCTCTCCCTGATGATTTTATCTAAAACGTATCCGACTTCTGTTCTACATTACAGTGAGGCTCTCTCCCTGAGTATTTGATCTCAAAAGCACCTACTTCTCAACATGTTTTTTGCTTCATGGAATTTATAACTACTGGACATTGTACTCTACATGTTGGTTTGTCACTGTCTTCCACACTAGAATATAAACTTCATGAGAATAGGGGTTTTGTCTCATTATTGAATGAGTGAGTCCTTTTAGGTAGACTATTAGCTATGGAAGTAGAGTAATTCATTGTGGCAAAAATAAGAGTATCAGAGACAGGCTGGCTGACTAGCTTTGATCAAATTTACATTCCTCTCTTGCTGATGACATGTCAAGTCCATGTTTTTCAGTCTACCTTGTAGTTGGGCATGACCATATGATGAATTAAGATTTGAAAAGGAATGCTGTACACTGCTCCAGGGCCTGATTCATAAAACCTACCATGCATAGGGTTGTAGTCATCTTACTGTGCCTAGGACAGTTACAGGTTATACTTCGTCAAGCCGAATTAGTGGCCCTTTCACTCCCTAAAGTAGCCCAGTTTAGACAAATTATATAGACAGCATACGTATGCAAGACATGCCAGGCCCTTTCCTCTTTTGCAGCATGTTGCACACAAGCCCTGTGACTCTGGAAGCTGCACATTACAGATTGTGTAGCCACCAGAAGGAAGGATGCTGATACTTGAATCTCTCTTCAGAGAGAGCTGCTCATCTACCTGCTTTGAACTTTGAGTAAGAAAAAATTATTTTATCCTTGAGCTATTATATAATTTGGATTTGTTTATTACAGCAATTGGCCTACCCTCACTAATAGAGAAATATAAAAGTCAAATTGTTAGTATGCAAAATATATAAAATTAGGAAAATACATGCTTATTTTTAACTGATAAATATACAATTTGACATGCCAATTGTAAATTGGTTTAAAGAGCTCATTGAATTAGTATAATATTTCAGCGTTTGATGATTTGTTTTATAACACTAATGTTGTTAGTAAAAATCAACTCAGAGTCATAATAAATTGAGTCTGGACTGTCTGTTCCCACAGGGATGGTTAATCTGGCTATTCTACTGTGGAATGTTCCATGTGCATGCAGGAAAATCTTATATGACTGCTTGGAATAATTTGATTACTCTATATTCACCAACTGGAAAGTCTAGTCATAATATCATTTTTGTCTTCATCTTGTCCCTTGATAACCAATTCATGAAGCCAATTAAGCTGAATCAATTCTTTCTGGAAGGCAGAAGGCTTGCAAACTGTCTTTGAATACCATCTGCTGCACAAAGAAAGAAAATACAGTATACTAATTAGTGTGTTATGAAATTGCTGAGGGACTAAGTGGTGGTGGTTTTGGAGTCAGTGGATTTCTGTGAGACCCCGGATTCTGACAGATGCTAGAGAGTACACAGTACCTAGCTCTAGAAGTGCGGAGAGAATTTCCTACCTGAAGCTTGACTGGCTCTTCTCTGCCATTATAGTCACCAGACAAGAAAGCAAAAACAGATTTATTTTAGCCAGTTGTATGCATCTTAATTTTTAAACTAAATTAACATATGCTTCTTGAAACTATATCCAAAGCATACAGAACTGCATATTAAGGGGTAAAATAAGTCTCTTTTTCCTTTTCCCCTTCTAAATCTTCATAGGTAGCCGCTACTAAAAATTTTTTGTTTGGGGCTCTTTTTATTTTGGAATATTTTCACAAAGCTCTAATGACCCTTGCTCTTTGTTCCTCAAAATATTGGTTGGGGCTGGGCATTGTGGCTCATGCCTGTAATCCCAGAACTTTGGGAGGCCAAGGCCCCAGAAGGATTGCTTGAGGCCAGGAGTTTAAGATCAGCCTGGGAAATATAGCCAGACACTGTCTCTACAAAAAATAAAAAGAATTAGCTGGGTGTGGTGGTGCATGCCTATACACCCAGCTACTCAGGAGGCTGAGGCAGGATAATCGCTTGAGCCCAGGAGGTTGAGGCTGCAGTGAGCCTTGATTGTGCCACTGCATTCCAGCTTGATTGACAAAGCCAGACTCTGTCTCTAAAAATAATTAAAAAAATATTGGTTGGTTATGGAGAATCAGGTCCTTTTGACAAGTGAGTTTAGCCATGAGGCGATTGCATCTGACAAGCTGGCATTTTTACTGTGGTAACCTACAGTATCAAAATCTGTAGGATTTTTTACCCTGGAAGTCCCTGAGGCCCCTGCTTAAAGAGCGTAAGACAGCACATCCTTTTTGGAAGGAAGACAAGGGATGGGGGCTGAGGGTCTCAGTATTCATTATACAGATTTTCCTTTACTACCCACATTTCCAATTTTGGATCTCAACCCTTCTCCTAATCCAAATGCTCCTGAGGTCTAAAGTTTAGATCCTCTCAGTCCGATTTACTCTCCCTCCTATCTCTGAGGGAGAGTTGGGTATTGTGTTGTTTGAGGGAAGGCTTTTTTTCTTCCCCCAAACTGTGACTTTTTTTTCCCTTGTGCCCTATCCTCACCTTTCTATGGCAGCCTCACCTCCTGTGGTAGCTTCATGATCCTTCAAATGAAGTGGGATAAGGAGATCCGCCCAACATCCCAGTTTTTCTGAATAGTCATGTTTTATAGACTTAAGAACTTGTGAATTGTTTTTCATGATGTAACAAATATGAGGAAACACAAAAAAAAGAATTTGCCTCTGTATTCATTGAGTGGGTATTTTAAGGAAATGTTTTCACTTGATGATGAAAGCCAGCATTCAGGTATCTTGATGTTGTCCATGAAACTCCTTCAGTGGAAATGTTCTTTAATTTGATTTGAAGAAAATATTGTGTAACACATGACTCTTCTACTGGGTATCGTGTGTTACACAATTATTCCATTCAAATCAAATTAAAGGACTGAACTGAATTTGAAATAACTGGCTCAGGTTTTTCTTATGTAACAGTTATTAGAAGGAGGTAATTACTTGGAAAAACTTTTATGATATATTTTTGTCATGAAACAAAATATTAGAATATCTTCTGGACCCTTGATATTAGTAGGACAATGAAGCAATCCCTTTTATAGGCTAATCATAAATTTGACATAATAGTACCGAGCTTTCATAAGAGTAAGGATAAGATTGCACACCACATTGACACTCTCTCAGCACACCCTCAGCATTCAGCGGAGGTAAGGAGAAACTGGAGAATTTTAATTTGAAATGTAATAGAAAAGTTGTACTTCTTATGTTTATTAGTAACATATATTATTCATACTAAACAGAAATAACATGTTGATAGAAGAAAGATGTATCAATATAATTTGCATTCTATTAAATCTCTGAGCAAGCTTAAATAATTTAATTTTTTTAGGCTTAATAAATCTCCCTCCAAAGTAAGTAGAATAAAAAGATATAGGTAAAGATATCTTATTTGTGAGGGGAAATCTTCAGTCAGTATTTGAATTTGTTGCTTAATATGCTGAGAAGTTTATCAAAATTAAGAATCAGTACCTATATTGATGTGGTTATTTTGGTTGTTTTATTAAGAAAACATTTGAATTTATTATAAGAAACACCAGATGCATCTAGGAATGCAGCCTTTGGGAAGGCAGCCTCAGGAATGGTGTTAATTTCCTGTTGCTGCCATAACAAATTATCTCACATGTAGTGGCCTAAAACAATACAGATTTACTATCTTACATTTAAGGTGTCGGCAGGGCTGTATTCCTTTTCTTGAGATGCTGGGCGAGACTCCTCTTTCCTGTCTTCTAGCTTGCAGAGCCTATCCAAATTCCTTGCCTTAAGACCCCCTTTTTCCATTTTCAAGCCATTAGTGTAGCATTTTTCTGATCCTCTTTCTGTTGTTGAATTTCTTTGTGAAAGTATACCTAATGTAGATTATGGGTTGATGGGTACAGCAAACCACCATGGCACGTGTATACCTATGTAACAAACCTGCTTGTTCTGCACATGTACCCCAGAACTTAAAGTATAATTTTAAAAAAAATAAAAAATAAGCAAAAACAACAACAACAAAAAGAAACTAAAGGTTCTCCTTCCTCTCTTACGGATTTTGCATAGATTCCCCCCACTGGATAATCTAGGCTAATTTCTCCATCTCAAGGACCTTAATCTTAATTACATCTAAAAAGTCCCCTTCGCTATGCAAAGTAATATATTGTAAAGTCTGGGTAATAGAGTGTGAATATCTTTAGGGGGCCATTATTCTCCCTATCACAGGTTCTAACTTTGGGTTCTTCGGCAAAGTAGGGATGCAGACCCAGTTCTAGATATAATCTCATTTCCACCGCATAGTTCTTGTACTGTTTTGCTGGAGGCATTGTCACCATACAATAGGAGCTACTGTATTTTTTTTCATGCATTTGACAAATATATATTGAACTTTCAGGCGAGATGTCCCAGAGAGAATGCTATCTAAGCTTCTGTAAGTGCTTTGCAAAACTGGACCCTCTATGTTTATATGTAGAAGCTAAGTTATAGTTGAGATTGTAGGACCATTACATTTTTATTTATATTACTGCTACATTCTGGAAATGATGTTGGTACAAGCAACAGATAAGACCTCTGCCTTCATGAAGCTCAAAAGAATTGGATAGTTCAAGACCCAAAGAGTTTAGTGTCCTAATTTAATAGATTTAGCAGGAACAAGAAACTTTATACATCAAATGTACAAGAAGGACAGAGAAAGAGTGGGAAAGAACTGAGACAGTAAGAGGGTTGACAGTCAAGAGTGTAAGAAGATAGGAGGAAGTGCCTACCCAAAAGTCTCATTTTAGATTACAAGAACATTGAAGAAAGCAAAAGTGTTCTAAACTTGAGGAAGTTTACCTTTCAGGGGTTGTTTTTTAAAAATCTCAGAAATATTGAGTTGTTGACTATTTTGAGTATTTTTACTCTTTAGTTTACCTTTGGACTTAGGTTTGGGTAAAGAAGTTAATCTGTGCAAACAGAGCAGAACAGGCTCTAAACAGGAGAAAATAATTTTTAGCAAACCTAGTTATCACTTACTTGGCAGAAAGTACAACTTTACAAATCCAATTTATTTTCCTGGTCTTATTTTTTGGATTATGGTCCTAAGCAGTTTATGTGTGACCTGACTACACAAAGATTACTTTTCACTGCAAATTCCAGCAAACTTTGGCAGAATGCTTTTAGTTAGTTGTCCTCTATAACCTCTGATACCCCTCCCTCACCACCACCACCATATCCCACCCTCACCAACCCTCCCTCACCACCACCTCCCTCCCTCACCACCTCCCTCACCATCTGATACCCCTTGCTCACCATCACCACCATCTCCCAACCCCCTGCCATGCTGATACAAAACAAAACAAAATAAAACAAAACAAAAACCTGTCAAATTTGTATGGTACTGCTATCCTGAGAGCTCCCAAAGGGACTGTGTGTCTGGACAAATTAGGAGAATGTTATCAAAATTTGTGAGGGACAAAGGAGAGGATAATAGCAATTGTGAAGTATTTATTACCTGAGAAAAGGACTTAACTGTCCAACTATTCATTCCTGCACTGAATTTTGCACTTTGAATTTCTCAAGTCTAAACTTGTGTCTTGACTTATTTGTATTAAAACATCTTCTGGAAAGTTGGACTGGGTCAAAGAACCTAACTTAACAGCAGATTGTTATTGCTTTATCTATCACAAAATGTTCATCACTTTTGGAGAAAAAAAATTGGAGTCCTTCCGTATATTGTGTTAATTATTTAAATTAGTCTAAATATCACATTGACAAAAATAAATAGAGTAACAGAACTAGCAGGAGGTGAAAAAATGGACAAATGTGCTTATTATTAGTTTTGCATGAGATTCTTAAATCCTATTCTCATATTACAGTTTAAGAAGATAGGAACGCCAGAATTTTCAAGTAGAATAGGGGGCTCTTGTAATAAAATGTGAACATACATGTTATTATCTTATAAAGATTTGCGATTATGCCTTGATCGCAGCTAAGGGATTACATGTTTTTAATGAAGTGCACATTGTCAGTGTGCAAAGCAATAAAATGAAAAAAATACAGAACTGAAAATTTAATATATATGATAATACACATAAATCTATTAGAGAAAGAGAAGTGGAATTAATTATAATTCAGTACCCTGAGGATGAATAAAAATGGTAAATAATTATGAAATAAATTCATATTGTAATTAGTTTAGCATAGTAATATTAGAACAGAAGTCTGTTTTTAAAAAATGTCCTGCTAACTTATAAAATATTTCATGAAAGGGAAGCAGAAAAAGTTAATTATAAGCATTACCTAAAAGGTAAAAAAATAATAACTAAGCTATCTTGAAATAATGATTAAATTTCTAATTAATTCCTGGTCTCATTTTAAAAACTAATTATAACAATGTTTGGAATATTCTAAATGTTCAAGTGAAATGAAAAGACATGCTTAAAGCACCAGTGATGCTCAAGTGGTTTGGAGTATCAATTTTGGAAAAGCAACATGAACTAAAACTTTTTTTCTCTTTGGGATTGTTTTCCACAGTTACTCACATTAGTGAGAGTTGTGATGGGTTATTTGGCTGTCCATGGATTTGTTCTTAATGCTTCAGGAAACACATTTTTTATTATACAAATGTTATTGTTTTCATGGTAGGGCTTTTATTATGATAAAGAAAATATTCTAAAGAAGCAAAATAAAGACACAACAGTCAGATATTATCTTTTCAGGCTTTACATGGAGTCAGTGCCTACAACAGTCTTAAAGTCACCTCACTGAGAACTCAGGCTTGTTATATGTACATGGTTTCTGATCCATAGCAGAATGGTGGTGCACACAATTTTGGGTGAGCTACAACTTTAACCAGTGCAGGGGTCAGAGAGATCAAAAGTTGCTTTCTGTGAATAATCATGGTTGATAAGTTGACCAGAAGTAATTATTGAACTTTTCATTAAATGTTCTGTCCCTGAGGGTGTAGGTGTACCTCAAAAGTACTCTTAGGAACAATTATTTTAGTATATTATACTATATGTCAAGGCAATTAATACTGACATTTACCTGACTAGTTCAATGCACTGTGCTTAGTATTTTTAGACTCCCCCAAAACCTCTTTGGCTCCTTGCTGTATTTTGACTAAATAATCTGGCGAGTATTATTTTATATAACTGAAATTTCTTGTTCACATGGAATTGGATGCCCGTCAAGGACAGAACTGTGTCTTCAAAATTCATAGGTTGAAGCCCTAACCTAAAATGTGACTGTAGTTGGAGATAGGGTTTTTAAGGAAAAAATTCACGTTGAATAAGCTTATATGGGTGGAGTCCTCATCCAACAGGACTGATGTACTTATAAAAAGAAGAAGGGATATCAGAGGGCTCCCTCCCTGACATGGTGGCTGTCTACAAACCAGGAAGAGAAGCCACACCAGAAACCACTTCTGAGGGTCCCTTGATCTTGGACTTCTAACCTCCAGAACTATGAGAAAAATTTCTGTTGTTTAAACCACCCAGTCTGTGCTATTATGTTATGGCAGGCCATGCAGACTAATACAGTACCCACACTGAGTGCATTGAAGGAATTAAACTAAATATTTTGTGATCATATATTTTGATATCCTTGTGTTGAAAGCCTGGAGATTAGATTGTAAAAGGATTGAAGATCCAGGTCATGTTCTTTGTATGTGGTTTTAAAGTTTACCTTATTCTGGGTACGATGTCAATACTCAGGAAAAATAATGCGATGATTAACTAAGCAGCCTCTCTGTGTTTTTTTTTTTTCACTTTGGTTTTATGTAAGTTATTATGTTCTTAATGTATATTGATTTATAAATTTTATGATTATTTCAGTGGAATGTTTACCATTTTATTCACATTCTCCTAAGCTAGTGTTTCCAGTAGTTTCAGATCAGTTGACATGACATTTATCTCAATACAGGCCTGCCTCTTGGTTCAGATTTCTGTGTCTTTTTTGTCTCTGAAAAGGGTTCACAATGAGTAAAGATGTGTTAATGTGTATGATTCTACAGGGAGGGTAGGGGAAGGATACTAACTCCCCTATATTACATCTATTTACTTGACCGTTTATTTTTGTTTTAAGGGAAAGTAAACTTCATAAATTCTATTTTCCAGAATTGTTTAGGTTGATAACTAAACAATTGGTAGTACTCATGTCTTCATAAATTAAAAACACTACTCTCTTTTTCCTTTCATCATTTCATTGAAATGTGTGTTTTTTATTTTTCCCACATAAGTTAACTGAGATGGAATAGTTTCTTATTTGAGTGGCATGCTCTCAAAAAGAAAAAAAATGTTTTGGGTACACATACAATTCCAAAAAATACTACTATTATATAACTTTGCAAAAAATTAAAACACTTATTTTTTATATTGCAGTTTTGAAAACAAATACTATTTCACAGCATTAAACCTTTTATTTGTAGCATTGTGATGCTATGGAAAAAAACACAGAAACACAGACAGACTGGGGCTTGAATCTTGGCTCTTACATTTGTCCTTATTAAAGTTATTTTACTTTTTGACTCTTATTCATTATCTGTAAAATGTTAATAAGAATTCAATTCTTAATGGGATCATTGTAAAAGTAAGTAAAAAAAATTATGTGTTACACTTAACATAGTGACAAGCACATAGGCAATGAAAGTCATTTTTCTGAAGAATGAACTTTTCAAGAGCTCCTGTTACTTCATTATACTCACTACCAAAAGAGAGAGCTGGGCCTGAGGTTAGCATAGATTGTTTTCAGAGTAGCCTGTGTCTCAAGCCGGTGCTGAGATTACTATACAGGCATGGAACTAATCTGCCAATTTCAGCCTTACATTTTACTTGCATTTCAGGGTCTGTGGAAGGATGAACTGAGGTAATGCATATCTGCAGAGCACTTTTTATAGCCTCTGCGTTGCAGTATGTGGCCACTGCATGCTGAAAGATAGCCAGTGACATCAGGATCATTAATCATGCTTCAGGGATCAGAACCACTCACTTCCTATTCTGGTGCCTCGGTAGTGGCTCTGGACAATGACACGATGATTTGGAAATTCACTGTCTCTCTAATTCTAGGGTTTTGTTTGTAGAAAATTCTACATTGAATCAAGCTATAATAATAGTGAGGTACAGAGTAAAGCCTCCTTTGTATATTCTCTCTCAGTATTCAATCTAGTTGTTCACATGTTATAAAGGGTGACAAATTATTTGAAGAGAGATGAACTGAAAATGAAGGTGTCTTACATGGATGTCATCATCTATTTTTAGCACACTGATATGGTTTGGCTCTGTGTTCCCACCCAAATTTCATCTGGAATTGTAATCTCCATGTGTTGGGGGAGGGATCTGGTGGGAGGTGACTGGATCATGGGGACAATTTCCCCTATGCTGTTCTCATGATAGTAAGTGAGTTCTCATGAGATCTGATGGTTTAAAAGCGGCAGTTTGCCCCATGCTGTTTCCAATACACACAGTGTTTGCAACTAGGAAAATATTTCAATAATATATGAAAGGTTCAAGATATCCTGTGCTTGATAGTAATTGATAAACTATGTGATAACACAAAAATAAGAAGTACATATTTCAAGTTGTGACAACAATTAGAAATATGTCTTCTACATAGCATTATAAATAAAAATAAATCACCTTGCCAAGTTTCATGACCCCATGACTTATTTGTAATACATACTTGAACATGCACATGTCTGATGTATTCCTAGATGTCTGTACATGTATTATAAAGGGCAATGTTTTCCTTGAACAACTGCTGTTTTTAGTGAGATTGTTAGTAGATATTAGTAAATTACACTTGTAGAAAGAACTCTATAGTCAGGAATGTCACATGTGACTGATGAATGTAATAAAAGTAACAGAATTATTATAATGATCACATTTGGTACTAGAAAGAACAGAAAATTTTGTATAGATACAAAATACATAGTCATTGAATGAATAGTTTCTTGGTGGATCAAAGCTTATATATCTTATGGATAATTCCTTAGGTGTGACATGCATCTATTTCATAAGTTGTATAACTTAGTTATATTGTTTTGCATTAATTAGCCTAAGATGTGACATAGATAATAGAAAGGAAATTAAGAAACAAAATTTCCTTTTTTTAATCCAGAAACAATCAGGAACTGTTAAATGGACTAGACTTCTCTTTGATGCCACATAACCAAGCTCTACAGTTCTCTTATTTGACATATTTTAATCCAGGCTTTTTAATCCACTTATCCTCAGTAACAGCCCTCTTCCTTAGACAGTATCTCCAGTCTTTTCTTGCTTTACCTATCCCTACCTTGGACATCTTGATTTTCAGGCCTGTGAACTTAGCCCTGTGTGAAAAGGGTAAAAGGGTCTGAGAACTCCTTAGCATATATTTTTATTACACTTGCATCAATTTATTGTATTACTCTTTGGTTTGGCAATACTCTTGGAATTCATTGAGTAACTCAATGGATATTTGCTGAATTAATTAATGGACAGTGGTTACCTAGGTGAAGAAAGAGAGTCAGGGAAAGGACAAAGGTGTTTCTGTGGCTGAAAAGCAGGAAAAATAACATAGAACAAACCATAACAGCATATTTTTCTGGTGTTCTGAATGAGAATTGGCTGTGGAACAGAGCGGAAGGGATACTACATGGGAAGAACCGAGCCTGGGGATCAGGCCTGGATCACTAAGAGCTGATCAAGATATTTCATCTGTTGTTCTTTCATTTTCATTTCAGAGTGGGAAGTTTGTACTAGGTTGCCTCTAAAGGGCTCTTCCTCATCTGAGCTTTTATAATTCTCCAGATGATTGAATTGATGTTGTTCCTATCCAATTATTGATGACACTATTTTGGTTAAGTTCCTAATACCTTGGGGAAAATGTGTAAAATTCCATGTGTCATGTCATAAATTGAAGAGATATTTAGTCAATTTGATATTAACCTTTAGGGAGCAGTATAATTTCATATAACAGATATTTTTAATTTATCCTGATATAAAATGTCCAAAGAAACTATCCCAAACTAGGTAGAACAAGTAAGTCACTTTACCAGAATCATAAATTCAAAATCAATAAGTGATTAACAGTGTTTACTTTTAAAAGCTATTAGAAGTAGTTGATATTAGAGAGCTAGAAACAAGTATTATAGGATATTTATTTGTATTCAAACTTTTATTAGGAAATTGCTCTAATATTGGTCTTTGTGTTTTAGTATATTTCTAGAGAAGTGAGAGAATCAAGAGGAAATATAGTAATGGACATTTTGACAATGAATTATAAGAGAGTCAATATACTGAGGGTTTAAAAAATTAAGATGAAGATTCATAACTGTTTTCAAGCTATTGAAAGGGAATTGTGAAAAAGATTGTGTCCAATTATCATCTATCTCCACTGGGATTGAAAGACAAGTAGTGGGCTTAATATGAAGCAAGAGAAGAATTCATTTAGAAAGGGAGATTTTTATTTTTGCCCAAATTATGATTAAACATTGTAACAGCTGACTGAGAACTGTTAGGAGCCCTTTGTTTAAAAAAAGTGAAACAGATGAATTTCAGTCTTTGTTCATCTAAGTATGTATTTTCACTTTATGATTATTTGATGATCCTATAAGGACTAACATTTCTCCAGAGTTAAAACCATTAATGGGAGATATATTTGTTGGAAGATTCTCTATTCCCAAAACATTATTTTTCTTTTTTCCTTCAAGATAAAACCCAGCACATATTGTCTGCTTTGATATCTAAACAACTTTACAAGCATTCATGCTTTGAAACAGTATGAGAGGCCAAGCAAAGGACATTTAATGTTTTTTACTTTCCTCTTCCTCTCTGGTCACAGGATAAATGTAAAACTGGTTTGAGTAGCTGCTGTAAAGTCGTGTGGGTAGCTGAATTTCCTGTCAGCACACTTTACAGCCTGCAGATGCCTCTGAGGAGAGACAGGCTTGACTTGTACCACTTTTCAGGTTTGTTTCTTAAACTCGCTTCTGTGAGCTTTTCCAGTGACTCCAGGGAGATGAAGCACCTCCCTACTGCTATATATTAGAGCAAAATTTAGCAGACACTTAAAAGCATTTCACAGTCTCAGAAGAGAAACAAAATAAATTCAAATATTTGGATTTTTGCCAAGGCCTTCAGAGTAAACTCAAAAAGTCTTTCCTTTCCCAGTGGGCACATTCTGAAATTTCTCTTTAGGTTATGCATATTGAATAGAGAGAACCATGGCTCACATCTTTCTAAGTTGAGACAGGAAATTACTGCCCCCTTAGGGTGCTTCCCTGGCATTAACACAGCCCAAGGTTGGAACTGGTTAATAGTTGCATGGTGTGTGTGTGTGTGCATGCACACACGCATATGTGCTCTATCCTTGTAGTAGTCAGAGAGCAGATAGTAACTAAGAAAGAAAGGCAAGAAGATAATAATGAAATATTTGGGAATTAAATGAAAGTCATGGAAAATCTTGGAACCATCATGATTATGAAAGAAAATTCTTGAGATAATTCTATGTCTGCAGTTTGCTTTCCACCTTACAAGTCCCTGGGCAAGTTACTTAATCTCTCCAGTCTCCATTACTTCTATAAACAAGGAATAATAAAAACAACTATCTCACAGAATTGTTATGAGAATTAAATCAGACGATGAATGAAGAATGACAATTACATAATAAGCATTCAATATGTTATTTGTGACTGCTAATGTTGGAAGAAAAAACGTCAAAGAATACCATGATAGACAAAAATCTGTGGCTAAATTACCTGCTTTCACAAGAAATTTGGAACCTCTTAGCCTTCTGTTGATCCTGGGAAACGGCTACTCCCTGGTAGGCTGAATATTACTTTTTGCGGTTACACACTTTGTCTGCTCCCAGAGGGCTCTTGTTCTAGACTTTCTGCTTTAAAGTGCAGCTGGTGCTCCTGTTGGCAGTCTCTTGGGGATGCAAGGGTTTGGCCCAGGGCTTTGGCCCAGTCTTGCCAGATCAAGTGGGGGTAATCTCCTGTCCCCATTTATATGCAGTACTCAGAGGTTTCCAGCTGCTTCCTTGCCATTTACTCCTGGCTTCATCCCTGTGAGGTTGATGGGTAATTAGCATGGATTTTATAGCCACCATAGGAGAGAAAAGGAACTAACCCAGCAAATATGAATTTGGTAGAAAATTTAATTTGATGCTTCCTTCTTAGCAACCCACATACAATGCAAATAATTTTCATCTCCTAACCTGTGGTGGAATTCAAGTTCTTTCTGTTTCAAATAATGGTTTATCCCAAGGGAAGTTTTCCTCATTAACAACAAAAAATACAAAAATTTGTTGGTGATCTATGATGATATTTATTCTATTTCATTTATTTAAATAGTTATAGTTGGAGAGAAGAACAAAAAGTATCAAATCTTGGATTTCTGTATGTCAAGCTACTTTATAGATTCCATCTGACTTTTTGAGAGAGAAAGTTAACAGTGTTCATCGAGCTAACTATATAATTAAATGCTTACCCACTCCTTTCTCTCTCTGGCCTCTCAATTTCTGTGCATTTGCAGAATCTAGATTTTTGATTCATTTGCATTTTGAAGATATAATAATTGTAAACAACATTTCTTGGGCACGCGCTATGTGCCGGGCTCTCTTCTAAGCTCCTGTACGTGTAGACTTGTAGAAGACATTAGGAGAAACAAGAAAAAGTAAATTTTCATGCTTTTGATATTTCTTAGAGTGAAAGCTCTATTTATTTATTTATTTATTTATTTATTTATTTATTTATTTATCCAATGGAGAGATTCAGACCTGTGAATTTACTCCTAGTGAGACCAGAGCACTCCTGGTCTAGATGTTTGTTGACTTTGTTTTTGAAACAGGGCTTATCACATCAGCTAATTATTTTTGTAAGTGCCTGGGTCCTTGATGGCTAATTTTAAATATTGTTCTAGTGTCTCTTGTCTTCTACATCTAGGCTCCTATTTTAGGTTTAGATTACATACACTAATGTGATTATTTGTTTATTTAATGTACATTTTGAAAATTTATCTCAGTAATAACTAACGTGTTTTTTAATGATAAATGTAAATTGACTTTAGAATTTTCTGAGGTTTTCTTTTTTTTCTTTTTGAGACAGAGTCTCGCTCTGTCGCCCAGGCTGTAGTGCAGTCGCGTGATCTCAGCTCACTGCAAGGTCCGCCTCCCGGGTTCACGCATTCTCCTGCCTCAGCCTCCCCAGTAGCTGGGACTACAGGCGCCCGCCACCCCACCTGGCTCATTTTTTTGTATTTTTAGTGGAGACGGGGTTTCACCATGTTAGCCAGGATGATCTTGATTTCCTGACCTCCTGATCCACCCGCCTCGGCCTCCCAAAGTGCTGGGATTACAGGCGTGAGCCACCGCGCCCGGCCCCTGAGGTTTTCTTTAAGATAGACAACAATTAACTACAGCCCTAAAATGAGAGAAAGAAATACTACATAAAGCAAACTTTTTTAAAAATTTTAAGATTTAATTTTATTTTTGTTAGCTAATATGAACCAAACATCATTCTAGAATCTGAAAGAGAGTACAGGTAGTTATCATCCCTAACTCTCTTTTAACATTTTGTTGTTCTGCTCCTTTTAAAGGTGTCTCTTTAAAGATTACACCTGTAAGATCTGCATTTTGTTCTTCATCATATTCACAATCATTGTACAATTTCAGCTCAGGGTTGATTGGCTGCCCCTACAAAAAAATCCTGCCCCTATAAAATACAAAAGCAGCGGGTGGGAGAGGAAGATACAACTCCCAGTATCGCAGAAGGTATACACCCCCCTGTGATATTGTTCGTAATTTTCAGGGAAGGAGAGGATGATATTACTCCCAATATTGCAAGGCCTGTACACCCTCCTGTGATATTGTTCATAATATCCAGAAATGAGAATATTACTCCAAATATTGCAGGGGGTGTACACCCCCTTTAATATTTTTTGTAATATCCAGTAGGGAGTGGATGATATTACTCCCAATATTGTTTGCAATTTCCATAAGGGGAGAGGATGATATTACTCCCAATATCACACAAGGCGTACACCACCCTGTGATATTGTTCATAATATCCAGGGAGAAGGAGGATGATATTACCCCCAATATCCCGGGGAGTGTACATCCCCCTGTGATATTGTTCATAATATCCATGTGGGGAGAGGATGATGTTACTCTCCATACCCCAGAGGGTGTACACCCCCCACTACGATATTGTTTGTAATTTCCAGGAGGGGAGAGCATGATGTTACTCCCCATAATGCAAGGGGTGTACACCCCCATACGATATTGTTCGTAATATTTAGACAGGGATAGGATAATGTTAATCCCCATATTGCAGAGAGTGTACATTCCCCTGCGATATGTCTGTAATATCCGGGGAAGGGGGAGAGGATAATGTTACTCTTCATATTGCATCCCCCCGAGATATTGTTCGTAATATACAGGGAAAGAGAGGATAATGTTACTCTTCATATCTCAGGGAATATACATGCAACTGCGATATCGGGGCGGGGTGGAGAGAGAGATATTACTCCCCATATCGAAGGAAGTGTACGCACCCCTGCGATATTGTTCATAATATCTATGGGGAAAGGAGATGATGTTACTCCCCATATCGCCAGGTGTGTACACCCCTCTGCGATATTGTTCATAATATTCAAGGGGAGAGAAAATGATATTACTCTCGATATCTCAGGGGATGTAAACAACCCTGCCATATTGTTTGTAATATCCAGGGAGGGAGAGGGTGATATTACTCCCCATATCACAGAGGGTGTACAACCCCCTGCGATATTGTTCGTTATATCCAGGGGGGAGATGATATTACTCCCAATATCGTAAACATCCTGTGTGTACATCCTCTATGATATTGTTCATAATGTCCAGGGTGGCAGAGGATGATTTTAGTCCCAACATCGCAGGGTTCCTACACCCTCCTGTGATATTGTTCCTAATATCCAGGGGAGTAGAGGATGATATTACTCCCAATATTGCAGGAAGTCTTCACCCCCCTGTGATATTGTTCTTAATATTCTGGGGAGGGAGAGGATGTTATTAATCCCAATAACTGGGGGATTGCATACTCCCCTGTGACATTGTTTGTAATTTTCAGGGGGTGGGTGGATGATATTTTTGCCAATATTGAAGGGGGAGTATCCCCCCGTGATATTGTGTATAATATCCACTGGGGGAGAAAATGATATTACTTCCAATATCGCGGGGGGTTGTACACCCCCCGTGATACTGTTCATAATATCTGGGGCTGGGAGAGGGTAATATTAGTCTCAATATTGCAGGGGGTGTACACCATTCTGTAATATAGTTCGCAATATTCAGGGAGAGGAAAGGATGATATTACTCTCAGTATCTCAGGCTGTGTACAATCCCCTGTGATATTGTTCATAATATCCAGGGAGGGGAGAGTATGATACGATTCCCAATATCGAGGGGAGTGTACATTCCCATTGTAATATTGTTCATAATATCCGAGGGTGGGGGGTGGAGGATGATATTACTCCCAATATTGCAGGGGGTGTATATCCACCTACGATATTGTTGCTAATATCCGGGGAGGCGGAGAGGATGATATTATTCTCTATATCGCAGGGGGTGTACACCCCTCTGTGATACTGTTTGTAATATCCACGTGGGGAGAGGATAATATTACTTCCAATATAGCAGGGGTTGTATCTGCCCCCCTGAGATATTGTTCCTAATATCCAGGGGGTGAGAGGATGATATTACTCCCAATAGCACAGGGGGTGTACAACCACGTGTGATATTCTTCCTAATATCTAGAAGGGGAAAGGATGATATTACGCTTAATGTCGCAGAGGGCATACCCCACCCCTGAGATATTGTTACTAATATAGAGGTGAGGGGAGAGGATGATATTACTCCCAATATCAGAGAAGGTGTACACCTTCTCTGTGATATAGTTCCTAATATCCAGGAGAGAAGTGGATGTATTACTTCTAATATCGCAGGGGATGTACACCCCCACTGTAATATTGTTCCTAATATTCAGAGGGAGATAGGATGATATTGTTCCTAATATCGCATGGAGTGTGTACCCTTCTTGCAATATTTTTCCTGATATTTAAAGCGGGTGACCACATATTACTCTCACTAGTGCAAGGGGTGTACACCCCCCTGTGATATTGTTCCTAATATCCAGAAAATGTGAGAATGATACTACCCCCAATATCGCAGGGAGTGTACACGCCGCCCCCCCCCCATGATATTGTTTCTAACATCCGCAGGGGAGAGGAAGATATCAGTCCCTATATTGCAGGGGATATCCATTCCCCTTTTGATATTGTTAAAATATCCAAAGGAAATGATGATATTACTGTCAATATCGGAGGGGGTGTAAACCACCTCTGTGATATTGTTCCTAATATCCAGTGGAAAGGATGATACTCATCCCAATATCAAAGGGGGAATACACTTCTTCTGTGATGTTGTTTCTAATATCCAGGAGGGTAAAGGATAATATTACTCCCAATATCGCAGGGGGTATACACTCCTCCTGAGATATTGTTCCTAATATCCAGGGGTGAGAAGTTGATATTACTCCTAATATTGCTAGGGGAGTACACACACCTTGTGGTATTTTTACAAATATTCAGGGGTGAGAGGATGATATACCAATATAGCAGGGGGTGTACACCCCCTTTGTGATATTGTTCTTAATATTTAGTGGGGAGAGGATTACATTACTCCCAATATCGCAGGGGGTGTACACATCCTCTGTGATATTGCTTCTAGTATCCAGGGAGGAGAGCATGATATTACTCCCAATGTCGCAGGAGGTGTACACCCCTTTTGTGATACTGTTCCTAATATCCAATGTTGATATTACTGTCAGTATCGCAGGTGGTGTACACCCCCTGTGATATTGTTTTTAATATCCAGAGGGGGAGAGGATGATGTTACTCCTAATATCTCAGGGAGTGTACACCCCTCCTGTGATATTGTTCCTAACATCCAGCGGGGGAGAGAATGATATTACTCCCGATATTGCAGGGGGTGTACACAGTCCCGTGATATTGTTCCTAATATTCTTGTGGGGAGAGGATGATGTTACTTTCAATATCGCAGGGAATGTACACTCCCCCTTTGTGATATTATCCGTAATACTCAGGTGGGGAAATATTATATTACTCCCAATATCGCAGAGGTGTACATTTCTTCGTGATATTGTTCCTAATAACCATGGGGTGAGAGGATGATATTACTCCCAATGTCGCAGGTGGTGTACAACCCCCTGTGATATTTTTTCTAATTTCCAGGAGGGAGAGGATTATATTACTCCCAATATCACAGGCGGTGTACACCCCCCTTATGATATTGTTTTTAATACCCAAAATGGGAGACGATGATATTACTGTCAATACCGCAGGAGGTGTACAACCCCCAGTGATACTGTTTCTAATACTTGGGTTGGGAGAGGGTGATATTACGCCCAATATTGCAGAGATGGTACACCCCTATGTGATATTTTTCCTAATATCCATGGGGGGAGAGGATGTTTTCACTCCCAATATCACAGGAGGTGTACACCCCCCTGAGATATTGTTTCTAATATCCAGGGGTAAAGAAGATGATATTACTCCCAATAGAGCAGGGGGTATACAAACTTCCTGTGATATTGTTCCTAATATGCAGGGGGAAATAGGATGATATTACTCCCAATAGCTCAGAAGGTGGTCACCCTCTTTAAATATCAGGAAGAATATTACAAGAAGGGTACACACTCCATGCGATATTAGGAATAATATCATCCTATCCCCCTCTGAACATTAGAAACAATATTACGGGGTGATGTACAACCCCTGCAATATTGGAAGGAATACATCCACTTCTCTCTTGGCTATTAGGAATTATATCACAGAGGGGTGTACACCCCCTGCAATATAGAGAATAATATCATCCTTTCCCCCCTGGATATTAGCAACAATATCATAGGTAGATGTACACCCCCTGCGATATGGGGAGTGATATCATTCTCTACTCCCTACCCCCGGATATTACTCCCAGTAGCTCATTAGGAACAATATCACGGGGGGATGTACCCTCGCTGCGATATTGGGAATAATATCATCGTTTACCACACGGGATACTAGGAACAGTATCACAGGGGGTTTTACATCCCCTGATATATTGGGAATAATATCGTCCTCTCCCCCCACGGATATTGGGAACAATATCATGGGGGGGGGGTGTAACTCCCTGCAATAGGTCAGAAGGTGCACACCCCACCCCCGTGATATTGTTTTTAATATCCAGGAGGGGGAGAAGATAATATTACTTCCAATATCCTAGGAGGTGTAAACACCCCCAGGGATATTCTTCCTAATATCCAGGGCGGGAGAGGATATTACTTCCAATATCGCAAAGGCTGTACGCTCCCCCATGTTATATTGTTCCTAATATCCAGGGAAGGAGAGGATGATATTATTCCCAATATCACAGGGGTGTATACCCTCCTTGTGATGTTCCTAATATCCAGGGCGGGAGACGACAATATTACTCCCCATATCGCAGGGGGTTACACCCCCGTGTGATATTTTTCCCAATATCCATAGGGGGAGAGGATATTACTCCCAATATATCAGGGGATGTACAACCCCCTGTGATATTGTTCCTAGCATCCCCTGCCATACTAGAAGTAATATCACTCTCTCTCTCTCTTTTTTTTTTTTTTTTGAGACGGAGTTTCGCTCTTGTTGCCCAGGCTGGAGTGCAATGGCACGATCTCGGCTCACCACAACCTCCACCTCCCAGGTTCAGGCGATTCTCCTGCCTCAGGCTCCTGAGTAGCTGGGATTACAGGCATGAGCCGCCATGCCTGGCTAATTTTGTATTTTTAGTAGAGATCAAAATCATAATATCAACAATCCTCTCCTCCCCTGATTATTAGGAACAATATCACAGGGGTGGTGTACACCCCCCAGTATATTGGGAGTAATATAATCCTCTCCTGCGCTGGATATGAAAAACAAATAACAGTGGGGTTGTACATTCCCTGCAATATTGGGAGTAATATCATCCTCTCTTCTCCTGGATACTAAAAACAATAGAACAGTGGGTGTACACCCCCTGTGATACTGAAAGTAATATCATCCTCTCTCCCTCTGGATATTAGGAACAATATCACCGGGGAGGGGGTGTACACCTCCTGCATTATTGGGAGCAATATCATCTTCTCCCTATCTGGATATCAAAAACAATATTACAGTGAGGGTGTACACACCCCCTGCGATATTGAGGGTAATATAATCCTCTCCTCCCCTGATTATTAGGAACAATATTAGAGGGGGGTGTACATCTCCTACAATATTGGGAGTAATATCATCCTCTCCCCCCCGATATTAGGAAAAATATCACAGTGGGGGAGTACACCCCTTGCGATATTGACAGTAATATCATTGTCTCTCCCCTTGGATATGAGGAAAAATATAACAAGGGGGGTGTACACTTTCTGTCATCTTGGAAGTAGTATCATTTTTACCCCACTAGATGTTAGGAACAGTATTAAGGGGGGGGGAGGTGTACACCGCCTGTGATATTGAGAGTAATATCATCCTCTCCCTTCCTGTATTTTAGGAATAATATCCCGGGGGTAGGTGTCCACCCGCTGAGATATCGGGAGTAATATCATACTCTCTCCTCCTAGATATTAGGAACAATATCAAAGAGGGTGTTTGTACACACCCCTCTGTGGAAGTGTACACCCTCCTCTGTGATATTGTTCCTAATATTTCTGGGTTGAGAGGATATTACTCCCAACACCCCAGGGGTTGTACAACCCCTGTGATATTGTTCCCAGTATTCAGAGAGGAAGATGATTATATTACTCTCAATATCACAGGGGTTATACAGCCCCCCCTTGTGTTATTGTTTGTAATATCCAGATGGGGAGAGGATGATATTACTATTAATATCGCAGGAGGTGTACATCCCTCTGTGATATTGTTCATAATAACCATGAGGGGAGAGGATGATATAACTTCCAATATTGCAGAGGTGTATACCCCTGGATATTAGGAACAATATCACAAGGAGGTTATACACCCACCGCAATATTGGTAGTAATATAATCTCCGCTCGTGAATATGATGAAAAATATCACAGGAAGGGTGTATACCCCATCCGATACTGGAAGTAATATTATCCTCTTCCCATCTAAATATTAGGAACAATATCACAAGGTTTGTACACCTCTTTCGATATTGGGTGTAATGTCATCCTGGGATAGCAGGATTATTATCATTCCCTCCCACCACTGGTTATTGGGAACAATATCACAGGGGTGGTATACATCCCATGCAAAATTAAGAGTAACATCATCCTCTCCCTTTCTAGATATTAGAAACAATATCTCAGGGGGGTGTACACCCCCTGCCATATAGGGAGTAATTTCATCCTCTTTCACCCTGGATATAAGGAACCATGTCATGGGGGGTTGTACATCCCCTGCGATATTTGGAGTAATATCATCCTCTACCTCCCTCGATATTAGGAACAAAATCACAGGGGGTATGTACACTCTTTGCGACATTTGGAGTAATATCATGTCTCCCCAGCTGGATATAATGAACAAAATTACAGGGAATGTGTACACGCCCAGCGTTATTGGGAGTAATATCAAACTCGCCCTTCTTAAATATTAGAAAAAATATAAAAGGGGGTGTGTAAACCCCTTGCAATATTGAAAGTAATACCATCCTCTCTCTTTCTGGATATTAGGAATAACATCACAGAAGGGTGTATACCCTCCTCGATATTGGGAGTAATGTAATCCTCTCTTTTCCTGGATATTAATAACAATATCACGGTGGGGGGTGTAAATCTCCTTCGATATTGGTAGTAATATCATTCTCTACACCCCTGGATATTAGGAACAATATCACAGAAAATGTGTACACCCCCTGCGACATTGGGAGTAATATCATCCTCTCTGCCGTGGATACTAGAAACAATATCACGGCGGGGGGACAAGGTTTACATCCCCTGCGATATTGTGAGAAATATCATATTCTCCCATACTGGATATTATGAACAAGATCATAGTGGAGGTGTACATCTTCTGCCATATTGGGAGTAATATCATCCTTTTCCACCTTGGATATTAGGAACAATATCATACGTTTGGCATACACACGCTGATATATTGGGAGTAATATCATCTGCTCCCTTTCTGAATATTAGGTACAATATCACAGTGGGGTTGTACCCTCCCTGAAATATTGAGAGTAATATTATCTTCTTCCCCTTTGAATATTAAAACATATATCACAGAGGGGGTGTACACCCCCTGTGATATTGGGTTTAATATCATCTGCTACAACCACCTGTGATATTGTTGCTAATATCCAGACGGGAAGAGGACGATATTACTCCCAATATCGCAGGAGGTGTACACCCTTTTGTGATACTGTTTGTAATATCCAGGTGGAAAGAAAATTATATTCAATATCACAGGGGTGTACACCCCCCTATTACATTGTTCATAATATCCAGGTGGGTAGAGGATGATATTATTCCCTACATTGCAGGGGGTGTACACCTCTCTCGTAATACTGCTCATAAGATCCAAGGGGGAAGAGGATGATATTACTTTTGAAAGTATCGCAGGGTTTGTACCCCCCCGAGATATTGTTCCTAATATCCAGAGGGTAAGAGGATGGTATTACTCCCAATAGCACAGGCGGTGTGCACCTTCGTGTGATATTTTTCCTAATATCTAGAAGAGGAGAGGATAATATTACTCTTAATGTTGCAGAGAGTGTATCCCACCCCTGAGATATTGTTCCTAATATCGAGGCAGGGTAGAGAGGATGATATTACTCCCAATATCGGAGAAGGTGTACACCGTCCCCTGTGATCAGTTCCTAATATCCAGGGGGAAGTGGATGATATTACTTCCAATGTCGCAGGGGTTGTACACCCCCCTGTAATATTGTTTCTAATTTTCAGAGGAAGATAGGAAGATATTATTCCCAATATCGGACAGGGTGTAGACCATTCTTCCAATATTCTTCCTAATATTTGAAGCAAGTGACAACATTACTCTCAATAGCGCAGGGGGTGTATACTCCCCTGTGATATTGTTCCTAATATCCAGAAAAGATGAGAATGATATTACTCGCAATATCGCAGGAAGTGTACACTCGCACCCTGTGATACTGTGATAGTGTTTCCAATATTTACAGCAGAGAGAGGATGATATGACTCCCTATATCGAAGGAGGTGTACATTTTTCTTGTGATATTGTTAATAATATCCAAAGGGGGAGACAATTATATTACTGTCAATATCGCAGGGGCTGTAAACCACCTCTGTTGTATTGTTCCTAATATACAGTGGAAGAGAGGAGGATATTAATGCCAATATTGAAGGGGATGTACACCCCTTCTGTGATATTATTGGTAATATCCAGGAAGGTAAAGGATAATATTACTCCCAATATCACAGGAGGTGTACATCCCACCCTGTGATATTGTTTTTAATATCCAGAAGGGAAAAGTTTGATATTACTCCCAATATTGCTGGGGGAGTACACACATTCTGTGGTATTTTCCCTAATATCCAGAAATGAGAGGATGATATTACTACCAATATCACAGGGAGTGTGCACCCTCTTTGTGGTATTGTTCTTAATATTTAGTGGGGAGAGGATTACATTACTCCCAATATCACAGGGCATGTACACACACCCTGTGATATTGCTTCTAATATCTAGGAAGGAGAGCATGATATTACTCCCAATGTTGTAGGGGGTGTACACTCCTCTCGTGATACTGTTTCTAATATCCAGTGGGGGAGACGTTGATATTACTGTCAATATCGCAGGTGATGTACACCCCTCCTGAGATATTGTTTTTAATATCCAAAAGGGGAGAGGATATTACTCCCAATATTGCAGGGGTATACCCACCCCAGTGATATTGTTCCTAATATTCTGGTAGGGAGAAGATATTACTCTCAATATTGCAGGGAGTGTACACTCCCTTCTTGTGGTATTATCCTTAATACCCAGGTGGGGAAAATATTAGATTACTCCCAATATCGCAGGAGGTGTACATTTCTTCGTGATATTGTTCCTAATAACCATGAGGTGAGAGAATGATATTACTCCCAATGTCGCAGGTGGTGTACACTCCCCCTGTGATATTGTTCCTCATATCCGGTGGGGAGATAATTATATTAGTCCCTATATCGCAGGCAGTATACACTCCCCTTGTGATATTGTTTTTTTAATATCCAAAATGGGAGACGATGATGTTACTATCAATACCGCAGGGGTTGTACACTCCTCCATAATATTGTTCCTAATACCCAGGTTGGGAGAGGGTGATAGTACGACCAATATTGCAGAGGGTGTACCCCCCCTTTGTGATATTGTTTCTAACATCCATGGGAAGAGAGGATGTAATCACTCCCAATATCGCAGAAGCTCTACACCCCCCTGAGATATTGTTCCCAATTTCCAGGGGTAAAGAGGATGGTATTACTCCCAATAGCACAGGGGGTGTACACCCTTTCTGTACTATTGTTCCTAAGATGCAGGGGGAAATAGGATGATATTACTCCCAACAGCTCAGGGGGTGTACACACCACCTGTGATATTGTTTCTAATATCAAGGGGGAGAGAAGATAATATTACTCCCAATATCGCAGGAGGTGTACACGCCCCCAAAGATATTGTTCCCAATATCCATGGGGGGAGAGGATGATATTACTCTCAATATCTCAGGGCATGCACACCTCCCTGTGATAATGTTCCTGGTATCCAGTAGGGAAGACGATGATATTATTCCCAATATCGCAGCAAGTGTACACTTCCCCTGTTATATTGTTCCTAATATCAAAAGGGGAGAGGATGATATTACTCCCTATATCGCAGGGGGTGCACACCCCACTTGTGATACTATCAATAATTTCCAGGGCTGGAGAGGATGATATTACTCTCAGTATCACAGGGGGTGTACAACCGCCCTGTTGTGTTGCTCCTAATATCTAGTGGAAGCGAGGATGCTATTAATCCCAGTATCAAAGAGGGTGTCCATTTTCTTTGTAGATATTGTTCCTAATACCCAGGAGACGAGAGTGTGATATTATTCCCAATATTGCAGCGCAGTGGGTCTACACCCCCTTTGTGATATTCTTCGTAATATCCAAAGGGGGAGAGGATGATATTACTCCCAATACCGTAGGGGGGTGTACACACTCTCTGTAATATTGTCCCTAATATCCAGGTTGGGAGAGGATGATATGACTCCCAATATCACAGGGGGTGTACAACCGCCCTGTTGTGTTGCTCTTAATATCTAGTGGAAGCGAGGATGCTATTAATCCCAGTATCAAAGAGGGTGTCCATTTTCTTTGTAGATATTGTTCCTAATACCCAGGAGACGAGAGTGTGATATTATTCCCAATATTGCAGCGCAGTGGGTCTACACCCCCTTTGTGATATTCTTCGTAATATCCAAAGGGGGAGAGGATGATATTACTCCCAATACCGTAGGGGGGTGTACACACTCTCTGTAATATTGTCCCTAATATCCAGGTTGGGAGAGGATGATATGACTCCCAATATCACAGGGGGTGTACACCTTGTCTGTGATATTGTTCCTAATATCCACTGGGGGAGATCGTGATATTACTCCCAATATCGCAGAGGGTGTACAACCCCCCCTATGATACTGTTCCTAATATACAGGAAGGGAGAAAATGATATTACTCCAAGTATGGCAGGGAGTATACATCGCCCAACCCCCATGATATTGTTCCAAAGAAGGAGAGGATGATATTACTCGCAATATTGCAGGGGGTGTACAAACCTCGGTGATATCGTTACCAATATCCAAGGGGTAGAGGATGATATTACTCTCAATATCGCAGTTGGTGTACACACCACTGTAATACAGTTTTCAATATCCAGTGGGGGAGAGGAGGATATTACTCTTAATATCACAGGGGGTGTACACCCTTCCTGTGATATTGTTCCTAATATTCAAAGGGGGAGAGGATGATATTACTCCCAATATCGCAAAGGGTGTACACCCCCCTGTGATATTGTTTTTAATATTCAGAAAGGAGAAGACGGTATTTCTCCCAATATCACAGAGGGTGTACACACTCCCCTGTGATATTCTTTTTCACATCAGGGAAAGGAGAGGGTATGATTTTCAATATCTCAGGGGTTGTACACAATACTGTGATCTTGTTTTTAATATCCAGAGAGGGAAAGGATAATATTACTCCCAATATCGCAGGAGTGTACACCCCCCGCGCTGTGATATTGTTCCTAATATTCAGGAAGGGAAAAGATTATAGTACTCCCAATATCACAAGGGGTTTACACCCCCCATCTGATATCGTTCCTACTATCCAAGGGGGAGAAAATAATATTACTTTCAAAATCGCAGGGGCTGAAAACTCCCCCTGTGATATCCTTTCTAATATCAAGGAGGGGAGAGGATTAGATTACTCCCAATATCGGAGGGGGTGTACACGTTCCCTGTGATATTATTCCTAATATCCAGGTGGGGAGAGGATGATATTACTCCCAATATCGCAGGGGTTGTACACCTTCCTGTAATATTGTTCCTAATATGAACGGAGGAAGACTATGATAGTAATTTCAATATCGCAGGGGGGGTACACCCCCACTGTGATATTGTTTCTAATATCAAAGATGGCAGAGGATGATATTACTCCCAATATCACAGGGGGTGTACACCCCTTCTGTGATATTGTTTCTAATATGCCCGGGGGAGAGAATGATACTACTCACAATATCACAGGGAGTGTAGACCCCACTGTGATATTTTCCTAATATCAAAGGGGGAGAAAATAATATTACTTCCAATAGCGCAGCGGGTATACACCCGCCTGTGATATTGTTCCTAATACCCAGCGAGGAAGAGGATATTACCCCCAATAGCACATGAGGTGTACAACCCCCCTGTGATATTGTTCCTAATATACATGGGGGGAGACGATGATATTATTCCCAGTGTCGCAGGTGGTATACACCCACCCCTGTGTGATTGCTTTTAATATCGAGGGCAAAATAAGATAAAATTACTCCCAATATCGCAGGGGGTGTACACCCCTTCTGTGATATGGTTCCTAATATCCAGGTGAAGAGAGGATAATATTACTCCCAATATCACAGAGGGAGTACATCCCTCTGTGTACTCTGGTTCTTAATACCCAGTAGGAGAGATGACAATATCGCTCCCAATATCTCAGGGGATGTACACCACCCCCACATCGTGTGATATGGTTCCTAATATTCAGTGGGGAAGAGAAAGTGATATTACTCCCAATATCACAGGGGGTGTTCACATCCTTCTGTGATATTGTTTCTCATCTATGGAAGGTGGAAAGTAATATTACTCTCAATATTGCAGGGAATGTACACCCCCCTGTGATATGGTTTCTAATATCTGGAAGGGAGAGAATGATATTACTCCCTATATTGCAGGTGGTGTACACCCCTCTTGTGATGTGGTTAATATTGTTCAGGAAGGGAGACAATGATATCATTGTCCATATCGCGAGGGGTGTAAACTTGCCCTGTGATATTGTTCCTAATATCCAGGGGGGCAGAGAGTAATATTACTCCCAATATCATAGGGTGTGTACACACCCCCTGTGATATTATTCTTTATATTCAGGTGGGGAAAAGATGATATTACTACCATTATCATAGGTGGGGAAAACAACTCTTTGTAATATTGTCTTTAATATCCATGGAGGGAGAGGGTGATATTACTTTCAATATCGCCAGAGGTGTACACCATCTGTGTAATATTGTTCCTAATATCCAAGGATGGAGAAAATGACATTACTCCCAATAGCACAGGAGGTGTACACTGCCCCAGTGATATTGTTCTTAATATCCAGGGGAGTAGAGGATAATATTATTCCCAATATTGCAGGGTGAGTACACCCCTGTGATATTGTTCCTAATATCCATGGGGTAGAGGATGATATTACTTCCAGTATTGCACGTAGTATACACCACCCCTGTGATATTGTTCCTAATATCCAGGAGGGGAGAAAATGGTGTTAGTCTTAATATCGCAGAAGGTGTAAACCACCCCTTTAATACTCTTCCTTATATCCAGAAAGGGAGAGAACGATATTACTCTCAATATCACAGGGGGTGTGCACACCTTCTGTGATACAGTTCCTAATATCCAGGGGGAAAGAGGATGATATTAATTTCAATGTCGCAGAGGTTGTACACATCCCTATAATATTGTCCCTAATGTCCAGTGGGGAAGAAGATGGTATTACTCCCAATATCACATGGGGTGTACAACCCCCTGTGATATTGTTCCTAATATCCAGGGAGGGAAAGGATATTACACCCAATATCGAGAAGTTGTATCCAGGAATTGTGTCCCCTGCGATATCATTCCCTGCAATATCATTCCTAATATCCAGGTGGGGAGAGGATGATACTACTCTCAATATCACAGGGGTTGTACCTTTACCCTGTGACATTGTTCCTAATATCCAAGTAAGAGGAGGCTGATAAGACTCCCAATATCGCAGAGGGAGTACAACCTCCTTGTGATATTATTCCTAACATCCAAGGAGGGGAGAAGATGATGTTACTGTCAATATCACAGGGAGTGTATACCCACCCTGAGATGCTGTTTTTAATATCCAGGGGGTGAAAGGATATTACTCCCAATAGCATGGGGACTCTATACCTCGCTGTAATATTGTTCCTAATATCCAGGGGGGAGGGGGCGGGGGCGGCGAGAGGATGATATTACTCCTCAAATCGCAGGAAGTGTATACGCTCTTTGCACTACTGTTCCTAATATCGGGGGGTGGGGGGAGAGGATGATATCACTCCCAATATCGGAGAAGGTGTACACCCCCTGTGTGATATTGTTCCTAATATCCAGCAGAGGAGAGGATGATATTACTCCCAATATCGCAAGGGCTGTATACCCTCCTTGTAATATTGTTCCTAATATCCAGGGCGGAAGACGACAATATTACTCCCAATAGCGCAGGGGGTGTACACCTCCCTGTGATGTTGTTCCTCGTATTTAGGGGAAGAGAGGATAACATTGCTTCCAATATCCCAGGGGGTGTACACCCCCCTGTGATATTGTTCTTAATATCCAGTAAAACAAAGGATGATATTACTCCCAATATCACAGGGAATGTACACTCACCCTGTGATATTGTTTCCAATATCCAGAGGGCAGAGGATGATATCACTTCCTATATCGCAGGGGGTGTAGAATCCACTTGTGATATTGTTAATAATATCCAGGTAAGAAGACGATGAGATTACTGTCATATCACAGGGGGTGTATACCAATCCTGTGACATTGCTTCTAATATCCAGTGGAAGAGAGGATGATATTTATCCCCAAATTAAAGGAAGTGTACACTCACCCCTATAATATTGTTTGTAATATTCAAGGGGAGAGAGAATGTTGTTAATCCCAATATCTCAGGGGGTGTACACCCCCATTGTGATATTGTTCTTAATATCCAATGGTGGAGAAGATAATATTACTGTCAATATAGCTGGGGGTGTATAACCCCTCTGTGATATTGTTTCTAATATCCAAAAGGGGAGAGGGTGATATTACTCCCAATATCGCAGGAGGTGTACAACCCCTGTGATATTGTTCCTAAAAACCAGTGGGGGAGGGGATATTACTTTCAAGATCGCAGATGGTGTACACCCTCTTGTGATACTGTTCTAATATCCAAGGGGGAAGACGATGATATTACTGTCAATGCCTCAGTAAATGTACATGTCCCCTTTGATATTATTCCTAATATCCAGCCCAGTATCGCAAAGGGTGTACACCCCCTTTATTATATTGTTCCAAATATGCAGGGGGAAAGAAGATGTTATTTCTCCCAAAATCACAGGGAATGTACAACACCTCTGAGATATTGTTTATAATATCCAGAGGGGGAGAGGATGATATCACTCCCAATATCGCATGGTGTGTACACTCCCTCATGATATTGTTCCCAATATTCCGGTGGCGGGGAGAGGATGATATTACTTCCAATATTGAAGTGGGTATACACCTTTCCTGTGATATTGTTCCTAATATCCAGAGGAGAGAAGATGATATTACTCCCAATATCGCAGGGGATGTATAGCCTTCTTGTGATATTGTTCCTAATAACCAGGGTGGGAGACAACAATATTACTTACAATATCAAAGGGGCTGTACAGCCCCGCTGTGATGTTGTTTCCAATATCCAGGACGTGAGAGGATAATATTAATCCCAATATCGCAGCAGGGGTACACGTACCTTGATATTGTTCCTGGTGTCCAGTGGGGAAGAAGATGCTATTGCTCCTAATATCCTAATATCCCCCTTTGATATCGTTAATAATATCCAGCAGGTAGAGGATATTACTCCCAATATCGCAGTACGTGTACACCCCGTCTGTAATATTTTCTCTGATATTTAGAGGGGGAGAGGATATTACACATAATATCGCAGGCAGTGTACACCCTCCCTGTTATATTGTTTCTAATATCCAGAGGAGAGGATGGTATTACTCCCAACATCGCTGGGGGTGTAGATTTTCCCTGTGATATTGTTTCTAATATCCAGAAGGAGAGAGAATATTAGTCCCAATATCGCAGGGGGTGTACACATCGCTTTGTGATATTGTTTTTAATATCCAAAAAAGTATGATATTACTCTCAATATTGCAGAGGGTGTACACATCCCCCTGTGATATTCTGCCTAATATCTAGGGAAGGAGAGGATGATATTACTTGCAATATCGCAGGAGATGTAAACATCCCTGTGTTATTGTTCTTAAAATCCAGAAGAGGAGAAGATAATGTTACTCCCAATATCGCAGGGGGTGTACGCATCCCCCTTGTGATATTGTCCCTAATATTTAGGGAGAAGGGGATATTACTCCCAATATCACAGGGGATATACCCACCCCCTGTGATATTATTTATAATATCCAGGGTGAAGAGAGGATAATAATACTCCCAATATTGCAGGTGGTGTACACTTTCGCAGGGAGAGAGAAAATGATATTATTCCCAATATTGCAGAATGTGCACCCCCCCACACTACGATATTGTTCCAAATATCCAGGGAGGGAGAGGATGATATTACTCTCAATATCGCAAGGGGTGTACACCCCGTGTGATATTGCTCCTAGTATCCAAGTGAGGAGAGGTTGATATTACTCTTAATATTGCAGGGGGTGCACAACCCCCCTTTGATATTGTTCCTAATATCCAGGGGGTGGGAGAGAATGATATTACTTCCAATATCACAGAGGGTGTACTACCGTCTGTGATATTGTTTCTAGTTTCCAGGGTTGGAGTGGATGATATTACATTCCATATCGAAGGAGTTGTACACCCTTCCTGTGATATTGGTCCTAATATCCAGGTGGGGAGAGGATAATATTACTCCCAATATCGCAGGGGCTGTACACCTCCCCTGTGACATTGTTTCTAAATGCAGATAAGAGAAGATGACATTACTTCTAATATTGTAAGGGGGGTACACTCCCTTTGTGAAATCGTTTCTGATATTTAAAGGGGAGAGGAGAACATTTCTTTCAATACCACAGAGGGTATACTCACCCCCTGTGATATTGCTTCTAATATCCAGCTGGGGAGAGGTTGATATTACTCCCAATATTGCAGAGGGTGTACACCCCTTCTGTGATATTGTTCCTAATATCCACAGTAAGAGAGCATAATATTACTCCCAATATCGCAGGGAATGTACACCCCTCCTGTGATATTGTTCCTAATATCAAGGGGGAGAGAAAATGATTATATTCACAATAACACAGCGGATATACACCCTCCTACCGTGACATTGTTCCTAATAACCAGCAAGAGAGAAGATGATACTACTGCCAATATCGCAAGGGGTGTACACCTTCCCTGTGATATTGTTCCTTATATCCAGAAAATAGAGGGCAATATTACTCCCAATATTGCACTGGGTGGAAACAACACCTGTGATATTTTTCCAAATATGCAGCGTGGTAGATGATGATATTACTGAAAATATTGCAGGGCGTGTACACACCCCTCTGTGATATTGTTTCTAATATCCAGTGGGGGAGAGGACGATATTACTCCCAATATCGCAGGGAGGTACACCTCCCGTGTAATACTGTTCTGAATACCTAGGGTGAGAGAGGATAATGTGACTCCCAATATTGCAGAAGGTGTACACCACCTTTGTGATATTGTTCCTAATATCCAGGGAGGGAGAAGATGATATTACATTAAATATTGAAGGAGGTGTACACAGCCCCCGTTGATATTCTTCCTAATATCCAGTGGGAGAGAGGATAATATTACTCCCAATATCGCAGGGGTGTACACACCCCCTGTGATATTGTTTCTACTATCCAGGGAAGAAGAGGATGATATTACTCCCAATGTGGCAAGAGTTGTACACCCCCACTGTGATATTGTTCTTATAAATCAAAGGGAGAAAGGATATTACTCTGAATATCACAAAAGCTATACCGCCCGCCCCTGGAATATTGTTTCTAATATCCAGGAGAGGAGAGAATAATATTACCCCCAATATCGCAGGGGAATGTGCACCTCCGCGCCATATGGGGAGTAATATCACCCCCATCTCGTCCCCAGATATTAAGAGCCACATGAAAGGGGGGTGTCTACCTCCCTCCATATCGGGAGTAATATTACCCCCCTCTCGCCCCGTGGATATTATGAGCCATATGACAGAGGTGTGTCCACCTCCTGCCATATCGGGAGTAATATCACCCCCCTCGCCCCCTGGATATTACGAGCCATATGACAGGAGGCTTTTTACACAGCTTTTTTTTTTTACAATAATGGGAGTAATATTATCTCCACCTTTCGAAATTATGAGCAATATCACAGTAAAGTGTACAGCACCTGCGATATTGAGTTTAATAACATCCTCTTTCACTCTCTGGATATTAGAAAAAATATCACAGAGGGGGTTTACATCTTCTGCGATATTAGAAAGAATATCAACCATTCTTCTCATGGTTATTAGGAATAGTGTCTTGAGAGGGGGTGCTTTTTCGACGTTGAGATTAACTTAATCCTCTGTGAACCGAAATAATACAAACAATATCACAGGCGTGTGTACACCCACTGCGATATTGAGAGTTATATTACCATCTCCCCCCCCTCCGAATATTATGAAATATATCAGAGGGGGTTATACAACCCTTGGGATTTTGGGAGTAATATTATCCTATCTCCCTCTGGATATTAGGAACAATATCACAGGGTGGGGGTGCATACCTACTATGATATTGAAAGTAATATCATCTTCTCCCCACCTGAATATCCAAAACAATATTACAGTGGGGTTGTACACTCCCTGCGTTATTGAGAGTAATATAATCATCTTCCCCCCGGATATTAGGAAAATATCACAGTGGGGGGTGTAAACTCCCTGCTATATTGATAGTAATATTATCGTCTCCCCGCTTGGATATTAGAAGCAATATTACAAAAGGAGTGTACACTTTCTGAGATCTTGGCAGTAGTATCATTTTTCCCCCACTGGATATTAGGCACAATATCACGGGGTGGGGAGTAGACACCGCCTGCAATATTGGGAGTAATATTATCCTCTCCCTTCCTATATGTTAGGAACGATGTCCCAGGAATCGTGTACACCCACTGCGATACTTGGAGTAATATCATGCTCTCCCCTCCTAGGTATTAGGAAATGCCAGAAAGGGGTGTACCTCCTCTGCGACATTGAATGTAATATCATCCGCTCCTTCCCCTGGATATTAGGAACAATATTACAGGCGGGTGTACACCTCCTGTGATACTGGAAGTAATGTCCTCCCCATCCCTGGATATTAAAAACTATATCCTGGGGAAGGGGGTGTACATTTCCTGCTCTATTGGGAGTAATATCATTCTCTCCCTTTCTGGATATTAGGTAATATATCTCGGTTGGGGTAACAACCACTGCAATATTGGGAGTAATATCATCATTTCCCCATCTAGATATTAGGAGAAATATCAAAGGGGGGTTGCACACCTCATGCGATATTGGGCCTAACATTATCCTCTCCCATTCTGGTTATTATGAACAATATCACAGTGATAGTGTACACCCCATGAGATATTGGGAGTACTATCATCCTCTCTTTCTTTGGATAGCAGGAACAGTATCACAGGGGCATCTTACATCCCATGTGATATTGGGAGTAATATCCTCCTCTCCCCAACCGAATATTAGGAAAAATGTTACTGGGGGGGATATACATTCCCTGCGATATTGGGAGTAATATAATCCCATCTTCCCATGGATATTTTGAACAATATACCAAAGAGGGAGTACACCCCCTGCGATATTGGGAGTAGTATCATCCTCTTTCTCCCTGGATATAAGAAACAATATCACACAAGGGGTGTACACCCCCTGTGATATTTGAAGTTATATCATTCTCTCCCCCACTGGATATTAGGGGAAGTGTACACACCCTGGGATATTGGCATTAATATCATCCTCTATTTCCCTGGATATTAGGAACAATTTCCCAGGGGGCGTGTACACTTCCTGTGATATTAGGAGTAATATAATCCCCTGTTCCCATGGATATTTGGAACAATACACCAAAGAGGGAGTACACCCCCTGTGATATTGGGAATAGTATACTCCTCTTTCTCCCTGGATATAAGAAACGATATCACATAACGTGTGTACACCCCCTGCAATATCATCCTCTCCCCCACTGGATATTAGGAACAATATCATAGGGGAAGTGTACACACCCTAGGATATTGGCAGTGATATCATCGTCTATTTCCCTGGATATTAGGAACAATTTTCCAGGGGGCGTGTACACTTCCTGTGATATTGGGAGTAACATTATCCTCTTCCCCTGTGGATATTAGGAAAAATATCACAGAGGGTGTGTACACGACCATCGATATTGGGAGTAATATCATCTTTCCACCTGTATATTATGAACAATATCACTGGAGGTTTTACACCCCATGTGATATTGTCAGAAATATCCTTTTCTTCTCTCTGGATGTGAGAAACAAAATCAGACGGGGGTGTACATTTTTTGCGATATTGGGAGTAATATCACCCTCTCCTCCCTTAAATATTATAAACTAAACAATATCACAGGGGGGTTGTACATCCCTGCAATATTGGGAGTAATATCCTCTTTTCCTTTGAATATTAGAGAACATATAACAGAGGGGGTGTACACATTCTTCGATATTTGGCTTAAGATCATCCTTTTCCCCCCTAAATATTATGAACAGTATCACGGGGGGAGTACACCCCTGTGATATTGGGAGTAATATCATCCTCTCCTCACTTGGATATTAGGAACAATAACACAGGAGGGGTGTCACCCCCTGCGATATTGGGACTAATATTCTCTTCTCCCTTCTTCAATATTAGGAATAATATTACAAAGAGGGTGTACGCCTCCTGAGATATTGGGAGTTATGTCCTTTTCTCCTTTAGTGAATATTAGAAATAATATCACAGGGGCGGGCATACACTCCCTGCTAAATTGGGAGTAATATCATCCTCTCCTCCCCTGAATAATAAAGACAATATAACATTGGGGTTGTACATGCCCTGCGATATTGGGAGTAATATCATCCTCTCCTTTCTTGAATTTTAGGAATAATATCACACAGGGAGTGTACACCTTCTGCTTTATAAAAAATCGTAGGGGTGTGAACACTCTCTGCGATATTTGGAGTAATATCATGTCTCCCCTCCTGGATATAATGAAAAATATTACAGGGAAAGTGTACACCCCTAGCTTTAAACTCGCTCTTCTTAAATTTTAGAAAAAATATAAAAGAGTTGCATAAACCTTCTATGATATTGAAAGTAATATCATCCTCTCTCTTTCTGGATATTAGGAATAATATCACAGAAGGGTGTACACCCTCCTCGATATTGGGATTAATATCATCCTCTCTTTCCCTGGATATTAATAACAATGTTATGGGGTGGTGTAAATCCCCTGCGATATTGGAAGTAATATCATCCTCTACACCTCTGGATATTAGCAACAATGTCACAGAAAAGGTGTACACCCCTGGCGACATTGCGAGTAATATCATCCTCTCCGCCCGTGGATATTAGGAACAATATCACAGGGGTGTGTACATCCCCTGAATTATTGGGAGAAATATCATCCTCTCCCAAACTGGATATTATGAACAAGATCATAGTGGGAGGTGTACATTTTTGCAATATTGGGAGTAATATCATCCTTTTCCACCCTGGATATTAGAAACAATATCACATAGGGGGTGAACACCTGCTGAGATATTGGAAGTAATATCATCCTCTCCCTTTCTGAATATTAGGTACAATATCACGGGGGGTGTACCCCCCTGCAATATTGAATGTAATGTTATCTCCTTCCTCATGGTTATTAGGAACAATATCACTGTGGGGGCGTACACCCTATGCGATATTGAAAGTAAATTCTTCCTCTCCCGCATTGGATATTAAGAATAATATCATAGTGGGGGTGTTCACCACCTGCGCTATTGGGAGTAATATCATTCTCTCCCCCCAGGATATTATGAAAAATATAACGGGGGGTTGTACACACCCTGCAATATTGGGAGTAATATCATCCTCTCCCCCCTTCAATATTAGGAACAATATCACAAAAAAGGGTTTACATCACTGGCTATACTAAGAGTAATATCATTCTCTCCCCCCCGGATATTACAAACAATATCACAGAAGGGTGTTATCACAGAAGGTTGTACACCCCCTGCGATATTGGGAGCAATATCATCCTCTTACCCCCAGGATATTATGAAGAATGTCACAGAAGGTGTACACCTCCTGTGATATTGGGAGTAGTATCATCCTTCCTTTCCTGTATATTACGAACAATATCACAAAGGGATGTACACCATCTGCGATATTGAAAGTAATACCATCCTCTCCCCCCCAGGATAATACAAACAATATCACAGTGGGGTGTCCACCCTCTGCGATATTAGCAGTAATATCATCCTCTCCCCTTCTGGGTTGAATGAACAGTATCACATAGGAGTGTACACCCTCTGCGATATTGGAAGTAATATCATCCTCTCCCCTCCTGGACAGTAAGAACAATATCACAGTTGGGTGTACACCTCCTATGATATTGGGAGTAATCTCATCAAATTAAAAATTGCTTTGGGGTCAGGTTTTATGAAGATGATGAATGCCTCTAATGGGTTCCAGGTGCTTCTTTTCCACTAGCCATGAGGCTGTCCACAGGTTACTGCACAGATATTATCACAGCTCAGTAATATTGGTAGGAGAGCTGTGCCTAATGTTTTCCTTCTACCACCTCGTTTTTTTTTTTTTTTTCGCCAGTCTCACTCTGTCTCCCAGGCTGGAGTGCAGCAGTGCAATCTCGGCTCACTGTAACATCCACCTCCCAGGTTCAAGCGGTTCTCCTGTCTCAGCCTCCCGAGTAGCTGGGAATACAGGAGAGCGCCACCACGCCCGGCTAATTTTTGTATTTTTAGTAGAGACAGGGTTTCACCATATTGGTCAGGCTGGTCTCGAACTCCTGACCTCAGGTGATCCACCCGCCTCGGCCTTCCAAAGTGCTGGGATTACAGGCCTGAGTCGCTGCGCCTGGCCCATCCTTATCATCTTCACATTGAGTAGTCTGAAGAGGAGGTGGATAAGGAGGAGGAAGTGGAGGAGGAGGTGTGGCTGGTTTTGCTGTCTCGGGGTGGCAGAGGCAGAAGATGTGGAGGAGGTGGAAGGGGAGGTAGGAAAGGCAGGCACACTTGGTATAACTTTACAGAAATACATTTTAATTTCTGTCTGAGTTTTTTGCTTTTTCATTTCTCTAAAAATATTTCTGTGTGGTACCTATCCTTCTTCAACCATTTACTTTAGTATCAATGCCTGTATCATAGAAGATTCCATGTGGTAAAAGAAGTCAAAAGTCATCTTGTATAAATGGAGCCCTTCTGCCAGATTGTCTGAGCCAATTTGTTTTCTGATACTGCTTCTTCTTCATCTTCTTCCTTATTGTGTGGCATCGATTTGGAAGCACTCATCTCCATTAAGTTGTCTTTTGTTAATTTCTCTGGTGTGGTGTCTATTAGCTCTTGAATTTCTGCAAGATGCATATATTGAAATCCTTCACCACCCACATTTTTTTTTTGCTATATCTACGATCTCTTTCATGATTTCCTTGATTGTCTCTGTCATAAATCCTGTGACGTTATGCACAACATCTGGACAGTTTTTTTCTGTAGGAATTTATTGTTTTGATCATGATGGCTGTCACAGCTTTTTCTATAATGATAATAGCATCTTCAATGATATAATTTTTCCAGACTTTCATAATCTATCAGAATTATCTTCCATAGCATTGACAATCCTTTTTATAGAGTACCATGTGTAATGAGTCTTAAAGATCCCTATCACCCCCTGATCTAGTGGCTGAATTAGAGATCTTGTGTTTGGGGGCAAGTAGACGATTTTGATGCTTTTGCTGTTGAACTCATGGGGTTCTGGGTGGCAAGGGGCATTGTCCAATATCAAAAGACTTTAAAAGGGAGTTTTCTACTGGCAAGGTACTTCCTGCTTCCCGACTTCACAGACAAAGCATCAACGGAATCAATCCAGAAAAAGAGTTCTTGTCCCGGCCTTCCTGTTGTACAATCAGAAGATTGACAGCTGGTCTTTATCTTTTCCCTTCAAGGCTCAAGGATTAGCAGCTTTAAGGATAAGGGTAGTCCCGACTGCATTTGCACGGAACAGTTGAGTTAGTCTATTCCTTCCTGCCTAAATCCTGATGCTCACTTCTCTTCCTTACTAGTAAATGTCCTTCGTGGCTTTTTTTCCCCCAGAATAAGGCACTTTCATCTTAATTAAAAACCTGTTCAGACAGATATCCTTTCTCCTCAAATAATTTTCTTAATGCCATCTGGGAATTCGTCTACCACCTCTTTGTCAGCAAAAGCTGCTTTTCCTTATATCTTGACAGATTTAAAGCCAAATCTCTTTCTATAATTATCAAACCATCCTTTGTGGGCATTAAATTTTCCAGCTTTAGATCCCCCACCTTCCTTTTGCTTTAAATTGTCATATAATGACTTCACTTTTTATTGAATCATATTAGAGCCTATGGATATGCCTTTCTTATATCAATCCTGTATCCACATAAAAGCTGCATGTTCAATATGAGATAAAAAGGTATTTCCCCAAAACTGCAAGATTTTTGCACCTGCTGGCATAGCTGCAGTGATGGTTTCACAAATTTCTTTTTTTTTTTTTACAATGGTATTTATGCTGGATTCATTTATCTTGAAATAGCAGGGACTGCAGCTGCAAATCTCAATCTATGGTACATACCAAGTAATTCAACTTTTCCTTGTAATGTCTTGACTTTTCTGTGCTTCTTGGGAGCACTTTCAGCATCACTAGTGGCACTTCATATGGGTTCCATGGTATTATTCAAGATTTATGGTATTGCACTAATGAAAAATGCACGAGAGCTGCAAGATGTCAGTTTTTACTGTGTCATTCAATTTACTGGAGAGACTAACTGCTTACACAGAGATGATTATTAGGGTCACACAGTATTTTACAGATATTTCCCACAGTTAAGCTCACCCATTGCAATAGCACTGGGAGGTGGGTACAAAATTATTACAGTAGTAGAGTATGCACTAGACTTCATAGTATGCAGTTATGATTTAATACTGCATCTTTACATTTTTTTACATTTCTCTCGACTGTGAATGATGCCTTGTATGGTCTATGTTTGTGTGCTTAAGCTTTGATAAATTTTAACTTTTATAACAAATTGTGTATATTTTATGGTAGCAAATGATAAAACATACTAGTATCTACATATGTTTTATGCATTCTGACATATCTAACTTTTTCTCTTTTTTTGATATTTTAGGTTATGCAGTTCATCTGCAAGCTTTCTCTCATTGTCACATATCTCCAAATAAAATCAAGATATTTATTTAAAAAATTTGCATATAAGTGGACTCATGCAGTTCAAACTTGTGTTGCTCAGGGACCAACTATATAAGAAAAAATAGGGAAAATATTATAACTCATTTTAAGTTCCTACCAGGTCTAAATTATTTCAAATTATGAATTTGCTTGGTCCAGATAAATGGAGTTAAGGGTAACTGAAATTTGTTTTTTATTAAATATGGAATAAGAAGAATAAGGAAAATCAAATTTTTGTTGGCATGTTAGATGCTATTATTAAAGGCCTGTTCATTCATGCTTACAATGGTACAGCATTTTAAATTATGTAAAGCATGAAACTTTGAACCTAGTCATTTGTTGTATTTCTAAATTCCCACAAGATGGCAGAATTTCAGAGCATTTTAAAGTACGTGTCTGGATAGGTAGCTAGAATATTTTAAGTCTTGTAACTAGGTTAAGTGCAAATCCTGTTTTCTGATCAGTGATGCAAAAAATGCTCACACAGAGCAGGGCCCAATTCTTATTTACAGATTCTACTAAACTGAAGGAATGAAACGATATATTGCACAGGATTTACAATACTCCTCAAATAGAGAAATACTTTCTTGTTTTATAACTCTAATTTGAGGTCATTCATAATAACCTAGGCACTTACTGCTTCATCTGTGCGTTTCCTTTGTTTTATTCATGAGGGTCAGAGATGAACTGGGATGTAGGCTTTAACAGATGGAAGTGCACGTCTTGGTGTTTCAGAGGTTCCAGCCACATGTCAGTGTGGTTCTACAAGCAGCGAGGATCAGCCAGGCCTGTCCATCACCAGGCTTGTGCCTGTAAATATTTAAATGATTATGTTTTACTCTTTCAGGGTTTGATATACTTCAAGTGATACAGGCTTGTTGTTAGTGTTGGACTCCTCAAGGAAGCAAATTCCTTTGCATTCCCCCTTTATCCCTCCCTTTCTCTCTCTTTTTCCTTCTTCCTATTCTTCTTCCTCCTTCTACTCTTCTTGTTCTCCTTCTTCTTAATGCTGGTGGGGGTGTTGTAACAGTTAACAAATTTCACCAAAGACAGGTCTCTAAGTACCCATTAATGCTTCTATCTTACTTTTTTCAAGCTGATATAAAAAATACCATAGACTGGGTAATTTAAAAACAACAGAAATTTATTTTTCATAGTTCTGGAGGCTGAGAAGTCCAAAATCAAAGTGCTATCAGATTTGGTGTCTGCTGAAGGCTTACTCTCTGCTTCATAGATGGCTCCTTCTAGCTCTGTCCCCCCATGGTAGAAAGGACAAATGAACTCTGTCTGGCTTATTTTATAAGAACACTAATCCCATTCATGAGGGCGGAGCCCTAATCACCTCCCAACATCCCCACCCCCAAAGTTTCACCATATATATTTTAGAGAGGCACAAATATTCAGATAATAGCAACCTCCATAGCCTAAGAAAGAAGAGGGGTTTGTTGGACCCAAATTGAAATAAGTTACACCAAATAACCACTGAAGACACAGAGGTTTGAAGTAAACACTATTTCAAACCTGGCTTGAGTATATGTTTTGCTTCCATTTTTCTTACTAGATATGGCTTTTATATTTTTTAATGTCTTTTATTTCTTTACCTATGGATAGGATCATCTAATGATAAGTGCCATTTCTTTTTGGAAAACACCTTTTAAAATTAGGGTTTAGTTAGACAACTAGACAGTTCCTTCATTTAGCAAGTAGGACAGATGTAATTTGGAAGAGCACTTTATCTAAGTGATAATCCTGGTGCTAAGGTTATTGCTCTGCCTGAATCCACCTAGAATTTATCCAGTGCTAATGGGAAAGTGTTTATGTTGCAACATGCAAAGCTCATGAGAAGAAAAAAAATACTAAATTACTGATGACAAGCATCGCTAAACTAAGGATGAAGGATGTGTAATCTCATAATGTTACAACCATTATAGTATCTGAACTCTGAAAATGATTGCATTGGGTGGTTAGATGGAGGCTCGTGTTTATAACTGCTATACACATGGAAACAAGTTTATTTTGGGGAGTCCAACTTAAGTTGTTGCACAAACTGTTCCCAAAATGCTATGGGCAACATCAGAGCAATATTTCTCAAGATTCTGCAAACCAAGCTGTTTTTGACTTCCCAGTGACTACGTGGAAAACATCCACTGCAAAGGGGCACCATGATGCAATAGCACATGTCAATTTTGAAATTTTCCTAATTGTTTATTCATAATGCCAGAGACCATCTTGAGAAGGGACACAGGATTCTTCTGCATTCCACTCCCCCACCTCTGATGAACAGACTGAATGGCCCCTATCCTATTCCATCTCAGCATATACCCAAAAAAAACTCAAGGTGATCTTGTTTATAAGAAGGAGCTTCAGTAAGAAATGAATATCTTCTGGGAAGAAAAGAAAATTACTTCTAAATGTAGATTTCTGTCAGTTGTTTCCAATTTTCATTTTGGAAAAATAGCTAGCAGCATAAAAAATTAACAATATTTAAATAATATTTCAGGAATTATATGCTACTCTAATAGTTAAATATACAGATAAAAACATTTAGTAGCAAAGAACTGAGTCCACTGTAGCTAGGTTAAATACAAAGGAATATATTACTGAATATTAAATATAATATAGAATCTTTGACCTGAAGAAATAGACTCCCAAAGTGTCACACCATAGAAATGGACTACAAAGTTACTGCTGCTTCTACCTCAGTTTCTTGTTAAATATGGAAGTTGCTGCAACAGTTACTGGCTGCAGAGAAATATTGCCTCTGCCACAATCCACACCAGCAAATGGATGTGTTGTGCCTACCTTTCTCCAGTTTAGTTTAGTTCAGAATTCAAGTCCTTGTAGGTAGTCTAATGGAAATAATAAAAACTAAATCATAATTTGAACACTAGTTGCAAGAGAGTTGGGCATATTTACCACAGTACAAATTATGGCAGAAAAGATAACTGAAATTTTAGAGTTAATCTTTATCCAGATAAAACAGCTAATTGATACTTGGACTGCTGAATTATATTCTGTCTCAAGTATTTATACAACATAGTTTTAGGAATTTTCTTGTACTTGTCTTCTCTTAGGTAAAACATATATATATATATATATAACATATGTCATATATATGTGTATGTATATGTGTATATGTGTGTATATATATTTTTATATATATATATAATTTGACATGTTAGAATAATGTAGTATGCAGTTCTAGTCCCGATGTATAATAAAAGGCACACAAAGCTTATGAAGAAAAAGTCACTGAGAAAACCAAGGTAATGGGGGAATTTCAGATAAAATAGTGGAAAATAAGCAATGGCAACTGTAAATCTGAAAAAAAGCATAGGAAAGAATGGCAAAACTAGGATTTGGATTGAATCTTGAACCAGTGATTTTAAGGTAAATACAAGGAGGCGCTAATGAGCCAAACAAAAATGTGTGATTTCATTCTTACTATGTATGCAGCACTGGCTAGACCCTATAGGAATTTTACCAGTAGATAGTGAACTTGAGTACCCTGAGGAACATGAGTATTGTACATGCTTAAATATTTCTTTAATATTAATAAATTAATAAAAACATAAAATAGAAGTTCAAGACTTGTTATATTTCTTCATGGAAGGTAGATTATCAAAAGAAGTCAGAGGATCAATATCTCTAAGCCTTTGGTGTAATTCATGGAAAGGAATTGCCATATAATAGAAAGGCTTTGAGTTTAAGGCAGGATTTTAATTCAGTTTTGCCAGTTGCTAGTTGTGTGATCTTAAGCAAATAATTTCTTGTAGTGTCAGTTTCTTTCTCTGTAAATTGGAGGTTGGAGACAGAGAAAATGAAATGTCCAGCTGTAGTTGTGGTACATAACAGACACAAAAAACTGTGGTTATTTTTATTGCTACTTTGTTAGATAAAAACTGCCAGTGGGGTGGCAATTATCATCTCTTTATCTATATGTGTAACCCCTTGTAGCATTCCTCATATCCTTATGTAAGTGGATTACACACAAACTTTATTGATGTCATGCATTCTTCGTATTGCCTTATTGCTCTTGTCTGAATGCTATGTTCCCCTCAAATTTATATAATGACACCTAATCCCAATGTGATGGTGAGAGGTGAGGCCAGCTGGACTTCCTGGGTTGAGTGGAGACTTGAGGAACTTTCCTGTCTTACAAGAGGATTGTAAAACGCACCAATCAGCGCTCTGTAAAACGCACCAATCAGCAGGATTCTAAAAGTAGCCAATTGCTGGGAGGATTGAAGAAAGGGCATTCTGATAGGACAGAAATAGAACATGAGAGGGGACAATAAGGGAATAAAAGCTGGTCACCCCAGCCAGCAGCGCAACCCTTGGGTCCCCTTCCAGGTTCTGGAAGCTTTGTCCTGTCGCTCTTCACAATAAGCCTTGCTGCCGCTCACTCTTTGGGTCCATGCCATCTTTAAGAGCTGTAACACTCACCACGAAGGTCCGCAACTTCATTCTTGAAGTCAGTGAGATCACGAACCCACCTGCAGTAACCAACTCCAGGCACAATGGCAGTAGGAGATGGAGCCTTTGGAAGGCGATTAGGTCATGAGGACAGAGCCCTCATGAATGGGTTTAATGCCCTTATAGAAAAGGCCCAAGAGAGCTGCCTTACCCTTTCCACCATATGAGGAAATAGTAACGGGAACCATCTAGGAGGCAGAAAGCAGACACCAAAGCTGCTGATGCCATGATCTTAGACTTCTCAGCCTCCAGAACTATGAGAAATAAATTTATGTTTATAAAATGCCCAGTCTATGGTATTTTGTTGTAGCAGCCCAAACAGACTAAGTTACACATGACTAGTTAATTGCAGTAGCCTCATGACAGATTCTTTTGGTCTCTCCCACCTCTATTCCTGTTCCCATTGTAGTTCACATGCTTCTCATAAAATAATTTTACCATGGTAGCCTCCTACCAGACAGCTGCAATGGTTTCACATTGTGCTTATAATTTTTTTTAGAAAGTACAATTTCATTCATTTAGTCAAAATGAATTTTTTAGAGAAGGTGGGGGAATGGAACAGTGCTGGGATGGAATGAAAATGGATGGAGAGAGTACATAGGTAAGTTGATCTGTAGGTAAAAAGCAAGGTGGATAGTAGGTAGGTAGGTAAGTAGGTATTTGGATTGATAGGTAGATAGATAAATACAGAGAGAGAGAGGAAACGAATTAGAAAGTATTGGAGTGAGTAAGATGGTGGGCAGTGGGATAAAGCAGGGTCTGTGTAGTATGGAGTGGATATGAGAATTGGGAGACACAGGTCCTGTACTTCTATACATGACATAAGCCTCTAATCTCTCTCAGCTGTAATATGAACTATTTGGTACTAAATGCTTCTAAGTGAAGAAGGGCTATGGATTTTTGAAGGCACATTTACAAACATTATGCCTTGGTAAAAAATCTAAGATTTAAAGAACTTGTGCAGAATGTTGTGGGTTGTCTTTTCTTCCTTCCTTTCTCTCTTGCTTTCTCTCCCCCTGTTTCATTTTGTTGCAATTTTTATACTACTATTGTATTTCTCAGATATTTTCCAAAGAAATCAATATTTGTTTTTCTGGGTAGGAAAAGAACACATCTTGTTGCAAAAATAAGTACTAAAAAAAAAAAAAAAGAAGCCCACATTTTCACATTGAGCATTTATTTTTTTTTTACTTTTATTTTTATTACTTTTTTTTTTTAAATATTCTCAATAATGTATTAGCAGACTGATTTTAGAAGTAAAATAAAACCAGTACAATAACATACATAATGAACATGTTATGCTTATTCTATGGATGCAAAAATGGTTTAATACTTAAAATTCAATAAATAAAATGTATTATATTTAACAAATTAGAGGAGAAAATATCTATTATTCTATTAATAGATATAGAGCTGTATTTAACAACATTTGGCATCCAGTTTTTATAAAACCTCTTTTTTTTTTTCTTTTTTTTTTTAATGTTTTTTTTTTATTATACTCTAAGTTTTAGGGTACATGTGCACATTGTGCAGGTTAGTTACATATGTATACATGTGCCATGCTGGTGCGCTGCACCCACTAACGTGTCATCTAGCATTAGGTATAACTCCCAATGCTATCCCTCCCCCCTCCCCCGACCCCACCACAGTCCCCAGAGTGTGATATTCCCCTTCCTGTGTCCATGTGATCTCATTGTTCAATTCCCACCTATGAGTGAGAATATGCGGTGTTTGGTTTTTTGTTCTTGCGATAGTTTACTGAGAATGATGGTTTCCAATTTCATCCATGTCCCTACAAAGGACATGAACTCATCATTTTTTATGGCTGCATAGTATTCCATGGTGTATATGTGCCACATTTTCTTAATCCAGTCTATCATTGTTGGACATTTGGGTTGGTTCCAAGTCTTTGCTATTGTGAATAGTGCCGCAATAAACATATGTGTGCATGTGTCTTTATAGCAGCATGATTTATAGTCCTTTGGGTATATACCCAGTAATGAGATGGCTGGGTCAAATGGTATTTCTAGTTCTAGATCCCTGAGGAATCGCCACACTGACTTCCACAATGGTTGAACTAGTTTACAGTCCCACCAACAGTGTAAAAGTGTTCCTATTTCTCCACATCCTCTCCAGCACCTGTTGTTTCCTGACTTTTTAATGATTGCCATTCTAACTGGTGTGAGATGATATCTCACAGTGGTTTTGATTTGCATTTCTCTGATGGCCAGTGATGATGAGCATTTCTTCATGTGTTTTTTGGCTGCATTACTTTTATTATTATTTTTTCTTCCTGAGACGGAGTTTCCCTCTTGTTGCCCAGGCTGGAGTGCAGTGGCGCAATCTAGGCTCACTGCAACCTCCGCCTCCTGGGTTCAAGTGATTCTTCTGCCTCAGGCTCCTGAGGCACTCTCTTCTTCAAATGCATGGGTGATTTATGGGTAATGGTCTGGATCTGTCACCTAATATTGAGTATATATTTAATGAGTGGAACTGACTGGAAAAATCCCTAAGGATCTCTGGGCAGAGACTATTTAGCCTTGGAATTCCCAGTAAGTTTCTTAATACAATGTTCTGTCCAAACTATTCACCTCTGGGTGAAGTTTTTTTATTTTATTGATGCAGAGGGGAGGTAAATAGCTAATGCATTTATTTAAAGCAAGTAAATATTTAACTTTATAAATTATTCTAATTTATACAGGTGATTACAGGCAGCCGCCACCACGCCCGGCTAATTTTGTGTTTTTAGTAGAAACAGGGTTTCTCCATGTTGGTTAGGCTGGTCTCGAACTCCGGACCTCAGATGATCTGCCTGCCTCGGCCTCTCAAAGTGCTAGGATTACAGGCAAGAGCCACCACTCCCTGAGTATTTTTATTACTTTTTAACGATACTATGGCAGTAGACATTTGAACTCTTGAATGATTGTTTTCTTTAGATAAAATTCCAGAAATGGAATTCTTGAAGAAGAGTGTACATATTTTTAAAGGTTTGGACATGTAGCCCATTTCTGCCTCCCTTGCCAAGTGTAGGGCAGAAGAATATTTGTTTCTTTACACCCTCACCAACACTGGGTATTATTGAGCTTTTAAATATGCCCCAATTCTCCAGGTGAAAAATAGCATCTAATATATGTTTTAGTGTGCATTTCACTGATTAATAGTGAATCTGAAAATGTTTTCTTATAATTATTGGCCATTTCTAGCAGGCAGTGTATTATAGCTTATCATAACACATCATTTTATCGAGAAATGCCGTTATCAGCTCTGCAGCAAAAAGTAGTAAGCACATGCTAAGCATGTTTCTCTGTGTACCTTATTTTGCATACAGTTAATAATAAGAAGAAAAGTTAAAAAATATTTTATTTGGTAGTGGCCCAATATATGATATCCAAAATAAAAAGGATTCAGAATGCATACTCTATATCCTTGTGCAAAATTGTTCTAATTTTAGATTTTCTGTTATATACTGTTTTGCTAATAGGAGTTATATGGTGGAAATATGTGTGTTATGTGATATTTCTAGTGATCTGGCAATTATCACTTTGCCATAACTGTATTTGCCAGCATAAGTTAAACTTAGACTAACTTTAATATTCAATGTTTGCTTAAGTGGGGTTCAGTCTGCTTTAACCTGACTATGAGATAGTTCTCTATGGATAATATCAGAAAGTGACATAGGCCATTGCTCAAACAACAGCAACATTCATTTTAGAATTGTCTTTCAAAAAACCCCTTACAGTGCTTCAGTGGCTTTAAGTGGTAGATGTCTTTATTGTCTTTCTTTATAGATCTGATCTCCTAAATTTGAAAGACAGAAGTCAGTCAAACATTTTCCATAATAATATTGAAGTGAGCAAGGAAACAACCCAGTATCTTTATTAATATTTCTCTTTTAGTCTCAGGTTTCTGATATTTATTTAAAGGCATTAGTTCTTTACTGATGATTTCTGCATGCATAGTCTGCTAATGTGTGACTAATACACTAAGTGCTTTTTCCCAGTGGAGAGAACAAGATCATTTGGAAGAGATTCAATTCCAGACCTCCTTTTATCAGGTTTGCTTTATTAGCTTTGGTGTCTGGATGTACACAGTATACCTTTGTCCTTTTGCAAGTGAAATTGTTTGCTAGAGGAGGAAAAAATTATTTGCCCTTAAGAAACCTTCAAAGTGAGTGAAAATTGCTGTGATGCAAACTCTCAGAAGCAATTTGTAAATCTTTGGACCACGGGCATTGCTATTTCACATCTTAGTGTCTGTCCTTCCTATTTCATTACATTTTTTGTATCTGCCTTGTTATGTGAGAAGACTTATTTCATTTGCTATAGTAGGCCCAGGGATATGATCTGAGGAGGGACAATGTTGGAATTTAAGGAAAATCCCATAGAAGTGAGATTTCATTGGCTAAGCTTTCCTTTCCCTTCCTATTTCCTTCAGTCATTTCTCTAGCAACCTGTTGGATATTGTGCCTTTTACTTCTACACTTCAAGTACCACCATCCCACACTCTCTTCTTCAAATGCATGGGTGATTTATGGGTAATGGTCTGGATCTGTCACCTAATATTGAGTATATATTTAATGAGTGGAACTGACTGGAAAAATCCCTAAGGATCTCTGGGCAGAGACTATTTAGCCTTGGAATTCCCAGTAAATTTCTTAATACAATGTTCTGTCCAAACTATTCACCTCTGGGTGAAGTTTTTTTATTTTATTGATGCAGAGGGGAGGTAAATAGCTAATGCATTTATTTAAAGCAAGTAAATATTTAACTTTATAAATTATTCTAAGATATAAAGCAAAGTAGCAGATTTCAAGAGAGAAAAATATGAAAAGTCAGAAACATCTTTCAAAATATAATAAGAAGGGAGAGAAAGTTGGTTACTGCTACAGTCTGAATGTTTGTGTCTCCCAAAATTCTTATGTTGAAATCCTAACCCCGATAATGGTGGTATTAGGATGTGGGGCTCTAGGAAGTGATTAAAGAGCTCTTGTACTAGTCAGGGCTCTCTAGCAAGACAGAACCAATAGAAGGTACACACACACACACATGCACACACACACACATAAGCTGGTGGTGTAATTCAGTCTGTGTCTTAAGGCCTGAAAACTGGGGGTCCCTGTAATATAAGTCCTGGAATTCAAAGTTCAAATGTCTGAGAACTAGGAAAGCTCCAGTGTCTGAAGACAGGAGAAGGCGAATGTCCCAGCTCCAGAAGACAGAATGAATTTGCTCTTTGCTATGGATTCAATGTTTGTCTCCCCAGCCCCTAAAATTATGCTGAAATTTAATTACCATTGTAACATTATTAAGAAGTGGGAACTTTAAGTGGTGATTAGGCCATGAGGGCTCTGCCCTGATTAATGGATTAATGTCTGTATTAGTCTGTTTTGTGTGGCTATAAAGGAATACCTGAAGCTGGGTAATTTATAAAGAAAAGAAGTCTATTTGGCTCACAGTTCTGTAGGCTATACAAGCATGGCAAAGGCATCTGCTCAGCTTCTGGTAAGGCCACAGGAAGCTTTTAAAAGGATTTCATATAATAGGACATGTTCGCCCCTTTTTTGTCTCTTTCTTGTTTACTCTCTGAGCCTTTCACCTCTGCCATAGAATAATGCAGCAAGAAGGCCTGTGTCACATGTCGGCCCCTCAGTATTGAACTTCCGGAAGTGTGAGCCAATAGAGTTTTGTTTTTTATAAATTACCTAGTCTCAGGAATTGTGGTATAACAGCATAAAATGAACCAAGACACCCTTCCTCCACCTTTTTGTTCTATTTGGATCTACAACAGATTAGATGATGTCTACCCACATTGGTGAGGGTGGATCTTACTCAGTCATCTTTGATCTACTGATTCAAATGCTAATCCCTTCTGGAAAGACCTCACATACGCATTCAGAAATAATGTTTTACCCGCTATCTGGCTATTCCTTAACCTAGTCATGTTGACATGTAAAAGTAATCATCACAGCCACCATTCAGTGCCCTCACTAAGTTCACTAATATTTTGTATTGGACCTTTTGCATATTAATAATAATTATTAAACCAAGCTTATATAAGAGAACAGAGCCATGGCAGTAAATACTTCTTAAATCATCATACAGGGTTGATGGTTGAACTCGAAATACTGCATTAGAATACATTCTTTTAAAGACACTGAAAAAAGGTTTTCATGTGACACTGGTGAATGTGCTATAATTACTGCTCAATGGTTCAGTTATTTTGTGAGTTTGAAATCCTCACATTTCAAGAAGAATTGTAATATTTGAAATGGGTTTTTAATATAAAAGCTGTAGACCTCTGAAAAGCTTCTAAGGGATTGGAATCCAATTAGTTACTTGTATATTCTGCCTGGAATAATGTATCCTTAAGTACTTTTTTTTTTTTGGAGGTAAGTAATTAAATAGGGTTAGAAAACTGAAAAAATAGATGGTGTAAACATTTGTTATAAATTAATTTGTTAACTTTTCTCCCATATTTCCATGTAATGGGTTCTAATGTTCTATTACAGCTAGAAAGATAAAAAAAAGAAATCAATGATATGATTTCTTTTTCTCAAAGGGATTACTGCTAAGTTAGAAGAAATATATTTAATGTATCTGAGAAAACTGTAGAATATTTGTGAGGTGACATGTAAGCACTGATCAAATTTGTCAGTTGCAAATGACAAAAACTCAGCTTAATTAGTTTGAGGAAAATGGGTTTATGGTCTACACAGCTTAGAAATATAGAGGACAAAGCTACCTCTGGCTAGATGGATGCCATTAGGCCACTTACTCTCTCTCCATTCGTCTTCTCTTCTTTTTCCTGTGTTGGCTTTAATTTCAGGCCGTATTTTCCTGAATGGTAGTAGGGTTGGCCATTGAAGGAAAGTTATATACTCATTTTATCTTCATAGCTAGCAGTTTCAATACAAAAAAATATGACTTCTTTTCCCCTGTTACTTGCAGCTAAAGCCCCAAGGAAGGTTGTGATTAGTCTGTCCTAGGTTATGTGCCATCCCTGAATGTCCCTGTGACCAATTTTAGGGTGCTCTGATTCACCCATTTTGGATCATAAACTAATCCTTGTGGGAATGGGGGATGCAATGTGAAGTGCCATAAAATGGGCTTTCCATGAAAAAGAAAGGCTGTGTAACAAGAAGAGAATGAGAAGCATGGTGAACAGACAAAAAGCATGGTTATCACAGTCTACTACCATTCATTACTTGGCTACTTAACAACAAGCTTACTTCTTGTATGCATTATTTCAAAGTGCCACTGCCTGACAATGGAAATATTAGACAGTGAAACTATGAGACAACCAATAGTGCACTCTTTCTCAAAGTAAAGCGAGGCAAGTCAATGTCTCATCCAGGTACTTCCTTCACCTCTCAGGTCCTCATCTTTATTGATTCAATCCCTTTCACATTTAAATTATGTTACTTGTCACACATCAATTCCTGTTATTCTTGTATCAGAGATATCCTGTTTAAAAGTGACAGAAAAATAGTGGAAACCATTTGAACTCCAAAGAAATTTATTATCTCCAATAAATGAAAAGTTTGCCGTTAGCTGTCAGGCATGATGGATTCAGGAGTAAAAAGTGATGCTGTGAAGACATCACCTTTCCCTTTCTGAATCTTACTTGCCTTTGAGTTAGTTAAATTTTGGGACAAATTTTCTAACATGGTAATCAAGCGGACAACTAGTACCTCTACGCTTACTTCAAAGGCAAAGCCAGCAGTTTCAATGATTAGTGTCCACTTCTTCAGAGTCCAACAAAATTTCTAGAGATGTAACTGATTGACTTGGGAGAAATGCCAATCCCTGAACCAGTTTCTTCAGCTTGGTGTTTGTGTGTCTAGCTGGATGGAATACTCCTGATTTTGTTGGTCCTGCGTCATGTGCCCACCCCAGTGGTTGTGATAATGGAGAGATGTCAGCCCCAACAAGACCATAGGAAATGGGTTTCCTATAAAAATTAGAGCCTGTTTCCCATAGAAACAGATTACTTAAAAAGGTAATATGCCAACAAAGATCATAACTGCAATACTACAAAATAAACAGTAGAGTGAAGTAAATAAATTAGTTTTGATTGAGTTCTTGTAATGTATCCAGTATCTGGCTATGTTATTTCACATTTATTAGATAAATGTGCTCCAAATGACTTAGCAGTGCCTAGTACTACTAGGATTTTTAAAAACTGTACTAACTCATGACATTTCAGTGTCTTCCCTACCACTTTAAGGCAGGTGATTCTGGATTTCTTTCTTGTGTGAAGTATCAAATTTTGGAAAACTATGGAGAGGCATAGAGCAGATGAACAGAAAGATGGATGGTGTGGAGATGAGAAAAAGGAGGATGTGTAAGAAATAAGGTTGCCATTTAGTCTGATCTGAAGTGATCAGTGCGACCCTAGAGTGGAGTGATGAGAAATATTAGTGAGCCAGACACACTGGAATCCTTTCACAGAAGGTTTTAAATGTTCAGTGGGGAAGTTTGAGTTTTTTCTTAAGTAAGATTAAAAAAGAACTAACTAAACATTTCAAACAAAAGGGATTTTTGATGAAAAGAGTGTTGAGGTTTTTGCACAGTGGTATGTGAGGTGGACTGGAGAAGGCACTAGAGGATAGAGATAAGCTGGCAGACCATTATCGGCTTCTTGATGTGCAGCAATAAGGACCCAGACTAGAGAAGAGGCAGAAGTATTTGAAAATCTAGACTCAGATGAATGATTCTGAAACTCTGAGGTATGGTAAAATCACTGGTGGAGTGAATGAAAATGCAGATTCTAGGGATCATTTTGTAGATGTTCAGATTCAGTAGGTCTGGAGCAGGGCACCGCAATATGTATTTTAACAAGCACTCATGGTGATTCTGATGCAGGTCATTCCCAGACCACAGACTGTTGCAGAGGAGGAATTGGCAGATGTTTGATTAACTATGAAGGGCAATCAAGCTGGGAGGAGAGGGGAATTGACTGCTGATGGTAATTGGAAGGTTGGGAAAGGACCCTGATGGTAGGGAGAGTTGATGAATTCTATTTAGATAATTGTTATTCATGTTTATGTTTGAAGCTTGGGTGTGTGGATTTCAGTTAGTATTTTCTGTGTATTTAAAGCTATTGATTAGAAGATATCCTGGAATGGAAATGATTAAGCACTTGTCCTCTATCTCCAAACACTGGAATGGTTCTAGGCACTTACAGCTTTGGCTAGTTTCAGGCAGAGTTTGAGGTGGAATAGGGAAGTCAATATTATAAGACCCATGCTGAAGCTATTGTGTTTAGAAATACCTGGACATTCTTTTTAGTGTCTAGAAATGACTGTCAACATTGTCGAAACTAATCCTGTGGTATCTGAAAAATTAAGATGAGGAGATTTTTGTTAGTATAACATACAGATTCTAAAATTCTCTTAGCTCGTAGCACACTAGTCAATATGTTAATAATGTTACTAACGTTGAAGGAGGCATGGAATGGGGACAGACGTTGATCAAAGGGTGCAAAGCTTCAGTTAGAACGAACACATTCTGCATATCTATTGTGTAACATGGCTATTATAGTTAATAATAATGATGGTATACTTGAAAATTGCTAAGAGAGTAGATTTTAAATGTTCTCACCACAGAAAAATAAGTATATGAGGTAATGTACACGTTAATTAGCTTGATTTAATAATTTCACAATGTATACATATATAAAAATATCATGCTGTAGACCATAATTATGTACAATTTTATTGATCAATTACATTTTAATGAAAAATAATAATGTTACTAATGAACTTTTACCCCATTGAGGCAACAGTACCTGATGGGAAAAATAATAATTTCTTTTAAGCTAGGCCTTTCTGTCAGGTAATAGTCCTCTTCTAATTTGCCTTAATAGCTTTAGAATCCCTTCCCTGCAAAATCTATGGATACTTAACTTATATAACATGTGTGCAGCTATTACTCTCAGTGGTTGATTTCTCTTTCTGTCCATCTTTCAACTGAATTAGGGAGTGGGAAGCTAACCTTTGATTTTCATTCTGGAAGAAAGCATTGGTTATAAAGTGTGCATAATGTTTCCTCTGCTGCTTTGTTCAGATCCCACGGATAATTTTTGAGACTGATTAGGAGAATTACTAAAGTCTCTCAAACAAGGCTATAAAGATATTTGTAATTATGGCTTGACAGATAATACTACTCTACTGAATTGTTATCTTAGGCAGGTTGGCTCCCCTTGGAGTCATCTCCTGTTTATAGCTCTGGACCAGAGTGCATTTGGCTATGTCTCTAATCTCTTTACTATGCCATCCAAGAGTGGATGGCTACACATTTAAAATAAATACACCCATACCCACATATGATACACACCAGAAAAACTGAGGGTAATATATCTATCAGAATACAGTGTGATTTAACTTTCTTTTGATATGGATGGTGATTATAGGTATATTCTATGTTTTTGCCAATTGAGAGAGGATAAACAATAAATATTTTCATTTTATATTTTATATCTGAATTGAAAATATATCTAGTTCAGCACAGGAAGGCAATGTGACTAAGGGATATTGAGTTTGATCATCATAATTAAGAAATCTGCCAGAGTCACATTTGGAAAATTTGTTCCACTTCTCTGAGCTTTAGTTTGTGTTTTCTAAAATAGAAATACCAGAACTCTTTCTATAATTAGACATTTTGAGACTAATAAGGAAACACTATGCAAGAGGAAAATACGAATAAAATTGGGGAAACTTTTTTTGAAAATTAGTAGCAACGTTTTAGGAGCAATGTCAGTGAATAATTACTGCCCAAGAGATAGAATATACTCTAAAATAGTGTTAGAATAAAGTACTTAAAAGTTTTAATACTTTTTAAAAAATATTAGAAAAATAGTCATTAATTTACATACACTGTATTTGGATGGATACTAGTATTGTGACCAAGATGTCTTTTAGTACAGTGTAGTACCTTCCTGGTATATTTTTTCCTCTAAGATTTTATTTTCAAGCATTTTGTTTCCTTAGTTTGCTTAAGAGCTTTATTAAGGCATACTTTTATAACATAAAATTCATCCATTATAAGCAAGCAATTCAATTAATTTTAGTAAATTTATAGAGTTCTGAAATCATCTCCACAATCCAGTTTAGAGCAATTTGTCCTAAAAAGGGTTCTCATACAGGTGATTTCTGGCCCCAGTGATGTTCTGCCTTCTGTCTTCATAAATTTTCCTACTACGGAGATTTTATATACATAAAATCAATATGTAGTCTTTATGCCTGGCTTTTTTTTAACTTAGAATAATATTCTTAGGGGTCATCTTTTTTTGTTAGCATATATCGGTAGGTCACTCCTTTTTGCTGAATAGTATTCCATTGCATGGATATACCACATTTTGTTTACTTTTTACCCATTCAGAGACATTTGGACTATTTCCAGTTTTTAGCTATTATGAATAATGCCGCTATTAATATTTTCTATTCTTGTATTTCTTTTAGTGCAGGTCTGCTGATTATAAATTATCTGTCCATAAATATTCTTATCTCACTTTCATTATAGAATATACAGAATTGTATGTTGCCAGAAACTTTCAGCGATGTAAAGATATTACATTATATTGTAATTTTCATAGTTTATATTGATATTATTAATAAGTTTTTGTTTGCTATCGTTTTGAATTTAATGTATCTTTTTCTTTATCTGCTTTTAAGATTTTCTCTTTTTTTCTTGTATTTTCAGCAGTTTTACTATTGTGTGCCTAGGTGTCTTTATTCTGCTTAAATATTACTGGTAACAAATTACCCCAAATTTGGTGGCATAAATCAGCAAAAATTTTCTAATACTTAGAAATTCTACGTGTCAAAGAAGCATAAGAAAGGAAAAACACTGCCCAAATTATACGAAAGACATCATTAAAGAGAACCCGTAGCATTCATCGAGGCCATTAACTAAAGGCAAGCTATTGAAAGAGCTGGATCAGTCGGACTCATCTCCCTCCCTCCCCTATACACATTAAGGGTTCACCCCCTGGCCTTGGGGATCACATTCTAAACAAACTGAACTCTGGTAAGGGATCTTAGTGTGAATATTGGGTCTGAAAATAAAGGTGCTAAATTACTTCAGACCTTAGTTGCTTATAGTAGCCTCTAATGATCCTTTGAATTTCTCTGGTATAATTAGTAATGTCTCCTTTTTCATCTCTGATTTTATTTATTTGGCTCTTCTCTCTTTTTTTCTCAGTTAGTCTGGCTAAAGGTTTGTCAATTTTGTTTTATCTTTTCAAAAAATAAACTTCTCATTCCATTGATATTTTGTATTGTTTTCTTCTTGGCAATTTCATCTATTTCTGTTCTGATCTGTATTATTTATATTCTTCTACTAAATTTGAGTTTGATTTGCTCTTTCTTTTCTACTTCTTTAAGATACATTGTTAGGTTGTTTATTTGAAGTTTTTCTACTTTTTTTTAGTAATTCTTCAGAACTTCTCACTTAATATTTACCTCCTTGTAATGGTTAACTTTATATGTTAACTTACAGGTTGTTTTGGGGTGAGATAAACATTTAAATTGGTGAACTTTGAGTAAGTAGCTCTCTATAATATGGGTGGGGCTCATCCAATCAATTGATTGCCTGACTAGAACAAAATGATTGGCATCCTTTCGCAGGAAGGTATTCTCCAGCCAACCGCCTTTAGTGAGGAACTGTATTTACCTTCCCAGGCTGTCCTCCAGCTCCAGCCTGCCAGCCCATGCTGCAGCTTTTGGACTTACTAGTATCCATAATTATGTGACTAATTGCATATAATCAATCTCTCTCCCTCTTTCCCTAGACACATACGTACACACACACACACACACACACACACACACACACACACTCATTCTATTGGTTCTGTTTCCCTGCAGAACCCTGACTAATACATCCTTAGACCCTTTTTGATTGGTTATTTCTGCTTTTATTCATTTACATTCCTTAAAATCTCTGTTTTGTCATTGTAGGAGGAAAATTAGAAGACAAGTATCCTCATTTCCACCTGGATCCAGTCTTTCTTCCTTATTACTTTTATTAACAATATCAGTTAAGGTTTATATGGATGTCTTGCTTTGGCCTGTACAAAAAACTACTTTGTATATGCCTTATTTTATTAATTTTGCTTCTGAATTTCATCAAATTCTCTGATCATAACTCTATATTCTTGTAAGGAATGCTCAGAATTATACTATTTCACTCCAAATTTTATTATTATTGAGACGAAACTGGGTATAGAAAGTTGTGGGACCAGTTTGTAATTTATTGCTTTAAAATTTGGTCAAGCCACTCAAATTCTCTAGCTGTACCTATGAAATAGCTTTAATATTTCAATCCCCTGCATTTTCTTTGAATAATATGGAGTTTGAATTGAAGTGGTCCTGAATTTGAGTGCTGCATATGCTACTTTTGAGATATGTGATCTTGAGCAAGTTGCTTAATCACATTAAACCTCAATTCTCTCATCTTTAAAATAGAAAAAATAATAGCTACTTTACAGTGTTGAGAAAAGAATAAGATGAAACAGTTTATTAAAAACATAGAAGAGTGCTTAAGACATAATAAAGTCTACATAAATTGTGCCTATTGTTATTACTAATAAAAAAAAAAGAAATTCTACGTGTCAGGAATTTGAACAAATTACAGCTGGATTTGCATATTTCTTCCACAAGATGTATGTGGTCCCATCTGATAATAGGGAATTGGTTGGTAACTGGAATCTTCTTGGAAACCTCTTAAATCACAGATCTTGCACTTGTACTGGGATAATCTGGAGTGTGTGCTCCTCTGAGTTTGTTGACCAAATCACCTACAGGTGAACTCTCCATATATGTATTTTCCTAGTCAATTCCTACACTGACCTCAAGCAAACACTGATCAGCTTTCTGTCATAATAGATGCGATTTACTTTTTTAGAATTTAATAAAACTCAAATTATACTGTATGCATCCTTTTGTGTCTGGATTGCTTTTTTTTCTCTGCCTTACATTGTTGAATATATTCTAGGTATGTTTTACTAATTGCTTGGTTGTATATTAATGCATACTGCATTTTGTTTATCCATTCAACTATTGATGGAAATTGGAGTTGTTTTCAGTTTCTGGTTATAAATAAAACAGCTATGAACATTTACATACCAAGTCTTTGTGTGGATATGTGTCATTTCTCTTTTATTTTGTTTCTCAAGGTCACCTTATTTTCTGCGACCATGCCAAACACCCTTACTAATTCTGCTAACTTATTTCCATAGAGATTTCTATATGCAGCATCATTTTGTCTGAAAATAGGGAGAAGTCTATCTCTTCCTTTTCAATTAATTTTCCTTATATTTCTTTATCTTGCTTGATTGCACTAGTTATGACTTTGAGTACAACATGAATAGGTATGATGAGAATAAATATTCTTCCTTCTCAATTTTAGGGGGAATATTCAACAATTCATATTAATTATAATGTTAGCTATATATTTTCTTGTAATGATGTTTATCAGGTTCAGAAAATATCCATTTATTACTAGTTTACTAGTATTTTTATAATGAAGGGTTATTGCATTTTGTCATATTACTTTTCTCTTCTTTTTGAGACATAGTCTCACTCTGTCACCCAGGCTGGATTGCAGTGGCATGACCACGGCTCACTGTGACATCTGTCTCCGGGGGCCTCAGCCTCCCGAGTAGCTGGGACTAATGGCACTTGTCACCATACCCGGCTACTTTTTGTATTTTTCATGGAGATGGGGTTTCACCATGTTGGCCAGGCTGGTCTTGAACTCCTGACCTCAAGTGATCCACCCGCCTTGGCCTCCCAAAGTGCTGGGTTTACAGGTGTGAACCACCACATCCAGCATTGTCATATTACTTTTCTGTATTTATTAGATTAATATGTGGTTCTCCTTTAGTCTGTTGATTGAAGTTGAGCCAGCCAGCCTTGCATTCTCAGGATAAACTCCAGTTGTAATAAAGTGTTATCCTTTTTATATATTATTGCGTTAGGTGTGTTAGTATTTTGTTAAGAACTTTTGCATATATATTGAAGAATGTTGTTCTATAGTTTTCTTTTTTGTAATGTCTTTTTCTGCCTTTGGTTTTTAGATGTTGGATTCATAAAATTATTTAGGAGTGTTTTCCCCTGCTTTTTCTCATGGAATTAGGATAGTATCCTATTATTCTTATTTAAATGCTGACTAGGATGCAGCATGTAAACCAATAGACTGCAGTTGCCTTTTGAGGAAGGCTTTAAAGTTCAAAATAAGTTTTCTTAGTACATAAGAGCTGTTCTAAATGAGAAAATAAATAATTTTCTCATTTATTAGTTTCGGTAATTCCGATGTTCCATGAAATTTTCCCATATCACTTAGGTTTTTGAATATATGGCCATAGGTTTATTCATAAATTTCCGTTATTGTTCTTTTAATATTGGCAGCATCTTTTGTGATGTCCATTTTATCTAAGTTGTTGAATTTATTGGTACAAAGTTGTTCATAATATTTCTTTATCATCTTTTGTCTGTATGTTCTATAGTGATGTGTTAATTTCTTTCATTCTTAACACTCATACTTTGCACCTTATTTTTTAGTTCTTATAATTCTAGCTAGAGCTTTATAATATCTATTGATTTTTTAATCTTTTATCTCAGGTTTGGGAGTACATGTGCAGGTTTGTTGCACAGGTAAATTGTGTGTTGCTGGGCTTTGGTGTACAAGCTTTCACCCAGGTAGTAAATTGTACCTGATAGGTAGTTTTCTCCTCACCTTCCTCCCACCCTCAAACCTCAAGGTATCTCCAGTGTCTATTATTTCTGTCTGTGTGTCCATGTGTACTCAATGTTTAGCTCCCCTTATAAGTAAGAACATACAGTATATGGTTTTCTGTTTTTGTGTTAGTTTGCTTAGGATAATGACTTCCAGCTGCATCCATATGATTGCAAAGGACATGATTTCATTCTTTTTTTTGGCTGTGTATTATTCCATAGGGTATATGTACCACATTTTCTTTATCCAGTCTACTGTTGATGGGCATGTAAGTTGAATCCATGTTTTTGCTATTGTGAAAAGTGCTGTAATAAACATACATGCTTATGTGTCTTTACAGTAGAATAATTTCTATTCTTTTGGGTATATATCCAGTAATGAGACTGCTGGGTTGAATGGTAGTTCTCTTCTAAGTTCTTTGGAAAATCTCAAAACTGCTCTCCACAGTGGCTGAACTAATTTACATTCCCACCAACAAAATATAAGTGTTCTCTTTGAGAAGTGTTCAAAGTTCTACTTTGAGAAGTGTCTGTTCATGTCCTTTGCCCATATTTTAATGGGGTTGCTTGTTGATTTGTTTAAATTCTCTATATATTCTGTATATTAGACCTTTGTCAGACACATAGCTTGCAAATATTTTCTCCTATTCTGTAGGTTGTCTGTTTACTCTGCTGATAGTTTTGTTTGCTGTGCAGAAGATTTTTAGTTTAATTAGGCTCCATTTGTCAATTTTTTGTTTTGTTGCAATTGCTTTTGGAGTCTTTGCCGTGAAATTTTTGTCAAAGCCTATATCCAGAATGGTATTCCTAGATTTTCTTCTAGGGTGTTTATAGCTTTAGGTTTTACATTTAAGTCTTTAATCCATCTTGAATGGTTTTTGTATACTGTATAAGGAAGGGGTCCTGTTTCAGTCTCCTGCATATAGCTAGCCAGTTATCCCAGCACTATTTATTGAATAGGGAGCCATTTCCTCCATACTTGTTATTGTCAGTTTTGCTAAAGACCAGATGGTTGTAGGTGTGCGACTTTATTTCTGGTTTCTCTAACCTGTTCCATTGGCTTATGTGTCTGTTTTTGTACCAATACCACACTATTTTAGTTACTGTAGCCTTGCAGTATAGTCTGAAATTGGGTAATGTGATGCCTACAGCTTTGTTTATTTCACTTGGATTGCTTTAGCTATTTGGGCTCCTTATTTGATTTTCTATGGATTCTAAAACAGCTTTTCCTAACTTTGTGAAATAAGTTTGGTAGTTTGATAGGAATAGCATTGTATTTGTAAATTGCTTTGTGAAGTAGAACTATTTTGACAATATTGATTCTTCCTATACATGAGCATGGAATATTTTTCCATTTGTTTATGTTGTCACTGATTTCTTTCAGCAGTGTTTTGTAATTCCCGTTGTATAGATATTTCACTTCCCTGTTTAGCTGTATTCCTAAGTATTTTATCCTGTCAGTGACAGTTGTGAATTGAATTGAGTTCTTGATTTGGACTTCAGGGATTTTTTTTTTTTTTGTATTTCTTTGGCATTGGTGGTAATGTCAACTTTGTCATTTCTGATTGTGTTTACTTGGGTCTTCTCTCTTTTTTATTAGTCAAGCTAATGGTCTATCAATCTTATTTATTCTTTCAGATGACCAACTTTTGCTTTCTTTGATTTTTTTGTATGGATTTTTGCATCTCAATATTGTTCAGTTCAGCTCTGATTTTTTTAAATATGTTTTCCTGACAGCTTTGAGGTTGGTTTGCTATTGTTTTTCTAGTTCTTCTAGGTGTGATGTTAAGTTGTTGATTTGAGAGCTTTCTAACTTTTTGATGTAGGCATTTAGTGCTATAAAATTTCCTCTTAACACTTCTGTAGTTATGTCCCAGAAATTCTGGTGTGTTGTATTTGTTGTCATTAGTTTCAAATAATTTCTTTATTTCTGCCTTAATTTCATTCTCTACTCAAAGATAATTCAGGAGTAGATTGTTTAATTTCCATGTAATTGTATGGGTTCAAAATATCTTCTTGGGATTGATTTCTATTTTTGTTGTGCTGTAGTCTGAGAGTGTGGTTGGTATGATTTTATTTTATTTGAATTTGCTAAAATTGCTTTATAGCCAAGCATGTGGTCAATCTTACAGTATGTGCCATGTGCCAATGAGAAGAATACATTTTCTGTTGTTGTATGGAGTGTTCCATAGATTTCTGTTAGTTCCATTTTGTCAAGTGTTGAGTTCAGCTATTTGGAAGGCTGAGGTGGGAGGATTGTTTGAGCCCAGGTGATTGAGGTGGAAGTGAACCATGATTATGCCACTACACCCTAGATCGAGTGACAGAGTGAGATCCTGTCCCCTAAAAAACATAAAATAAAGTAAAATAAAATCCTTAGGAGCAAATTTAGCAAAGCATGTGAAAAATATGTACACTGAAAACTATAAAGCACTGATGAAAGAAATTGGAGGATACACAAATAAATGAAAAGATAGCTTATGTTCATGGATTGAAATAATTAATATTGTTAAAATGCACATTACCCAAAACAATCTAATCTACAAATTGAATGAAATTTTGATGAATATTTCAATGTCATTTTTCACAGAAATAGAAAAAACAATGCTAAAATTTGTATGGAACGAGAAAGACCTTAAATAGGCAAAGCAATACTGAGCAAAAGGAACAAAGCTAGAAGCATCTTACTCTTTTATTTCAAAACAGCATGGTACTAGCATACAAACAGACACACAAGCCAATGGAACAGGATAGAAAGTCCAGAAATAAATCTAGGTATTTATGGTCAATTGAAATCTAGGTATTTATGGTCAAATGATTTTTTTTTTTTTTGAGGCAGTGTCTCGCTCTGTCACACAGGCTTGACTGCAGTGGTGTGATCATGGCTCACTGCAGTCTCAGTCTCCTGGATTCAAGTGATCCTTCCACCTGAGCCTCTTGAGTATCTGGGATACAGGTGCGTGTCACCATGCCCAGCTAATTTTTTTTTTTTTTTAGCTTTTGTAGTGATAGGGTCTCACTGAGTTGTACAGGCTTGTCTTGAACTCCTGAGCTCAAGCAATC